>NC_000023.11:142327871-143027116 GCF_000001405.40 Homo sapiens | reverse complement strand
TTTTGTCTGTCCACCCCCAGTGTCTTCTTCCTTTGTGGCACAAACTCTTATCTCTGCCTACTGGCCAATTGGTCAGGAACATGCACCCTTGTGTTTCAGTCTAAACGTTAACATTTTGCCTCACAAGCAGACCATCCGGTTTCCTTTAGTAGCTTCTGTCTCATCTTCCTCCACACACACTAAGCAGGCTCTACATTTCATTCTAGTGTTAGCAGAACTAAACATCTCTGCTGCACTCAGCACTGGGATAGCAGGGGGCCGCTTTCTTAGGTCCCCTAATCTTTCTCCTCCAAATACTACAATTGGCCCATGTATACTCACCTTCATATCCCTCTTTATCTCCCTAAAGCTAAACTCCCCTGTCCAGGCAGCCACCCAGCAACACATTGATACCATCCTTCTCCGCTGCCAAGTCCGGTACCAGTGCCTCCAGGAAAACAACTCTGAAGTCCAACACCCACTGCTTCAAAACCCAAACCCTGAATACAGCTCCCCTATTCAGCAGCAAGCAGCCAGATAATCAACCACGTCCCTCTTCCTTTTATGATAAAGTAGAAGGCAAGAATATCAGTCTAAACTGCACTCTCTTGTAAGCTCCCTTCTATTTTGTAGACCTTGGTCAAAGTGAAACATTCCACGGGAGTTCTGGCCGTGAGAAAAATCCCGCCTAACTGCCTGACCATGAGGTGGATAAAGGCCCATCTAAAAAAACATCCCTATCATATCTTGTTGGGGAAAAAGGTCCAAGCAACACCATGATGACATCCCACCAGAAAAAGGGCCAAACTGCCTGATCATAACAACATCTTATCAATATTCCGCCGAGCAGCCAGCCATACTGCCCAAACCTCTCCCACCCATACCTATAAGTACGCTGGCCTGTATGTAGCGGTGGGCTCTGGCATGAAGCTGGCCCCACATTTCTGCAGGTGTCTGCAGTATACCCGTGTTGCTGTTTGACCCGCGCCCTATCTGTGTGTCTTTCTTTCACCCTCACCTTCCCTTCAAAACCTAACAATCTGACCTTGTCAACTTTTCTTTTGTTAGATTCACAGGGGCTCTTCATTTTATTCTCGTTGGTGCTGGAAGTTGGCTCTTCCATGATTATGGTTGGTTGTAGAATTTCTGTACTAGGATCTTCTAGGGTGCAGATTTCCACAGCTGTATTGAAGCTTTCCAGTGGGCTGTCCCAGAGCTTTTGCCCACCCTGTATATATACCCTCCTGGGAGCAAGACGAAGCCACACCCTTGAGCTTTGTTTGATCATACAGGCAGTGTCCCAGCCAATGGTAGTCCTAGGGTGGCTTTGGCATCACAAAGAACCACCTCTGACAACTCCCTGGGTTTGTGGGGGAGGGGTGAAAGGGGTGTAGAGGAAACCAAATGCTGTTGTTGTTTCAGCATCCCCTGAAGATGCATCCCAAACTGATCTGCCTCCGCTCCTCATTTCTCCATGTTTAATGTTCATGGTTCACATGGAAGTGAGAGGATGATTCCTTCAAGCCCTTCCCCACAGCCATTCCTATTAAGTGATTCATTCTTTTGTCTTCCAACCCTCACCATGACCTAGTATTTTAGATGTCTCACCTCAAATCCCTCCAAGCTAGTGTGGCTACATTTAATTATTGGTGGAGATGTGAATTATCCCGCTTCCCTCCTGCAGTTCCTTCATATGCACCTTGAAGACCATTAACTTTCAGGTTTCTGCCAGGCAAATTTCAATCCATGTTCTTTTTTCCAATGTCCATGTAGTCCTCTTAAGTTTCCTATTTCTAGTCTGAAATCATGGCCTTCAGTCTGCCAGAACTTCAGTGAATAAACATCCTTACTGGGTATCCTAGTCTTGTTTCAAATCAGGGGTGTATGTTCATAGCAAATGTAGTCTCCCACAACATGGTTTTTACCAGTGTGTAGGGTTGGGGGAGGAGTGGGTACACATGTGCTGGAAGTTGTTCTGAGTGTTTACATGCAGAATACTATCTAACACCAACATGTACACCAGTGTGGGCATTGTTACATTTTGTAATGGAGATTGTGTCCAGTGCAAAAGAAAAACAAAAGGCATTTAGTGTGGAAGGGGAGAAGTAAAAGTATCCTTTGTCAAAGACCACATGAGAGCCTGTGTAGAAAAGTCGATCTAAAAAAAAAAAAAAAAAAAGGCTTTGACAATAATTGAGATTAGCAAGATTGCAGGATAGAAGATCAACACACAAATCAATTGTATGTTTATATGTTAGAAGTTATATATTAGAAGTTTATATATTAGAACAGTCAGTGTTTCAGCCAATGGTAGTCCTAGGGTCGACTGGTAGTTAATTTCAACAACCGGAATTTGAAATTAAGCACAGTGCAATTTAAAATATCTCAAAAAATATTAAGGCTTAGGGATAAATCTGAACAAAAATGTAAATGACTTGCACAGTTAAAACTACAAAAAATTGCAAAGATAATAACATAAGGAAAAATCGAGATGTATACTTTGATTTTCGGTTAGAAGATTCAATATTGAAGATGTCAGTTATTTCCAAATTCATCTGTAGATTCAACTCAAACCTAATACAAATTCTAAAAAGGTTTCTTAATAGAAATTGACAGGATAATTATAATATTCATATGGAAATGTAATGGGCCTAGAACAGCCAAAAGAAAAGTGTTGAATCTTAAAAAGCTCTGGATTGTATTAATGTCAGTGTTCTAGTTTTGATAGTGTAATGTGGTAGCGTACTGAAGATTTTACCATTGGGAGAGGCTGGTTGAAGGATACATAAGGCCTCTATGTACATATCTTTGAAACTTCTTGTGAACTTATAATTGTTTCAAAATAGAAAAATAAAAATATTTTAAAAGAGAGGAAGAGAGAGTGCCAAAGATAGAGGAGGCATGGCCCTAGATTTCTCTCCCAGGTTGACACCTGTCCAATTCTCTATAGGAAGTCACAAAAATCAATAATGGAAAAAATAAAATAAAATGAAAGAGCAGTAGACCCTAGATTTTTGTTCCAGTGCTCATCGAGCTCACATATCTTTATTTCATACCCCATAAAATCAAGAAATCCTAGCAAAGTACCCTGCTGACCTCCAAACACAACCAATTTATAGCATTCCCATGAGTTCCATCTAAAATCTAAGAAACCAGAAGAACATTGTTATTAAGGTACACATTTTTCTTAGTGAATCCCAGATGTTGTCTAGAGATGAACAATTTTATTTATTAAATACTCACAAGCTAACTTCTAAGGATTTAATTTTTTTTTGGACTCTTGCCTGCAATTAACAGTGAGAACATCACCCTGACTTGTCATGTTATATAAAAAAAAAACAAATAAACAAAAACCAAAAGGCATACCACATAAAATAGGGTAGGTCAAAAAGTGATTAAAATTGCTGAAAATAACAGCTTTCAATTACCTTATTACTTTTTATAATTGTTTTCTTAATTTGTTTACTAAAAATGTTTTGATGGGTATATCACTATCCAATGAAAATTTATCAAAATGTTAGGAACACATTCAGTGCATATTTCTATTGAAAGATTACAACTGACTTTATAAAATAACTCCTATTGAAATCTTTAGTAATTATGTTATATTTTCCACCAAAATGCATAATAAAAAATTAAAGGCCATCAGTGTACAATGAGTTCATTGCATTGAACTTTTTTATTTCTGATGTTTTTTGTTTTCAAGAATATTCTTCTTTATCATATCAGGTTTAGGAACTACTCAAAGTGACTCTCCCATGTCATGCTGTAAGTCAAAAATGGACCAGGATGAGAACCAGGGATTCCTTGAAACCTTTTCAGCTCTTGTTTTGGGGCCTTTGTACAAATGATATTATAAACTGACACTAGTTAGTTAATAATAACCATAAACTACATTTTAATGATTTTTGTTACACATTTTAAGCTGTCTAAGGCAGGTTTTAATAGTGTAATGTGGTATAGGATATGATCTGCTTGGGATTTGCCCCTTTCTGTGGCTACAAACAGCAAGGTGTTAGAGGCCAACCATGTATTTCCCTCTGGAGCACAGACAGTTGAAGAGCAATCAATGAAAAAGATGGGAGAGGAATACATCCTACTACTGGCTTTGCATGTGACTGGATGAGTGGCTTTGAAAAATACCGGCACTATTACCTCTACTGCAACCACTACTACCTCTACGCTACTATTAATACTACTAGCAATAGATTCCATACACCAAGAACCTACTATATGCTAGGCTCTGGTCTAAGCGTATAGTATCTAGGTCAAACAGGAAACAGATGGTACATGCAAAATGGAATAATTTGACAAGCATTTGTCTGCAAAGTGATCACTTACAAACAGACAGATGCAGGGAGACCATCAGAGATAGTGCTAGTAGTAACTGCCATCACTCCAGACCCAAAGGAATTAGAGCAGGAAGGAAGTGGTTACTAGAACCTGGAAAGATCAATAATCATGAGGAAATGACTATTTTGAGAAGAACAGTGACCTCTACCAAGAGACTCATCCAGCCCGGGGTGATTCACAGGGAGGGAGCCAGGAGAATAGGTCTACAGCCCTCACTCTCCTTCCTTTCTCCCTTCCACCTCCAACTCTCCTTGTGGCTCCCCATTAGCCAAACCCAGTGGACACCAGGGACCCTAGGAACCCATTAATAGAATCCTTCCTAAATAGCCTCCCCGGACAGAACAGGTGAAGTAGGGTGGTGAGTGGACCTGGAAAGGCAGAGGGAAGATGTTCAGCAGAGATGCAATGCTCACAGCAGTCCCGGGAGGTAGATATCATCACAGGGGATTGATTTACTGAAAAGGAAATTGAGGCCCAGAGAAGCTCAATAACTCAATAATTGTGAAAAAAGTGTTCAAACCTAGGTTCATCCTGCCCTAAATCTCATGTTCTTTCTGGTACTCTGGGTAAACTGCATACCTTCTGTAGGCTTCAGATCCCCCAGCTGTAGAATGAGTAAATTGGAACAATGAATGTCATTTAAAAAAATATGCTATGATTCTGTAATCCTCACCTTTAAAGATGCTATAATTTTTTTAAACTTTAGGTAATATTATGATTCCAGCCAACCAGACTTACAACTCCACAGTGTAAAACTATGTGTGGTGGGGCTATTCTGCCTTGAACTACCCTGGTTTTTCTTTCTGATTCTATTACCACTGGGAGGATACTAGCCCTTAAGAACAAAGGTCTTGGTTTAATATGGAGGATTAGCCCAGAAATAGGATGCTTTAAACAGAAGTAAGCTACCAAAGACCATCAGATCTCTCAACAACTCTTAAGTGGGCACATATTCTGTCTCAAGCACTGGGCTAGTCATAGGGATATAAAGACCATTGTCCTTGTTCTGCACCTTTTGAAGAAAATTGTTCTTCATTCCATTCCAAAAGTATATTCTATATCTGGCATATTGAAAACATATCCTGAGGTAATGTCCAGCCTGACAAAATAAAATTGACACCTTAAAAGCAAACATTCTAAGGAGTCAGAAGTTTTCTACACTGCTCAACATTTTAATTTTTTCTTCTAAATTATTTTTTAATTACTTTTTATGAGTACATAGTAGGTGCATATATTTATGAGGTACATGAGATGTTTTGATAAAGGCATGCCATATAGAATAATCACATCATGAAGAGTGGGGTATTCATCCCTTCAAGCATTTATCCTTCATGTTACAAACAACCCAATAATATTCCTTTCGTTACTTTGAAATGTACAATTATGTTATTATTGGCTGCAGTCACTCTGTTTTACTATCAAATAGTAGGTCTTACTCATTCATTCTGTTTTATATACCCATAACTTTCCCCACCATCCTTCCAACCCTTAAATACACATCCCATCCTCTGGTTAGCATCCTACTACTCTCTGTGTCCATTAGTTCAATTGTTTTGATATTTAGATCCCCCAAATAAGTGAGAACATGGGATGCTTGTCTTACTGTGCCTGGCTTGTTTCACTAAGTATAATAATCTCCAGTTCCATCCATGTGGTTTCAAATGATATTATATCTTTTTTATGGCTTAATAGTACATCATTGTGTATATGTACCCCATTTTTTTCTTCACTTATCTATTGGTGGACATTTAGGTTGCTTCCAGCTCTTAGCTATTATAAACAGTGCTACAACAAACATGAGAGTTCAGCTGTCTTTTCAATATAATGCATTCTTTTCTTATGGGTATATACCCAATAGTAGGTGTCTTGGATCACATGGTGGCTCTATTTAGGTTTTTGAGGAACCTTCAAACTGTTGAGCAACCTTCAAGCTGTGGTTGTATTAATTTATATTTCCAACAGTGTACATCTCCACATCCTTGCCAGCATTTGCTATTGCCTGTCTTTATATAAGCCAATTTAACTGGAGTGAAACAAGATTTCACTGTAGTTTTTACTTGCATTTCTCTGATGATCAGTGACGAGCACCTTTTCATATTCCTGTTTGCCATTAGTGTGTCTTCTTTTGAAAAATGTTTATTCAAATCTATTGGCTATTTTTGCATAAGATTATTAGATTTTTTTCCTATAGAGTTTCAGCTACTTATATATTCTATACATTAATCTCTTGTCAGATGGGTAGTTAGAAAATATTTTCTCCCATTCTGTGGGTTGTCCCTTCGCGTTGTTGATTGTCTTATTTGCTGTGCCGAAACTTTTAAACTTGATGTGATTTTATTGGTTCACTTTTGTTTTGGTTTCATGTGCTTATGGGGTATTACTCAAGACATTTTTGCCCAGAACAAGGTCCTGGAGAGTTTCATGAACGATTTCTTGTAGTACTTTCATAGTTTGATGCCTTACGTTTAAATATTTAATCCATTTTGATTTATGTTTAGTATATGGCTAGAGATGAGTCTAGTTTCATTATTCTGCATATGGGTATCAAGTTTTCACAGCACTATTTATTGAAGGGACTGTCTTTTCCCCAGTATATGTTCTTGGAACCCTTGATGAAAATGAGTTCACTATGGTGTTTGGGGTTTGTTTCTGGGTTCTATGTTCTTTCCCACTGGTCTATGTGTCTATTTTTATGCCAATACCATGCTGTTTCGCTTACTATAACTCTAGTATAATTTGAAGTCAGGTACTGTAAGTTCTACAGTTTTGCTCATTTTTCTTAGGATAACTTTGGCTATTCTGGGTGGTTTGTAGTTCCATATAAGTTTTAGAATTCTTTTTTCTATTTCTGTGAAGAATGTCATTGGTACTTTTACAGGGATTTGATTGAATCTGTATATTGCTTTGGGTAATATGGACATTATAACAATATTGTGTCTTCCAATACAGGAACATGGAATATCTTTCCATTTTGTTGTGTCCTCTTCAATTTCTTTCATCAGTGTGTTATACTTTCCATTATTGAGATCTCTCATTTCATTTATTAATTCCTGGGTATTGAGTTTTATTTGTGGCTATTGTAAATGGGACTATATATTTTATTCAGATTGTTACTGTTGGAATATAGAAATGCTATTTTTATGTCAATATTGCATCCTGCAGCTTTAAATAATTTATTTATCAATTCTATTTTTTTGCAGTCTTTAGGTTTCTCCAAATATAAGATCATACTATCTGCAAACAAGGATAATTTGAATGCTTCTATTCCAATTTGGATGCTCTTTTTTTTTATCACTTGTCTGGTTGCTCTTGCTTGGACTTCCAGTATTATGTTACAAAACAGTGTTGAAAGTGGGCGTCATTGTCATCTTTCAGATCTTGGAAGAAGGCTTTATGTTTTTCTACATTCAGTGTAATACTATCTGTGGGTCTGTCATATATGGCTTTTATTCTGTTCAGGAATATTTTCTTCAGGATTTTTATCATGAAAGATATTAAATTTCATCAAATGTATTTTCAGCATCAATTAAGATGACCATATGGTTATTGTCTTCAATCTGTTGATAGGATGTATAACATTCATAATTTGCATATGTTGAACCATCCTTGCGTCCCAGGGATAAGTCCCACTTAATGAACGATCATTTTAATGTATTTTTGAACTTAGTTTGCTAGTATATTGCTGAGAATTTTTGCATCAATATTCATTCAAGATACTGGTCTATAGGTTTTTTTTTTTTTAATGCGTCTTTGCCTGCTTTGGTATCAGGGTAATGCTGGACTCATAGAATGAGTTTGGAAGTATTCCCTCCTTTTTATTACTCACAAAATTTCAAGTAGGATTGATATTAATTCTTCTTTCAATGTTTAGTAGAATTCAGTGGTGAACTTGTCTGGTCTCAGGCTTTTATGTACTGGGAGAATTTTACTACAGCTTTGATCTCATTACTCATTACTAGTATGTTCAGCTTTTGGGCTTCTTCATGATTTAATCCTAACAGTTTGTATTTGCCTAAGTATTTGTCCATTTCTTGTAGATTTTCCAATTTATTGCTATATAGTATTTTATATTAGCCATTAATGATCTTTTGAATTTTTGTGGTATCACTTGTTCTGTCACCTTTTTTATCTCTGATTTTACTTATTTGGTTCTTCTCTCCTTTTCTTAGTCAAGCAGGCTAAATGCTTGTCAATTTTGTTTAATTTTTCATAAAACCAATTACATTTTTCATTGGAAACAACTATATTGTTTTCTTTTTTCAATTTCCTTTATTTCTCCTCGATTGCTTCTACTTTATCTATTATTTCTTTTCCTCTACTGACTTTGGGTTCAGTTTACTCTTGTTTATCCAGCTCTTTAAGATGCATCATTAGGTTGTTTATTTGAAGTTTGTTTTCTTTTTTGATTAGGCACTTATAGTTATAAACTTCCCTCTTAGTACTTGTAGTAGTCTGTTCTCACGCAACGCTAACAAAATATCTGAGACTAGGTAATTCATAAAGAAAAGAGGTTTAATTGACTCACGGTTCTGCAGGCTGTATAGGAAGTATGATGACTTCTGCTTTTGCTCAGCTTCTGGGGAGGCCTCAGGAAACTTAAAATCATGGTGGAAGGCAAAAGGGGATAGAGACATCTCACATGGCCAGAGCAGGAGAAAGAGAGACAGATGGTGAAGGTGCTATACATTTTAAAAAACCAGATCTTGTGAGAACTCTATCACTAGAACAGCACTAGGGCAATGGTGCTAAGCCATTAGAAACCACCCCTATGAGCCAATCACCTTTCACCAAGCTCCACCTCCAGCACTGGGGATTGCATTTCAACATGAGATTTGGGTGGGGACACAGATCCATACCATATGAGAACTCCTTTTGCTGTATCCCATAGGTGTTGTTATGTTTCTGTTATCATTTGTTTTTAAGACATTTTTCAACTTCCTTCTTAATTTCTTCATAGACACACTGGTCACTCAGTAGCATATTGCTTAATTTCTATGTATTTTTATACTTTTCAAAACTTATTCTGTTTTTGATTTCTAGTTTTATTCTATTGTGGTCAGAGAAGATGCTTGGTATTATTTTATTATTTTTTAATATTTTAAGACTTATTTTGTGACCTATCTGTATTAGTTCATTCTCACACTGCTATAATGACATACCCAAGACTGGGTAATTTATAAAGGAAAGAGGTTTAATTGACTCACATTTCCACATGGCTGGAGAGGCTTCAGGAAACTTACAGTCATGCTGGAAATCCCCTCTTCACATGGTGGCAGGAGAGAGAATGAGTGCCGAGCAAAGGGGGAAGCCCCTTATAAAATCATCAGATTTCATGAGAACTCACTCACTATCACAAGAACAGCAGAGGGGAAAACCACCCCAGTGACTCAATTACCTCCCACTGGGTGCCAGCCACAACACATGAAAATTATGGAATTGCAATTCAAAATGAGATTTGGGTGGGGACACAAAGCCAAACCATGTCACTACCGTATCTTCTATCCTTGAGAATTATCCCTGTGGAGAAGAATGTGTATTCTGTAGCCATTGGATGAAATGGCCTGTAAATATCTATTAGAACCATTTGGTCTCTAATGCAGACTAAGTCCAATGCTTCTTTGTTGATTTTTTGTCTGGAAGGTTTATCTAATCCTGAAAGTATTATGGGCTCCAGCTATTATTGGTTTGGGGCCTATCTCTCTCCTTAGCTCGAATAATATTTGCTTTATATGTCTGGGTGTCCCAGTGTTGGATCTATGTCTATTTAAAACTGTTATGTCTTTCTGTCGAATTGACCCCTTTATCTTCGTTATATTTTCTTATTGGTTTTGTCTTGACATCTATTTTGTCTGATATAAATATAGCTACTTTTGCTCTTTTTTGGTTTCCATTGGTATGAAACATCTTTTTCTGTTTCTTTATTTTCAATCTATGTGTCTCCTTGTAAGATAAATGTGTTTCTTGTAGGCAAAGCATCATTGAGCTTTATTTTTCTATCTATTCAGCCACTCCATGTCTCTCGATTGGAGAGTTTAGTCCATTTACATTCAATGTTATTATTTGTAAGTAAGGACTTACTCCTTCCATTTTATTATTTTTCTTTGTTTTCTTTCTCTTCTTTGTTTTCTTCCTGTCTTCCTTTTAGTGAAGGAGATTTTCTCTGGTGATATAATTCAATCTCTTACATTTATTTTTTTGTGAAGTTGTTGTATGTTTTTTGGTTTGAAGTTACCATGAGGTTGGCAAATATTATCTTATAACCCGCTATTTTAGGCTGATAACCACTTTACACTGTTTGCATAAGTGAAAAAAGAAACAAAAAGAAAACTAATAAAAAACATCATGCTTTAACTTTGTCCCCTGCTTTTTTTTTTTCTTTTTTTTTTTTCAGAGTTTTGCTCTTATTGCCCAGGCTGGAGTGCAATGGCGCAACCTCAGCTCGCCGCAACCTCTGCCTCCGGGGTTCAAGTGACTCTCCTCCCTCAACCTCCCGAGTAGCTGGGATTACAGGCATGCACCATCATGCCCGGCTAATTTTGTGTTTTTAGTAGAGAGAGAGTTTCTCCATGTTGGTCAGGCTGGTCTTGAACTCCCGACCTCAGGTGATCCATCCGCCTCAGCCTCCCAAAGTGCAGGGATTACAGGTGTGAGCCTCCGTGCCTGGCCTGTCTCTTGCTTTTTAACTTCTTGTTGTTTCTATCTATATCTTACTGTACAGGGTATGTCTTGAGAAATTGTAATCATTATTTTTGATTGGTTCTTCGTTTAGTCTTTCTACTGAAGAGTAGTTTACACATGGCACAATGTTGTAATATTCTGTGTTTTTCTGTGTACAAACTATTAATAGTGAGTTTTGTACCTTCAGATGATTTCTTCTTGCTCATTAACATTCTTTTCATTCTGATTGAAGCACTTCTTTAGCATTTCTTTTAGGACAGGTCATATTTTGATGAACTCTCTCAGCTTTTGTTGGTCTGAGTAAATTTTCATTTGTCCTTTTGTTTGAAGAATATTTTCATCACATATACTAATCTAAGGTAAAACATTTTTTTCCTCAGCACTCTAAATATTTAACATCACTCTTTTCTGGCCTGTTAGGTTTCCACTGAAAAGTCCGCTGCCAGACATATTGAAGTTCCATTTGTTTCTTTTCTCTTGCTGATTTTAGGATTCTTTCTTTATTCTTGACCTTTGGAAATTTGATTATTAAATGCCTTGAGGTATTATTATTTGGGTTATATCTGCTTGGTGTTCTATAACCTTCTTGTACTTGAATATTGATACATTTTTCTAGGTTTGGGAAGTTCTCTGATATTACCCCCTGGAATAATATTTCTACACATTATCTCTTTATCTTCTCTTGAAGGCCAGTTACTCTTAGGTATGCCCTTTTGAGGCTATTTTCTGGATTTTGTTGGCATGCTTCATTGTTTTATTTATTTTTACTTTTTCTCTTCTGGCTGTGTATTTTTAAATAGCCTCTCTTCAAGCTCACTAATTCTTTATTTTGCTTGAACAATTCTGCTATTAAAACACTCTGATGCATTATATACTATACCAACTGCATTTTTCAACTCCAGAATTTCTGCTTGATTTGTTTTAATGATTTTAATCTCTGTGTTTAATTTGTCTGATAGAATACTTAATTCCTTCTCCATGTTATTTTTAATATGTTTTAGTTTCTTCGAAACTGCTATTTTGACTTCTCTGTCTGAAAATTCACATATCTCTTCTTCTCTAGGGCTGGTCACTGGTGGTTTATGTAGTTCGTTTGGTGAGGTCATGTTTTTCTTGATACTTTTAGATGTTCTTCTGTATCTGGGCATTGAAGAGTTAGGTATTTATTTTAGACTTTTCAATATGGGCTTGCTAGTACCCTTCCTTCTTTGGAAGGCTTTCCAGATATTAGATAGGATGTAGGTATTGCAATCTAAGCAATTTCTGTTTCAGGGAGTACCCCAAGCCCAATAGCACTGTGGTTCTTGCAGACTGGTAGAGGTGCCACCTTGATGGTCTTGGGCAAGATCGGAAAACATTCTCTAGATTACCAGGCAGAAACTGTTGTTCTCTTCCCTTACCTTCTCCCAAACAAATGGAGTCTCTCTCTTGATTTTGAGCCACATGGAGCTGGTGGTGAAGTGACACAGCACCCCTATGGCCACCTTCACTAGGACTATGCTTGGTCAGACCTAAAACCAGCACAGCACTTGGTCTCACACAGGCCCTTCTGCTGTAACCACTCCTTGGTTACTGCCTTTGTTTGCTCAAGGCTCTGTGGCTTTACAATCAGGAGGTGGCAAAGGTGTCCTTTGCTTCAGACCATCAAGTTCCCCCAGGTCTCAAGCAGGTCCAGAGCTGTCACCTGGGAGTCAGAAACTAGAGACAAAAAACCTTAGAAGCCTACCTGGTGCTCTATTGTACTACAGCTGAGCTGGCACCTAACCCACAAGATTCACTCCTTCACACTCTTCTTTCTCCTTTCCAGAGACAGAGGAGACTCATCCCATGGCCACCACGACCACAGGCCCATGGGGATTCCAGTCAGACTATCACCACTATTCCCTGAAGGCCTGAGTTTTTAAGTCAGCTTGGGGTGAATGTAGCCTAGGCTGGGACTCATTCTTCAGAGCACTGGGCTCCTCTCAGTTGCAGGGCAGGTCTAGAAATGCCATCCAAGAGCCAAGTCCTGAAATCAGTGATCCTAAGAGCCTCCTTGATGCTCTACCTGCCTGTGGCCATGCTGGTACCCAAAGTGCAAGAAACGTACCCTTTACTTTTCCTTCTGCTTTTCTCACGCAGAAGGATTTTTACCCCATAGTCACCACCGCTGGAAATGTGCTGAATCTTACCTAAATCCAGCAAGTCTCAGAGTCTTACCCAAATCCCTCTATGTAGTACCTGGGTATTACATGGGTATCACTGCTGGTTATTCAAGGCCCAAGGGCTATTCAGTTAGCAGGTGATGAATCCTGCCAGGACTGGGTCCTTCCCTTCATGATAGTGGGTTCCTCTCTGGCCCAGAGTGTGTCCAGAAATGTCATCTGGGAGCTAAGTCCTGGATAGAAGGCCTCATGACTCTGTTGCCCCATTCAGCTGTGACTGAACTGGTATCCAAAATGCAAGACAAAGTTCTCCCCACTCTTTTTTCTCCTCCCTTTATGCAGAAGGAAGGAATATATTTTGGAGCTATGAGGCGTGAAGCCTGGTATTAGGTAGGAGGAGATCCCAGCACTCCCTTGGCTACTCCAGCTAGTGTCTCAGTAGGTCAGGTGCCCCACACAGTCCACTGTCTCTGAGCCTATTTCAGCACTAGGACTCGACTAAGATTTGTAGTTGTTATGGCCTAGACTGCCTTTAATGTTTACTTAGAGACACAGAGCCCTTTAGCCCATGGTTGCAGGGCTTACAGGAGCTCAATTTTCAACTGCTGGGATCAGCAATTCTTCTCTGGCTAAGGCTGATTTAATTTTTCCCTCCGTGGTTGGGTGTTACCTGAGTTTGGTCTGGATTTTGTTCTGCTACAATAGGGCAGTAGTGAGTTCAGTGCCTCACAGTTGCTGTGCTCTCTCTCCCCATTGCACAGAAATGCTCTATGCACCACGCTGACCCTGCCGGGGCATTGGGAGTTGGTGGCATTTGTAAGTCAAAGCTATTTTTTTCCTATCTCTTCAATGCCTTTTTCAGTGATATGAAGTTAAAACCAGGTACTGTGAGTGTTCCCTTGATTTGGGGTTCTTATAAAGGTCCTTTTTTATGTAGATATTTGTTACATTGGTGTCCTTACAGGGGTGATGGTTGAGCCTTCTGTTTTGCCATCTTGCCCCACTCTAAGACCTCCTCTCTCCACTTATCTACATCTATTCCTTGCCCTAGAAGGCTGACCTTGATGCACTACATAATAGGGCTACCTTGCTCTCTGGCTTCCAGTTGAGTTTTACAAAGGGAATCCACAGCAGAAGATATAAAGAAAGTAGAAAATTATATTAGAATGTTGGTTTCTTGCTTATTTTTATCTGAGGCACCTCATCTTATTATCACCTTTGATCAATTTCTTTTTTTTCCCTCATTTTTTCCTTCTCTTCATGACAGTTTCCTTCTGGTTACTGGTGATCACTCCCTTTTCTCATCTTTTTAGGCGTAGAGGTAGCAACACTCACTGTCACTATCCCGAGGTCACCTTACTCTTCTTTACCATTTGCCTATTCTCCATTCACAATTTTGTAAATAATCCATTTTAAAGTAAACCTTATTCAAATTATCTAGATTTGAATGTACCACCTGTAAACTGATGGGACCCTGATGGGTACAGCTCTCATCAAGGAAACTTCAGATGAGTATCTACAGTAATGCGAGATGCCGGAAGAACCCCTGGAATCACACTGCCAGAAAGGCAGCCTCACACTCAGAGAATGGTAGAATTAGATAACCAGGATAGTATTAGTCATGCAGACACATCCCTACTCCATTATTTCCCCTTCCTCTCCTTGCTCCAATTCTGAGGATATAAACCTTAGTTTAAAAATTAGGAGAAGAGGAATAGAAACACAAAGTAGGAAAGGAACACACCCTGTCTTAATTTGTTTTGTGTTGCAATAACAGAATACCACACACTGGATACTTTAAAAACAAAAGAAGCTTATTTGGCTCATGGTTCTGGAGGCTGGAAAGCCCAAGGTCACAGGACCATATCTGGTAAGGTCCTTCTTGATGCACCGTAACATGGTGATAGGCATCACGTGGCAAGAGGATGTGTGTGAGAGAGCAAAAGATCTAGCTCACAGTCTCAAGCCCTCTTAGAATCTGCATTAATCTATTCATGGAGGTTCCACCCTCATGACCTAAACATCTTCCATTAGGCTCCACCTTCCAACACGATTGCATTGAGGATTAAGTTTTCAACATGTGTTTTTGGGGAACATATTCAAACCATAGTATACCCCTTTCAATGACTTCAGGAAAGAGATGGAGCTTTAAGTTTATATTAAATTTGGAGTTTTATTTATTTCATGGGACTGGATATTTTAAAGTGTTCCCAGAGGACCTTATAACCTTTTATTATGTAAGAATTATCAGAAAAGCCATGAGGCTTACGCAACTTCTTTCCCAGAGGGAGGAGAAGAACTAGCTAAATATACTAATTATGATAGTTATAAGGGTTAGATGAAAACAAAAATACAATTAAATAAGTAAATGTGCTTTATGATTATGGTGGGCTTATTCAAGGTGATAGTTCCATAAAGCTTTACTTACTTCTCAAATGAGATAAAAGGTTCAAATCCTCTTTTGGCTGTAATACCATGCTTTTTTTTTTTCTTTTAACAAAGTGTTAACAATACTAAACCCCTCTGCTGCTTACTAGATGAAAACACTTTTCAGATTGCCAAGCAGTTATTATTTCTTAGACTGGTCTAATACATTTTAAGCAACAAAAACAAGGTTTCCTTACCATGATAATTCATTTCCATTGTTGGAGCTAGATTGAGCCACAAAGACCTGATGATAGTTGTCCTAATTCTATTCCTAGGCCAGAAATAGTTTGCATATAACCAAGCCCACGGTTTCCCCAAGGTTGCAGCACTGAGGTGCCAGTATAGAGCATATGAGAGATAAGCCAAAATCAAGATTAAGGAAATGATACTTCATACCACAGTGTAGGGATAAAGTAAGAATTTTATAGGACAAAGAATTGTGAAATTGGCTGCTGGAGACTTCAACTTGGAAAAGTGTACAACGTGAATCTGGCTAGATGGTTCACGAATGTGTGTTATGAATACTCAGAGGCACACTCTTTTACATGAAGTGCTTACTAAATGTGGCAGAAAAAAGTGCTAAAAAGAGCCATTAATGAATAAACAGCATGAGATACTGTTTGCAGACTAATCATGGTCAATAACATTCTTTCATTCACAATATATGAATTAATTTACTTTCTTTCTCATGCTAATGTGAATTAGAATAATCATGTATTTCTTTGATCATTTTTATCTCTTAGCCTGGCATATTCCTCAGAGTCATCAAGGCAAGCTGGCTTCAGTTTTCTATATGCCTCAGCCCTTCTGAGCTGCAGACCTCTTTGGGGATGAAGAATAAGCAGACATCCTTCATTATGAGACAGGTAAGCACTGCTGAGATCCTTGATTCATGATTATCATTAATATAATTGGTTAGTTAGAGGTTGCTGAAGTGAAGTAAAATAACGCTCTACACATGTGTAGGTGCTTCTTTAAAGGTTTTTAAAACTTTATCCCTAGTTCCTCTGTATTTATCCCTGATATTTAAACATATTTATTGCAAGAGTCTTCTATGGTTTTGAATTTTTCTCTGTATCCCAATCTCTGACCACTGTTGATTGACCCTCTCTTGCTGTTGCTTATCCCTAGTCAATTTCATGTAAAATAGAAATTTGAATTAACTGATTTTTTAATCACACATTTCGCAAACATGAGCTTCCAGTACATAGCATGGCCTTAAGGCATCAACAACAATTCTCAAAGTAGTTGGCTCAGGTATACTGAAAAATCAATCAATTAACAAATACACTCATACAAGCTTCCATGTTCTTCCATACATATGTACTTCTAATTGAAAATTTTGTTATATTTTATTTATATTGGTTTTTAATTATAATTTATGGCATTTTCCTTTATTAATTCCACTCATATTTATTGTGTAGCTTAATTATTAGCAGTTAGTATGCCCACTGGTACACACGAAACAGGCTACAGAGCTAATTTTATCTTTATTGAAAATCAAATATATAGACACACGTAATATTGAAAATCAAATATATAGACACACGTAAATACATATACATATCAAGTATATATATACATATATCTTTTTATCAATTATATTTTAATCAATTTTATTGAGATATAATTTTCATAAAATGGATCTGCCAAATTCATGTGTACAATTCTGAGTCTTGACAAATGTATACAGTCATGTGACTACCATCAAAATAAAGATATATATTATATTTCCATTTTTCTCCAAAGATTCTTTCTGACTTTTTGTAGTATTCTTCTCCTATTTTTATTTTTTTTTTGCCCTGATAACCATTGATCTGCCTTCTCTAACTACAGGTTTGTTTTTTTCTACAATTTTACATAAATTAAGTTGTACAGCGGGTAGAGTTTTGTGTCTGGCTTCTTTCATTTATTATATTGTTTTCAAGATGCGTTCATATGGCTGCATATATTAGTAATTCTTTTTTTTCTCATTTCTGAATTCTACTACATGGTATAGAATACAAAACTGGTTTATGTATTCACTAAGTGGTAAACATTTGGCTTGTTTCTAGCCTGTGGTTTGCCTGTTAGTTTTTTACCAGTTTCTTTTGAATAAAAAGTTTTTTAATTCGGATGAAGCCCAATATATCATTTTTAAAGTTTTTTTTCTTTTTTTCTTACTTTTTATAACCTTCCTAAAGACTATTTATCTTAATCAAGATCACAAAGATTATTCTTATATTTTTCTTAAAAGCTTTATAGTTTTAATTCTTTTTTTTTTTTTTTTTCAAGACGGAGTCTCACTCTGTCGCCCAGGCTCCAGTGCAGTGGCGCGATCTTGGCTCACTGCAAGCTCCGCCTCCCAGGTTCAAGCAATTCTCCTGCCTCAGCCTCCTGAGTAGCTGGGACTACAGGTGCCCACCAAAACGCCCGGCTGATTTTTTTTTTTGTATTTTTAGTAGAGACGGGGTTTCACCATGTTAGCCAGGATGGTCTCGATCTCCTGACCTCATGATCCACTCGCCTCAGCCTCCCAAAGTGCTGGGATTACAGGCGTGAGCCACCATGCCCGGCCAGTTCTAATTCTTATATTTAAATCAATTATACATTTTAATTTAATTTTGTAGTTGACTTAAGATATACATACTTAAGATATACTTACATACATAGGGTATATGTATATATGTATATACATATGCACACATATATAGGCATCTATCCATCTGTCTCTCTCTCTCCCTACACACACACACACACACACACACACACACACCCCTACCTGTATATGCATACAGATATCCAATTTTTCCAGCTACTTTTTCTGAAAAAAATTCCCATTTAGTTATCTTAGCCACTTTATTGAAAATCAATCGACCATATATGTTTAGTTCTAGATCTGAAACCTCTTGTCCATTCCCTTGATAGATTAATTGTCTATCTGTATGCTGATAATACATTTGCATTACCTTAGTTTTTACAGTAGGTTGTGAAATTAGATAATATGAGTTCTTCAACTTGTTTATTTTCCAGTTTCCTTGGTTGTTCTAGATCTTTCGTATTTCAACAATTATTTTTATAATTAACCTCTCAAATTATACAAAAAAGCCAACTGGCATTCTGTATGACATTGCAATGAATGAATAGGTCAAATTGTAGATTAGCTGACATTAGAGACAAAATCTAAATGATAAAATGGAGAAAGTGAGTCCTTGGTAGTTGCAAAAGGATGTGAGAAGAAGGTAGATTTGTGAATGTAAAGAGTTTTATGTGGAGGAACAGCTAGAGGATGAAGAATGCCCGGGGCAAAATAGGCTCCTTAAAGAACCTAATTAGGGATGTAGGGCGTGGCTGGTTTAGTTCTGATGGTCTTTTATTCTGAGGTGAATATCAAGTGCTAATAGTGGTTTCTTTCTCATAGGCAATGGGGAATTGTAAGACAGGTATATCTGTTTCGTAGTGATTTTACGAATGTGAGTTAGAGTATAAGCCTTACCTGCTTTACCTGAAGTATGCATAGCTCTATGGGCCTCAATTAAATTCTGCTTGTCTTTCAAGATAAGAAGTCTAACAGTGTGGTAATAGCTAAGAAAATATTATTCCAAGCCTTGGTTTACAATCACTGTGGGTTAGATGGTGGCTGAAGGAAGCATTAGATTTCCCAATCAGACACTTTATCTTGGCTTGGATTTTTATAATACTACATGTCTCCTGGTATCTACAGCTATCAGAAGTCAGAGCCACGGACTGTACTTTTTTAAACATGGAGGGAGAAGAGTATCATGCCATAACTGTAGAACCAGCTACAACTTTGCCTAACTGGGGTATAAAAGTGGAAATTGGTGGATTAAAAAAAATATATACCACCACACACTTCTCTAAATTAAAAGAATAAACAAGCAGAGGGCCAAATTGTCATTGTTGCTGTACCCTAGTGAGTCATACTTGATCCATTCAAGAATTGGGCTCAAATAAAATTTTTCTCAGGCTGCCTTGGGCTAGATATTATAGTATGTATAAGAAAATATTGGTTTCCTGTTGGACACAGGTGGTGGAGTGTAATATAAAATTAAAATACCTGAGCTTCCACCAGTTTTGTTCTGTCTTAAGTTTATGCGTCCTGAGGAGGTGTTTTAAAGTAAAGAATTGCGTCCTTTACTTCAACAGAAAGTCTAGGTGCCTCCAGATAGAGCCAGGATTTGAACTTGACCTTAGAGTTTCAGAGCATCATTATTTCTAACAATATAGCCCTGATCAGCATGTACCATTTTGTAAACGTCTCTGTAAGGAGGGAGTACGTTGATTCTAGGATGGGCTGAATTACGCCAGCCTGTGCCTTGGTAGTCTGGCCAATGACATGCTGAGAAGCCAGGAGAAAAGTTGAAGCAGACTGCTGATTTTCATTATCAAAAATATGGTGGGTCATAGATCTCATTGAAAGTGCCTACCTTAATCGTGCCCAGGGAGTCAGGAGCTGAAAATTGAGATACCAAAAACAACACTACTAGCATCACTGTGATTTATTACCAATTGAAAGTTTAAAATTCATTGGCATAATCACATTCAAATTAGAGTTTGATTTCAGTCAATCACGCTAGACTGTAAGGAGCAATTGCTCCTTGATGTGAGTTGGTGGTAATTAGAGACAGATGAATGATTAAAGGGCCAAATGCTGCACATCTAGAGCAAGATTTGGGTCTAACCGACAATTTCTGCAGGTCATCCTGGGACTGAACAGTCATCTAACCTAAACTTTACTTTAATCATTAGATTTGTTAAGAAAGAAACATTTGGAGACACTTTGCAAGCTAATATGAAGATCCCAGGTTATTGGTGGCCCTTGGCATTCTAAATGACTGTCAGTGGTGTCCTTTTGAACAATGAATCCAATTTGTTAAAAACTCAGAAGTGCAAAAATGAAACTGTTGGGTTGTAGAAATTTTTAAAATAATGTATCCCAAGCCTCAATAATCTGTGAAACCTTCCATCTTTTTTTTTGCCTGTGCGCTTTAATAGTCTCAAAATAGCATGCTCTACTAACAGGTTAGTCCTATTTAAGACAAAATCCATGTTTTTTGTTATTGTTGTTGTTGTTTTTGAGACGGAGTCTCGCTCTTTTGCCCAAGCCAGACTGCAGTGGCGCTATCTGGGCTCACTGCAAGCTCCGCCTCCCGGGTTCACGCCATTCTCCTGCCTCAGCCTCCCGAGTAGCTGGGACTGCAGGCGCCCGCCACCGCGCCCGGCTAATTTTTTGTATTTTTAGTAGAGATGTGGTTTCACCGTGTTAGCCAGGATGGTCTCCATCTCCTGACCTCGTGATCCGCCCGCCTCGGCTTCCCAAAGTGCTGGGATTACAGGCGTGAGCCACCGCGCCTGGCCCAAAATCCATGTTTTAATGGGCAAAATAGTTTATTCCTAAGAGGTCCCTTAGGCCAAGAAATACTATTTGTAAAAAATATTCAAAAATCTTACTGCTAGGAAGACCTTATAAAAAGGTATTTTTCTGATTTTTCATTAATTCATTTGTTCTTTTATAATAAGAGTTACTAGTTACAAAATATTTACTACATGCTAAGCTTTGTGATCATTTTTGTTTAACCTTTACAATTTCATAAAAATATTATTATTATTATTATTATTATTATTATTATTATTAGTGAAGAAACTCAGTTTCAAAGAGGTTAAGGATTTTACCCAAGGTCACAGAACTAGTAAGTAGCAGAAACTTTTAAATATTTTGCTATATAATGATAATTATGTCTTTATGATACCTAAGACTTAGTTCTTGGTGTCGAAGATCTGTAACATTGCATAGCTGCTACCCTTAAGGCCTTCCAGGAAGAAAGAGAGCATTATTAAATGCGGTGTTTCTCTACCAGTCTCTCTGATGGGTTAAGCTGTTGGGGCCTGAGGAGTAAGAGAGTTGAAGGAGAAGAGTTAGGTAGGGTTATTAATTTCCCTGGACATCCCCTTACTGAACATCATCTTGAATTAGCCGTATTCAAAACCAAAGGTCACTTTGCCCCTCCGAGATAATAATACAAGACTTTCTATTTTCCAGCTTTGGAAATTGCTCCCTTTCTTCACTAATGCATCCTCCCTCAATGTTTCCATATGCCTACTCTTTGGTAAAGTGGCCCTTTGGAATGATTGTCTCAATTTGAGTATGCTATCTTTTCTCTATTAAAACCTTCCCACTATTCCTTACCTCTCTTGCCTGTGACATAGGTTGCACAGTCATTATAAATGAAACTGTAATATTTTACCTTTCTTCTTATATTTAATTTTTCCCAGCCTTTTTTTGCTGTTTTTCTTAAGGGTAGATGCAAAACCAATGCAGCCAATGCTTTGCCCATAACTTTAAGGAGCGTGAGAATCCACAAAGCAATGTCCAGTGTGAGAAGCTACCAGCAAATTTCCAGCTCCTTCATCAAATTATTGCCATTTCTTTCCAATGCTACTAATTTCAAGAGTTCCTGTGAATAATCTGAGGATTCTGCTCCTCTCTTCATAGGTGGTGGGATGGTTAATATTGAGTGTCAACATGATTGGATTGAAGGATGCAAAATATTTTTCCTGAGTGTGTCGGTGAGGACATTGCCAAAGGTGATTAACGTTGAATTAGTGGACTGGGAGAGGCAGACCCACCCTCCATATAGGTGGGCATCGTCTAATTATCTGCCATCAGTGTAGCTAGAATAAAGCAGGCAGAAGAAGTTGGAAGGACTTGACTTGCTGAGTCTTCCAGACTTCATCTTTCTCCCATGCTAGATGCTTCCTACCCTCAAACATTAGACTCCAAGTTCTTCAGCTTTTGGACTCTCGGACTTATATGAGTGATTTGCCAGGGGCTCTCAGACCTTCAGCCACAGACTGAAGACTGCTTTTGAAGTTTTGGGACTCAGAATGGCTTCTTTGCTCTTCAGCTTGCAGACAGCCTCTTGTAGGACCTCACCTTGTAATCGTGTGAGTCAATACTCCTTAATAAACTCACTTTCATATATATATATCTATCGTATTAGTTCTGTCCCTCTAGAGAACCCTGAATAATATAGGTGGTTAAGTACAAAGAAAGACTAATTATATATTCCTCTTTTTCCCTTCCATCACCCCAATACGTAAGATAGGTTTTATGGGGATTCCATCAGTAGGATGTGCTTGCTCCTCTATTGAGAGCAAACAGAAGCTCTGCATTACTCGCAAATCCATTGTGAGTAGATGAATTGTATACCCTGAGACAGTCTCTATCCTGCTTTCACCCTCCATCCCCACCATATGAAGAAATAAGGATATGGAAAATGAAAACAGAACAAAAAACCAAACACTGCATATTCTCACTCATAGGTGGGAATTGAACAATGAGATCACATGGACACAGGAAGGGGAATATCACACTCTGGGGACTGTGGTGGGGTGGGGGGAGGGGGGAGGGATAGCACTGGGAGATATACCTAATGCTAGATGACGAGTTAGTGGGTGCAGCGCACCAGCATGGCACATGTATACATATGTAACTAACCTGCACAATGTGCACATGTACCCTAACACTTAAAGTATAATTAAAAAAAAAAAAAAAAAAGAAAACAGAGAGTCCCTGTCCCTACTCCTTTCCCGTTGACTGTTTCTCACAGTGAATGCACTAAGTATGCTAGCAGATATGGCACAAACCTGATTCTTTGACTCTGTTGGGCATTGATGTAAGCCTTATAGTATCATTCATGGTATAGAGATGATAGCGCTAATTGAGGGAAGACATGAAACCTTTAGGTTTTGTAAATTCCATCCCTTCGGCGGAAGAAGCAGGATGGGAAGCACTCATTACTCTCCAAACTTCATCATCCTTATCTCTACTTAGTCATATGTGTTTCCCCTGTTCATGTGACTAGAGGAATGAGGCCTTTTCGTTGTATATAAGGATATACAGTGAAAGCAAGGGAGTATGTTAGCTTTTACTATGGTCATTTTGTTACTAGTTATGCTGCTAGCTCAGCTCTACACCTTGGTTCTCTCCTTGTCATCCTATCTTCTGCTTCACTAGTTATGCTGCTAGCTCAGCTCTACACCTTGGTTCTCTCCTTGTCATCCTATCTTCTGCTTCACTTCAACCACGGGATCCTGTAATTATCAGCCTTTCACCTTGCCCTCCTTTGTATCATTAATTTGCCCCCGCTCATTATATCTATTCACATGAGATCACATCCACCTGATAATTCATTTTCTTTTCTTTTTTTTATTATACTTTAAGTTCTGGGGTACATGTGCACAACGTGCAAGTTTGTTACATAGATATATACATGACATGGTGGTTTGCTGCACCCATCAACCCATCATCTCCATTAGGTATTTCTCCTAATGCTATCCCTCCCCTATACCCCCAACCCCGACAGGCCCAGGTGTGTGATGTTCCCCTCCCTGTGTCCATGTGTTCTCATTGTTCAATTCCACTTATGAGTGAGAACATGCGGTGTTTGGTTTTCTGTTCTTGTGTTAGTTTGCTGAGAATGATGGTTTCTAGCTTCATTCATGTCCCTGCAAAGGACATGAACTCATCCTTTTTTATGGCTACATAGTATTCCATGGTGTATATGTGCCACATTTTCTTTATCCAGTCTGTCATTGATGGGCATTTGCAATTTTGAGAGAATTCGTTTTCTCTATAGAAAACCCCTGCTTTGAGAATTGATGAAGCTGCTTTGAATCTGAAATTTATAGATCTGGTTTGAATTGCAAGTCATATTCAACATGTCAGTTAATCTTTCCAAACCTTATCTCAGTTTCTCCATGGGTAATATGGGGGTTAATAACACTTGTCTCAGAGATGTTAAGATAAACCTGAAAAGCAACACACAGTGTAAAGGGATTACTGCTTTTCTAGTCTTATTATATCCTTGTCCAAGAATATATCATCTGTTTTTAGGTAATTGATTTGTTACGTATCAGTCTCTTCAACTAGGCCGTTGCTGTCATTAGGACAGAAACTGTGTTAACTTTAGTTCACCACAGTCTATTCATCATGTAACCAGGGAATTGATCCAGGTCAAGTGTTGCCTAAATATTTGAATTAAAAATTGCAAAGGACAGCAACTGCGTTTTCATAGTAAACAGCACAGTACTTTATTTCATATTTGTACTTGATGTCAAGTGGTACTTGAGAAAATGCAGCCTCAGTTCAGTCTTACTCAATGACCTTTCTTTTCCTTTGGGGACATTTCATAAATACCCTGGTAACTGAGCCCAGGAGATAGGCAGGCAAAGGCATGAATCTGTGTAAAACTGTGCTTGCAGAAAGAAGGATAGTAATAATAGGCTCCATCCCTTTAACTGCCCATATCCACTATCAGTGGATAGAAATGCATCAGAGGAGAAATATCTACTCTCTCCCTGCTACAACTAAGCTATTATGTTTAGAAAATTCAATCTTGCAGTCCAAACCTGCACCTGATTTTTGTATGGCTTCTGAAGATATGCTTATCTAGAAATTAACTATTGTACTGATTCCCGCAGCTTGCCAGGTAAGATTGCAGTAGAGGACAAATAGAGGACAATGGCACCAGATTTCCTCTATTACACACACTATTAAAACAAATGGAGTCAGAATTCTGGTGCAGAATGTTCACTGATATGATTTTACCATCAAGGAAATACCAGATAAAAGAGAGTGAATGTCAAACTTGTTAATGCCAGGCTGCAAACATTTTTGTCATAAAAAGAACAAGACAGATGCTTTATATTTTGAGTAATACATTACACTGATTTCTATACAAGGCATTTTTTTGTTCATCGCTCTGCCTCCATATACCACCCCACTTGGTATTTCTTTTACGTTTAATTGATTCACTGACTTTGTCAAATGAATAGCTTGTTAATGATGAGGTTTCAATGAAAGTATCCATAATGTGAGCCAATAGCGTTTGCTACGTAGTAAGCACTTGACACATCTTTATTCAATGAAGGAGCAGTGATGCACAGGGCTTTTTACAAGGCAAACTGCTTCAGAGACTGCTTTCCTAGCACCCAAACTCATTGATCTATCATGGGCAGACTCACACTAATCAAAGTCACAGAGAATGTGGTCTAAACCAGAATGCCAATTGATTTCTTTATCATGGTATATGACAGACTCAAGGGACTAAAGCTCTTCTTTCTTTTAGTTAACACATATTTAAGGAGCACCTGTGGGAGAAGTTAAATCAAATTCACAAGGTTTCTTGGTGAGTATGGCATCAGAATGAGGGGAGAAGCTAAATAGCTACATCAGATATGAGCCTGCCACTACAATATAAATATATCTAACATTGGTAGCCTTCCTGGACCAGGGCAGCCTGTCTCCTGGACTAGGATTAAATGGGTGCTGAGAATTATTCTTTGATAACCGTATTAGTTATCTATTGCTGCACAACACATTATACAAACTTAATACCTCAAAACACACACTTACGATTTCATAGTTTCCATGAGCTAAGAGTCTAAGCATGTCTTAAATAGTACTTCTGATCAGGCTCTCACCTAGGCTGTGTTCATTTCTAAAACTTGGGGTCCTCTTCACAGGTCATGTGATTGTGGCAAATTGAGTTTCTTGAAGTTGTAAGAGTGAGCTCCCCTTTTCTTACTGATTCTGAGCAGTGGGCTGTTCTTAGCTCCTAGAAACTTCACATAGTCCCTTACCATGTGACTTGCTTATAGGCCCTCTCACATGGCAGCCTACATTTTCAAGGCCAGCAGAAGGTCCTCTCCTCCAATCTGCTAAGACAGAGTCTTATATAAGGTAGCCATTATAGGAATGACTAGCCCATCACCTTTGCCATATAACTTAATCAAGTTATGTGATTATCCCTTCATATCCACAGGCCCCACCCACACACAAAGGGTGGTGATTATGCAGAGTGCCTACACCAAAAAACTGGAATTTTGGAGACCAAGTTAGTATTCTTTCAACCACAGTCACTCTCCTCGTTTTACGTGGTATACGTTAATGCAGTGGTTCTTCCTTCTCGTGGCAGAGTATAAATATTTGAAGATTTTTCCAAGTACAGATGCTTACATTTCATCCTTAAAATTCAGATTCAGTGCATATAGCAGCAGGACTGACCCACTTACAACTTTAAGCCTTACGTAGGTGGTCCTGATGAGGAAATCACTTGAGCTCCTGTTCAAGTTCTGAAAGCAGATCCGTATGCTTCTGAATCCTGATTTGAAGTTCGTAATTTACTAGCTGTGTGACCTTTGGAAACTCATTTAGTTGCTTGGTTGCCTTATCTGTAAAATGGGGCTGATAAAAGAATAACTTAATCTCTAGTTGTCTCACAAACAGACTTAATTACACCTATGCATGGAACATATGCATTAGCATATATGCCTGGCACATAGCAGGTGTTCAATTAATGTGGCTATAATTATTTGAGTTTATGGCTGATACACTTTCATTCTGATGGACAGTGAAAGCTGAGAAGCCTGCATTCATTACCCATTTTGTTTCTTTAAGGTGTCTCTGTAGACTGCCTATCTCTCCTATCATAGGATATTTTAGAGTTTTATAGTTTAGCTCATGGAGTGTAATCTCATATCCAGGTCCTGAATATGGAGGCAGGGAGTTGGCAAATACATTTTGCCTTCGAGTCTTGTGTATAGTAAGATCTGCCATTCCAATGGTTTGCCAACACGTGGCAGCTCAGAAACCTCTAGTTGTTTTTCACCTATTTGTTCACAATATACAGACCTGAATCATTATTTTATATCTAAGCCTAGTATGATGGTAGAAATTTTTTGTGTGGACAGAAGAAGATATTTCTCCCAACACACTAACTGATTTTATATCTAATGTCACACTGTCTCAAGATTGACAGCCAATAGAAAAACTGGCCTGACTTACGAATGATATAAAATCCTGCTATATTTAAATTATCCAAAAAGTTGTTCACTCAGATCAATATTCTGCTCAAATATAAGACAAAGGATTTTCACTCAGTGAAAGTCAATTTTTAAACACTTAACAAAGTCTAAAGTCTGTCTGAAGGCATTGCGTAACAGTGTCAATTCCCTGTTGTGGCGACTCACTAAATACTTATTGACTGAAAGACTTTTTGATTGTGACTAAATCCCATACTTAAAAAAAGAAAAGAATTTAAAAAATCTGTTTCAGTACCTAACTCCAGAGGTCCTTCTTGGCCGGACCTAATGTAGGAATCTTGCTACAGACGTTGTGTGAGAGGTAAATCAGCATAATAGGAATGGCACTGTAGTAGATATCCGGTGTCTGAGACCTGTGTTCTGGTTTCAGCTTGGCTATCTTCTAGCTGGTTTAAATAAAGGGAAATGTCTTAACCTTTCAGAACTTCAGTTTCTTGTTCTATAATATGGGGAAATGCTTCCTGCCCAAGTGATTCAGAAGATTATTGTGAAACTCAAATGACAGCAGGTCTGCAAAGTTCTTTGTGGGTTGTAACATGCTATGTAAATGCTGCTACTGATGACGATAACTGAAGAGTTCTAAAACAATCGTGATGACTTTAAGATTTCAATAAATGTGATAAATGCCATACAGCTGAATTATTTCCATCAAGCCAAAGAGATGACAGAGGAAGCTGAGGTCATTTCACTTACGCACATCACAATAAGCACATGCTTCCATTGTTCAACCGTGTCTGACTCTGAAAATGAGAATTTGCCATCACGTGGGAAGAGCTGTGTGGTGATAGCTTTGAGGTTGGTAGAACTCTTGATGTGCCGCTTCTGTGGCAGTGTGCATACTACATGTTCATCAAGATTTTCTTTTATTCCTGAGAATATAGGAAGACAGCATTATCCAAAACTCCCTTCTCTTCATTTCTTAAATCTAGAAGTTACTGTGTTACTGAGTTTTGGGCAATGCAACGTGTATGTATGGCAGTACTGTACACCACTTTCATTTTTGACTTCTACAGTTCTCTGTAGGATCTTCTACGCTGTGCTCTCCAGCACTTACCTCTGTCCTTGTGATTGGAAGTGGAGAACTCTGACATGGAGAAGTGGTGCCCACTAGGAACAGCTTTGGATTTGTACTGAGGGGGAGATAAATATTTGTTATGTTAAGACACAGGTTTTAGGCTTATTACACTGCCTAATATTTATTGCCCTGATTGACATAAATGCTCAAACTTTATAGACTGTGCTGTATTTTGTTGTCCTATTTTTGACGACTATTCAGACTGATACTTTGTTATTAATATTTTTCCCATAGTAAATTCCGAGGTTAATTTGGCTTCTGGAAAGATATAGCTCATATTGTCTATTCATGTGTTCAATCAGGTCACATTCCCAGGGAGCAGAAAATCATAGAACTTCAAGTATGGAAATTTATAGTCATCTAGTCATTCGTCTCCCCTCAACACACACACACACACACACACACACACCCCAGTTTCGGGGTGTAGCTGCCACTATCATGCCAAAAAGAAAAATAAGGCTGCTTAAGAAATAGTTCAAAAGAACTTTCATTGATACAATGAGATGCATAACCACTGTCTGTTCAGTTTGCAGAGGTAGTTTCATCTTTTGTGCGACATTGAACAAATTTCTTATTTCTCTGAGCTTCAGTTACTGATTTTTAAAACGAAAGTCCTGTTTTCCTCAAAGATGATTCTGAAGGTAAAATGAGAGGATGTGTATGGGAATAGAAAATTATAAATGCACATATCCATGTGAATATCCAAATCCTGAATATGCGCATTTATAATTTTAATGATTAATCAATAATTAAAGTATTTTAATGATTAATCAATAAAGTATTTTAATGATTAATCAATAATTAAAGTACTTTAATGATTAATCAATAAAGTACTTTAATTATTAATCAATGTACTTTAATTATTAATCAATAGTTGTCTTTATGTGATATCATGCAAGTTTGTTTAGATCCATGGTCAAAAGTGGTTTCAATTTTGTATCAAATGCAGATACCAACTCATATAATGTATCACTCCCTTTTGTTCATTGAAATTTGGACAAATCAATCAGAAAAAAATACCCAAAAGCAAGCAAATAGATTTACTACCAAACAAGGGAATTATATAGTATAGTGGATACAAGAATAGACTCTAAATTAAGAATGCTTTGGTTTTATCTGTAGCATCACTTGTCACTTGCTGTGTGACTTTAGACAAGTTATTTCTCCACCCTGTAGCAATCTTCTCATATGCAAAGTGCGTATAATAATAGTCTCCATCTCATAAGGTTGTTGTGAGGATTAAATTTGTTGACATATGTAAAATGCTTAGAATATTGTCTGGTACGTGCTAAATATGTATCACAGGATAGCATAGCAAATTATGTTATATTTAGGTTGGGTTTACTCTTCTCCATTCACGCTTCAAATTTGGACTAAAAATGGCTTGCCATATTACTGAGTGCAAAACTTGCTCTACTTATCATAACATGAGGCACTCCTCCTTACTCTACCATTTAATTTTCATTGACTTTACAGGAGGTAGAATTCAATACAGTTTTTCAAATCATGCCACAATTCTCATTGACCTCTAAGAAATTGAGATGGCTTCACACTGCAAAAGGATTCTAAAGACGTCTGTATTACACTGTACTATCATAGCTATTGACATCCACCTGAAGCACATCTCTGGAAAGCAGTTTTCCCCATATTAACACCTGCTGTCACCTGCAGAGCGTTCATGTTTGAGTCCAAAAGAACATGTGTTGCTGCTGCCTCTGCGTCTGGCACACACCGAATGCCCTCCTCTATCTTTATAGACATGTATAGTCGTGTATTTAAGACTTCATAGAAGCAAAGATGTCATAAATACACACACACCACTACATGTTCTCTTTTAAACAGCCTTGTAATAATGACCTTTATTCTGCTCTCATAATACAGAAAAAAATGAAGACCGTAGAAGTGATTTATATTCCTACCATGAGAACAGTAAAAAGAGAAAAGGGTAGATATTTGGAAATCTTACGTTACAAAAAGAAAAACAATTTTCAAGGAAGAAAGGTCATTTTTATTCTGCATTTATAAATCTATTTTAGAATGGATGGATATGGTTAGCTGAATAATGTCCCCCACCCCAAAAAAAAATGTTCACCTCCTAATCCGTAGAACCTGTAAATGTTACCTTGTATGGCAACAGTTACTGTACACAGAAGTTAAGGATTTTGCCATGGGGAGATTATCCTATATTATCCAGGTGGTGAGCCAGGTTTAGACACAAACGTCTTTATTAGAACACTGGAAAGTCAGAGAAGGCAACATGGTGAGGAAAGTAAAAATTGGAGTAATGGAGCCACAAGCCAAGGAGTGCTGGCAGCTTCCATATACTGGAAGTGACAAGAAACAGATTCTCCCACGTTGTCCTCAGAAAGAATTTGCCCTGCCTAATATCTTCATTCAGTCCTGTGAGAATTATTTCCAACTCATGACCTCTAAGACTATAAGAGAACAAACTGTTGTTATTTAAATCACCAAACGTGGTTATCCGTTACAATTGCAACAGGAAAAGGAATACAATAAGTAACATCTAAATGAAAACAATATACAATCCAAAAACAAAGGAAGACACCAAAACTTGTCTACAAAAATATGTCCCTATTCTCAATTTCCCACTTACCAACTACCATTCTCTGTTGAACCACTTCATTCGGATGTTAACCCATACCACTCCCCTAAACTAGCTCTTATCAAGGTGAGCAATAATTTCTACCTTTCCAATACCCAATCGTCACTATTTTAGCCTGATCTTACTCAACTGGTTACTATTTTATACAGCTGACAACTCCTGCTCTTAATACTTTCTTTGTTTGGCCTTCAAAATATCACACTTTCTTGTTTATTTTTCCCCCTTCCTCATTGTTTTGGCTCAATCATTGCTGTTTTTCCTGCATTTTCCAGATCTCTATATGTTGTAATGATCCAAGACTCAGTCCTTAGACTGATTTTCTTTCCTATCCATACTAGTTCTCTAGATAATCTTATTTAATCTTACTTATTTAAATCTATTTTGGTTAAATAATTTCTATTTTATATCTCTGGAAATACTGCTACCCTGAACTTCAGACACACATTCAACTAACTGCCTATTCATAATCTCTATTTGAATGTTGTGATGAATTATATTTTACAAAACAATTGTAACTAACAGTAGTGTGTCCAATATCACACAGTCTGCTAGAACCTCGCCACACCCCCATTCAGAGGTGGTATCTATTTCTTCTTTAGTTGAAACTTGAACAGGTATTTGTGATTTCTTCCACAAAAGAATGTGGCCTAATTCACAGTGAGTAACTTCCAAGGCTAGGTCATAAAAAAAAAAAGCCTATGATTTTTCTTTCTCTATCTCTCTGTTTGATTTGCCCTTTGTACCCAGCCACCATGTGTGACTAAGCCCAGGCTACATGAACAGGTCACTTGAAAGTGCTCTGGCCGTTACAGGCAAGGTCTTTTCTGAACAGCTAGTATAAACTACCAGACAGGTGAGTATAAACTAGTATAAATAGCTAGTATAAACTACGTAGTATAGACAGGTGAGTGGAAACTAGTATAAACAGCTAGTATAAACTACCAGACAGGTGAGTCAGTGATGTTTCTGATCATTCCAGTTCCCCATCTTTGAGCCACCCTGGTTAACATAGTGGAACAGACATGGGCTAAGCCAAATAAACCCTAAAAATAGCAGACATTTACCCAACATAAATGCTATTACTGTTTTAAGCCACTAATTTATGGGGTCATTTGTTGTGCAAAAATAAACTGAAACAAACACATCATAAGTACCTCAAACTTAACTTGTATGAAACTGAATTCCTATTCTATTCCACCTCACATACACCTGGCCTTCCATGATGTTTCCCATCTTGGTGGTAACTCCGTTCTTCCAGTTGCTTTGGCCAAAATCATTGGAGTTATGTTTTACTCCATTGTCTTTTTCATCCCACATCCAAATTAGAAGCAAAACCTGACAGCGCTTCCTTCTGAATGTATTCGTTATTTAACCTCTTGTCATTATTTCTACGGAAACAACCTTATCTTAACCGTAATCATCTCTCACCTCATCTGTTTTTCAACTGCTTTCACCTTTGTTCTCTATTGACTCTTCTCAACACAGCAGACAGAATGATCATTTAAATGGTTAGGTAAGATCGTGTTACTTTTCTGCTCAATATTCTCTAATGACTCCACACTTTACTGATATTAAAAGCTGCAATCCTTCCTGTAATGGACACAATCCTGCAGGATCTACAATGCCCTTCCTGTCCTCTAGTTCCCTGAAGTCATCTCCCACTCACTTCCCTTTGATCACTCTGCCTCATCACATAAACCTGGTTGATGTTCTTCTAAAACTCTAAGAATACTCCATCCTTAGGGGCTTTGTATACTCTTTCCTCTATCTGGAAAACTCTTCCCTTACTTCAGGTCTCTGCTTATTTATCACCATAATGGTGGCAACCATACAGAAAAATAACAATTCCCCACCCTTATCCTGGCATTTGCTATATTCGCCTTATCCTCTACTTTTAGCTGGATCACTTAAAATATATCGTATGTTTTACTTATTTATTTATATTTACCTCTCCGTTTCCCACTAGAATATAAGCCCCCCATAGCATGGACTCTATATTGTTTGCTAGTCCATCCTTAGTATACTGCATCTCTAGCTGTTACATCTCACTTTTTCTTGCTTTCTTTCAAGCAGTTCCTCTACAAAGACATTACTATGTGTGCCTGCCTCTGTTTTCCTACCACAAAAGGCCAAATCCATCCTCCAAGCACAATGTTTAATTGAATCTTTCCTGGCCATCAATTTCTCTCCCATCTGGATGAAGACTCTGGGCTCTGTAGGACACGGATAATTAAAATAACACCAGTTGCCAAGTATACCTCCTCAGTGCCAATCACTCATCATTACATGGTGATGATGAGTGATTGATTTATATTTTAGTTCCTTATTTTAGATGCGGAGACATTTTTTCTACTCATTTGTCTAGGAAACCTCCCAAAACTCTGTTCGTGATTTCATAAATACCAAATCATAATAAGACTCTTCTGTCGTAAATGGTATTAGATGAAGGAACTTCAACGTACTGATCTGAGAAACAGGGAAAAATATAAAATATCTGCCCTGAAAAGCCAGTAAAGCTTTTGTGAGGATCAAAGGAACTAATGTAGTTGAAATTACTTTGAAAATTTCCATGTAAATGTATATAGAGGTAATTAATAATAATAGTACAATATGTCCATCATTATTACATATTCACGTCTAACCAGGCAAGGATGAGTGAGTGTCAAACAATTAAAGGTATTTTTTTTCTCTCTCTTAGGGAAATTGTTCTTTCGATGTGTCCAGAGACCCGTTTATTTTTGAGCTGCTAAACCTAAACTGCTGAGGGCTGTGCTAGAAGTCACAGTTTATTTCATGATTTTGTTAACTGAGATAGCCTGAGGGATATTACAGAATATTAATAGATACCCTTTATTAATTTTTGATGGAATAAAAATTCTGCTTGATATAAAACATCAATCACAAGATCTTTAGGCTGGAATAGGCTTCTAGAGACAATTCAGCCCATTACCCCACTTCTCAGGAGAACTTCAGTTTAGGTTGTGCCTGAACAAAATATAATCAGATGGTCTTAGCCATTGAAAAAAAACTTTTTATATTATTGTGTGATTAAGCAGTATATTTCAATAGTGGAAAAATTTTCTAGACATGGCTTACTCAAGATTTAAATTAAAATTTAGGTAATTTTGACTATATTTGAGATCCTCTCACAAATTCTTTTGTGAATTGTCACTCTCAGAAAGTTACCTTTTAGAATTTGGACTCTGAAGTTAGATTTCCTGGATTGGAATTATGGCTCTTGCCCATAATAGCTTTGACTTTGGGCAAGCTTTTTAACTTCTATGTGCATCAATTTCCCCACCTGCAAAATAAGGATAACAATAGGATCCACTTCATAGTGGTATTGTGAGGAATAAATGAGTTAACACATTTGAAGCGCTTAGCACATATGCACTGGTCAATCAATAAATATTGGCTGAATTAACGAATGAATAAAATCTGTGCTGTTTTCACAGTGTATTTTGTTTGTTTTTTGATGTTTGTTTTGTTTTTCCATGAAAAACAATCTTAGTTTTCTTATACCTAGAAGTGTAATTGTGGAGTTATAGATTATGATTGTCTCCTTTTTATTGTTTGCCAGATTATGTCAACATGCTTTCTGAAGTTTTTGTAATAACCTAAATCCCTGCAAGCAGAATGTGAGCTTCCTTCGCATCACATACAGATTAATCTATTTTGTTGTTACTTTTTTTTTTTTTTTTTACAATGTATGGGTGTGAAATGGCGTCTGATTATGGTTTTTAATTTGTACTTTTGAATGGTTAATGATGCCGAGCATCTTATAAAAATAAAGATATTTACCGACATCTTCCATGAAATACATAGCTGTATTTATGGAATGTGAAAAGATTTACATCAGGAAGAATTTCATTCATATTTGATATTTAATATTTATTGAATCTTAACAGTGAGCTGTTTCTCTTGTAGATACAGTGGTGAACAAAACAGAACAATGAGAAAAAAAACTGCCTTATGGTGCTTACATTTACTTGTGTCAGAAAGACAATAAGCAATACCAGCAAGTTAACCATATTTGGCCCAAATTAGATAAATAAATAGTACATTGATGTACCGAAATATACAGATGTGAAAATGCACATATGTACATCAAGAATTATAAAAAAAAGTCTAACGAAAAAATTAACTCCAGAAGAATGTATGTAATTCTGCTCTATTAAGTAAATTTCAAAACAGGTAAAACCAATCAGTATCGATCATTTTGGAGTAGGTAGTACACATGCACTCAAACTATAAAGTTTACGAAAAGATGCTTAGCACAAACTCAGACCACTGGTTACTTCTGGATGTATAGAAAGAGGATAAAATTGAGAAAGGAGGCACAGCGTTTCAAATGTACTACTAATCTTCTATTTCTTAAGATGTGTAGTGAATACATCGATGTCTATATATTCAGGCTATTTTTAAACCATATATATGCTATGTGTGCCTTTTATGTATTTGATATCCATCATACATCAAAAAATCATAAAAATATTCAACTTACAGACTAGTGCATCACTAAAAAGTGACAAATATGTGATTTCTTTAAAGAAGAAAATGATGCTGCCATATCGGCAGATATTAAAACAAAATTAATGTACATTTTTACCTCATACCAAACGCCAAAGTAAGTTTCAGAAGGGCTTAAAATCAAATCATAAAGAAGTTATAACTTTGAAGTTATTAGACTTAGGCATTTTATGTTCCCAAATTCCACATGGTACAAGAGGAAATCAGTAGTTATTGATACATTTAAGGTCCAGGTAGATAAGCTCACTGTTGTAAAAGGTAACATGGTAGAGGTACCAAAGACCAGTCTGGTTTGTTATTTTATAGAGACAGGAAGTCGTGTTTTGTGAAGAGCGCCGGCCAGCTGTATATGTTCACATCAAGTGTGTAATGTATTTTAAACTTAGAAACATTCTGCTGTGCTGGATCCTTCCTTATCACCCAAATGGAGGTAACAAATTAAAGATAGCAATACTGACTGATTACTGAGATTCTGTCTCTTTTGACCAGACAAAAAAATAATACATGAAAGTGGCTGTTATTTAAAAGGCTTATCCTTCGGGAATTCTACATTTTCATGTAACTGGATAGACTAACCTATCAATTTAAGGCAGCAGAAGGAAATTTAGATAAGCTTTGGGTATAATTATCCCAGTTAGGATTTGCAACTTTAAGGTGTATTATCCTTTATATGTAACATTACCATGAATTATACACCTGCACTGAGAGCAACATATAATTCTTAAATTCCATGGCTATTTTATAAGAAGGATGTATTGTAGATTTATACCTTTCTATGACTCAGCATAAAGGCAATATTTTTCTGGAGTTGAAGCAAGAAGCGGTGCCTAAGGTAATAGGAAATGTAAATTTAAGCAAATACAGGTTTATTATAGATAGGACGTGTCAAAATTCTTATAACCTTTAACTTCTATTAAAACAAATATGCTGCAGTCATTCTTTACATTTTCCAAAAGGCTTCTGATTAATCTGGAAATGTTAGAATTCTTTTGCAAATTCAGTATTGGGCTTTATTTATCACATGCAATGCAAGTTTGAAATGTCCTCTCGTGGGTTCATTAAAATCATCTGCAACTGCTTTCTGAATCTTTTTGTTGAAATATGTACAACATTTCAAAGTAGTCTAGGACTAGCAAAAATAGCAAAGTAGAGAGTAATAGTGAAGTCCTGTTTTCTATAATTCCATGGAGTTCAAGAAACCTTGGTTTTTGTTTTAGGAAAGCGTTATGACTTCTTAAATGTGGTGACAAAATTCGAGACAACCAGCCCGTGAAGGCATGTCCAGTAGCAGGATTTCTCATGTAGGCGTTGAGCAACTTCCTCAGTAAAATTTTCTGGGAAACGGAGGCTCGGGAGATTGCCACAAGGGAATTAATTAATTTTGGGCTGTGGCTACTGGAAGGGGTAAGACTATTGCTCAGTAGTGACGAAAAATGTTTCCTTTCTCCCATTTCACACAATATTGTGTTCTATAGAATGATATAAGAAGTAGTATGGATTAAACTAGGGGTCAAGAACTTTTCCTATAAAGGTCCAGATAGCAAATATGTTTGGTTTTGTGAGCCATAAATTCTCTATCACAATTGCTCAACTCTGCCAACATAGTACAGAAGCAGTCATGGCGAATATGTAAATGATGACGTCTGTGATTCAATATATTTAATAAGATAGGTGACAGTTCAGATTTGGCTCATGGGCCTCAGTGTGCCAATCTCTGCACTAAACCGTAAGGGTGAAGTAAATCCAAACTCACAATGTCTAAACTTAGAAAATGATAGAATACAATAAAAATGACAATAAGCAGTCAAAATCATTAATGATTACTGTTAGGTATCATGAATGGAAAAAAGCATTTTTACAAATCTGCACAATTTCTCTTCTTAAATATGGAATGTAAATATCAAACTCAGTACAATGTTTAAAATTTTATCTATTATTTACAATGCACAAGATAAGAACAAGTTCTAATATTCTGGGTCATAGTTTGGCAGTCATCTGGATATGTAGTATCTATTAATAAGCATTCGTAATAAAAAGCTGCAGAGATTGAGAGCACAAGAGTAAAAAAAGGACAGAGAAAGACTGAGGCTAAGTAAATCATAGGGAATGTAAAAATTATGCAGAGACTCATTATGTCATGGTAAATGATTCTACTAAAATTTAGGAAAAGAGTTCCAACACATAGATGGCTCATACTTTATAATGGGCTGTATTTAGAGAGATAAACCACAGTCCTCATGATGTCCTTTGTTGTTCGTGAAAAGATCACATTTTAAAGTGCAGAAAGAGACCACGAAGTGTTGTATTGTTCAGCCTTTTATCTGCAGTCAGGATTAATTAGGGTATATAGAGTGTGTACCTAGTTACTACTAGGCTGTGTGCTAGGCTTTTTCCACATAATATCTTCAATCTTCATATCCTTTGAATCACAACTCCGCTAAGTACTACCTTTGCAATCCCAGGCAATAACCTTAGTCTGCCTGGACTGCTGTTTCTGAAGAAGGGGATCTTCTGGAGTCAGCCAGTCACTACTCCATAGAAGTCTGGGTAACGTGGCCGGAGAAAATTTATAATCTCTTTTTGGAAATATTTATTATCAGGATCTTAGAAGCTACACTAACCATCTAAGAATAAAATATACATGGAAAATATGTTGACGGTAGAAAAATTGTTGAAATGCTGAACAAATTTGGGTACCAAATTTATGCCTCCTCTGGAAGGTCATTTGATCTAGGCCAGTCTTGGGGACCTGACTTCTTGTGCCCACAATGGCTACAAGAGAATATGGGGAGAAAGAGCAAAAAAGACAAATTGAATTTTTTTTCCCTTATTTGCTTGGTATAATAAGCTGTAGAATTCAATGGCTATGTCATGTTGCTTAACTTTTAAAATATTTTATTATCCTCTGGGTTTAAGGGTTCAGGATGTGCGAATGAGTGCCATGCGATGACATGGATCCTTTGATATCACTTCTCTAACATCACACAAATATTGCCTTCACTTTGCGTTCACTTTTCCTCTTATAATGAGGAATATGTGAGCATTGGACATGTTATCATTTACCACTTAGACACTGGCTCGGTTTCATATACTTCTAACTTCATGTCTGCAGCATGACATTCTCAGAAGGCAGGGACCATGACCTTTGCTTCTTCTGGGTTCTTGGTATTTAACTCTCTACCTGCAAACAGTTGGCATTCAAGTGAAGCTTTTGTTATGTTCTTCATTTACTCTATTCAAGACATTTTATTAGGCACAACAAACACAAGGTGGAGCAAAAAATAGATATCATTCTTGCCATCATAGATAGCCCTTTCATTGCAATAGAAAGATGGACATCAGTCAAATAATCATACAGACAGATTTAAAATTGCAGTGTGGGACCAGGCGCAGTGGCTCACACCTGTAATCCCAGCACTTTGGGAGGACGAGGTGGGTGGATCACTTGAGGGTAGTAATTCAAGACTAGCCTGGCCAACATGGCGAAAACCCATCTCTACTAAAAATACAGAAAATCAGCCATGCATGGTGGTGTGCATCTGTAATCCCAGCTGCTTGGGAGGCTGAGGCAGGAGAATCACTTGGACCCAGGAGGTGGAGGTTGCAGTGAGCAGAGATCATGCCACTGCACTTCATCCTGGGTGATGCAGTGAGACTGTGTCTCAAAAAAAATAATTAATAAAAATAAATAAATAAAATTGCAGTGTGATAAATATAATAAGGTAGGGATGTTGATGATGGAAAATGAGAGGTCTTTGATCTTTATGTGTTTCCAGTTGCATCAGTCCATCCTCATGCTGCTGTAAAGAACTGCCCGATACTGGGTAATTTAATAAAGCAAAGAGGTTTAATTGACTCACAGTTATGCAGGGCTGGGGAGGCCTCAGGAAACTTACAATCATGCAGAAGGGGAAGCAAATACGTCCTTGGCAGCAGGAAGGAGAAGTGCTGAGCAGAGCGGGAAAAGCCCCTTATAAAACCATCAGTTCTCATGAGAACTCACTCACTATCATGAGAACAGCATAATGGTAACTGCTCCCATGATTCAATTACCTCCCACTGGGTCTCTCCTATGACACATGGGAATTATGAGAACTACAATTCAAGATGAGATTTGGGTGGGGACACAGCCAAACCATATCACTAGTCTAGGACAAATTAAAAAACAATTATGAGATGCAGTGGTAAGTGCAAGGTTGAGGAATATACGTGGTGCTGTGAGATCACAGAAGAAATACAGTAAACCTTCTGGTGGTTGGAGAAGACTAATTTTTCAGCTGACTTTTGAAAATGTCAGCAGAAATGAATGAGGTAGAATTGGAGAAAGGAGTTTCAAGCAGAGAGGAAAGCATAAGCAAAAGTTTAAAGATTAGAAAGAGCATGACATGTATACATACTTGCAGTCATTTTAGAGTGCCCAATGAATGATCTATGAGGGTGAAGCTGAGAAGATGCTGCTGGAATGGAAATCAGAGACCAAACTATGAAGGGATCTGTCTATTTCTTGAAGTTCTGCAAAAAAAAAAAAAAAAAAAAAAATGGAAATATTAAAAAGACTTTGAAACAAAGGAGTGGTATGATCAACTGTGACGTTTTAGATAAATTATTGCCGGGCCTGACCTGCGGACCCTGGCTGAACGATGGATGAAAAAAATGTATGTAGACACAGGTTTTTTGCCTGGCTGCGTGACGAGGGGACTGGGCCACTCACAGACATCAAGGAGGATGCTGTAAAGAGTCACAGTGGCCGCAGCCACGACAAGCCGGTGCCGTATTTCATCTGTGATCTCACAGCACCAGGTATCTCTTTGGAAAGAGATCATCTTTATTTATATCCCACCTGTGCCAATTATTTTCTGTGTGACCTTGGTAAGGTATTTAATGCTCCTGTGTCTCAGTTTCCACATTTATAAAAGGGAGATGAACTAGTACCTGTATCATAACTTTGCTATTGAGGTTAAATAGGGTAATGCATATGAAGTTCTCAGAACCATGGTTCTCAATAAACAATCCAGAAATGTTAACTGTTATTATTCTTTTAGGAGATAAAGTGTACGTGTTTGGATTTAAAGATGCTAAGATTGATATGCCTATGGGATAGTCATGTGACAATGACCACATCTGTTTTTGCTCACCACTCCATTTCTCCATACCTAGCAGAGTCTCTGGTACATAGTAGGCATTTAAGATTTATTTGTAATACAAATAGATAAATGCATGAATGAATAAAATACATCATATGCAATTAGATAAGCATCTGAAATCAATGGAGAAGCTAAGGATGAGGGTAATGTATTGGTAGGATTAGCCACTGTGCTGGCTGAGAGTTCCCAGAAAATTCCTTTTGGATGAAGAGAGCACAAGATAAAGAATTGAACCCTGAAAGACAATATCATTTAAGGGTCAGAAACAGTATAGAGACTGAAGGCCCAGGACAGAGCCAGTATAATAATTCTATTATACATACAAATGCATGTGTATGTTCATTGTAGCACTATTCACAGTAGCAGTGACATGGAATCAACCTAAATGCCCATCAATGATAGACTGGATAAAGAAAATATTGCACATATACATCAGGGAATACTATGCAGCCATAAAAAAGGACAAGATCATGTATTTTGCAGGTACATGAATGGAGCTGAAAGCCATTATTATTAGCAAACTAACACAAGAACAGAAAACCAACTACTAAAAGTTATCACTTATAAGTGGGACCTAAATTATGAGAACACATGGACACACAGAGGGAAATAAAACACACTGGGGCCTATCAAATGTTGGAAGGTGGGAGGAGGAAGAGGATCAGGAAAAATAATTAATGGATACTAGGCTTAATACCTGGCTGATAAAATAATCTTTACAACAAACCTTTGCGACACAAGTTTACCATGTAACAAACCTGCACTTGTACTCCTGAACTTAAAATAAAAGTGAAAAAAGGAAGATAAGAAGATAATTTAAAGAGGGTCAACAGAGATCGGATGAGAATCAGGTAAATATGGTATCCAGGAGCTAAAGGAGAGTTTTCATGAGAGAGAAATTTATCATTTCAAATGCTGCAATATGTTTCAGTAAGACCATAAACTTTCAAGCCATGCTTTGTCCCCCACCCCCAGTAACTTTTACTCCAACCTCTCTATGCTACGTCTGCCCTTCATACATATGCTTACTCTTTCCCCATAAACTGCATTGTGTGCTTAACTTCTTCACTAGATTTTGAGACACTTGAAGGGTAATACCTACCTAGTCTTATTCATCTGTATGTCTGTATTACCAAGCACAGTGCTTGGAATATAATACAGGGCTCATTAAATATATCTTAAATGAACTATCTTGATGACATGTCAATAAACCAACTTGTCTCAGGGACATGGTTTCTAAATGAAAAATTCATGGCATCCTTCGTCATGCATATCCTAACTCGCACAAAACTGAATAGGTGAAAAGAGGAGTCCAAAACTAAGGGGACATATGTCATGCACTACATTGACTGTTTATTCTCATGTACTCATCCAACTTGGGTTTGGAATTTGAGGGAAGGCTCCTCTAGTTGGAATAAGCTACAAAACTGTTCAATTTAAAAATCACGAACCTGATGAAATCTAGCATGTGGAAAACTTATTTGAACTTGACATACACTGCATTAAGAAGCATTTAATAGGTTCACTCACCAGTGACCTTTTAAATTCAAAGAAGGTAATATTTCTTCCCCTAATGACAAAATTATGCCCCAAGAATAGCTTACTCATTGGTGGTTTCTGTTCACATCACCATTTTTCATGTCCTCTATTAGATTATGATACCCTTATGGTCAGAAATCATGTCTTATTCAACTTTGTATTAACATCACCTAACACAGTAACTGGCAGCTCGTAGCTTCCTGGGAAATGTTCATTTAATTAATTATTAGCATTAAACTACTTATTATGCATGTGAATTCAATGTAAAGTTAAGAAATAGTGCAGTTATTAAATGTCAGCCTTAGCTGAGAACACGCCCATCTTGGTGGTATAGGAGAGAAAAAAGTCATAAGGTTTGTTCACTTCAGCTTTATAAAGAAACACATGTTCACTCAAGTCCTTGTGTGGGCTCATGGCAGGATGAAAGAAGCAGAAGTACTGATAAGAACATGTTTAGCCAAAACAAGGTGACATATCTATGCAACAGTCTTAGAGGATATCCTATAACTAATCCTCCTTAACCAATAACTTCTTGAGCTGCATTAGTTGCTTGTCGAAATGGCTCAGATAGTTTCAAAACAAAGTTTAGTTAATTTTATTTGTAAAAATCCATCAGAGTACATAAAAGTGACATTTACCTGAATAAACCTTACGTGAGCTTGACTAATTTTAGATGAATTTATGAAAAATGATTCGGTCCCGTAATGATTAGTGTTTATGTGTACATGGCGTTGGTTGAATAAGGCAAATGAATAACTCACATTTAACATTTTATTTTTAATATTAATATATATTAAAAGATGTTTCCATATACAGTTCTATGAATTTTAACATATATATAAACCTTTATAACCACCACCGCAATCAGAAAACTGAATAGTTACCTCAACTCCAAAACTCCCTGGGGCTAACCCTCTGAAATTATACCCTCCTCTGACCTCTAACCCTTGACAAGTATTAATCGGCTCTTCACAGCTATAGCTTTTGTCTATGCAAGAATTTTATAAAGTTAAAATTATATATATATGTCCTTCTGAGATTGGCTTCATTTACTCAGCATGACTTCTTTGATATTTATCCAAATTCTTGTGTGCCTTGTGTACGTGCATATCAATAGTTTCTGTGGGGCTTTTTGTTCATTTTTTTGCTGCCTATGTAGTATTCCATTGCATGGTTACACTTTAATTTGTTTATCCCTTCACTCACTGAAGGCTATTTGTGTTATTTGCAGTTTTGGGAGATGATAAACCTTCCATAAATATGTGTGTGCAATAATTTGTGTGACCATATATTTTTGTTTCTTTAAAATAAATATCTTGCAGTGGAATTTGTGGCTTATATGGGAAGTGCATGTACTACTTTATATGTGGTGCCAAACTGTTTTTCTGAATGTCTGTACCATTTTGCATTTTATGACAATGAATTAAAAGTCCAGGCTTTCTATACCCTCTCTAGTATTAGGTATTGTCACAATTTTTTTTTTTTTTTTGGCATTCTAATATAGATATACAGCTATCTCATCATGGTTTTAATTTGCATTTTCCTAATGAACAATGATGTTGCCCATATGCTCATGTGCTTATATGCCAGCCGTATTTTCTCCTTTGTGAATTGTTGCTTCAAGAATTTTGTCCACTTTTTATTTGTTTCTTATTCCTGAGTTTAGTGTCTTTATATATTCTAGATGCAAGTTCTTTGTCATGTATGTGATACGTTTTCTGTAGCTTGCCTTTTCATTCTCTTAACAGTGTTCTTCTCAGAGCAAAAGTCTCTAATTTTGATAAAGTCCAATTTAGTATTTTTTTTTCTTTTAAGGATTGTGCTTGTGTTGTCATGTGTAAGAAATCTTTGCCTAACCACAGTCATGATTTTCTCATTTCTGCTTCTAAATAAAGGTTTCATAGTATTACATTCTATATTTAGGTCTATCAGTTAATTTTTAGATACAATGTGAGGTTCATTATTTGCATAGGGATGTCTAATTTCCCTAACACTATTTATCTGAAAGCATCCTTTCTCCACTGAAACGTTTTTGTACCTTTGTAGAAAATCAATTGGCCTATTTCTGTGGATCTATTCTGAACGCATAATTCTGCTCTTTTGATCACTGTGTCTTTCCCTTAACCAAGATTACACTGTTTTGGTTACTATAGTTTTATAGTAAATCTTACAACAGGACAGTGTGCATCCTTCAATGATAGTCTTCACTTTAAAAGTATTTTGACTAGTTTACTTCCCTTGTCTTTCCATGTAAATTTACTGTTAGGAGCGCAACTGAATTAGAGAGAGATGCATTGTTAGGTGTCCAAGTAGTTGATTAAAACAACAAGACAAAATCACAGTCATTGTCCAGGTTTAATTACTTTCTGGTATAATATAAGCAAGAGACTAAACCAGAGAAAGCCCTCACTTTTCCCTGTTCTACTTTCTCCCAGGTAATGGCAGGCTGGGTCAAAGTTCATGTAAATCAGCACAGTCATAGTGGTCATCTCAATGTGGGGACAGAAGAGATCTCTCTCTGTCTCTCTTTGTTCATGGATAAATATATATTATCTATCTATTTCTCTATGTGTCTATCTATCTATGTATCTATCTATCTATCTAGCTAGCTATCTGAAAAGGCTCCTGCATTTCTATGGACTCAGAGACGAGGGGACAGGAAGAATGGGGAGGGTGAAGCATTGGGACTGGAAAAGTACTGAGTCAGAGTGGAGAAAAAAATGTCTTCAAGATTTTCTGTTCCTTATCCTCAGATGCAGAGGCACCTGAGGAAGGCTTCTACCAAAACCCCAAGTAAAGAAACCCCTTAATGAAGGTGCCTGAGCTAAGGACGCAGATATACCAAAGAGCACAACAAGCTGGAGAAAGGTGGGGTGTGACATATGAGTCTGTGACTGTAACTTCGGTTAGTAACTGCAAGGTGTCAGCTGTGCACTAAATCTGGTATGGGAGAGTAGCTTCCCCTGTAAGGTTTGTCAGGTAAAGCCTTGATAATTACTTATGGTCATGCCTGAAAAGTCACACATAGGATTTTGGCCTGGAACCATACACTTCATTTATGAATCAGTGTATTGCAGTAGTCCAGGCCAGAAAAAATGGAAATTGGTCCACAGTGATGGCAAGTTGGAATAATTTGAATTCAAATGATTCTAAAGATGTTTTATAGGCATAGGTAACATAACTTTAAGGTGCATTTAATACAGGTGGGTGGGGCTGTTAAGGGAATTAAGAGAATCAATGAAAACTTTTTATTTGGAACAAAAGCATCTGGGAGTGTAGTAGTATACTTCGATGAAATAGAGAAGACTAGAAGAAAAGCAGATTCTGGGGGAAATCAAGTTCTCTTTTGATCATTTAATATTTACAATACATGTTAGAGAACTATTTGGAAATGTCAGGGAAGCAGTTGGATATTTGTGCCTGGACTTCCAGTGGAGAAAATCAGGCATTGGAAAACTATTTGGCTTATAAAGAGTATTTGAAGATAAAGTTTGAGAAATCACTGGCTGATAGCCATCATTTAACATTTTGGGATTGGATGAGGTAATCTCTACAGAGGATTCAGATAGAGACTGAAGGCTCAGAACAGAGCCCCAGAGAACTCCAACATTTAGAATTCAGGACGACAAGGAGGAACCAGCCAAGAAACCAAGAAGTAGCCAGTTAGGTAAAAGGGAACCCAGACCGTTGTGATATATAAGAAGTAAAAAAAAAAAAATTAAGAAATTATATATATCTTTAAAGGGAAAGTGGATGGGCGCGGTGGCTCACGCCTGTAATCCCATCACTTTGGGAGGCCTAGGCGGGCGGATCATTTGAGGTCAGGAAACATGGACAACATGTTTCCTGACATGGTCCATAGCCTGGACAACATGGTGAAACCCTGTCTCTAGAAAAATACAAAAAAAAAAAAAAAATCAGCTGGCTGTGGTGGCATGCCTGTAATCTCAGCTACTTGAGAGGCTGAGGCAGGAGGATTGCTTGAACCCAGGAGGTGGAGGTTGCAGTGAGCCGAGATCACACCACTATACTCCAGCCTGGGCGACAGAGTGAGACTCCACCTAAAAATAAAAATAAAAATAAAAAATAAAAATAAATAAAAGGGAAAGGAAGATTAACTGTCAAATATTGTTGAGAAAGTAAATATGCTAAGAACAGTGAAATGATTATAAAATTTGCCAATATAGAGGTCATTGATGACATGACAAAAGTACAATTAGTGGAGAAGAAGAGGAAATATAAAACCACAGATAGAGGTAAAGAAAGAATGTGAGTTTAACGAGCAGAGGCAAGAGATTACAGACAACTCTCAAAAAGTTTTACTTTCATTACGTGAAACAGAGAAATGGGGCAAACCCTGGCAAGTGTTGTGAGCTCAAAAGAATGTTTTTGCTGTTGCTATTAATCAAAAAGCAAGACATATAACATACTTATGCTGTATTTCTGTTGGTAATGATCAACGTAAGTACAAAAATAAATAAGGCATCTTAAAAGAAAGGAGTGGGAGGAGAGAGAGAGAGAATATTACTGAGAATAGAAATCAGATATTTGAGAAATCAAGCGTAGAGGGACTCCAGTACACAAATGTTGAGGTTGGACATTGATAAAAACAGGGATACTCCCTCCATTGTAGCTGACAAGAGGGAAGGCAGACAAAATGGGCACAGAAAACAGAGAGGTAGCCTGTAGGTTTGCTGGTGGGGTGATAAGATAGGTCTCATCTGTGGCCTTCTATTTTCTCAATAAAATATGAAGTCAGGTCATTAGCTCAGGGATGTGTTATTTGAGGAGAGGAAAGGTCAAAAAGATGGCTTGGAGTGTAACAAAATAAACTTACAAGGGAAGGGCAGCAGGATGGTCACTCTGTTTGGTGGCCATTTGAATTATGCAAATATACTGCCCAACATGTTCTACCCATGACTATGCATTCTTCAAACAACCAAAAAAATGGGCTCACACTGAGCACATTCTTTGCAATTTACTCTTTTTCACTTAAAATATATTTTAGGCCGGGCGCAGTGGCTCATGCCTGTAATCCCAGTACTTTGGGAGGCAGAGGCGGGTGGATCACGAAGTCAGGAGATTGAGACCATCCTGGCTAACACGGTGAAACCCCGTCTCTACTGAAAATACACACACACACAGAAATTAGCCGGGCGTGGTGGTGGGTGCCTGTAATCCCAGCTACTTGGGAGGCTGAGGCAGGAGCATTGCTTGAACCCAGGAGGCGGAGCTTGCAGTGAGCCGAGATCACGCCACTGCACTCCAGCCTGGGCGACAGAGTGAGACTGTGTCTCAAAAAAAATATATATATATCTATATATATATATCTATATCTATATATATATCTTTTTCTAAGACATTACATATAGATTTACTACTACATTCATTTAATAGTGATGTTGTATTTCATACTATGTATCCCAGGCCCAGACAACCATCATTCCACTCTCCACTTCTATTAATTTGACTATTTTAGATTCCTCATATAAGTGGCATCATGTAGTATTTGTCCTTTTGTTTATTGTTTCATATGAGAATGAAGGTGATTACTCAGGGGATGTGGTTCATTTGGAAACAACAAAAACAATTTATTCAATATTTCAAACTTACGTTTCAGGAAACTATGAAATTATTGCATATTATATGCCACTTGGCCACTAAGTGGCTTCTGAATGTGAAATAATTGCTTTAAAGAATGAGGAGTACATGCAACCACACTGAAATGAGTTCTTAAAGTGAAGAGGATTACAATTTTTCTACATGTTTGCTAACTCAGGATTATATAATTTTGACCAAATGCGTTCCTTAATTTATGGACTCTCAGAATCTTCTTATTCTACTTTTCAAATAATTTTTCTTTGTCACTTTTTTTTTTAATTTAAAATTCCCGGAGAGACTCAAGGAACACTCCAGGAGTATTGAACAAAAAGATATTTGAGTTAAAGATCTGGTATTTCAAATCTGTGCCTTTTTTGCATAGTAATCTCATTTTATGCTTAACCCTGCTGAAGAGCAGCACGTGTGGTATGAAATTATTCTGGACTGCTGACCTCCTTGCTTGTCACCTGGACTGTGTTTTCCCCCATTTAGCTTAAGCTTTCCCTTCTTCTTCATAAAGCTCCCTGTTGCTTCCAACAAGGAAAGTGACAGCTCATTCCTTATACTGACAAGCTGTCTCCCTGCACTGTCTCTTTGTTATCTCGTTGTCTCTCTGTTCTTCTCTCACTGTCTTGCCTATCTTTAATAAACACATTTTTGTCTGAGTGACAAGCAGAGTAATTCAGCTCATTATAATTAGCAGCACTGCCCTTCTTTTGCTAGAAAACTTTAAAAAGTCAATGTCTATATATAGAATTGAAATTAGGAAGTATGCTTTCCGATTCTTGATTCACTCCGTCACTTTCTTGCTGTGGGGGCAGCAGGGAACTGCTTGACCTCTGGGTTTCCTTTGGTTCAATTAAGGTGATAATTCTTGCCTGGCCTTACAGATGTAGGTGAGTAATTAAGGGTTGTAGAATCCTTTGAAATTCAAAAAAGAAGCTGTAAAGGCTAATCATTTGCAGTATTCGTCTAAGTTTTTGAAGTAATTTACACAAGAAAATAAATACTGTAGTTTGGATGTAGAAGATGAAGCCATGAAAGTTAACACAAATTCATTGACAAATTCACAAGAAGATTCTGAAGTGGAGACAGGAAGCTATATATACTGCTGCCTTTTCAGCCCTCTTTCTCTCCTGGATTTTGATTTGCGAACTCTCTTCTATACTCCCTCTCCAATACCTCACCTAAATTTCTGATTAGTAAGGTACATCTGAAAGGGTACAGGCTTTGGAGGCTCTGAGACTTAGTTACACACCCGATTCTACTACTTTCCAAATGAGAACTAAGGCAAATAATATGTTATGTGTTTTCACTTCCTGTATCTCAGCTTCCTTATTTTGTACAATGGCAACCACCCTTACAGCACACAGCTGTCAATAAGAACTTCACGCATGTTTGTGCAAGCTGGTGTTGATGCTAGGACATCTACAACTTTCAAGGTATGTTTCTTCTCTTTCATTCTTCAGAAAGGAGGTAGAAGGAGAGGTCATGTGGTTAAGCTGCAGTGACAGCTACTCTGGTGACTATTAGACTGCCCCAAAGAGATACTTTAGAGCCAGGCAGAGCAGGCATGTGTTGGGGCCAGGCTTATTGCTGGTCTTGGGTGAATATTCCTACTATAACTTTCAACCATCTGAAAAGAAATGACCAAATTCACGTATTTTGCAACCAGAAACAATACCAGTTATGTCCTAAACAAAGGTGAGTGCTGTATATCATGTAAAATGTAGATGTTCTCTTTGCTGAGGTCCAGAAACTGACAGTGAACTTGAGAATTCCCTGGGGGACAGAGCATCAAAGAAGTACGTGGTTTCTGAGAAGGCCGTGTTTCCCAGGGAAGAAAAAAAGTAGATACTTTCTAAGACACAAAACCACAAATAATGATGATGTGCATATTTTTAGAAATTGTTTTATTGAGGTGTAATTTATACAAAAATTGTACATATTTAATGGATAAAACTCGATGAGTTTAGAAATAAAGTACATACCCATGCAATCATTACCACAAACAATGTAATCAACCTACTCACCTCCAAAAGATTCCTCCTTCCCGTTTTATTATTATTATCATTATTGTTATTATTTTTGGGATAAGAACACTTAAGATGTACCCTTTTAGCAAATTTGAAAGTATACAATACACTATTGTTAACTATAGCTACTGTGCTGAACAGTAGATCTCTAAGACTTGTTCATTTTGTATAACCGAAACTATGTACCTCTTGACCAATACCCACCTCTATCCTTAACCTCCTAGGCCTGATAACCGCTACTCTATACTCTGCTTCTATGAATGTGACTATTTTAGATTTCTAATTTAACTGATATCACGTAGTATTTGTCCTTTGGCGTCTGGCTTATTTCACTTAGCTTAATGTCCTACAGTTTCATCCATGTTGTCACAAATGAAAGGATTTCCCTATTTTGTTAAGAGTAAATATCATACCACTATATGTATATACCATATTTTCTTTTTCCATCTGTTTGTTCATGGACACTTGAGTTGTTTTCATATCTTAGCTACTCTGAATAATGCTTCAATAAATATGGAAGTGCAGATATGTCTTCAATATACTGATTTCAGTTCCTTTGGATGTACACTCTGAAGTGGATTTGCTGGATCTTGTGGTAGTTCTACTTTTAAGTTTTTTGAGGAACCTGCATACTGTTTTCCAGTGTGGCTGCAACAATTTACATTCCAACAGTACACAAGGGTTTCCTTTTCTTCACACTCCTGCCAACACTTGTTATCTTTGGTTTTTTATTTTTAATTTTTTATTGAGGCAAGATAGAAAATGTGCCCTATTTACCATTTTTAAGTGGACAGTTCAGTGATAATAACTATGTTTGTGTTTCTTTTCCATTCATCTCAACCTCCTCTTCTTCCCAGGATCTGGTAGTCAACATTCTACTCTCTAACTTCAGAAGATCCACTTTTTTAGTTTCTACATATGAGTGAGAACATGTAATATTCGTCTTTCTGTGCTTGACTAATTTCACTTAACATGACAGCCTCCACTTTCATTCATGTCGCTGCAAAGGACTGGATTTCATTACTTTTATGGCTTAATAATATTCATTGTATAAATATGTCATATTTCCTTTATCCATTCATCCGTTGATGGGTACTTAGGTAGATTCACATTTTACCTATTGTGCTAAATAAATAGTGCTGCAATAAACATGGAAGTGCAGATATATTTTTAAAAAATTATTTCTTATGATGTAAGTTCTGGGATACATGTGCAGAACGTGCAGGTTTGTTACATAGGTATACACGTGCCATGGTGGTTTGCTGCACTCATCAACGCGTCAACTACATTAGGAATTTCTCCAAATGCCATCCCTCCCCTAGCCCCCCACTCTGCAACAGGCCCTAGTGTGTGAAGTTCCCCTCCCTGTGTCCATGTGTTCTCATTGTTCAACTCCCACTTATGAGTGAGAACATGCAGTGTTTGGTTTTCTCTTCCTGTGTTAGTTTGCTGAGAATGATGGTTTCCAGCTTCATCCATTTCCCTACAAAGGACACGAACTCATCCTTTTTTATGGCTGCATAGTATTTCCTGGTGTATATGTGCCACATTTTCTTTATCCAGTATACCACTGATGGGCATTTGGGTTGGTTCCAAGTCTTTGCTATTGTGAACAGTGCTGCAATAAATGTAATTGTGCATGTGTCTTTATAGTAAAATGATTTATAATCCTTTGGGTATATACCCAGTAATGGGATTGCTGGGTCAAATGGTATTTCTGATTCTAGATCCTTGAGGAATCACCACACTGTCTTCCACAATGGTTGAACTAATTTACACTTCCACCAGCAGTGTAAAAGCATTCCTATTTCTCCACATTCTCTCCAGCATCTGTTGTTTCCTGACTTTTTAATGATCGCCATTCTAACTGGCATGAGATGGTGTCTCATTGTGGTTTTGACTTGTATTTCTCTAATGGCCAGTGATGATGAGGTGTTTTTCATATGTTTGTTGGCCACAGAAATGTCTTCTTTTGAGAATTGTCTGTTCATATCCTTCACCCACTTTTTGATGGGGTTTTTTTTTATTGTAAAATTGTTTAAATTCTTTGTAGATTCTGGATATTAGCCATTTGTCAGATGGATAGATTGCAAACATGTTCTCCCATTCTGTAGGTTGCCTGTTCAGTGTGAAAATAGTTTCTTTTGCTGTGCAGAAGCTCTTTAGTTTAATTAGATCCCATTTGTCAATTTTGGCTTTTGTTGCCATGGCTTTTGGTGTTTTAGTCCTGAGGTCTTTGCCCATGCCTATGTCCTGAATGGTATTGCCTAGGTTTTCTTCTAGGGTTTTTATGGTTTTAGGTCTTATATTTAAGTCTTTAATCCATCTTGAGTTAATTTTTGTATAAGGCATAAGGAAGGGGTCCACTTTCAGTTTTCTGCATATGGCTAGCCAGTTTTCCCAACACCATTTATTAAATAGGGAATCCTTTCCCCATTGCTTGTTTTTGTCAGGTTTGTCAAAGATCAGACAGTTGTAGATGTGTGATGTTATTTCTGAGGCCTCTGTTCTGTTCCATTGGTTTATATATCTGTTTTGGTACCAGTACCATGCTGTTTTGGTTACTGTAGCCTTGTAGTATAGTTTGAATTCAGGTAACATGATGCCTCCAGCTTTGTTCTTTTTGCTTAGGATGGTCTTGGCTATACAGGCTCTTTTTTGCTTCCATATGAAATTTAAAGTCGTTTTTTCTAATTCTGTGAAGAAAGTCAATGGTAGCTTGTTGGAGATAGCATTGAATCTATAAATTACTTTGGGCAGTATGGTCATTTTCACGATATTGATTCTTCCTATCCATGAGCATGAAATGTTTTTCCATTTGTTTGTGTCCTCTTATTTCCTTGAGCAGTGGTTTGTAGTTCTCCTTGAAGAGGTCCTTCACATCCCTTGTAAGTTGTATTCCTAAGTATCTTATTCTCTTTGTAATAATTGTGAATGGGAGTTCACTCATGATTTGGCTCTCTGTCTATTATTGGTGTATAGGAATGCTTGTGATTTTTGCACATTGATTTTGTATCCTGAGATTTTGCTGAAGTTGCTTATCAGCTTAAGGGGATTTGGGGCTGAGACGATGGGGTTTTCTAAATATACAATTATGTCATCTGCAAACAGAGAAAATTTGGCTTCCTATCTTCCTATTTGAATACCCTTTATTTCTTTCTCTTTCCTGATTGCCCTGGCCATTACTTCCAATACTATGTTGAATAGGAGTGGTGAGAGAGGGCATCCTTGTCTTGTGCCGGTATTCAAAGGGAACGCTTCCAGCTTTTGCCCACTGAGTGTGATATTGCCTGAGGGTTTGTCATAAATAGCTTTTATTATTTTGAGATACGTTTCATCAATACCTAGTTTATTGAGAGTTTTTAGCATGAAGGGGTGTTGAATTTTATCGAAGGCCTTTTCTGCATCTATTGAGATAATCATGTGGTTTTTGTCATTGGTTCTGTTTATGTGATGGATTATGTTTATTGATTTGCATATGTCTTTTCTATATATTTATTTTCTGTCTTTTCGCTATATACCAGTAGTAGAATTACTGAGTCATATGTTAGTTCTATTTGTAGTATGTTGAGGATCCTCCCTACTGTTCTCCATAGTGGCTGTATTAATTTACATTCCCATCAACAGTGTAGGAGGGTTCACTTTTCCCCACATCCTCCCCAGCATTCATTATTGCCTGTGTTTTTGACACAAGCCATTTTAAATGAGGTGAGATAATATTTCTTTGTTTTTAATTTGCATTTCTCTGATAACTACAAATGCTGAGCATTTTTTCATATAATTGTTGGCCATCTGTATGTCTTTTTTTTTAAGAAATATCTGCTCAGATATTTTGCCGCCATGTTTTAATTGGATCATTAAGTTTTTCCTTATAGAGTTGTTTGTACTCATTACATATTCAAGATATTAACCCCTTTTCAAATGCATAGTTTGCATTCCTTTCTTTCATTCTTTGGGTTGACTCTTCAATTTATTGATTGCTTCCTTTGCTGTGAAGAAGCAGTTTAAACTAATGTAATTCCATTTGTCTATTTTTGCTTTGTTTGCTTGTGCATTTGAGATCTTACCCAAGAAATCATTACCCAGACCAATGTCCTGGAGTGTTTTGCCAGTGTTTTCTTCTAGAGGTTTCTTAGTTATAGATCTTACATTTAAGTCTTTAATCTATTTTATTTTATTTTATTTTATTTTTGTATATGTGAGAAATAGGAGTCTAACTTTATTCTTCTGCATATAGTTATCTGGTTTTTCCAGCAGTGTTTGTTGAAAAGACTGTCCTTTCCCCATTGTATGTTCTGGTGCCTTTGCTAAAGATGAATTGGCTGTAAGTGCATACATTTATATCTGGGTTCTGTATTCTTTTGCCCTGGTCTATATGTCTGTATTTATGCCAGTACCAATGAGAGGTGACAGTGTGCTGGCAGTCCTCACAGCCCTCGCTCGCTTTCGATGCCTCCTCTGCCTGGGCTCCCACTTTGGCAGCACTTGAGGAGCCCTTCGGCCCGCCGCTGCACTGTGGGAGCCCCTTTCTGGGCTGGCCAAGGCCAGAGCCCACTCCCTCAGCTTGCAGGGAGGTGTGGAGGGAGAGGCACGAGCAGGAACCGGGGCTGTGTGCAGCACTTGGGGGCCAGCTGGAGTTACGGGTGGGCGTGGGCTTGGTGGGCCCCACACTCGGAGCAGCTGGCCAGCCCTGCTGGCCCCGGGCAATGAGGGACTTAGCACCCGGGCCAGTGGCTGCAGAGGGTGTACTGGGTCCCCCAGCAGTGCCAGCCCACCGGCGCTGCGCTCGATTTCGCACCGAGCCTTAGCTGCCTTCCTGCAGGGCAGGGCTCGGGACCTGCAGCCCACCATGCCTGAGCCTCCCACCCACTCCATGGGCTCCTGTGCGGCCCGAGCCTCCCCAACGACCACCACCCGCTGCTCCACGGCGCCCAGTCCCATCGACCACCCAAGGGCTGAGGAATGCGAGTGCACGGCGCAGGACTGGCAGGCAGCTCTACCTGCAGTCCCGGTGCAGGATCCACTAGGTGAAGCCAGCTGGGCTCCTGAGTCTGGTGGGGACGTGGAGAGTCTTTATGTCTAGCTCAGGGATTGTAAATACACCAATCAGCACCCTGTGCTTAGCTCAAGGTTTGTGAGTGCACCAGTCGACACTCTGTATCTAGCTGCTCTGGTGGGGCCTTGGAGAACCTTTATGTCTAGCTCAGGGATTGTAAATACACCAATCAGCACCCTGTGTTTAGCTCAGGGTTTGTGAGTGCACCAATCGACACTCTGTATCTAGCTGCTCTGGTGGGGCCTTGGAGAACCTTTATGTCTAGCTCAGGGATTGTAAATACACCAATCAGCACCCTGTGTTTAGCTCAGGGTTTGTGAGTGCACCATTCGACACTCTGTATCTAGCTGCTCTGGTGGGGCCTTGGAGAACCTTTATGTCTAGCTCAGGGATTGTAAATACACCAATCAGCACCCTGTGTTTAGCTCAAGGTTTGTAAGTGCACCAATCGACACTCTGTATCTAGCTGCCCTGGTGGGGCCTTGGAGAACCTGTGTGTCGACACTCTGTATCTAACTAATCTGAGTGGACGTGGAGAACCTTTGTATCTAGCTCAGGGATTGTAAACGCACCAATCAGTGCCCTGACAAAACAGGCCACTCGGCTCTACCAATCAGCAGGATGTGGGTGGGGCCAGATAAGAGAATAAAAGCAGGCTGCCCGAGCCAGCATTGGCAACCGGCTCGGGTCCCCTTCCACGCTGTGGAAGCTTTGTTCTTTCGCTCTTTGCAATAAATCTTGCTGCTGCTCACTTTTTGGGTCCACACTGCTTTTATGAGCTGTAACACTCACCACGAAGGTCTGCGGCTTCACTCCTGAGCCAGCGAGACCATGAACCCACCAGAAGGAAGAAACTCCGAACACATCTGAACATAAGAAGGAACAAACTCCAGACGCGCCACCCTAAGAGCTGTAAGTCACTGCGAGGGTCCATAGCTTCATTCTTGAAGTCAGTGAGACCAAGAACCCACCAATTCCAGACACACCAATACTGTTTTGTTTTCTATAGCTTTGTAGTAAATTTTGAAGTCAGGGAATGTGATGTCTTCAGCTTTGATCTTTCTGCTGAGGTTTGCTTGGGGAATTCAGGGTCTTTTGTGGTTCCATATAAATCTTAGAATGTTTTTATTTCTGTGAGGAATGTCATTGGTATTTTGATAGGGCTTTCATTGGGTCCATAAATTGCTTTGAGTAGTACTGTCATCTTAACAATATTAATTCATCCAATCCATGATCATGAAATATTTTCCCATTTTTTGTGTTCTCTTCAATTTCTTACATCAGAATTCTATAGTTTTTCTTGTATAGACCTTTCAGTTACTTGGTTTGATTGATTCCTAGGTGTCTTACACTTTTGTAACTATTATAAATGGAATGGTTTGTTTGATTTCTTTTTCAGATTGTTTGCTGTTGTCTCATATAAACACTACTGATTTGTGCATGTTTATTTTGTATCCTGCAACTTTACTAATTTCATTTAAGTTATAACATTTTTTGATTGCGTCTTTAGGTTTTTTTAAGTCTCAAGTCATGTTGTCTGCAAATAAGGCTAATTTGACTTCTTCCTTTCCAAAATGAAAGTCATTTATATCTTTCTCTTGCCCAATTGCTTTGGCCAGGGCTATCAATATTATGTGAAATAAAAGTGGTAAAAGTGGGAAACCTTATCATATTGCAGTCTTCAGAGAAAGGCCTTCATTTTTTTCCTATTTAATATGACATCAGCTGTGGGTTTTTTATATATGACCTTTATTATTTTGAGGTATGTTTATTCTATACCCATTTTGATGAGAGTTTTTATCGTAAAGTGATGTTAAATGTTATCAATTTTTTTAGCATTTATTAAAATAATCATATGGTTTTTGTTCTTGATTTTGTTAATGTGATGTATCACATTTATTGATCTGCATGTGTTGAAACACTCTTGCATCCCAGAGATAAATCCCACTTGATCATAGCACATGAGCACATTAGAAGGATAATCATGTTGTATCATCCTTCTAACATGCTATTGAATTTGGTTTACTGGTATTTTCTTGAGGATTTTTGCATCGATATTCATCAGGGATATTGGCCTGCACTTTTCTTTTTTTGTTGTGTCCTTGTCCGGTTTTGGTGTAAGGGAAATGCTGGGCTCATAGGATGACTTTGGCAATATTCTCTCCTCTTCAATTTTTTTAAGAGTTTCAGTAGGATTGGTATTAATTCTTCTATAAATGGTTGGTACAATTCAGCAGTGAATCCATCAGGTCCTGGGCTTTTATTGATGGTAGATCTTTTATTACTGCTTCAATCTCATTACTCCCTATTGGTTTGTTGAGGTATTCTATGTCTTCATGGTTCTATCTTACCGGGTTTTATTTGTCCAGGAATTTATTAATTTCTTCTAGGTTTTCCAATTTGCTGGTATATTGTTGTTTATAATAGTCTTCAATGATTCTTTGTATTTTTGAGGTCTCAATTGCTAGGTCTCCTTTTTCATTTCTGATTTTATTTATTTGGGTCTTCTATTATTCTTAGTCTAGCAAAAGCTTTGTCAGTTTTATTTATCTTTTCAAAAACCAGTTTTTTGTTTTGTTTATCTTCTGTATTTGTTTTTAGTCTCTTTTCACTTATTTGTGCTCTAGTCTTTATTATTTATTTTCTTCTAATAATTTGGGAATTGGTTTGTTTTTGCTTTTTTGGTTTCTTCAGGTACATCACTAGGTTATTTATTTGAAGTCTTTCTACATTTTTGATATAGATGTTTATCTCCTTTTGCAATATACACAGATTTTGGTAGGTTATGTTTCCATTTTTGTTTGTTTCAAGACATTTTTAAATTTCTTTCTTAATTTCTTCATTGACCTATTGTTCTTTCAGGAGCCTGTTGTTTAATTTCCATGTGTTTATGTGTTTTGTGAGGTTCCTCTTGTTATTGATTTCTAGTTTTATTTCACTGTGACCAGAGAAGATACTTGATAAGATTTTTACTTTTTTGAATTTGTTTAGACTTGTTTCATGGCCTAAGATCTTATCTATTCCGAAGAAAGTTTCATGTGCTGATGAAAATACTATGTATTCTGTAGTAGTTGGGTGAAATATTCTACAAATGTCATTATTTTAAAGAGATAAAAACTTATATCACAAATAAAATAATAGAAACAAAGGCAAAAAACAATAAAATTATACACCTTAACTCTGTCTCCCCCATGTTTTTACTTGTCTCTGTTTACATATTTTTATATTAATTATCTCTTAGAAGGCTACTGTAGCTATGTTATTCAGATTTTGACAAGGATTTCATTGAATATGCAGATTGCTTTGGTTATGAACATTTTAACAATATTAATTGCTCAGATCCATGAACACGGGATGTCTTTTCATTTATCTGCGTTGGCTTTAATGTTTTCCTTGAGTGTTTTATAGTTGCCGGTATACAAGTCTTTCATCTCCATAGCTAAGCTTATTCCTAAGCATTTTACAGGTTTTGATGCTATCGAACTTTTAGTATACAGGGCTCAGGGTGTTTATCTCTCAATATATAACCCAAATGTTTCAAGACAAAAAAGTAGTTGAACCGAGCCTTTGTAATGCTGCTTAGTGCTTCAGATTAGGGCCAGATTATTCACAGCTGTTACAAGTTACTATGGCAACAATTTCTGTATTTAGAAAAATGTCTAAAAATATCCAATTCTGGAGTTCAATGGCAATTCTTATTTCAGTGATCCATTATAGGTATTTGTGAGTGTGGCTGTTTACCAAATTTTTTCTTGAGAATATGTATTACATATTTCTCTATCCTCCAGTAGGACACAGGATGCTGAGTATTAGAATGTCTCCAGTTCTCACATGGAAGGATCACTTTTTGACAGTATTATTAAAATAATTACTATTAGAAAAAGTTTTGAAGACTTATAGATATAAAATTGAATGTTTGTTAAATCTAAGTATTTATTTGGGAGGATATTTAAATGACTAGAATAAAAAATGAAATAACTGAAATATCAAGAAAGACTCTATTAAATGAATTTTTAAAAGGAATTATCAGAAGCCTTGGCAGCCTTCGATATGGATGCCTGAGGTTTCCATTGAAACATTCTTGAGACCGCAGGTCAGGATAAGTAAGAAAAGAGCTGAGTGATTGCCAAGAACGTATGAAATATCTCTTTTTTGATTTTATGAGTTATGTGTTGTCTGTATAGAAAATAGTCCACAAACTAAAAATTGTTAAAGAATAATACAGAAAAAAGATTTTCTACTCAAAAATAAAAATTTCTTAATTTTAGTGTAGTGCTTTCTGATATTTATATGTATAAATATGTGTAATACGTAATATACAATTATACATCTATAGGATTTTAGAGGATACTATGCTGAAATGAAGTTATATACATGTTAGATATATATATATTTCCCATTGGCATTAATATTGCATATAGGATGAACTGTAATGTTTTGTGTACTGAACTTTGCACTGAGTGCATACTTTACATTATTAAATATACTTTGAAACACGATTACAGGTATCATTAATTTAACTTGTCCTCCTATCGTCGCCTATTTAGGTAGTTTCACTTTTGAGGAAAAATACAAATATTTCTCGTGGTAAATATCGTTCTGTCAAAACCTTTGAATGTACGTTTGAATATGTCTTTCTTGTTGATTCCTATAAAAACAATAAGTGATCTATAGATATATGGCAAATGGCTACTTATAAAATTATGAAAAATTTAAACTACTGTTATGTACTAAATTGTGTGCCCACAAAATCTATACATTGAAGCCTTAACCCCTTACGTTGCTATATTTGAGGATAGCATCTTTAGGGACATAATTAAGATGAAATCAGGTTACAAGAGTGGGACCCTAATCTCATAGCACTGGTAACACCAGAGGAGAAAACACCAGAAATGCATGTACACAGAAAAATGCTATGTGAATATACAGGGAGAAGATGGTCATTTGTAAGCTAGGGAGAAGGCAGAAGAGAGGCATAAGGAAAAACTAACCCTGCTGGCACCTTGATCTCAGATTTCTGGTCTCCAGATGTGTAAGAAAATACATTTCTATTGTTTAAGCTACCTAGTCTGTGGCATTATTTATTTATTATTTTTTGGCAGCCTGAAACAACCATTTGCATGATATGAGAGTGCAATTTTAGCTGTACTTTTAGTAATATATTTAGCTTTCTATTTTGAGAAGGAAATGTATATATTTAATTTGCATCTTCTTGATTACTACTGAATTTAAGTATTTAAAAATAAATCATTTGCATTTAATTTGATGTGAATCGGTTGTTGCTATTCTTTGTTCATTTTCTATTTATGTTTTAGAGTTTTTCTTAAAGATGTATATATCTCTATAAATGATGAGTTTTAATCTTTGTAATAGCTGTTTTGCTCTTTATATCTACATTTATATAAGGAGAAGTTTCCAAAGTATTTAAATATACCAATGTTCTTTAAGATCTTTAAAGGAGAAAGATATACAACTATGTATTTTTAATTTTATAATTTCATTTTATATATAAAAACTCTAATCCTGTTGAAATTTAGTTGTGGTTTAGTTCTATTATAATTTATTGACTAATCTTTCTCCTATGGATTGGACATTGCAACCATTATTATGTCACCAACTGGAATATATGCTGTGGTTAGTTTCTGAGATTTTTAGTTTTGTTGAAATAACTAGTATTTTAAGTACCAATGTATTGTTTTAATTTAATCACTTCATATTATCTTCTTCTGTATAACTTATCCTTTTAAAATTCATAGTTTGTAACCATACCCATTTTTTTAATTTTATAAGGTAAACTAATCAACTTTTGGTTAAATTTTAGAGTAATTTGACAAACTGGGAAAAACAAAATGAAAATAGAGAAGAAAACTATATTTTTAGAAACAAAGAAATGACCACAAGCCTTCAATATAAACTATGAAACGTAACTGCCAAATGGAGTGAAAGGGAGGCCAAACTATAATCAGGTAAAGTACAGAGCTTTGGAAAGTTAGTGAGAAGATACTGAAAGGCTCATGCAATGATCCCTTGATTTAATGAACATGATTTAGTAACAAGCGTGGGCTATAAAAGAAGTGGGGTCTATCGTTGTAACAATTATCCCAGGAAGAGAAAGTGCTTTTGAAAAATTGTTTTCTGTGGTATTAAATACATTTAACACAATAGGTCATAATTCTGGCTTCTTGCAATGGAAACTGACTGGCTTTTAATTTGGATTATATTAACTTTATAAATCAATTTAGAGCAGCTTCATATCCTTATACAACTGAGTTAAATTAATAGCAAGCTATTATCTGCATTTACCTGCCTCCACTCAAGTTTTGTAATGACATAAAAAGAGGTTGAAGAAACAACCGAATATATAAGAAGTTTTAGACCACAATAAGTTGAGATTTTATAAAAAATTTTATGGGCCGTTATCGAAGGGATTTAAATACAATGACATAATTTCAAAACTTCAACGTAGCTTCTGTGCAGAAAATGAATTAGGAGGGGGGATGATGTGGATTAGGAGCAAGAAGACCAGTTATTGATCCAAATGAGAGATTATAAGGGGATTCATACATTTTCATTCATTCAACAACTACATATTAAGTAGTTATCATGTGTCTCTGACTATGTTAGGCATTATGAATGCAAGAAAATACACAATTATCTATGAAACTACTAATCTAATGGAATTTATATTTCATTAGGAACGGTGCAAAATAAATATCAAGTTACAAGTAGTGATGACAGCTATAAAATATCTGGAGAAGCATAGAATAATGGTCATTTTCAATAGAGTAGACATTTCCAAGAAGGGTAGATTTGGACAGAAATTTTTATGAATGGAAAGAACAAATGACGAAGCAATTTGGGGAAGATAGGAAACAGCAATACAAAGGTCCTGAAGCTGAAGATTTCACCTTACAAATAAATGACTACTTGGTTGTAGGTGGCAGTAGGAGACAAGTTGCCCTCAAATTTTATAATATGTTATTATTACAGTGTTCTCTGATAGTCAGTGTTGCTGAGGGAAATTGGAAGGCAATTTGAAGTAACTTTCTTTGAGTCATTAGTTGATACTTATAGGATTTTAAGAATACAATTATTCAAACGTTTGTCAGTGTGTCTACGTGTAGAATTATTTGCATTAAATTTACAGGGAAAAAGGAAGGTCTTTAATGCTGCATATTCATCTTCTTATTAGATTTAGACAACATTATTCAATTTTACTTTTATTAATTAATTATTTTAGGACTTCTAAGTTTTCCTCCTTAAGAACCCCCATAACTTGTTGCTTGGATTGTAATTTTATATTTTAAACAATTACCAAATTCTCAGTCATAATTTTTACATTTTCCATACTTTTTTTGTGTGTTTTGGAAAAAGCTGCTCATAACGATCATTTGATCTTTTCTATGGTGTCAATGTTATTCTTAACTTCCTGTAATGTGGTATAATCTGCTATCACAATTTTAGTTTCATGGAGAGTCTAATATTGTCCATTTCCATTTTCATCTCAGCATATTATCTGACCCTTACTTTTTTTCTCAGCCTTTTCTCTCCTTAGTTTTGTATTCCTGTTCATAAAGGCCATTACTTGCATTCTGTTAATAATACCAGTCTTTACCTTACATAGTGCTTAGCGAGATTTCACTAATCACGTTTGATGAATCATTGTTCCAAAGCCAGCCATTTGGCCATTTATCTGCTGCTATATTCTCCATGCAAGCCTTTTTGCTCATCTACAATTATTCTCCTATTTAATAATCTACAATTGAATTGAATATGTGAAGGAAGTAACACAAACCTATAGAATGTATTGGAAAAAAAAATCAACCAATATACTTTGCCGGTTGTGAGATAGTTCTGTCAATAAGATAGCTTCTACGTTTTCTTTGAAGACGTATAACTTAGGTGGAACATGTTACAGCATAGCAGCACCCATATAGTTACCTAAGGTCTAACTGGACGAAAGATGCAAACAGCTTATTAAAGGGGCTAAACATATTATTTTCCTACCTGATGAAACATTATGGGCACATACCATAGCTTTCCAGTTATATTGAATTATAACACCTTGGTCTTATGTAATTCTATGTAAAGTAAATGACTTACAGCTCTGATTCAGGGTCTAATATCTCTTGCATGCATTTGCTAACTCCTCTGCCTGTTTTCCCCCTTCAACCCTTCTTCTATACTATAACAAGGTGATTTTTAAAAATGCAAATCTGATCGTATAATTCTCTATCTTAACTCTTCAATAGCTCTCTTATAGTTTTCGAGATTGGGTTCAGGTTTCATGTTTTAGTTACACCGCATTAAAGAATCACCCCTAAATTTAGAAGCTTAAAAATATCGATGTTATACATAGCATGCTTTTTCGGGTTGCCCAAGCAGTTCTGTTGGTCTAAACTAGGCTCAATTATATGGTCGTATTAAGCTGGTGGATCAACTTGAGGTTGGTCTTAGTTGAGAAGATTGGGACCACTTGACCTTATCCCTTGTGGTCCTTCATCCTTAAGGAAGCCAGACCTGGAACTGGATCAGATTCAGTGTCACTGGAGCCTGTTTGGCTGTGAATGGGATCTAAAAGAGAAGGAATATAACGATGTAGACATAGACTATTGAATAAGCTAGTGGTTCTCAAACAACTTAAGTATGCTTTAGATTTACTAGGAGGGCTTGAGTAGCTATAGATTGATGGACTGTAGTTATAGTTTCCTATTTAGTGAGTTTAGAGGGGGACCAAAAGTTTGCATGGCTGGTTTGGGGACAATATTTTAAGAACCTCTGAACTAGGATATGAAGGCTCCATGAGTGAGTATGAGCTGGCAAATTTGTTTCCTGAAGAATTGCAGCAGAAGTGCTTTACTTCGGAATTCATTGTACTAGCTGCAACGGAGGACTTCAAATCTAACCTTTGGACCCTTTTCCACTATAATTTATGTATGCATGTCCAACACCTTTTCTGATATTTAGTAATTGATCAGGAAATATTTGTTAAACTGAGCTACATGTTATATCTATCATAATAATGATTTTACTATTAATTATTACTAATAATTTCTATAATAGAGATGGCATTAGGAGGAAAAAGGGAAATGATGTTAATTAGCAGAAGTAAGGAGAATAATTTGTGTGGGCATATATGTGTATGTATACAGTTTGCTTGTTAAACTCATTCTGTCATAAAAAGTCAGAAAGCAAATTATCTTCCAATGTTAGTAGTGTTAAAAGTATTTAATTTCAGCAAGAATCCCTCCCTCCTGATCTTAACTGTCAAATACCTAACTTTGCAAAACCTAGCTTTTTAGCTTTGTGCTAAGGGCAAGACCATTTCCCTTGGCTTTTGCACTCTTATTTGAGCAGGATTTGGTAGATCATGGTATGGAATAATTAGTTAACTATCTCAGAACAATTTGGAAGTACAACTGCACGTCCTGAACTTAATGACTGGTGATACTGTGAATGTGAACAGACAGTTAGGATTTATTATAATTCAAGGTGCACCTTTGCCAACCATCAGGATAATTAAATATATCTGGAAATTATTTTCCCAACATTTGGAGCTTCGGATCCAAATAATTTACTATTTAATATTCACATCCACACCAATGCATGATAGGTGATGTGGTTTGGCTGTGTTCCCACCCAAATTTCATCTTGAACTGTAGCTCCCCTTATTCCCATGTGTCATAGAAGGGACCCAGTAGGGGGTAATTGTATCATGGGGATGGGTCTTTCCCATGCTGTTCTCCTGGTAGTGAATAAGTCTCATGAGATCTGATGGTTTCATAAAGGGAAGTTCCCCTACACAAGCTCTCTTGCCTGCGGCTATGTAAGGTGTGACTTTGTTCCTCATTCACCTTCCACCAGGATTGTGAGGCCTCCCCAGCCATGTGGAACTGTGAGCCAATTAAACCTCCATCCTTTATAAATTACCTAGTATTGGATATGTCTTTATCAGCAGCATGAGAACAGAGAGAACAGACTAATACAGTAAACTTGTACCAGTAGAGTGGGGTGCTGCTGTAAAGATACCCAAAAATGTGGAAGCGACTTTGGAACTGGGCAACAGGCAGAGGTTGGAACAGTTTGGAGGGCTCAGAAGAAAATAAGAACATGTGGGCAAGTTTGGAACTTCCTAGAGACTGGAGGGCTCAGAAGACAGGAAGAAACAGGAAAGTTTGGAACTTCTGAGAAACGTGTTGAATGGCTTTGACCAAAATGCTGATAGTGATATGGACAATAAAATCCACGCTGAGGTGGTCTCAGATGGAGATGAGGAACATGTTGGGAACTCAAGTAAAGGTCACTCTTGCTATGCCAACAGACTGGCGGCCTTTTGCCCCTGCCCTAGAGATCTATAGAATTTTGAACTTGAGAGGGATGACTTGAGGTATCTAGTGGAAGACATTTCTAAAGTGGCAAAGAATTCAAGGGGTGACAGAGCGTAAAAGTTTGGAAAATGTGCAGCCTGATGATGCAGTAGAAAAGAAAATCTCATTTTCTGGGGAGAAATTCAAGCCTGCTGCAGAAATGTGTTAATTATCCAGACAATGGAGAAAATGTCTGCAGGGCATGTCAGAGACCTTCATGGCAGCCCCTCCCATCATAGGCCTGGAGGAATAGAAAAATGAATTCCTGGACTGGGCCCAGGGCCCCCCTGCTCTATGCAGCCTCCAAACATGGTGGCCTGCATCCCAGCTGTTTCAGCTCCAGCCGTGACTAAAAGGGGCCAACTTACAACTCAGGCCATTGCTTCAGAGGGTGCAAGCCCCAAGCCTTGGCAGCTTACGTGTGGTGTTGGGCCTGTGGGTGCCCAGGAGTTAAGAGTTGAGGTTTGGGAACCTCTGCTTAGATTTCAAAGGATGTACGGAAACGCTTGAATGTCCAGTCAGAAGTTTGCTGCAGGGGCAGGGCCCTCATGGAGAACCTCTGCTAGAGCAGTGTGGAAGGGAAATGTGGGGTTGGAGCCTCCACACAGAGTCCCCACTGGGACACTGCCTACTGGAGTTGTGAGGAGAGGGCCACTGTGCTCCAGAACCCAGAACGGTAGACCCACCAACAGCTTGCCCCTGCACCTGGAAAAGTCACAGACACTCGATGCCAGCCTGTGAAAGCAGCCAGGAGGGGAGCTGTACCTTGCAAAGCCACAGGGGCAGAGCTGCCCAAGGGCATGGGAACCCACCTCTTGCATCAGTGTGACCTGAATGTAAGACATGGAGTCAAAGGAGATTATTTTGGAGCTTTAAGATTTGACTGCCTCGCTGTATTTTGGTCTTGCATAGGGCCTGTAGCCCCTTCATTTGGGCCAATTTCTCCCATTTGGAATGAGTGTATTTACCTAGTGCCTGTGCCCCCATTGTATGTAGGAAGTAGCTAACTTACTTTTGATTTTACAGGCTCATAGGCAAAAGGGACTTGCCTTGTCTCATATGAGACTTTAGCTGTGGACTTCTGAGTTAATGCTGAAATGAGTTAAGACTTTGGGGGATTGTTGGGAAGGCATGATTGGTTTTGAAATGTGAGGACATGAGATTTGGGAGGGGGTGGGGGTAAAATGATGTGCTTTTGCTGTGTCCCCATCCAAATGTCATCTTGAATTGTAGCTCTCATAATTCTCCCGTGTCATAGGAGGGACCTGGTGGGAGGTAATTGAATCACGTGGGTGGGTCTTTTCTGTGCTGTTCTTGTGATAGTGAATGAGCCTCACGAGATCTGATGTTTTAAAAAACAGGAGTTTTCCTGAACAAGCTTTTTCTTTGCCTGCTGCCATCCGTGGAAAACATGACTTGCTCCTCCTTGCCTTCTGCCATGATCGTGAGGCCTCCCCAGCCATGTAGAACTGTGAGTCAATTAAACCTCCCTCTGTTATAAATTACCCAGTCTCAGGTATGTCTTCATTAACAGTGTGAGAACAGACTAATTTAATAGGTAAGAAAATGCATAACGTTTATCTCTTTTCCCTGGCAAGAACTGTTTCTACCTTAATCATTCTTTATTTTCCCTTCTACACTAAATCTGACACACACATATTCATTATAACCAGTTTAACTGGGGGTACTTATTAATTGGCAACTTTATTTTTGCCATCCCTGACTTAAAGAAAACATATTTTCCTATAAAATAGATTTGAATATAAGTCAGCAACACATAATTTTCTGTCACTCATTAACAACACACTAAATTTTCTGTCACTCATTAGCAACATACTAAAATATAAAATACTTTGTTCATTTTGATTTTATTTAAGACAGTTGATATTCTTCTTATTAGTATTCTGACCAGATGATTTCTTTCAGCTGTCATTTTAAAAATGCATAAAGCTAAATGAAAAGTTGCAAAGACTTGGGGATTATAATTAGGTAATCATCTATGTGAGATGTGATTAAAAACTTTTTAATCATAACATATTTTCATCAACATTTTTGATAGGTATATAAGGAGCAACACACTCATTCTATAATCTGTGATAGTCCCTTTACTACACTATTTTCTACAGAGAAGATTTCATGAAAAAAATGATGTAGCTGGACAGTACATATGGCAAATAAATAATTCCTACTAAATATTATCATTAAAGGTGAGCTGGGGCCAGGTGCAATGGGTCACACTCATAATCCCAGTGCTTTTAGAGGCCTAGGAGGAAAATTGCTTGAGACCAGTAGTTGGAGATCAGCCTGGGCAACATAGCAAGATCCTGTCTCCAAAAATAAAAAAATAAAAAAATAAAAAACCTTAGCCAGGAGTGGTAGTGTGCTCCTGTAGTCCCAGCTCCTCAAACACTAGGATGGGAGGATTGTTTGAGCCCAGGAATTTGAGGTTGTAGTAAGCTGTGATTGTGTCACTGCACTCCAGCCTGAGTGACAGAGTGATACTCTGTCTCTAAATAAATAGATAAATAAATAAGAACTGGTTGAGAGACCTGGAATTATACACAATATGCTAAATGGCAAATTTCAGGTGCCCAGTTAAAAACTGGTCCCCTACTCAAATGGTTACCAAGTCTCTTCTTTTGAAGAAAATAAAGCAAGACCTATTTTGTTACTTTTGCCAGACACATCCATATTTGTAAATACTTTACCAAATTATATAAATTTATTGTGTCTTGATTGGAGGAGGAAAAAAGAAAATTAATAAAAGACCTAGATAACTGCCAATAAATACTCCTTATCAGCATGAATTAGCTTTTTATGTATCCTTCACTGATGGAAAGGTAACTTTACAGGTGTCTTACTTCCGAGCCTCAGTGCTTCCATCTCTACTACAATAACAATTTCTTTGTCATAGGTAAATTATGAAAATTATACTTAATTTGGGGCATGGCAAATAAGCACTAAATGACTGTAAACTATTATTATTATTATAGGCAATCATTTACTTTCTCTGGGCTTCATTTTATTCTCCTTTAAAAAAGAAATCATAAGGCCACCTCGTTGGGTGGTTAGGGAAGTTAGTAATACTGCATAAAAATAATCTAGTTAGTACTTGGCACAAATTAAGTGCTCATTAATGGTAGCAGCCATGTAGTTTTACTAGTGGTATTTTAGTTAATCTTAATCCATTTAAGAAGCACTTATTGAATGTCTGCTCTATGTCTTGTTCTAGTTGCTAGTGATACCATTGTGGATGAACCATACTATGCCCCTGCCTCAAGAAAATTAGGATTGAATGGAAAACAGAAACTTAAAAACTAGGTTTAAGCGGGATGAAGTTTGCTGCAGTAAGATGTAATCTACTGGGGAGGTGGTCAGGAAAAGAGTCTATAGATGATGTTTGTATTGAGTCTCAGATGATAAGTGAAATTAACTAGGAAGATAAATGGCATAAAAAGCTTTATAAATATATAGCAGTAGAAAGTCAATCAAGCCTGAGGTGGTGAAGGAGGGATTCCTGGAAAAAAAGTCATATTTAAACCTAGATCTGCAGAATGAGTAGGAGTTAGCCGAATGTAGCAGAAGACTGGAAGGCCCATGGAGAAGAGAAAGAGATTCCAGGCACAAATATTTGTAATGGTGTTTGTAGTCCTCACCTATCCAGCCTCTTTTCCTAGTAGTGTTCCCTCACTTCAGTGCTAAAGCTACAGTGAACCATAGGATTGTGATTACAATCCAGGTTTGGGAGTCTTGCTACCTAGGTTGGAGTCCTGGTTGCCCTGTTTACTAGTAGCATAATTTAGGCAAATTATGTAACTTCTTTGTGCCCCATTTTAGTCATCTGTAAATGGAGAACTATCTCATATGGTTTAGGAATAAGAAATTTAGTAGATTGAAAACATTTAGATTTGAGCCTAGTATATACTAAGTACTCAATAAACGAGAGCTACTGTTTTAATTAATATATATCCTCAAACAGGCCTTGCTGTCTTCACATGCTCTTCCCTCTTTCTGGAATGCTCTCTCCTTCCTCTTTTAATCTACTTATTTATTACCCACACTTTAAATCTTAGCTAGTAATTGAAACCTTTAGAGTATATCATACAACCTAGTGATAATGCACACAGTGAGAAGAAAAGAGGCTTAGGACAGAGCATTAAAAATGCCAGCATTTGAGGTGTTTGGGAAATAAGAGAAACCAGCTAAAGAACCTGAAATGCAGGCCTGAGAGGCTGGAGAAAACTAAACAGAGAATGGGATCATGAAAAACACTGGCATAAAGGCTTGCAAGGCGGAAGAAATTGTCACCAGTGTCCAGTGATGCTTAGAGGCCAAGCTATGTAAAGACAAAATGAGTCATTCATTAGTGTTAAAGACTTGGATATTATCGCTGACTTTAACAAGAGCAGCTTCAATGGTATGGTAGTAATTTATGAGGTATTATGGTAAATTAAAGATTACTGAAAGCTGACAAGATAGAAATGACTTTATAAAATATTTTAGCATTTGTTAGAGCTAGACTCCAAATCACTATTTGATTTTAAGAACTTTCCTGGTTCTCCATACAAACTAGAATATAAACCTTATAAACCTTAGAATCAGCTTGCTTAGATTAAAAATTATCTGGGAATGATGTTAGTAAGATGGTAGAATAGAAGTCTCCCATTGATGTCCCACCATGGTAACAATAATTTGGCAGCCATCCACAGTCAAAAGTGCCTTTATGGGATTTGGGGGATATAGGTATAACGTTGCAAAAACCCCAATAGAGCTTAAGACTAAGGAGGACCATTTTGAGAAGGCAGGCACATGCTCAGGCGGCAGGATAACCAACTTTGGTACAGGAAATACAGCCCCATTCCTCTGTGGACTTGGCTACAGGCTTATTAAGCCTTGGCTTTGCTAATAGCAGTATCTGCCAAGGGAACTGGAAAGTGCCATGTTCACTCATGCCTCAGATAATAGGCCTACTGTCTGTGGTGCGACTACAAACTTTAAGGCAGAATTTTTATCTGGCTTCAGTCCCTCTAAGCTGCATTCTGGGGACAGTCTTGACCACACAGGAACCCACTAGGAAGCCTGGATATCCATATCCTCAGAGGCAGGCATGGAGATACTGGTCTAAGCTGTGAACCTTGAAGCAGCCCTGTGACTTGGTTCTAGCCCCTCTCAGCTGTGGTAGAGGGGCAATGTTTCCCATTCAGGAATCCACTCAGTTACCCAGCAGGAGTACTCCCAGGGACACAATGGGAGGCACCCTGCTAGTGCAACTGGTAACAGGTACAACATGTACAAATCCAACTGCAGATGCTAAAACAGACATTTGTTGCAGCACCAGTCCTATGGACCAAGGTATTAGAGGAAGTCTGATCTACCCAGGAATCAGGTAGAATCAATACTCACCTGGTCCCATAATAACAGACTTACCCAGTGTATAAAGCAGAGCCAGAAGCCTCCACATGACCTAGCTCCAACCCCATTAAACTGCAATTCCAGATAAAATTTCACCAGCCCAAGGATTCAACAAGAGAAATACTATGCCTGCTGAAACCAGTTTGTAAAGACTGGAAGCAGTGTTTGCTTCTTCAAATGTACAGACACAAATTAAAAGTTACATGGATCATGAAGAATCAGACAAACAGGTCACCATCAAGGGAAACTAATAAATCTCCAGTAACTGATCTGCAAGAAATTGAGATCTATAAATTTCCTAACAAAATACAAATGATCTCCCTAAAGAAGCTCAATGAGATGGAAGGTAACACAGACAACTAAAGAAATCAGATAAATGCTTGAATACATTCAGAAGTTTAATTAATATAAACTGTAAAAAACAACCAAATATAAATCTTAGATCTGAAGTGTACAATGATAGAAATGAAAGATCAATAGAGAGCTTCAACAGAAGTCTCAATGATACAAAAGCAAAACTTAGTAAACTCAAGGATAGGTCATTTGAAATCAGCCAGCTAGAGGAACAAAAAGGAAAAGAAGAATGATAATAAATTTTTAAAAAGCGTATGGGACCTATGAGAAACCATCAAATGCATCAATATAAATATTATAGCTGCCAAAGAAAATGTTAGGAGAAAGTGGAAGAAATTGTATTGAAGAAAACAATGGCTGAAAACTTCTCAAATATTTGGAGGAATATGGATAATATTCATGAAGCTCAGTGGTCCTCAAACAAGATGAAACCAAAAACGTTTCATACGTTATATGCCCAAGGAGATACAACAAAATTATAAAAATAACAGAAAATTATGAAAGTAGTAAGAAGAAAGCAACTTATACAAGGACCCACAGCCAATATCATACTGAATGGGCAAAAGCTGGAAGCTTCCCTTTGAAAACCAGCACAAGACAAGGTGCCCTCTCTCACCACTCCTATTCAACATAGTATCGTAAGTTCTGGCCAGTGAAATCAGGCAAGGGAAAGAAATAGAGGATATTCAAATAGGAAGAGAGGAAGTCAAATTGTCTCTGTTTGCGGATGACATAATTGTGTATTTAGAAAACCCCATCATATCAGCCCCAAATCTCCTTAAGCTAATAAGCAACTTCAGCAATTCTCAGGATACAAAATCAATGTGCAAAAATCACAAGCATTCCTATATACCAATAATAGAGAGCCAAATCATGAGTGAACTCCTATTGGCAGTTGCTACAAAGAGAATAAAATACCTGAGAATACAACTTACAAGGGATGTGAAGGACCCCTTCAAGGAGAACTACAAACCATTCCTCAAGGAAATAAAAGAGGACACAAACAAATGGAAAAACATTCTGTGCTCATGGATAGGAAGAATCAATATTGTGAAAATGGCCACACTGCCCAAAGTAATTTTTAGATTCAATGCTATTCCCATCAGGCTACCATTGACTTTCTTCACAGAATTAGAAAAAACTACTTTAAATTTCATATGGAACGAAAAAAGAGCCCATATAGCCAAGACGATCCTAACCAAAAACAACAAAGTTGGAGACATCATGCTACCTGAATTCAAACTATACTACTAGGCTACAGTAACTAAAACAGCATGGTACTGGTACCAAAACAGATGTACAGACCAATGGAACAGAACAGAGGCCTCAGAAATAACACCATACATCTACAACCATCTGATCTTTGACAAACCTGACGAAAACAAGCAATGGGGAAAGGACTCCCTATTTAATAAATGGTGTTGGGAAAACTGGCTAGCCATATGCAGAAAACTGAAACTGGACCCCTTCCTTACACTGTATTCAAAAATTAACTCAAGATGGATTAAAGACTTAAATACAAGACCTAAAACCATAAAAGAAAAACCATAGAAGAAAACCTAGGCAATACCATTCATGACACAGGCATGGGCAAAGACTTCAGGACTAAAACACCAAAAGCAATGGCAACAAAAGCCAAAATTGGCAAATGGGATCTAATCAAACTAAAGAGCTTCCACACAGCAAAAGAAACTATCATCACAGTGAACGGGCAACCTACAGAATGGGAGAAAATTTTGTCAATCTATCTGTCTGACAAAGGGCTAATATCCAGAAAGGAACTTAAACAAATTTCAAGAAAAAAACAAATAACCCCATCAAAAAGTGAGCAAAGGATATGAACAGACACTTCTCAAAAGAAGACATTTATGCAGCCAACAAACATAAAATAAAAAGCTCATCATCACTGGTCATTAGAGAAATGCAAATCAAAACCGCAATGAGATACCATCTCACACTGGTTAGAATGGCGATCATTAAAAAGTCAGGAAACAACAGATGCTGGAGAGGATGTGCAGAAATCGGAACACTTTTACACTGTTGGTGGGAGTGTAAATTAATTCAATCATTGTGGAAGACAGTGTGGTGATTCCTCAAGGATCTGTAACAAGAAATACCATTTGACCCAGCAATCCCATTACTGTGTATATACCCAAAAGATTATAAATCCTTCTACTATAAAGACACATGCATTCATATGTTTATTGCAGCACTGTTCACAATGGCAAAGACTTGGAACCAACCCAAATGCCCATCAATGATAGACTGGATAAAGAAAATATGGCACATATACACCATGGAATACTATGCAGCTATAAAAGAAGATGATTTCATATCCTTTGCAGGGACATGGATGAAGCTGGAAACCATCATGGTCAACAAACTAACACAGGAACAGAAAAGAAAACACCACCCACATTCTCACTTATAAGTGGGAGTTGAAAAATGAGAACACAGGACACAGGGAGGGGAACATCACATACTGGGGCCTGTCGGGGTGTGGGGGGCTAAGGGAGGGATAGCATTAGGAGAAATGCCTAATGTAGATGACAGGTAGATGGGTGCAGCAAACCACCGTTGCACGTTTATACCTATGTAACAAACCTGCACGTTCTGCAGAAGTATCCCAGAACTTAAAGTATAATAATAAAAAAACAGATAAAGAAGGGCATGATATAATGGTAGAGGGTTCAGTTCAACATGGAAACCTAACTATCCTAAATATATATGCACCCAACATTAGAGCATGCAGATTTATAAAGCAAGTTTTTAGAGACCTACAAAGAGATTTAGATTCCCCAAAAATAATAGTGGGACATTTCAACACCCTTCTTAAAGTGTTAGACAGATCATCAAGGCAGAAAATTAACAAATATATTTGTGACCTGAACTAAACCATTGACCAAATGAACCTAACAAACATGTACAGAACTCTCTACCCCAAAATGACAGAGTATACATTCATCTCTTCACCACACAGTATATACTCCAAACTTGACCACACAATTGAACATAAAACAATCCTCAGCAAATTCCAAAAACTCAAAATCATATCGACCACACCCTTATACCACAGTGCAAAAAAGAATAGAAATCAATACTAAGAAAATTTTTCAAAATCATACAATTACATAGAAATTAAGCAACCTGCTCCTGAGTAAACAATGAAATTAAAGCAAAAAAATCAAGAATTGTTTTTGAAATTAATAAGAACAAAAATAAAACATAGTAGAATTTCTGGGACATAGCTTAGGCAGTGTTGAGAGGGAAGTTTATAGCACTGAATGCCCACATCAAAAAGTTGGAAGGATCTCAAATGAATAACCTGACATCACAACTAGAAGAACTAGCGATGCAAGAGCAAATCAACCCCAAAGATAGAAGACAAGCAATAAGCAAAATCAGAGCTGAACCGAAGGAAATTCAGACATAAAAAACCGTACAAAAGATAAATGAATGCAGGAGATCGTTCTTTGAAAAAAGTAATAAGATAGACCACTACCTGGACTAATAAAGAAAGAAAAGAAAATCCAAATAAACACAATTTGAAATGACAATGGTGATGTAAACACTGACCCAACAGAAATAAAAAAAAAAAATCATCAGAGACTACTATGAACACAAACTGGAAAATTTTGAAGAAATTGAAAAATTCATGAACACACACAACCTCCAAAGAATGAACCAGGAAGAAATTGAATCCCTGAACAGACCATTAAGGAGTTCAAAAAATGAATAAATAATAAAAATCCTACCAACCAGAAAAAAAAAACCTGGACTAGAAAGATTTACAGCCAAGTTCTACCAGATGTATAAAGAAGAGCTAGAACCATTCCTACTGAAACTATTTTTTAAAATTGGGGAGAATGGACTCCTCCCCAACTTGTTCTATGAAGCAAGCATTATCCTGATACCAAAACCTGGCGGATAAAGAAAGAAAGAAAAAAAACTTCATACCGATAATCTTGATGAACATAGACGCAAAAATTCTCAACAAAATACTAGCAAACTGAATCTAGCAGCACAACAAAAAGCTAATCCATCATGATCAAGTTGGCTTCATCCGTGGGATGGAAGGTTGTTTCAACATATGCAAATCAATAAATGTGATTAATCACATATAAAGAACTAGAAGCAAAAACCACATGATTATCTTGATAGATGCAGAAAAGGCTTTTAATAAAATTCAACATCTCCTCATGTTAACCCTCAATAAATTAGGCATCAAAGGAACGTACTTCAAAATAATAAGAGCCATCTACAACAGACTCACAGACATCATATTGAATTGACAAAAGCTGAAAGCATTCCCCTTGAAAACCAGCACAAGGCAAGGATGCCCTCTCTCACTTCTACCGTTCAACGTACTATTGGAAGTTCTGGCCAGGGCAGTCAGGCAAGAGAAAGAAATAAAGGTATTCGAATAGGAAGAGAGAAAATCAAATTATTTTTGTTTGCAGATGACATGATCCTATATCTGGAAAACCCAATCATTTCAGCCCAAAACTTTCTTAAGCTGATAAGCAATTTCAGCAATGCCTTAGGATACAAAATCAATGTGCAAAAATTACTAGCATTCCTATAAACTCACAACAGGCATGCAGAGAGCCAAATCATGAATGAACCCCCATTCACAATTGCTACAAAGGGAATAAAATACCTAGGAATACAGCTAACAAGGGAAGTGAAGGAGCTCTTCAAGGAGAACTACAAACTACTGCACGAGAAAATCAGAGAGCACACAAACAAATGGAAAACATTCCATGCTCATGGATAGGAAGAATCAGTATCGTGAAAATGGCCATACTGCCCAAAGTAATTTATAGATTCAATGCTATTCCAATTAAAATACCATTGATATTCTCCACAGAATTAAAAAAAACGACTTTAAAATTCATATGGAACCAAAAAAGAGCCCATATAGCAAGACAATCCTAAGCAAAAAGAACAAAGCTAGAGGCATCATGCTATCGGGCTTCAAACTATACTATAAGGCTGTAGTAGCCAATGCAGCATGGTACTGGTACAGAAGCAGATACGTAGATGAATGGAACAGAATAGAGAACTCAGAAAACTGAAACTGGACCCCTTCCTTACACCGTATTCAAAAATTAACTCAAGGCTGCACACCTGCAACCATCTGATCTTTGACAAACATGACAAAAACAAGCAATAGGAACATATTTCTTATTTAATAAATGGTGCTGGGAGAACTGGTTAGCAATATGCAGAAAACTGGATCCCTTCCTTTCACCTTACACACAAATTAACTAAAATTAAGTAAAAATTAAATGTAAAACCCAAAACTAGAATTGCCTTAGAAGAAAATCTAGGCAATATCATTCAGGATATAGGTACAGGCGAAAATTTCATGGTGAAAACACCAAAAGCAATTGCAACAAAAGCAAAAATTGACCAATGGGATCTAACTAAACTAAAGAGCTTCTGCACAGCAAAAGAAACTATCATCAGAATGAACAGACATCCTACAGAATGGGAGAAAATTTTTGCATCTATCCATCTGACAAAGGTCTAATATCCAGACTGTGCAAGGAACTTAAGCAAATTTACAAGAAGAAAAGAAACTCCATTAAAAAGTGGGCAAAGGTCACGAACAGACACTTCCCAAAAGAAGACATTCATGCAGCCAACAAACATATGAAGAAAAGCTCAACATCAATAATCATTATGAAAATGTAAATCAAAACTACAGTGAGACACCATCTCACACCAATCAGAATGGCAATTATTAAAAAGTCAAGAAACCACAGAAACATGTGAGGTTGTGGAGAAAATGGAACACTTTTACACTGTTGGTGGGAATGTAAATGAGTTCAACCATTGTCAAAGACGGTGTGGCTATTACTCAAAAATCTAGAAGCAGAAATATAATTTGACCCAGCAATCCCATTACTGGGTATATACCCAAAGGAATATAAATTATCCCATTATAAAGATACATGCACACTTATGTTCATTATGGCACTATTTGCAATAGCAAAGACATAGAAGCAACCCAAATGCTCATTAATGATAAACTGGATAAAGAAAATGTGGTACATATACACCACGGAATACTATGCAGCCATAAAAAGGAACGAGATCATGTCCTTTGCAGGAACATGGATAGAACTGGAAGCCGTTATCCTCAGCAAACTAACACAGGAACAGAAACCCAAACACCACATGTTCTCACTTATAAGTGGGAGCTGAGTGATGAGAACACACGGACACATGAGGGGAGAACAACACACACTGGGACCTGTTGTGGGGTGGGGGGAAGGAGAGCATCATGAAGAATAGCTAATGGATGCTTGGCTTAATACCTAGGTGATGGGTTGATCTGTGCATCAAATCAGTATGGTGCAACTGTGTCACAAACCTAAACATCCTGCACATGTACCCTAGAACTTAAAATAAAAGTTGATGAAAAATAAATACAAAGAAAAATGCTCCCTTTGTTGATGGGTATCAGATGAGTTTGTTCTGGTTTTCCTTTCTGCTGTAACGGGACAGCGCTGAGTTTTATTTCTCAAAATTGCTGTATTATCCCAACCCCAGTGCTCAGAAATGCTCTCAACACCATGAGGCTGCTTCTAGGGGTGAGTGAGGGGTGACATTGGTGATTCAGGACTGTTTTTTCTGCCTTTTCAGTACCTCTTTCAGTGATATGAAGTTCAAAACAGGTACTGTGAGTGCTCACTTGATTTCTGGTTCTTATGAAGGTGTTTCTTTCTATGTAGACAGTTGTTAATTGGTGTCCTTGTCGGGGGTGGGGTGGGGCAAGGATTGGTGGAGCTTTCTATTCTGCCATCTTGCTCTGCCTCCCCTCTGAATTTTATTTGTTGTTCTTTTGTTGCACTGTCTATGTAGCACTATATGTATATTAATTCATTATTGTATTCTCCTTACATGTTACTTTCTTTCAAAATTATTTAAGGTCTTAGTCTGCTCCTCTTCCAATTATGATCACTATTATTATTCTAAGCCTGTTATCCACATCATTAATATGGTTTACAGCCATCACTATTCTTTTCCATTCTATTTCACATTGACTTAGTTCTATTTTGAATTTTGAAGCATTATTATTACTTCTATGATTTACTCTTTCATCTTTTTTTGTTTTATCATTTTTGTTTAATCCAATTTGCGTTCTCAAGTATTTTAATACTAAAAAGCACATACTGTAAAAGATTGTTTTTGATAGTATTTTCTTATGAACTTGCTATTTATATAGTACTTGTTATGTTACTTTAATTCTTCCTTTCACTCACAGTATTTTTTCAAGTGTAATGTGGCCAGTTCTATCAAGACCTTTTATTTTCTCTGAAAGAGTATGGGTGAAATCTACTGGATTTCAATCATTCATTCATTCCACAAATATTTATTGAGTCAAAACCCAGAGAGTGTTCTATACAGGTCATAAAATACAAAATAGCTTAGACAAGATATAGGTTTATTTCTCACTTTTAAATAAAAAGTCCAAAATGCTCCCTTGTGTGGGCATGGCAAAACCTTCATATCAACAGGAACCAAGGCATCAACGTTTTGTATTCAAGCATGTCTCCTTATGCTGCAAAAAGTGAGCTGGAGCTCTAACCATCATATCCACATCCTGTAACATGTCCATATATGAATTTCCAATAGTAGGAAACAAGAAGCCTACTGAAATTTTAATTTCACTCGAACAATAGTTTTTTCAGTGTAAGTAGGTCTTAATTATCCATCATTATCTGAAATTTAAATCTACATGAGAATCCTCTATTTCATTTGACTACCCAATCCATAGAGATTACCTTCAAGTTTTGTATAATTTTTCCTTTCAGAATGGAGCCCTGAAACCCTTGCTCTGAAGTGAGAAATTCAGGGCCAAAATCAGGTGTTTTACTCCCCACTTTTCACTCACAAATCTCTAGCAACAATCTTATCCCATTTCCTGAAAGTGGAAGGCAAACACTGGCAAAACATATGAGGTTGGCCATTATTTTATTGTCCTTTAGTGGGTGGTAGGAGGAGCAGGACTAGGTGCTTCTTCTTTCATACCTCCTGGTTCTTTGGAAGATTTTTTTTCTTTCTCATCTACATAATCCAATTTTCATTGAAGGTAATAAACTATCAGTGTTTATGATCATTCAGTCTTCCCTCTTTTGGTTTCTTCCCAGTGGGGAAACAACAATAATCAACCTTGCTGTTTTTGTTATTGTTGTTTTCTTTTCTGTCTGTGATAAAATACCTGCTCAGATGAATTTTCTGTACAGTGAAATGCATCACTAAGTACTTTTAAAAAAGATTTATTTCACATTGCATTTCCCGTAAGAGCTTTTTGGAAGACTGAGTGTAGAAGGTGGATAGAGAGCATTATAAGTTAGGCCAATTTTGTAAATATTCTCTCTCTCTCTGTCATTTGCTGCTACATTTCAACTACTTAATATTGTGCTTATGTGTTGCTGGTAATGTCATCTTTTAGTTGAGGTTGGGAGACAGATGTTCCATAATATTGTTCAATTGTATTACATGACTTTTTTAAATTTTTTTTTTTTTTTTTTTTTTTTTTGAGACAGAGTCTCGCTCTGTCGCCCAGGCTGGAGTGCAGTGGCGCAATCTCGGCTCACTGCAAGCTCCGCCTCCCAGGTTCACGCCATTCTCCTGCCTCAGCCTCCCGAGTAGCTGGGACTACAGGCGCCCGCCACCACGCCCGGCTAATTTTTTGTATTTTTTGGAGAGACGGGGTTTCACCGTGTTAGCAAGGATGGTCTCGATCTCCTGACCTCATGATCCGCCTTCCTCTGCCTCCCAAAGTGCTGGGATTACAGGCGTGAGCCACTATATTACTTTTAAAGTCTTAGTTTACATTTAAATATCTTGGTAGAATAATCAGACAATCACAATAAGTTAGAAGATGCTGTCAGTGCCCTGCCAGATGTCCTCTCACAAGCAAGTGCGCTCTTGCCTCTTAACTGCTGTGAGTGCTGACTGCTCAAAATTGATCCCTTTCTCCAGTGAATTACTGTCTGCCACATAGAAGCTACCTCCAAGTTGCACCCACAGACTATTCTCTACTTATAACGAGGCTACTTCTCTTCTGTAGCGCATTTTGTGCTTCAGAGCTGCCCTTGGGATCACACTGAATGTACATGAATTTGAGACCATATTCTTGTTTAACAACTTCTTTGGCCCTATTCTGCTTCTCTCTCTCTTTCTTTTTTCCCCTCTGAGGACACTTCCTCAATAATTACTTGGACAAGAATGTCTGTCTATCACACATTAAAGGTTTACTTCTAAAAATCCCAACCTAAGGCCACCAACTAATATTTAAGGGGGTTACTCTATATTATGATATGCAATTCACTCTGCTGATTGCCTTATATATATGATGTCATTTAGTCGGCACAACTGTCTTATCGTGTATGTAGTATTATCTCCATTTTACAGGAGAGGAAGTTGAGAGAAGTTCCTTTCCCAAGTTTATAGCATTAATATGTGATGCAATTGGAGTTTAATGAATTAATACTATCTTTATAACTGAGGAGAATAGAAATGAACAAGACACAGTTCCCACTCTCAACAAGACTTATACCCCACAAATACATAAGAACCACAGTTTTAGAGATAGTTTTGATCTTATTGACAGAAATATACCAATACAAAGGTGTAGCATGCCTCCATATACCGGAAAACAGTCTATAGATTTTTGTTTTTACTATATTTGTGTGAGCCTATTGCTCAGTTCTATATTCCATTGATTCGTAAGTCTACACTTTCATCAATTCCACATTACCTTAATTTCTGTAGTTTCACAGTGAGTCCTGAACTCAGATATTGTAAATCCTCCAACTTTGTCCTTTTAAAAAATAGCTTTGACTTTTCTAATTATTTTGCACTTCCATATATATATTTCAAAATTGCCTTGTTGATAACTATTTTTAAAAGCCTGTCAAGATTTTGATTAAGATTACAGTAAACAGATTTGATTGAGAAGAATTGATATCTTCTTTGATTTTTTCATCCATATTTTCTATTTTCAACCTATGGAGCCTGTTCATGTTTTGTAAAATATGAACCTGGGTTGAGTTTTCGGGGGGGTATTATTGTCATGGTATTGTATTTTTTAAACTGAGTTATAATTTTTAATTGCTGGTAAATAGAAATATGGTTTACCTGTATATATTGATTTTTATATCATGTGGCCTTGAAAAAAATCACTTTACTACTTCTAGGAGCTTTTCCAATGATTTTAAAAGATTTTCTTTTGTACACAAACATGTCATCTGCAAAGAGGGACACCTTTATTTCTTCCTTTCCAATTTATTGCTTTAACAATTCTTTTTTCTCCCAGTAAATTCTTACAGATTTTGTTTCTCTGAAAAATTCTAATTTATTTATTTAAAACGTTTTTACTAAGTTGACAGTAGTTTTTTCTTTCCGCACTTTACAGATTTTACCCCATACTTTCTAGCTTGCTTAGTTTTATAAAGAGCTGTATGCTATAAGTCTATTCATCTGTATGTAATTGTATTAGTCCACTCTCACACTGCTATAAAGATACTACCTGAGACTGGGTAATTTATAAAGAAAAGAAGTTTAATTGATCACAGCTCCACATAGCTGGGAGGCCTCAGGAGACTTACAATCATGGCGGAAGGGGAAGCAGGCAGGCATGCCTTCTATGGCGGCAGGTGAGAGAGATAGTGAGGATAGGAAGCAATTTCAAACACTTATAAAACCATCAGGTCTCATGAAAACTCACTCAGTATCATGAGAACAGCATGGAGCAATCTGCCCCCATGATCCAATCACCTCCCACCAGGTCTCTCCCTCAACACCTGGGGATTACAATTCAAGATGAGATTTGGGTGGAGACACAAGGCCTAACAATGTCAGTGATGTTTTCTTTTTATCTGAAAACCTTTAATATTTTCGTTTTGTCTTTCTTTTTAGCAAACTGAAAATGATACACTTAAATATGTGAGTGTGAATTTGTGTATTTCGTTTATTCTATTTCGTGTTTTCTGAGCTTCTTAGCTCTGTGCTTTTGATTATATCATTAAATTTGTAAAATTCTTGGCCAATTTTTTAAAAATATTTTTCCTTCCCTATTTTCTCTCTTTTTTTTTTCTTGTACAATCTTAAATATGCAAATATTAGATCATTTCCTAATGTCTCACAGGTTTTGGATGATATGTTCTGCTTTCTTTATAGTTTCTTTGTGCTGCAGTTTAAGTAATTTTTGTAGGTACATCTTTGAGTAAATGAATTACTTTCTATATTGTGTTGAATCTAGTGAGGTTATTGTACTTTGCATGTCTAGCTTTTACATTTCATTCTTTCTTATAGTTTCCATTTTCTCCGTTAAAATTACCTATCTGATCTTAAATGTTGTCCACCTTTTTAAAATAACTTTCAGCATATTAATCACAATTATTTTAAATTCATTTTCAGATACTTCCAACATCTGTATAATATTTGAGTCTGGTTATAATGATTTATTTTACCCTTGGGAATGTTTTGTTTTTCTTGCCTATTTTCTGTTTCCTATTTTTTTTTAAACCAGCTCTCTTTTATAACACAGTAATGATTGCGATAACCCTTTTCAAATGCTTGAAAATAGGGGTACATTCTCTTTTGTTAGATCTTTATTACGGATATTTAAGTTAATCTAAATAAGAGTTTGAGGTATGTTGTTGCGAAGTTTGTACTCATTATATCCAGTCTTCAAATATGTTTAGAAAAACCCATGTTTAATATAGGGATTGGTTTGCCAGTGGATTTATTTTTCAATATATCGTCTAAACTCAGTTTTAAGTCTTCTCTTTGCAATGCGTCTTAGTGATCTATGTCTCTTGCAAGTTACTTGCTACTTGACACTGTGCTTAGTGGTAGGGGCCTGGAATGAGAATGCATTTTTTCGTTTTACTACTTAAATTTTAGTCTTAGGCAGGCATCTTGTCTTTACTGAGGGCTTGGTAGGCTTGTTAAAGTGGATTTAGGGTAGTCTTTACTCTAGAGCAGGGATTGGCAAACTTGTTTTATAAATAGCCTTGTAGTAAATTTTTTTCGTTTAGTTTTGTGGGCCATAGAGTTTCTGTGGAATCTACTAAACTCCTCCATTTTAGCATAAAAGTTGTCATTAACAATACATAAACAAATGGGCATGGCCAGGCTCCAACCCGTTATTTACAAATACGAATGACAGGCTGGATTACACTCAAGAACCATACTTTTTCATGTCCTATTCTAGATGATGGCCTTTACACATAAGGTTTAGGCCTTCTGGTGGCTGAGCAAAATCTGCAGGTATTAATGATGTCTATATTCTCTGTCTAGGTCTGATGTCTAATATGTCTATAACTACTCTACCTCTAATATCTGTTTTCCATTACCAACCCCATAGTAGCTATTTTCTGGTAAATCTCACGCAGACTCATTCTCTGAATGTGCAGCCCAGCCTTCAGCAAGTAACTCACAAGGGACACTCATGGACCTCTGTAACTCCACCATCCTTTCCTGCATGGCATTTTCCTTCCCAGTATTCTGCCCTTCAAACATTATATGCTTTAATTGCTACAATCTCTGAATTCTACATCTTCAGATCAATAGGTGGGCCACGCTGTCCTTTGACTCCAGCTCATTGGTCTGCATTAAGAAAACATTCCTATAGCAGAGACAGTAGTAATAGTTCCGATTCTTCTGGTTCTTTGTTGATGACTTATTTTTTTTCTAAAACATGTGCATTGTCTTAGGGCATATGGGCTGTTATAAAAAAATACCATCAACAGGGTGGCTTACAAATAACAAAAATGTATTTCTCACAGTCCTGAAGGCTAGAAAGTCCAAGATCAAGGTACTGGCTGGTTTGACATCTGGTGAAGGACTGTTTCCTGGTGTATAGGTAGTACCTTCTAGCTGTGTCCCCACATAGTGGAAAAGGGGAAGGCAACTTTCTGGGGCCTCTTTTATAAAAGGACTAATCTCACCCTCATGATCTAATCACTTCCCAAAGGACCCACATCCTAATATCATCCCATTGGTTATTAGGTTTTCAACATAAGTATTTGGCAGAGCTGGGTAGGTGCAAACATTCACACCATAGAAGAAATCTTATGTATTGTGTTGTAACCCTTTGGATCTTATTTAAGCCATCTGTTTTAGCTGGCTTTCTGTGATATCACTCTGGTAGGGGAAGAGAGAGCCACTGTCTCCTTTTTGCCAGGTAAGTTCAGAAATCCCAGTTGTCCACTTAGTTTCCATTGCCACCTGTGAGTTGGGGTGGTAGTTTCACCTTGTTTAGGGAGTGAAGTATCTCATTACTGCTACTCAATAGGCCTCTTCTGACAACACCCCTGAAAGGAGTTGCACGGGTGCCTTGTTACTGCCAAGCAGAAATAGACGCCATGCATAGCCGGATGTTGGAACTCCTCATTACACCCTCATGAAGTTAGAAGCCTCGCCCCTCCAACTTTGGACACAAGACTGGGGGTAAGAATAGCTTTTTCAAGGGTAGGGATTGGCTGCAGTAGAGTAGTTATTTTATCAAAATTTTCTGTCTTGCCTAGGCTACCTCTTTTCTTGTCCTTTGGCTAAACAAAGCAGAATTTTATTTGGGCTTTTTGTCTGTGACTTTCGGCATTTCCAATTTGTTGGCTTCTTTAGCTGCAACTCTCAAATATATGACATGTGAAAAAAAGAAAGAAGGAAGGAAGGAAAGAAAGAAAGAAGGAAGGAAGGAAGGAAAGAAAAAGAAAGAAAGAAAGAAAGGAAAAGGAAAGGAAAGGAAAGGAAAAGAAAAGAAAAGAAAAGAAAGAAGAGAGAGAGAGGAAGGAAGGAAGGAATGAAGAAAGAAAGAAGAAAGAGAGAGAGGGAGAGAGGGAGAAAGGGAGAGAGGGAGGGAGGGAGGAAAGGAAGGAAGGAAGGAAGGAAGGAAGGAAGGAAGGAAGGAAGGAAAGAAGGAAAGAAAGAAAAAGAAACCCAGGAAGCTCACTGCCATGTCATTTCCTGGGTCCTGAGCTCTCCAAACTGTCTATTTATTTCCAACTTTCAGAGTGTTCTTACGTTTGTTTTATATATAATATTCAGGGGGTTTGGTTTTATTTAGAAAGAGAAATAGGCAAAAGTATATCTATTCCATCTTTCAGAAGAGGAAGTCACTTTAACGTACTTTTAAAAATTAAGTTCACCGAGACAATGACTTCAAGTTAACAATTCACATAACAATTGTTTGGATGAGCAAACTGAAAATTAGAGTGATTAAGTCGTTTCAATAGTTGAACCACTGACATTTACATTCACACTTTTGTCAAGATACCTATCATTCTTTCATTTTACTTTTTAAATTTTCACAATGTGATTTGCTTTTCCTCAGTTTCTTTAGAGAAAGATTGTGTATTGGATTTCTTGATATCTTTACACATTTCTCAGTAGACCTATCCATGTATTAAGTATTTAATAAACATTTGCTGAATTCATGCAAAGATGAATGAATTCTTATACCTTTGTTTTTACTTCTGGTTAATTGTATTAATTATTTTATCTAGATTATTGGTAAGACTTTTATTTACTTTTATAGCTTGTACATAGCCTGATACTAATTCATGGTTTAAGATGCTACACCACTCCACCCAAGCGGCCCCATAGAGAAAATACTGCTTATTTAAAAAAACTGACTGCCTATGCAATTCAGAGTCCTTTTGAAATTTTGTAGATCTGCAAATCAGAGCTGACTCAAAATGGTTTTTCGGGAAGTAAAAATTTGTGAGCCTGTGCGTGGCTCACTGCAACTAGATTCAGCTTCACCCATCGCCTTGAAGTCAGCTCTCCAGAAATCATGGGGAATAACAACATTTTCTCCCTTTCACTGATTTTTCAAACGGAGTGCACAGCCTTCCTCCGACTGGCATATGCTATTGTGCTATGCTGCAGTTCTTTCTAGCCCCTTCTATTACCCTGTGTTATGCTGCTCAAATCCCTAATTACTCTTCTGGATGCTGTATGGCAGCTAATAAAAGGATTTTGCAGGCTCAGGCTGCCATGGTGCTTCAGAAGCTATATATTCTTTCACTGTTGTTATGTCGGTTTCTACATATGTTCACTGCTCTACCTGTTATTTCTAGCACAAATCCCTTTCATTTTTTTCCATTATGTTTTGCTAGTGTTTTAGTTGCACTTATTTCAGAATTGGAATTCAATCAATCTGACACATTAACGTGGCTTAAGCTGGAAAACATTTTGATTGTATACTTAAAAGTGCACCTCGGTACAGGTTGGACAAGTGTGCTCTGTTTTGTTAAACTGTAGAAAATAGGCCTGTTAAGTATTTTGTACATGACAAGGAGTAAACTCTTTTTTTTTTCTTTTTTTGAGATGGAGTCTTGCTCTGTCACCCAGGCTGGAGTGCAGTGGCATGATCTCGTCTCACTGCAGCTCCGCCTCCCAGGTTCAAGTGATTCTCCTGACTTAGCCTCCCGAGCAGCTGGGATTATAGGCACCCGCCACCACACCTGGCTAATTTTTTGGATTTTTTTTTTTTTTTTTTTAGTAGAGACGGGGTAATGTGGGGCTTTGACCTATCATGACAGGTGGTATCAATGTATTGAATATGCTGCTATCTTACATTGGAAGACCAGTTAGCCAGTTCCCAAATGCAATCCCCTTTTCTCCTCCTGGATCTTAACCATAATTACAAGAAATATTCATTTAAGAATCAGTGTGTGCAATGAAAAAACATGATCTTTGGGGTGAAACAGTTGTGTATGCAACACTCAACGCTCTCATTTATGGTTATGTGTCTTCAGGTAACTTACCTAAAATATCTGAAACTGAGTTTTCTTCTCAGGGAAATAACAATAATAAATATAGATTAAAATAAGGTATATATTGTTCCTGGTAATTTGGGTTTAATATTTTGTAAATAATAAAAATATCAATTACATAAAATATTTATTGTAATAACATTAAAATATTGACATAACATGTATTGAGCATTTATTATGTGTCAGGCACTCTAAAAATGCTTTACATAGATTATTTTATTTAAACCCAATAAGAACTCTATGATATAAACACTATTACTACCCAACTCTTAAGTTAGAAATGAGTGCTCATAGAACATGTATGCTGTAAGAAGTCACATAGCTAGTAAGGATCAGATCCAGTATTCTGATCCAGTATTCAATTCCAGATCCATCTAACTTAACTTCTAAGCACACGCTATTCACATATATATATATATATATATATATATATATATATATTTTAGCACCTTTCACAAGCCTGAGTACATGGCTATTTGCTTGCTTCAATCATAATGTGCTCAGGATTGTGTTGAAATCAAAGCATCTACAAAATTTAAGTGGTATTAGGAAATGCATAGAAGCAACTTTCTTGAACTGTTACAATACATAAAAATGTATATTGTAATTTTTTAAAAAAATGAGTCTATAAATAAATTCTGTATGTATTCTAAATAATTAATATTTTGATGTCAGGAATTCTAATCACTGTACTCATTGAACTACGGCCTGGTATTGCAATGTTAGGAAGTAATTCTTACAGTACACTGACAGACTGGCCATGAGAAGCTAAAACCGAGGAAGTTTTCTTTGAAAACATGCCCTTCTGAAATAAGTACATCTATATTTTTTTCAAAGGCTGGAGACTTTTCCTATTCACTATGTCTGCTTTCATAAACGCCCTGGTTTCTGCCTTTCACCATAACAGCTAAGTAATCTGACAGATTATTTGCTCGTCCTGGGTTAATGGTACTTGTATCCCAATAGATAAGGCCTGTCCTCTTTTAAGCATAATTTTGCCAATTTTAGTTGCTATAGAAGGCTAATGTGAGAAGGATTTGGGGCAGAATTCAATAATCATATCCTTTATATTACTGCCAATTCTTTTTCGTCCTTTGGACAGAGCCTGTTGACAGAACCATTTAGGCAATATTTAAATTGCAGATTGAAAATAAAGATTCATTTCAGGGCTTTGGCCAGGAGAGGTGAATAATGTCAGAACTACCCAGCCAGAAATCCTTCTTTCTGCATTTTTGACTCTCAGACATAACCTAGATGAGTCGGCACAGGTGTAGGTGCTATATGTACTACTAATTTTGAATTATTAATGGGGATAGGGTCAATGAACAAAGGGAACAAATATATATGATTTACTAGCCTCCTTTGAAACTAAAGTTTCAATTTTATCTTTCTCTATTATTTATCAGAACTGTTAAAGTCTCTCTGAATGGATAGCGTAGACTTTTTATTCTTTTAATTTTCTCTTTCTGTCCTGTAATGAAGATCATAATGAGTTTTCTAAGTAGCCAACAGGCAGCCACAGAGAAAGAAGGAGCACATGATTTGAGTTACTGGTATTTAGATAATTAAGCATTGACTATGCATTTTTCTTTGATCTTTTAATTAACACTTTTACTTCAGAACCTTTTTTTTATAATTTTGATTTTTGTATCACCAAATACTCAGATGGTAGAATTGTTTTTTATTCACATTAAGGTCACATTAATACATATGATATTGTCTCAGTAAACACAGCCTTTTAAATTCTACAGTTAAAATAAGTTAGTATTTTATCCATATTTCTTACCTGTTTCATTTTTCAGAGTATGTCATAAAATAGTATTGATGTTTTTGATCTTCTTTCTGTCTAGGGATTTGGTGTGAAGGCAAATAAGTAAAAGTGTTGGGGAAGAAGGCATAAATGTTACAGTCTCAGAATTTTCTAAAAGGGGAAGATTTATATTCCCTTATTCTAAATAGATATATAAGTTCACATCTGAGGAGTCTGTTACTTTCACAGCTTTTATCAGATAATTTACATCCTTAGATTTTGTCATATATTCTGTTCACATAAATTAAAGAGCATGGAATTTTTCTGTATATATTTAAAAGGTAATTATTGAGAACCTAATATGTTACAGATACTATGGGAATAAAATGAAGTAGACTATGTGTTTCTTGTTCAAAGTCAGCTAAAAAACTCTGGAGGGAGGAAAATATAAATGTAAAACCCAACAGAAAAATATAAAAACAGTACAAGTCCACAATTATATACACCAATAAATGATGTGTATAATATCAGAAGTCTTTCACTTCAGGTGTGGCAGAAAGTTGGCACCGAAGGTCTCTGTCACTGCAAAATCACTAATTTTATATGAAACTATTATCTTGATGCATTATATTTCTTAGGTGAAAGAGTTCTCCTGGGTCTCTTTCCCACCAAAAAGTATATGAGTTGAGCTCAGTACGTGGAGGGTTTAGCAGCAAGTAAGTACCATAAAGTAGGCTATTGATATAATTTATATATTTTTCCTCTGTAAATTTAATGTTGAAATGTGATCTCCAGTGTTGGAGGTGGGGCCTAGTGGGAGGTATTTGGGTCATGGGGGCAGACACTTCATGAACGGCTTGGTGCCCTCCCCACGTGGTAATGAGTGAGTTCCCACTCTACTACTTAACAGGAGATCTGCTTGTTTAAAATAGCATGGCACTGCCCTCCCCACCTTGCTTCCTGTCTCACCATGTGGCATGCTGGCTGCCATTGCCTTCTGCCATGTGTAAAAGCATCCTGCAGCCTCATCAAAAGCAGATGCTGGTGTCATACTTCTTGTACAGCCTATAGAACAATGAACCAAAATAATCCTTTTTCTTTACAAATTACCCAGCCTAAGGTATTCCTTTATAGCAGACAAAATGGACTAACAGAGTTGTCTTGAGTAAAAATGCTGATAACAGCATTGCATGGAGGAAGCTAAGACTTGGGCCAGTGTCAAGACGGCAGAATTGATCCTAAGTGTCTCACACAGCGGGGAAACTTCACAGAGACTAGTGTGATTCCAGATCAGCAGAAACTGTAGTCCCCAAGTAGAAACAAGCACAACATTTTATCTGGAAAAAAAATGTTTATACTTTATTCCCTGGGGTTCTCACATTTTATGATCCATGTAATATAAACACATAACCAAAGATTGCATAATACATAAGCAAACAACATATGATGCATAAACATAGGGACATTAACACCAGATTTAAAGCCCCAAGGGAATTATATATTTGAATTAGCTGATGTAGAGTATTAAATAAGTCTGCTGGAAATAGTTAAAGAAATAAAAGGATAAAAAAAAATGGGCAAACATTGGACACTATTAAAAATGACCATGAATGTCTAAAATCCAGTAGAAGTTATAGGCATAAAAAGGAACAGAATAAAAATTATAGACACAAAACCAATATATACTTTCTTGAATAGTGATTAAATGAGCAGATTAAATAGTAGAATAGGCACAGCAGGACAAAAGAATTTGTTTTTATAAAAGATAGTTCTGAAGAAATTTCATAGAATGCAGTTCAGAGAGATAAAAAACTAATGTTGTATTAAGCAATATGGAGGATAAGGTGTCTAATAAATATCTAACCAGGAGAATAGTAGAAAAATAGAGACTGGGAGATGAATATTATAAGTAATGGTATAGGGTTTTCCAGAAATGAAAGACATAAATCCAAAGAATGAATTGGCACAGAATAACTCCAATATAATTAATTTAAAACAATATGCACCTAGACATATGTCAGTGAAATGAGAAGACATAAAAGTCAAAGGAAGGAAGTGAAAAGTACCTAGAGGGAAATAAAAAGGCAAATGATCTAGCAAGGAACCAAAACTGACTGACAGCAGAGCTTTTAATAGCAACAATAGAAGCCAGGATACAGTGGGATAATACTGTCAAAGTACTGCGAAAAAAATAAATATCAAGCAGGTCAAGCAGGAGTGTGTTAGCTATTGTGTTTATATGTACATAAATTATATAATTTAATACTTGCAATGACTTTGGATGATAGATAATAATAATCTCCGTAAAAACGGACAGTCATTGAAATAAACAATCTGGTTTCCCCAGTCCAAATTTCCAGCAAATAGTCGAGCTAGTAATGAACCCATATCTTTTTCCATTCTATGCTCTTCCATTTATGTGATGCTGTCTTTCATTATAAAGATGCAATACAATTCATTTTGTTTTAAATAGAGATTCTTACTCTGTCTTTAAGCATATTAGCAACAGCGGTTATTTATTCTTTTAATAACTGTAGAGCATTTATATACAATGTGCAGGCATTGTGAAGGGCACAAAAATAAACATAATTCTGTAGTCTCCTTAACATAACAATAGAATAATGGAACAAATAAGACATTCAGATATGTAAATATATTACCTACAACACAGAAAGAGGTAGAAAATGGTTAGTTCTGTGAAAGAAAGTTACATAAAGGCTGTAAGTGTTCAGAAGAGGGAAAAGATACTTCCAACTGAGAGAGTAGGTAGAAAGAGAGTGGGGGAGTCTTAAGAAATGAGAAAAAGAATGTGATATTTGCACTAAAGTCTGAACAACAAATAGGATTTACTTATAAGGTGATGGGAGAAAAGATCATCTTTAGAGGGTGCAATGACTAGAGGCATAGAGGTAAGAAAGCAACATGGAGTATGGTTCACTGAGATGAGCGGCGTGGTATAGGAAAAGGAGGCACCAAAGAGGAGGCCAAGAAGTTTAATAGAGGTGGCCCTTGAATGGGGACTCAATGCAGGGTTTTAAACAGGAAGAACGACATGATCAGGGTCATGGTTTAAAGGAATTACCACTGCTGTTGAATTCAGGATGGTTTCTAATGGGGAGGGAATATAGGCAAGGTGAATAACTGAAAAATTACCCCAGAGGAAAGGTTATTACGAGGAGTTAAATTAAGACTTCAGCAATGGCAAAATTATAGATAGGTAAGTAAGTTGATAGATAAATAGAAAGATAGGTGATAGACAGGTAGATGATAGGTTAACAGCTACTAATGTTGTCCTACTATATATCGCAATTTCAAGCTCTTGTCAACAGGCTGGTTTCAATCATTTCTTATATCCATGCAGTGTATGTATCTTTGCAATGGGAGTCATGCTGGCTTTCTGTGTTTCTGAAGCAGAGAGAAGAGATGGGTTTTCCTTTTTGCCCAAGAGATTATGGGATAAAAGACTGGTGATAGACACTGAAGGAGATTCAGGTTTCACTGGAGCCTACAAAAGCATATTAGTAGTATACTGGACCCTTCCATCTCCCACCCACATGCACCAAGAATCAAATGTAATCGGGTCACTTATATTAGGAGAAGGAATTCATTGTAAGGATATTTTTAGAAAGACATTGGGGAAAAACAGGTTTAATCCTAATCAAAGTGAATCATATAGCAACAATGACATCAATAAAGTAAGTCAATTTCTAAGAAAAAGCATCCTTTTGCAACTATCAATTGATGCAAATGGTAATAAAAACAATGCAGTAAATCTAGAAACTTCAAATACTAAAGTCAAATTCTCCAAATTCAATATTTTCTTTTTTTCTTCTTTAGCAACCCTTTTGACACACAGGCATTAAAACACAGGCGGGAGTTTAAACAATTATGGGGAGTTGGGGATAACTGAAAGGGGCTTATTTTAGCAGCTGTCCTTAGATAAACATAAAAGTTATAGGCAAATTTCATGAATAATTTTAGTTTAATTTTCTGCTATAATCTTTAAATCAACATTTATCTTGAAGACAAGAAACCAAGATTTACAGCAAGATTGCACAATCTTATAATTGGACTAGATTTGAATATAAAGTAACAGTTTTGTATTCATACAGTCCAAGTTTCAGTGTAGAACTAATATGACTGTATTTTTAAAGGAAATCTATCAACATTATTTTATTGCCAAAATGAGAAAAAATACAGAAAATGATTTGTGTTTTTGTTTTGTGGGCTACAGTCACTTCATCGAATTCTTTACCTGTTTGTTTATGAAGACAAAAATATAAACTTGGCTTCATTAAAGAAAAATACACACACACACATAAAGAGAATTTATCTCCCAGATGTTGGGGTGGATTTAATATTTCAATATTCTTTGAAAGCAACATGAATTTCCTGGGGATATTTTTATGCACTCACCTTATTCATAGGCTGAAATCTCCAATGTTTAATTATTTCTTGTTTCTTCAACCAAGACAATACATTTTAAGCTACTTTTGCTTTGTTTTCCAATAATAGTGCAATATGGAGTTTGTGAATACATTTTCTATTACATTGATTCTGTTCAGAAAATTGTGAGAAGTGTCATGGGGTGGCTTAGGTATGTGGTTGGAATTAAATTGGTTCTTTGGGTAACAAAGACACCCACTAAAATGTAGCCTTCTACTTTTACCTCAACCGAGTTAATGGGTGCAGCACACCAACAGGGCACATGTATACATATGTAACAAACCTGCACGTTGTGCACATGTACCCTAAAACTTAAAGCATAATTAAAAAAACAATTTAAAATAAAACATAGAATTAGTCCTACTCTAAATTTAGAGAACTAGATGTCTATAAATAATTTTTCATTGTTTTATTATAAAATTAATAAATGTATACTTCATAATAAAAAAAAAGTCAACAAAAGAACACCCAATCTGCTGGACCCTTTCAGACTGAACATTTTCATTATAGTCATGCCTACTTACATTCAAAATTCCTGAAGATACAATCCCTGGTTCAAGTTTCTGCTTCTTTTTGCCCATGAACAGGCTAAAACTTTGACGGGCAAATATTTAGTAAAGGAGCAAAAGAAAACATTCTGGTTTTAGTTCTGCTGAGAGGTCACTCTGCCCTTCCTCAGAGTTAGAAAATAAACTCCTTTATGACAACCATTATTTATCTGATTTTCCTAAAGGACTGTGCTGGCACAGACCGAACTTCAGTAAATGAACACTAACATTACAAATTACAATAATTTATCATTATTGTTGAGGCTTCTTATTTCTACCTCAAAACATTGGAGAAAATGAAAGGATCAAATTCCTTTTATCACATTCATATTTAGATTCTGTGAAAGAAAACTACCTTGGGCCCCCAGAGTCACTAAACTAAACAGAAAATTCAAGCTGGAAACTGCTCAGGGCAAACCTGCCTCCCATCCTATTCAAAGTCATCTCTCTGCTCACTGAGATAAATGCATATCTGATTGCCTCCTTTGGAAAGGCTTATCAGAAACTCCAAAGAATGAAACCGTTTGTCTCTCACCTACCTGTGACCTGGAAGCCCCCTCTCTGCTTCCAGGTGTCCCCAACTTTCTGGATGCAACCAATGTACTTCTTACATATATTGATTGATGTCTCATGTCTCCCTAATATGTATAAAACCAAGCTGTCCCCCGACCACCTTGGGAACATGTCGTCAGGACTTCCTGGGACTGTGTCATGGAGATGCGTCCTCAACTTTTGGCAAAATAAGCTTTCTAAATTAGCTGAGACCTGTCTGAGATTTTGGGGTTTATAATTCCATTTGTTATCTATCTAACTGGGTAATCTAGGTTGTCTAAAACACAAACATGTGATTTATCTATCACCAGTCATGAAGGAGACTGTAGATGCTCCTCAGCTTACAGTGGAGTTACATTCTGATAACCCCATCATATGTTGAAAATATCGTAAGTCAAAAACGCAGTTAAAATACCTGACCTACCAAGCATCATAGCTTAGCCTAGCCTACCTTAAATGTGCTCAGAACACTTACATTATCTTATAGTTGGGCAAAATCATCTAACACAAAGCCTATTTTGTAATAAAGTGTTGAAAACTGTACACAGATGGGCATTTTATGGACATGATGGGATGCAAAAACACAAGACACAGTATTCAAAAGAGGCTGGCAACACAATACACTGCAGCATACAGATTGTTTACCCTCCTGATCTCATAGCTGACTGGGAGCCGTGGCTCTCTGTGCGGCCCAGCGTAGCAAGGGAGCATCACACCACATATGGCTCGCCTGGGAAAAGATCAAACTTCTAACTTCCAAGTACAGCTTCTACTGAATTTGTGTCACATTCACACTACAGCAAAGGAAAAAAAAAATCACAAGTTTAACCATAGTAAGTCGGGGCCATTTGTATACATGCATACCTGGTAATAGTTAAGTATCACACTACTCCAAGATATATCATCTATTTATGGCCTCATGCCTCTGATATTTTCTCCTGCTACCCTATCCTTTATGATTATCATTTGTTTTCAAGCCTTCAATGATCACTTCTGTGTCATGGATTCCAGAGTGAAGTGTTTCTCATTTCTAATTGCCTATTGGACATTTCTATCTGACTGAAAACCTGGACAGAACTTTCCTGCATCATGCGTACAAACAATTTTTTTTCTTTTTTTCTTTTTTTTTTTTTTTGCTGTGCCAATTTCAGATCCTTTTCTTGATGTCTCTGTCTTCACTGCATGATCCTTGGCAGAATATTTCTTCATTCTACCTTCTTATAGCTCCTTATCAGTACCCTTAATACATGTGTTTCTTTGTTCTTTAAGGTTACTCTCAGTTTCCAAATCTCACAAGACTTTCTTTATTCCTCTTTGTCCGTCTATCATCTTTTTTTATTGTTCCACCAAAACTCATCCCTTCTTTTTTCCAAATATCCATGACTTCAGCCTTATTCTTTACTTTCCTACTACCAGCACCCTAGTTCAAACACTTCTTACCTTTTTCCTGGATTACTGGAATTGCTTCCCGAAGGAAATGCCTGCCTTTAGCCTCACCCTCTCCATACCTGTAGCAGCATTTTATTTATAGGCAGCATCTCACCCGTGTCATTGCCTTTACATTCCTTATATTAAACAAAGCTTCTGTTCTTGGAGAGAGCACTGTGTGCAACTTTCTCTACATATCTTTTTCTTCATCAATAATTTTTTATTTATAATTAACACATAATAATAGTATATATTTATGGGATACAGTGTGATGTTTCAATGCATATATACACTGTGTAATGAGCAAGTCAGGGTAATTATTGTATCCATCATTTTAAATATTCATCATTTTTGGCGGGGGGGGGGGTGACAACATTCAAAATCTTCTCTTCTAGCTATCTTGAAATACAGAGTACATTGTTAGTAGAAGACCAGAACTCATTCGTTCTGTCTAACTATAACTTTGTATTTTTCTGTTCACATAATCTTTACTGAATATCATCCTCGGCAGAGTCATATTTCTGCATTCTACCATCTTATAGCTCCTTAACAGTAACCTTAACATATGTGTTCCTTTATCTTGTAGTTTATTGTATAAACATTTTCTCTTTCTTAATATATAACATTTTAATTGAAGGAGGAAGCATAAATGTGTGAGGTGGTAATAAATAATTGTAGATTTTTTTGAACATGGCTGAATGAACCGTGCTTTATCTACCACTATCTAGAGATGTTCTGAGTTAATATTTTATACTTACCACTAAAGAAATTCATAGAGTATTATAGCTGCAAGGGTCATTAGAGATCATGTGTTAAGGATGTTTTGTACTTCACAGAAGAGAAAACTGAAGCCTATAGAGGTTAAGTAACTTATGCAAATTTTGCAAGGTCACACAGCAAGTTAGTAAGCTTCCTCACTTGTAGTCATCCAAAAAACTCAGTAAATTACAAGTGAATTGCATTCCAGTGAGGTTTACTTCTGATTAAAACAATGGTAATAAAAAACATCAAGTGCACTTACTTAGTAGTCTAACCATTGGTTTTCTCCTGTGATAAGCTTTCTTATTATGCAAATTTATTTTATAACATATAAAAACAGAATTTTAGCAGTCATATGCTAGCGCTGTAAAACAGTAGCAAAAATAAACAAATCAAAAACTAACCTAAGGACATGAATCATGAACTATTTATAAATCACATTTTGTAACCTTTAATAACATCGAACCAAATCCGGTGGTTTTAAATTAGATTTAAAATTGGTGCTCTGCCCTTCAAACAATGCTTGATATAGTCAGCTTTCTGTATCAAGTGCACTTTTAAATAAATATGCCACTCATAAAATGCCTTCTTCAGAGAAGAACCTTGTTTCGTATAGTCGACAATAATCAAGATGAACTACAATGCTATTTTCTTTCTCTTAACCATTTCATTCCATTGTTTTGATTTGGACTTCTCTCATAAAAATATTGTCAAGCAAAATTAAGTGCGAAACCCTTGGTCCTGTCTTACAAGCTAGAGAAAGTCTAGCTTTTAGCCTTTGTTGGGTGAGACTGATTTTTTTCCTTTTTTCCTCTTTTTTCCTCTGCATATTAGGAGTATTCTGAAATATGCATTCACTCTGCCTTTCTCAGGTGGCCTCTTTCCCTGACATACTGAAGCAGGCCGTTATGTGTGCTTTGAGTTATGGCAACATATCCAAAGAGACTTTGCCCTAGTATAGGCCCCTCAATAGTCTTGCTTTTTAATTAAAATGAAAAAAAAATTACTAGGTGACCTTGTAGGACAAAATCATTATACATATAATGAGCTATCTTTTGAATTTGAAATCCAAAGATGTTCTTGAACTCCTTTGTATTTAATTTTATGTAAGTACTTGCAGTTTTAGAAAAATAGATTGGCAATGAAGACGGGCCAACAAAGGAACAGCTTCTTCCCTTAGTAGTTAGTAGCGAATTATTGGCTTTTAAAGAAAATTGCTCCTTCACCCTGTTTTAAAATATGCAGTCTTTGTTTATAGCACATTTTGTCTTTAATGCTGTGCAACACCATATATGTTATTTGTTTGTTTCTCTTCTCATTGATTTCAAAGCACAGCAACCAAGGTAAATTTAAAGAAAATGATGCTAACATTAGAATATTCTCTATTTACCCATAGACCCAAATTACCATCCTAATAATGTGCTTTAGCTACGCCACATTATTAATGAGTGCAATTGTTAAAAGTATTATTAGTTATTTTCAACAAATCAATAGTATGTTTCAGGGGAATGATAAATAGAGCCAACTATATCTATATCTTCATATAGGTATATAGTCATAGGGGATCAAATGGATATACAGTTCACTGTGTATTATGGCCAGAAAAGAGCAACTAAATGATGAGCTGACTGAAGATAATATTCCAAGATAAGTAGTTGAAGTGATTGAAGTGGTTTTTCCTGCAACCAACACTACATGATCAATATCTTTAAAATCCAAACAGTGTGCATGGTAAAGAAAACCCCCAAGGTAAAGGTAATGTGATGAGTTGGAAAGAGTTCAGGCTATGGAGTGTGGCAGACTTCATTTGGAATCCAGTTTACTTGCCGTGTGACTGGACACATGGTTAAAACATTTAACTTAACCTAATTTTCTCACCTGGAAGATGGAAATAATTAAATTGACATGACATAACTGTTGTGAATGTTAATAACAATTACTTGCTTAAAGCACCTAGCAGGAGGCCTAACATTAAGTAAGGGAAGAGTCAGTGTTTGAACGCCCCACTCCAGTAAAGAGGAGAACTGGGGCTCTGTATGGGCTGGCAGTAGGAACTGGAGGCTAAGGCAGAAGTGGGGTTGACTCTCATTTCTGAACGCAAGGGGAAAAAGCACAATATAGTACCTCAGGTGAAGCCAGGTTGGAGACTTAGGAACTAATCCAAAGCATCATTCCAAGGGACAAAGTGGTTAGAAAAGCTCTAGCAGTAAACATCCTGGAAATGGAGACAGACAGGATGGACTGGACAGTTTGAAAGGATGAACACAGAAGGTGGAGCCCAGAGAGAATTTGCGGATCAATGGTACCCGCATTAGGAGGGAGTGTTCCTTAGGGTCTCTGTGCCACTGCAGTGGGTGAGGAAAAAAAAAAACAAAAAACGATTTTAGGGCCAATTTTGTTGACACTCTCAATAAAGGCCAGCTATTGTGAACATTCTCATAACGATTGTTTAATGTTAACACAAATGGGCCAGGCGTGGTGGCTCATGCCTGTAATCCCAGCACTTTGGGAGGCCGAGGCGGGCAGATCACTTGAGGTCGGGAGTTTGAGACCAGCCTGACCAACATGGAGAAACCCTATCTCTACGGAAAAATACAAAATTAGCCAGGCGTGGTGGTGCATGCCTGTAATCCCAGCTACTCAGGAGACTGAGGCAGGAGAATCGCTTGAACCCGGGAGGCGGAGGTTGCGGTGAGCCAAGATCATGCCATTGCACTTCAGCCTGGGTAACAAGAGCAAAACTCAAAAACAAATAAATAAATAATGTTAACACAAATGGATATATATTATAGAGTGGGAGAGCTTGCTCAAATATGAAGGATTCGATTATTGGTCTGGATTTACCCATCTAATCCTCAGACTGCTTAAACTTTATTTATTAACAGGGTCCTCATCTCATGAAACTCTACTCTGCCGCAATCAATCTTCCAGTAACTTCAGGCAAAATATGTATATTTTGGTCTGAATCTATAAAATAATGGCATCACCTTTCCTCATCTACCCTTTCAATCTGATTCCATTTCCTTCTTTGTGAAAACTCACTCCATTCAAGCTAATTTCCAAACTCATTTGGAATATTTTTATCCCTGTGCTTTTGTCTATACCATGTATAGTCTTCTTCATTAAATCTTACACCAATGCTGAAGGCCCAGCTCAAATATTAGCTTAGATACAATCAACTCTAAACTGTTTGGAAGGTAGTTTAAAATATGTCTTAATCAATGATACCCTGTATTTTTCATACGTACAATATTAATTTCTTGAAAAGTTGCATAATTTGTTTTTCTGTTAAAAAATTGTATTTGTGCAAATTTACTGGGTACATGTAAAATTTTGTTACTTGTATATAATATGCAGTGGTGAATTTATGGTGTTTAAGGTGTCCATCATCCAACTACAATACAATTTTGTTAACTATAGTTACTCTAGTCTATATCAAACATTGAATTCATTCTTTCTGTCTGACCACATGTTTGTGTCCTTTCACACACTTCTCATCCTTCCCCTTCCCCACTCACCTTTCCCAGTCTCTGTTATCTGTCTTTCCACAATCCACCTCCATGTGATCAAATTTTTTTAGCTCCCACATAAAAGTGATAGATAATATGTGATATTTGTCTTTTTGTGCCCAGCTTACTTCATTTAATATAATAACCTCCAGTTCCATCCATGTTGCTGAAAAGGACAGGATATCATTTTTTATGGCCTGATAGTATTCCATTGTGTATATACACCACATTTTCTCTGTCCATTCATCCGTTGATGGGCACCTAGGTTGATTCCATGTCTTTTCTATTGTGAATACTTATGCAATAACCATGTGAATGCAGTTATTCCTTTGAGATATTGATTTATTTTTTCTCTTTAGATAGATACCCAGTAATGGGATTGCTGGATCATATGGTAGTTCTATTGTTAGTATTTTAAGAAATCTTCTTTCTCTTTTCCATTGTGTCTGTACTAGTTTACATTCCAACCCAAGTGTGTAAGAGTTCCCGCATCCTCGCCACCATGCATTATTTTTTGTCTTTTGTAATATTAGCCATTCTAACTGGGGTAAGATGATATCTCATTGTGATTTTGATTTGCATCCTCTGATGATTAGTGATGTTTAGCATTTTTCGATATACCCGTCTGTCATTTGTATGTCTTATTTTGAAGAATGTCTATTAATGTCCTTTCCCACCTTTTTATGGGATTATTTGGTTTTTTTTTTCCTGTTGTTGTTTGAGATTCTTGTATATTCTGGCCATTAGTCCCTTGTTGGATGAATAGTTTACAAATATTTTCACCCATTCTTCATGTTATCCATTAACTCTGTTGATTGTTCTTTTTGCTGTGCAGGAGTTTCTTAGTTTAATGAAGTCCCATTTGTCTATTTCTGTTTTTGTTGCCTGTGCTTCAGAGGTCTTAGACATAAAGTCTCTGCCTAAACCAATGTCCAAAAGAGTTTCCCCTAAATTTTCTTGTAGAACTTTTATAGTTTCTGGTCTTATATTAAGCATTTAATCCATTTTGAATTGATTTTTGTATATGTTGAGAGATAGGGGTCTAGTTTCACTCTTCTTCTGCACATGGCACCCCGATGTTCACAAACTCAGAGTCTATGTATTCTAATTCCTCCATGTTATGTTAGCATATGATAATTCTAATGAAATATTTGTCACATCAGATTTAATGAAGTTTCTTTAATAGAGAGGTTATATATTATATTTTTCAGTTTACAGGTCAGAAAAATTAGGTTTGGGAAGGTCAAGTGACATGCCCATATTACACAGGGCTAACTTGCCTACAGGCTATGCAATTGATTGCAGGAATTCTGCGAGTCTAACAGAGGAGTGAGGTTAGTTTTCCAACTCTTTCTTATGCAGACTTTGACTTAATATTACTGTCTTCAGCCCTGTACCTGTTTCTACCCTTGGGCAGGGCTTGAGGAATGGTGGATTATTAAACCAGGAGACAGATTATTGCCAGGAACAAAGAGAAATTTTCTCTAGGGCTGTTTAATTATTTTAAAAGGAATTACCTCCTCTTTCTTGCATCTCCCCTCTCCCCGCCCTCTCTCTCTCTCTCTCTCTTTTTACCTAGTGGGTATGTGTTTGGCTACGGTAAATATCATAGTTTCAGTAAAGGAAAAAGGATGTTTGATTGATCAAGTGGCATGTTTATCATTAATTTCCCAGTCCTCCAACCATTGACATCTGCTGAATCATGAGCTTCTCTGTGATTCTAATTGATGAGATTATTATGAGAATGGGTTTGTATAATATGATTCCTCCTGTCCTGCTTCATCGGACATCACCTCTTAATGCTTTCTGTGTGCAAGGAATTTGTTGGTATCTCTTGCCTACTGATGTGATTAAATATTCACTCTAATTTTAATGTTGTCATTATTGAGAAATTAGATAACGATATTTGATCATTTTGCCATGTTTAGTCATCTACAGATTGGTGACCATGAATGAAAAGAGTCGAAAAGCACTAGGTTTGACCTTTGCTCAAACAGTTCACCCTGTCTCCTATGGCTTTTGCCTATTTATTCAAGCAATATTTATTAATTAAAAAATTAATTAATATTAGATCCAATGCCCTTTAAAAAGTATAACTCAATTGTTCCTGTGGAGACCTAATATGTCTTTTCCTACAAATCCCACATGATGTTTTCTGAACCTCTTTTTACTGTATTTAAAATCATTAGCTTTGTTACTGAAGTCATTTATATGCCTCTGACTCCCCAGTCAGACTCCAAGCTCCAAGTCCTGGGGGTCCATGGCTTTTTAATCTTTATATTCTCAATTGTGTTTTGCCCATAGGATACCATAAATGTTTTTTCAATTGAATAAAATGACTTTCTTCTACTTGGTATTCTTTATTTCAATTATGTATGTTTGATAAGTGGATTTAATTAGGTTATGTTTTATGATTAAAAACACTAATGTAATATTTTCCTAAGGGTTCTTGATTTTCTAAATCTAATGTTCTGTAACTAAAATAATATGTTTGTTTAATTAGTTAAACAAGAAAAAAATATTATGGCATAAAGGGAAATAAAGACCGTGGTTGGTATATAATTCACCACAGACGTTGGAGTCAGGCAGACTAGCATTCTAATTTGACTCCACCTCTTGCTTGCTGTGTGATCTATGGAAAGTCACTAAAATTATCTGAACTTTAGTTTCCTCATCAGTTAAATGAGTATAAGAGGCCCTACTTTTTGTGGTTATTAAGATTGAATGACGGCCGGGCGCGGTGGCTCATGCCTGTAATCCCAGCACTTTGGGAGGCCGAGGCGGGTGGATCACGAGGTCAGGAGATGGAGACCATCCTGGCTAACATGGTGAAACCCCATCTCTACTAAAAATACAAAAAATTAGCCGGGCGTGGTGGCGGGCGCCTGTAGTCCCAGCTACTTGGGAGGCTGAGGCAGGAGAATGGCGTGAACCCAGGAGGCAGAGCTTGCAGTGAGCCGAGATCGCGCCACTGCACTCGAGCCTGGGCGACAGAGCGAGACTCCATATCAAAAAAAAAAGATTGAATGACTTTGTTAATTAATTGTGATTAAACATACTAAACAAATCCTAGGTGTTACTGTCTCCATGAATGTTTGACAATTATGAATGATGAATGTTCCCCTAAAATGTTGACAGGGTGAATTTTGGTAAATGTCCTAACTTAGTCTCCTCATTGTTCTCAAGCCCTGACACAGGGCCTACTTACTAAATGTTTTCAGGACAAAAAAAAAAAAAAAAAAAAAAAAAATGGAAGGAAAAACAAAGGAAACACAGAAGACGGAAAGAAACTAAATTATATAATAAATTAGTTTCAGATCTTTAACAATAATGGAAATTCTGCTACTATACTAAGTTCTATAATGTTTAGAAGTCATTTTTCTATACTATGAAGATCTGTGTATGTTCTAATGCATGAGTTTATATTCATAATTTAATAAGAACAATTTTTCAAATGTGTATCAAGTGCATGTTAAGTGGGATTAGAATTCCTTGTGTTCCCTGAGACACACAGATTTAAACATGTGCTTAATCTATAAGCTGAATTCATGAGGAAGTTAAGCAGTATTTTTTTTCTATCATCTTTTTTCACTATCTTAACAAACCTAGTTCTATGGAAAATATGCAAGGAAAATTATTTAAATCCCACCATATTTTCTATTTCAGTCTGCAGCATGACAAGAAGGATGAAGGGAGTGCCAGTTTGGAAAGGCTGACTTGGTGGGTGAGCAGCAGACAGTGGGGTAGACACAGTGTGACAGTAATCTCTCTATTTCTGGTTCAGAGGCTTCCAAAGAAACAGGACTTGAAAGCAGAGAAGAAAAACTGTCAGGAGCTTAGAGACATCTCCGTGTCGTGCATCAAAAAACAGCTTGAGGAGTCAGACACATTCTGCTACTTGCTACCTGAGTGTTGTTGCAGAGGTTACTTCAAAACCTCAATTCCTCAGTTTCCTCCTCTGATAAAGCCACTGATAATCTTTACTTTTCAGGGGAAACCTGAGGATGAAGTTACATATGGGAGAACACCTGGTATACACTTAGTGCATATTACTTGTCTTTCTTTCCTCTTTAAAGTGGAAAGATGCTCAGGAAAGACAAACTAGAAGCTGCCGTTGGGTCTGTAAGCAGATCTTACTTGCAAGATAAGCTTCTGGCTTCTGGATGATCTAGGGGAAGAAAGGTTGAGAAATTGTTACAGTGAAGTGGCAGAAATCCTAGGATTTGATTGTGTTTGTAGATGTTCTTCTGAATCTAAGACCCAAAGTGTGTTGATAAAAAAAAACCTCCTACTCTTGTCTTGATTTAAAAAAAAACTTTAAAATGAGCTGCAATTAGCTCAGTGTATTAGTCAGGGTTCTCTAGAGGGACAGAACTAATGGAACATGTATATATGTTATATGATATATATATACACACACATACATATATATGTGTGTATATATATACACACACATATGTGTGTATATATATACACACACATATGTGTGTATATATACACACACATATGTGTGTATATATACACATACATATATATGTGTATATATACACATACATATATATGTGTATATATATACACATATATATGTATGTGTGTGTGTGTGTGTATATATATATATATATATATATATATATATATATATATATATATATGGGAGTTTATTAGGTATTAGCTTACATGATCAGAAGGTCCCACAATAGGCTGTCTGCAGGCTGAGGATCAAGGAGAGCCAGTCTGAGATCCAAAACTAAAGAACTTGGAGTCCGATGTTGGGGGCAGGAAGCATCCAGCACCAGAGAAAGATGCAGGCTGGGAGGCTAGTCCAGTCTCTCCTTTTTGCTTTTTTCTGCCTACTTTATATTTTCTAGCAGCTGATTAGATTGTGCCCACCACATTAAGGGTGGGTCTGCCTTCCCCAGCCCACTGACTCAAATGTTAACCTCCTTTGGCAACACCCTCACAGACACACCCAGGATCAGTACTTTGCATCCTTCGAACAAATTGACACTCAGTATTAACCATCACAAGTCTATCCCTTGTCAACTTGAACCAATACACATCTCCTGAGATCATACACAATCTTCAAATAAGGACGATAAGGCCATAATTATAACTAACATAATACAATTCTCCTTCATGCAACCAGAAATGCACCAATCCCCAATGCAAATACCATTACATGAAGTTATCAATATGTAAATGCTGATATGAAGTCAATAAATCTTATGTCACATGATAAAGGAAAAGGAAATAAAGTGAAGATATTTTCTTAGTACAAGTGTGTACATGCACAAATATGTTTTTAAGAAAAGGAGGAAGAAATACTCATGACAGTTACAGTCCTCATTTCTGCAGCTTGTCACGTGGTTATAGCTGGTATTGATTACTACTTTCTTCTACTAGCCATTCATTCTGCATTCCCTTTGCTTTCAGTAAGCACCTCAGCTGGTCATTTTTTTTTTTTTTTTTCTGGTGGTGTGACCCAAACCTTCATTCCTGAGAGGTCTGGACCATTTGTAGTCCTTCCTGGACTGGGCTGTTGTAGTTTCACATTGACTTTAATAACAGGGTATGGTAATACTGAGATCCCCTAAGGGATCTCCTATATTCCATGCATAATCTTCCTTACCTCCGTTATAGAGTAGTAGACTGATTTCATCTTGATAGTCCAGGTCAATCATCCTGGCCAACACTGTAACTCCCTTCTTAGCCTGTTGACTTAAAGGTAGGAGGAGCCCAAAGTGTCCACGCGGCAATGGTAACTTCCAGTTTAATGGAATTGTTGTTGTGTCTCCTGGTGGCAGTGTTCCTCCCTCCAGAACTCAGACCTCTAGACCAGCAGAATGTAATGTGGCAGGAACAGGAAGCAAAAATTTTGCTAGTGGATCACTAGCAATGATGTGTGTGGTGCCACTTCCACTTCCACCCCTTGATTCCTGGAACCATGAATCCTTTGGCTATAGGAGAAACAGTACCATATACTGAATGCTGATTCAGAGCATACATAGCCTTCTGGAGAACTTTGCCTCAGCCCTGCAAAGTATTGTCACCTAGTTGGCATTGTAATTGTGACTTCAAAAGGCCATTCCACCATTCTATCAATCCAGCTGCTTCAGGATGATGGGGAGCATGATAAGACTAGTGAATTCCATGAGCACGAGCCCATTGCCACAGTTCTTTAGCTGTAAAGTGAGTGCCTTGGTCAGAGGCAATGCTATGGGAAATAGCATGATGGTGGATAAGGCATTCTGTGAGTCCACGAATTGTATTCTTTGCAGAAGCATTGTGTACAGGATAGCCAAGCCCATATCCAGAATAAGAGTCTATTCCAATGAGGACAAACCTCTGCCCTTTCCATGACGGAAGAGGTCAAATATAATCAACCTTCCACCAGGTAGCGGCTGATCACCCCAAGGAATGGTGCTATATCAAGTACTCATTGTTGGTCTCTGCTGCTGGCAAATTGGGCATCAGCAGTGGCTGTAGCCAGGTCAGCCTTGGTGAGTGGAAGTACATGTTGCTGAGCCCATTCGTAACCTCTATCTCTGCCACCATGGCCACTTTGTTCATGGGCCCATTGGGCAATGACAGGGGTGGCTGGGGAAAGAGGCTGAGTGGTGTCCACAGAATGGCTTATCTCATCCACCTGATTATTAAAATTCTCCTCTGCTGAGGTCACCCGTTGGTGAGCACTCACACGGGATACCAATATTTTCACAGTTTTTGGCCACTCACTCAGAGAGGTCCATCCACACATCTCTTCCCCAAATTTATTTGTCACCAATTTTCCAATCATGCTTCTTCCAAGTCCTTGATCATCCAGCCAAACCATCAGCTATAGCCCATGAATCAGTATATAATCGCACATCTGGCCATTTCTCCTTCCATGTAAAATGCACAACAAGGTGCACTGCTCGAACTTCTGCCCACTGGGAAGATTTCCCTTCACCGCTCTCCTTCAGGGATGTCCTAGAAAGGGGCTGTAGTGCTGCAGCTGTCCACCTTCGGATGGTGCCTGCATATCGTGCAGAACCATCTGTGAACCAGGCCCTAGTCTTCTCTTCCTCTGTCAACTGATCATAGGGAACTCCCTATGAGACCATTGGTGCAGGCTGAGGGAGAGAAGACAGGGTGGCAAGAGTGGAGACCATGGGCATTTGAGCCACTTCCTCATATAACTTACTTGTGCCTTCAGGACCTGCTCGAGACCAATCACGTGTATACCACTTCCATGTGATGAAGGAATGGTGCTGTGCATGACCCACTTTGTGGCTAGATGGGTCAGAAAGCACCCAGTTAATGATAGAAAATTCAGGTCACATGGTGACTTGATGACCCATAGTCAAACGTTCAGTTTCCACTAAAGCCCGGTAACAGTCCAAGAGCTGTCTCTCAAAAGGAGAGTACTTATCTGCAGAAGATGGCAGGACCTTGCTCCAAAATCCTAGAGGCCTCTGCTGTGACTCACCTATGGGACCCTGCCAAAGGCTCCAAACAGCATCCCAATCTGCCACTGATACTTCAAACACCATTGGATCTGCTGGGTCATATGGCCCAAGTGGCAGAGCAGCTTGCATAGCAGCCTGGACCAGTTGCAGAGCCTTCTTCTATTCAGGACCCCACTCAAAACTGACAGCCTTTTGGGTCACTCAATAAGTGGGCTGGAGTAACACACCCAAATGAGAAATGTGTTGCCCCAAAATCCAAACAGGCCCACTAGGCATTGTGCCTCTTTCTTGGTCGTAGGAGGCGCCAAATGCACCAAACTCATCCTTCACATTAGAAGGAATATCTCAACAGGCCCCACACCACTGGGCCCCTAGAAATTTTACTGAGGTAGAAGATCCCTGAATCTTAGTCAGATTTATTTTCCATCTTCTGACACACAATAAGTCCAGTGTGTTTGCTACTTCTTGCTCACTGGATCCAATCAGCATAATGTCATCAATGGAATGAACCAGTGTGATACCTTGTGGAAGTGAAAAGCGATCAAGCTCTTTCTGAATAAGATTGACACAAAGCTGGAGACTTGATATACCCCTGAGGTAGGACGGTAAAGGTATATTGCTGGCCTTGCCAGCTGAAGGCAGATTGCTTCTGGTGGGCCTTATGAACAGTAATGGAGAAAAAGGCATTTGTCAAGTCATTGGCTACATACCAGGTACCAGGAGATGTGTAAATTTGCTCAAGCAATGAAACCACATCTAATACGGCAGCTACTGTCGGAGTCACCACTTGGTTAAGCTTACAATAATCCACTGTCATTCTCCAAGATCCACAAGTTCCATCTGTCTTCTGCACAGGCCAAATGGGAGAGTTAAACAGGAATATGGTGGGAATCACTACTCCTGCATCTTTCAACTCCTTGAAGGTGACACTAATCTCCACGGTCCCTCCATGGATGTGATATTGTTTTTGATTTACTATCTTTCTAGGTAGAGACACCTCTAATGGCCTCCATTTGGCCTTTCCCATCATAATAGCCCTCACTCTCCCAGTCAGGAAGCCAACGGGGGGTGGGTTCTGCCAGCTGCTAAGTATGTCTATGCCAATTATGCATTCTGGCACTGGATAAATGACCACAGGAGGAGACTGGGGACCCACTGGACCCATTGTAAGTTGGATCTGAGGTAAAAATCCATTAATTACCTGACCTCAATAAGCCCCTACTTTAACTGGGGGACCACAATGATATTTTGCATCCACTGGAATCAACATCAGCTCAGAGCCAGTGTCTAGTAGTCCCCGAAATGTCTGATCATTTCCCTTTCCAATGCAAATGTGCTCAGGTAAAAAGCCAGAGGTCTCCTTGGGGAAGGGTGGGAGAAAGATTCACTGCATAAGTTGTTGGTAATGTAGTGGTGTCCTTCCTCAAGGGGACCTGGCCTTTTCTTCATTCAAGGGATTCTGTGTCTGCAAACTTGCTCAAGTCTGGAAATTGATTGAAGGGTCATGATTCTGTTTGTTTTTATAATTCAAATTAGCCTTTTGTCTACTCAACCTAGACGTTTTCTGCTTACATAAATTAAGTAGGAATGCAGTAGGCTTCCTATCAATTTCACTTCTAGGAACACTGTAATTAATTACCAAAGCCAGAGCTCTACCTGAGTCAGACTATTCTGATTGCTGCTTTGCCTCTGCTGTCTATTATGGTAGCTACGCCCACCTTGCTTTTGACAGTTGAGTGCTGCAACTTGGCCACTGCCACTTTGGGATCCAATCATTCCCATTGTATTTAAATTTTGAAGTTCAGTGACTGCAGTTCCCATGTTAGATCTGACATACAGAGAAGAGCAATTACAGGGCTCTTCAAAGATGCAGGTGCTGCCCTCAAAAATCTATTTCAGAAGGTATTGGTCAAGGGTATATCTTCTGGACCTCTCAGCTGGGATGAATAGGTCTAAAGTGACTAATGTATTCCACCATCCCAATCTCCCTAAGCCTTTGGATCCCTTCCTTTACATAAAACCAAGGGAGATCAGGCATTTCCAGCTCGCTCACAATGGGACATCTTTTAGTCCATATTTCAGCTAACCAAGAAAATAAACTATTAGAATCTTTTTTTAACTCCCTGAGCTGTGACATTAAATGCAGAGTTCCTACTTAGCAGGTCCAAATCAATAAATTCAGCTTGATCCAACTCTATGTTCTTTCCACCATTATCCCACACCCTTAATATCCATTCCAATACCTGTTCCCCAGATTTCTGTTTATATAAATTAGAAAACTGAAGCAGTTATTTTCAAGCGTAGCACACCTCCTCATGGGTCACACTCAGACCCTCACCTCTAGGGTCCTGCCTGGACTTTAGTCTAGTTGTAGGTCTAGAAGCAAACAGGGGTGTTGGAGATGAGTCCTGAGGAGAATCAACATTATCTTGCCTGACAACTGCCTCAGAGGAGGCCATCACTGTTGCCTCAGGCAGCACAGGGTTTATCTCCTCCGACAAGGATGAAGGCTGATGGCAGCATGGGTCAGGGAGGGGACGTTGCCACTACTGGGGATAGGGAAGCTGTTTCTTCTGGCAAAAAAAGGTTCATCAGAGTTTACAAAACTCAGTGTCCCCAGCTTCATTGGGGGACATGTCCCCATTCCAAGTTGCAGGGTCCCATTCTTTTCCAATCAATGTCCTCACTTTAACAATAGACACCTGGCAAGACTGTGCATACACCTTTCCTTACAGATCAGCTACTTGCATGATAAGAGCTTGTGTCTGTTTTTCCACAATTTCTGCTGTTTTTCCACAGGAGATGAGACTCTCGCTCAGGGCAATCTTAGAGAATTTGAGGCTCAGTATCTGCTTCTGAATTCAGGGATAGAATCCCCGAGTTCATCATTTTCTTTCATCACTTTGTCTACTGAACTTAGGAGCAACCAGCCAGCTTCATTATGTTTCTTGGTTCTCCACATATGGTCAAACATATTATGTATAGAGTCACTAAACTCCTTGCCTCCCATGAGCAATGAATCAGGAGTGTCAAATGCATTTATTTTGCATAACTCTCTAAACAGTTCATGCCAAGGACTGTCAGTGTTCTGCATACTATTAGAAGTAGAGTCCTTAGCATTTTTAGGTCTAATTGTATTAAGCAGTCAACTCCAGAAACCTCAAAACCAACGAAAAAAGTCCATCCTTAATATTCTATTCCTCTAGAGCCACTCCTGGTACCAAAATTTGTATTAGTCAGGGTTCTCTAGAGGGACAGAACTAATGAATATATATATATATATATATATATATATATATATATATATATATATATATATATATATATGTAGGAGTTTACTAAGTATTAACTCACATGATCACAAGGTCCCACAATAGGCTGTCTTCAGACTGAGGAGCAAGGAGAGCCAGTCTGAATTTCGAAACTGAAGAACCTGGAGTCTGATGTTTGAGGACAGGAAGCATCCAGCCTGGGAGAAAGACGTAGGCTGGGAGGCTAGGCCAGTCTCTCTTATTCAGGTTTTTCTGCCTGCTTTATATTCGCTGGCAGCTGATTCGATTGTGCTCACTAGATTAAGGGTGGGTTTGTCTTCCCCAGCCCACTGATTGAAATGTTAATCTCCTTTGGCAACACCCCAACAGACAAACCCAGGATCAGTACTTTGCATTCTTCAATCGAGTTGACACTCAGTATTAACCATCACACTCAGTCATTCAGTAAAACTTGGGGCTGTCTAGTTCAATCCTAAATTTAATGCTTGGACTAGTCTTCTGAAAGTGAACAAAAAAGTTTTAAATTATGATCCATTATCAAAAAGTAAGAGAGAAAGTATGATGTGTGCCATCTAAATCTATTCTTTTAGGGTATGTTTAAATTCAGCATCATTTTTTGAAATATGGCATTTCTTAATATAATATGTAGAATTGTTAGGGAGAAAGAATTATCAATCTAAAACAATTACAAAAAACAATTGCTAAAAGTCATGCATTTAACCATACCTGTGGCTGAAACCTAGGTCTTTTGGCCACAGTAGCCTAAGCTGATTTGGTGGAAGCATACTGAAAATGTGAGCAAATCAGCTTAATACCTGAGCTTCGTATCATAACCGCAAAGCTGAGATCAGTCAGAAACCTTAAAAACGACATCAGTAATTTGGAGGAAAATACTTTAAATAAATAATCAGAAACATAAAATAATTAATATACCAAAATTGTAACAACAACAGTGTTGACAATAGAAAATTGAGAAGCAAGTTAGATATCCAACAGTAGAAGAATGGGTAAAGAACCCGTGATATTATATTATGGTCTTGTATATATTCATCACAATGTTACTTAGAATTTCCAATGACCTGGGAAATACTAAAAATATCATGTTAGACCCTAAACAGCAAGTTATAACATTTTAATAACATTTAAATAATATATGTTCATGTGTGGATGCATGTATATGCATACCTCTGTGAATATATTATAAAAAGACTAGATGTAATGGCTCTAAAATATTATTGAGCTTAATAACTAAGTTTTATTATTGTAAATATACATGTTTTTAATTTTACAATTAATATCTACTACCTGTAATGAGAAAAGCAAAATTATTTATAAAAATAAATTTATAAACATCTACATTTTTTCCTTAAAAATGTATGTGAGATATGAACTTAGAGTAAATTATGATGAATACGTATTCAAGTATGTCCAATTGACAATAAAATGTTCTTTGTTTTTCTATGTCCACAGTGAGGTGACTTACCTTAAATTTATATACTACTAGTAGGTGAAAAGTGGGAGTACTTGAGAGTTGCCTCATAAATAATCATTATTCTCTTGATGAATCCTCCTTGGTCTGGTGCAGTTCAATAATTCTTCTCATCTGTCCTATTTTCCAGCCGTCCCTCTCCCTCGTGCCACCTAAATCAGTGACATTCATGTTTCTAATGATGCAGCATAAACAATAAAGAATACTACAGGCCCAGGTCACAATCTTAACCAAAACAGTTTTTAAAAACCTGTCAAAATAAGATGCATGATATACTTTACAATATGGTGTTATTTTTATATTAAACATGTGATATTTGACATTTGTATGACTGTGACTAAGACCACTCTATTAAAATGAAAAATTTTAACAAACCTTTAGCAGTTTTGATGGACTTGGGATAAGCCCAGCATGAGTTTAGAAACATGTGTTCTATTTCTACTACAGACTAGCTATGTTTTATATATATATACACACACAAATATATATAAAAATATGTTCACATATACATACATATGTATGTATATATGTATATGTGTGTGCATATATGTACACATATACATACATATATGTATATATACATGTATATATGTATACATGTATTCATACACATACATGCATGTATATGTATGCATATGTGTGTGTGCATACATATATATATGCATGTATGTGTATAAATACCTCACCTCTCTCAGCCTTCCTAGAATTGAAGAGAGTTATTACCTTGATGTGGACTAGGTTTTGGCTTAAGGGAATGTTCTGGCTGATTTGATCTTCTCCAGATAATATGTGTGTATATGTGTGTATACGTGTGTATACGTATACACACGTGTGTATACATACACACACGTGTGTATACATATATATGTACACACACACACACACACATAAACACAGGCATGCCTCAGAGATATTGTGGGTTGTTTCCAGACCACCACAAAGGCAAATACCACAATACATTGAGTCACACAAACTTTGATTTCCCAATGCATGTGAAATTTTACATGCCCATACTTTTCCAGTCTATTAAGTGTGCAATAGATGTGTAAAAATGTACTTAATTAAAAATACTTTATTGATAAAAAATGCTAGGCCAGGCGCGGTGGCACACACCTGTAATCCCAGCAGTTCAGGAGGCCAAGAGGGGTGGATCACCTTAGGTCAGGAGTTACAGACTAGCCTGACTAACATGGTGAAACCCCGTCTCTACTAAAAATACAGAAAACAAATAGCCAGGCATGGTGACACGTGCCTGTAGTCCCAGGTACTTGGGAGGCTGAGGCAGGAGAATCGTTTGAACCTGGGAGGCAGAGGTTGCAGTGAGCCAAGATCACACTATTGCACTTGAGCCTGGGCAAGAAGAGCGAAACTCCATCTCAAAAAAAAAAAAAAAGAAATGCTGACAACCAACTGAGCCTTCAGATAGTCATCATATTTTTGCTGGTGGAGAGTCTTGCCTTGATATTGATGGCTGCTGACTATCAGGATGGTGGTTGCTATAGGTTGGGGTGACTGTGCAATTTCCTAAACTAAAACAAAAATGAATCATGCCTCATAGACTGTTCCTTTCATGAAAGATTTCTCTATAGCATGTGATGCTATTTGATAGCATTTTAACCACATTAGCACTTCTTCCAAAATTGGAGTCAATGCACTTAAACCCTGCCATTACTTTACCAATTAAGTTTATGGAACATTCTAAATCCTTTATTGTCACTTCAACAATGCTCACAGCAGCTTCACCAGAACTAGTTTCCACCTCAGGAAACAACTTTGCTCATCTGTAAGAAGCAACCCTTCATCCACTGAGGCTTTATTATGAGATTAGCAATCCAGTCACATCTTGAGGCTCCACTTCTCATTTTAGTTATTTTATTATTTTCAACACATCTGCAGTTACTTTCTCCACTGAAGCCTTGAATCCCTCAATCATCTATGAGTGCTGGAATCAATTTTATTTAAACTCTTTTTAATATCGATATTTTCACAGCCTCCTATGAATCACAGATGTTCTTAGTGACATCTAGAATGATGACTCCTTCTCAGAAGGTTTTCAATTTACTTTTCCCAGATCCATCACAGGAATCACAATCCATGGCAGCTACGGTCTTCTGAAATATGTTTCATAAACAATAAAATGTGAAAGTCAAAATTGCTCTTTGACTCATGGGCTACAGAATGAATGTTGTATTAGCAAGCATGAAAACAACATTAATCTTATGTATGGCTCCATCAGAGCTCTTGGGTGGCCAGGTATATTATCAATGAACAGTCATATGTTGAAAGAAATCTTATTTCCTGAGCAGTAGGTCTCAACAGTGGGTTTAAAATATTCAGTAGACCATGCCGTAAATAGATGTGCTCTCATTCAGGCTTTGTTGTTCTATTTATAGAGCACAGACACAGTAGATTTAGCATAATTTTGGAGGGGCCCTGGAATTTTTAGACAGAATGGTAAATGGACGTTGGCTTCAACTTAAAATCACCAGCTGCATCTGCCTTTTAAATGAGAGTCAGCCTGTCCTTTCAAGTTTTGAAGTTAGTCATTGACTTCTCCTCTGCAGCTGCAAAACTCTTGGATATCATCTTCTTCCAATAGAAGGCATTTTTTCTTTTTTTTGTTGTTGTTGTTGCTGTTTTGTCTTGTTTTGTTTTGTTTTGTTTTGAGATGGAGTTTTGCTCTTGTTGCCCAGGCTGGAGTGCAATGGTGCGATCTCGGCTCACTGCAACTTCTGCCTCCCAGGTTCAAGCAATTCTCCTGCCTCAGCCTCCCAAGTAGCTGGGATTACAGGCATGCGTCACCAAGCCTGGCTAATTTTTTTGGTATTTTTACTAGAGACACGGTTTCTCCATGTTGGTAAAGCTGCTCTCAAACTTCTGACCTCAGGTGGTCCACTCGCCTCGGCATCCCAAACTGCTGGGATTACAGGTGTGAGCCACCACACCTGGCCGAAGGTGGTTTTATCTACATTTAAAATCTGTTGTTTAACATAGACATCTTCACCATTTACATTAGCTAGATCTTCTGGATAAGTGACTGCACCTTCTACATTGGCACTTGCTGCTTCACCTTATGGAGATGGCTTCTTTCTTTTTTTTTTCTTTTTCAAATATATATATATATAATTTTATTATTATTAGACTTTAAGTAAGTTTTAGGGTACATGCGCACAATGTGCAGGTTAGTTACATATGTATACATGTGCCATGCTGGTGTGCTGCACCCATTAACTCGTCATTTAGCATTAGGTATATCTCCTAATGCTATCCCTCCCCCCGCCCCCCACCCCACAACAGTCCCCAGAGTCTGATGTTCCCCTTCCTTTGTCCATGTGTTCTCATTGTTCAATTCCTACCTATGAGTGAGAACATGCGGTGTTTGGTTTTTTTGTCCTTGTGATAGTTTACTGAGAATGATGATTTCCAATTTCATCCATGTCCCTACAAAGGACAAGAACTCATCATTTCTTATGGCTGCATAGTATTCCATGGTGTATATGTGCCACATTTTCTTAATCCAGTCCATCATTGCTGGACATTTGGGTTGGTTCCAAGTCTTTGCTATTGTGAACAGTGCCGCAATAAACATACGTGTGCATGTGTCTTTATAGCAGCATGATTTATAGCCCTTTGGGTATATACCCAGTAATGGGATGGCTGGGTCAAGTGGTATTTCTAGTTCTAGATCCCTGAGGAATCGCCACACTGACTTCCACAATGGTTGAATTAGTTTACAGTCCCACCAACAGTGTAAAAGTGTTCCTATTTCTCCACATCCTCTCCAGCACCTGTTTGTTGTTTCCTGACTTTTTAATGATTGCCATTCTAACTGGTGTGAGATGGTATCTCATTGTGGTTTTGATTTGCATTTCTCTGATGGGTCAGTGATGGTGAGCATTTTTTCATGTGTTTTTTGGCTGCATAAATGTCTTCTTTTGAGAAGTGTCTGTTCATATCCTTTGCCCACTTTTTGATGGGGTTGTTTGTTTTTTTCTTGTAAATTTGTTTGAGTTCATTGTAGATTCTCGATATTAGCCCTTTGTCAGAAGAGTAGGTTGCAAAAATTTTCTCCCATTCTGTAGGTTGCCTGTTCACTCTGATGGTAGTTTCTTTTGCTGTGCAGAAGCTCTTTAGTTTAATTAGATCCCATTTGTCAATTTTGGCTTTTGTTGCCATTGCTTTTGGTGTTTTAGACATGAAGTCCTTGCCCATGCCTATGTCCTGAATGGTAATGCCTAGGTTTTCTTCTAGGGTTTTTGTGGTTTTAGACGTAGGCTCAAAATAAAAGGATGGAGGAAGATCTACCAAGCAAATGGAAAACAAAAAAAGGCAGGGGTTGCAATCCTAGTCTCTGATAAAACAGACTTTAAACCAACATAGATCAAAAGAGACAAAGAAGGCCATTACATAATGGTAAAGGGATCAATTCAACAAGAAGAGCTAACTGTCCTAAATATACGTGCACCCAATACAGGAGCACCCAGATTCATAAAGCAAGTCCTGAGTGACCTACAAAGAGACTGAGACTCCCACACAATAATAATGGGAGACTTTAACACCCCACTGTCAACATTAGACAGATCAACGTGACAGAAAGTTAACAAGGATACCCAGGAATTGAACTCAGCTCTGCACCAAGCGGACCTAATAGACATCTACAGAACTCTCCACCCCAAATCAACAGAATATACATTTTTTTCAGCACTACACCACACCTATTCCAAAATTGACCACATAGTCGGAAGTAAAGCATTCCTCAGCAAATGTAAAAGAACGGAAATTATAAGAAACTGTCTCTCAGACCACAGTGCAATCAAACTAGAACTCAGGATTAAGAAACTCACTCAAAACCGCTCAACTACATGGAAACTGAACAACCTGCTCCTGAATGACTACTGGGTACATAACGAAATGAAGGCAGAAATAAAGATGTTCTTTGAAACCAACGAGAACAAAGACACAACATACCAGAATCTCTGGGACACATTCAAAGCAGTGTGTAGAGGGAAATTTATAGCACTAAATGCCCACAAGAGAAAGCAGGAAAGATCCAAAATTGACACCCTAACATCACAATTAAAAGAACTAGAAAAGCAAGAGCAAACACATTCAAAAGCTAGCAGAAGGCAAGAAACTGAAGAGCAGAACTGAAGGAAATAGAGACACAAAAAACCCTTCAAAACATTAATGAATCCAGGAGCTGGTTTTTTGAAAGGATCAACAAAACTGATAGACCGCTAGCAAGACTAATAAAGAAAAAAAGAGTGAAGAATCAAATAGACGCAATAAAAAATGATAAAGGGGATATCACCACCAATCCCACAGAAATACAAACTACCACCAGAGAATACTACAAACACCTCTACGCAAATAAACTAGAAAATCTAGAAGAAATGGATAAATTCCTCGACACATACACCCTCCCAAGACTAAACCAGGAAGAAGTTGAATCTCTGAATAGACCAATAACAGGCTCTGAAATTGTGGCAATAATCAACAGCTTACCAACCAAAAAGAGTCCAGGACCAGATGGATTCACAGCCGAATTCTACCAGAGGTACAAGGAGGAACTGGTACCATTCCTTCTGAAACTATTCCAATCAATAGAAAAAGAGGGACTCCTACCTAACTCATTTTATGAGGCCAGCATCATCCTGATACCAAAGCCGGGCAGAGACACAACCAAAAAAGAGAATTTTAGACCAATATCCTTGATGAACATTGATGCAAAAATCCTCAATAAAATACTGGCAAACCGAATCCAGCAGCACATCAAAAAGCTTATCCACCACGATCAAGTGGGCTTCATCCCTGGGATGCAAGGCTGGTTCAATATATGCAAATCAATAAATGTAATCCAGCATATAAACAGAACCAAAGACAAAAACCACATGATTATCTCAATAGATGCAGAAAAGGCCTTTGACAAAATTCAACAACACTTCATGCTAAAAACTCTCAATAAATTAGGTATTGATGGGACGTATCTCAAAATAATAAGAGCTATCTATGACAAACCCACAGCCAATATCATACTGAATGGGCAAAAACTGGAAGCATTCCCTTTGAAAACTGGCACAAGACAGGGATGCCCTCTCTCACCCCTCCTATTCAACATAGTGTTGGAAGTTCTGGCCAGGGCAATGAGGCAGGAGAAGGAAATAAAGGGTATTCAAGTAGGAAAAGAGGAAGTCAAATTGTCCCTGTTTGCACATGACATGATTGTATATCTAGAAAACCCCTTTGTCTCAGCCCAAAATCTCCTTAAGCTGATAAGCAACTTCGGCAAAGTCTCAGGATACAAAATCAATGTACAAAAATCACAAGCATTCATATACACCAATAACAGACAAACAGAGAGCCAAATCATGAGTGAACTCCCATTCACAATTGCTTCAAAGAGAATAAAATACCTAGGAATCCAACTTACAAGGGATGTGAAGGAACTCTTCAAGGAGAACTACAAACCACTGCTCAAGGAAATAAAAGAGGATACAAACAAATGGAAGAACATTCCATGCTCATGGGTAGGAAGAATCAGTATGGTGAAAATGGCCATACTGCCCAAGGTAATGTATAGATTCAATGCCATCCCCATCAAGCTACCAATGCCTTTCTTCACAGAATTGGAAAAAACTACTTTAAAGTTCATATGGAACCAAGAAAGAGCCTGCATCGCCAAGTCAATCCTAAGCCAAAAGAACAAAGCTGGAGGCATCACGCTACCTGACTTCAAACTATACTACAAGGCTACAGTAACCAAAACAGCATGGTACTGGTACCAAAACAGAGATATAGATCAATGGAACAGAACAGAGCCCTCAGAAATAATGCCGCATATCTACAACTATCTGATCTTTGACAAACCTGAGAAAAACAAGCAATGGGGAAAGGATTCCCTATTTAATAAATGGTGCTGGGAAAACTGGCTAGCCATATGTAGAAAGCTGAATCTGGATCGCTTCCTTACACCTTATACAAAAATTAATTCAAGATGGATCAAAGGAGATGGCTTCTTTCCTTAAACCTCATGAACTAACCCCTGCTGGCTTAAAACTTTCCTTCCACAGCCTCCTCACCTCTCTCAGCCTTCCTAGAATTGAAGAGAGTTATGATCTTGATGTGGACTAGGTTTTGGCTTAAGGGAATGTTCTGGCTGATTTGATCTTCTGCAGATAACCAAAACTTTTTTCATATCAGCAATAGGTGGTTTAGCTCTCTTATCATGTTTTTGTTCACTGTGGTAGTAGTTTTAATTTTATTCAGGAACCTGTCATTTGCATTCACAATTTGGCTAACTGGCACAAGAGGTCTAGGTTTCAGCCTAGTTCAGCTTTTCACATGCCTTTCTCACTAAGCTTAATTATTTCTAGCTTTTGAGTTAAAGAAAGGTGAAACTCTCACTTGAATGCTTAGAGGCCATTGTAGGGTTTTTAATTAGCTTACTTTCAATACTGTTGTGTGTCAGGGAATATAGAGACTTGAGGAGAGGTAAAGAGATGGAGGAACAATTGGTTGGTGGAGCAGTAAGAAAACACACAACATCTATCTATTTAAGTTCACCATCTTATATGATTAAGTTCAACATCTTCTATAGGTGCAGTTCATGAGGCCGTAAAACAATTACAAGCATCACATGAAAAGATCAGTAATCACAGATCACCATAACAGATATAATAATAATAAAAAAGGTTGAAATATCACCAGCATTACCAAAATGTTGTGACACAGAGACTTGAAGTGAGCACATGCTGTCGAAAAAAAAAAAATTGGTGCCAATAGATTTGCTGAACCCAGGATTGCTACAAACTTTTCATTTGTAAAAATGCAAAATCTGCAAAGCACCATAAGTCAAAACACAATTACATGAGGTATGCCTGTATACAGATAGAGCATCCTTAATCCAAAAATCTTAAATTTGAAAGCTTCAAAATTCAAAACTTTTTGAGTGTCAACATGACAAAACAGGAAAATTTCACACCTGACCTCATGTAATGGGTTACAGTCAAAATGCTATCAAAACTTTGTCTCATGCACAAAATTATCAGACATATTGTATAAAATGACCTTCAAGCTATTAAAATTGGGTTCCTTCTTCAAAATATGTCAGTATGTATATGAAAGTATTCAAAAATTCAAATAAATTAAATCCAAAACAGTTCCGAACCTACGCATTTTGGATAATGGATACTCATCCAATGTGTGTGCATGTGTGCATGTGTGTCTGTGTATGTGTGTGTGTGTGTGTCCATATATGTACTTATATGTTCCCCTTCTCTTTGAGTTGGTTTCCCTATCTGGAAAATCAGGGGTTGGAGATCATGAATGCAAAAATCACCTCTCTGTCCCAAGCTGTGTTCCCTCTGGATATTAAAAATAATTCAAAGCTCAGAAATTTGGGATCATGTTATCAAATGTTTTCAGTGTCATAAAATGATTAAGAACTACAGTTTTCATTTTATCTTAAAAACAAAGTGATGACTGTAAACCAGGGGTCAAAATTAGTTGTGAACAAAGAGTTTGTTTGACTCAGAGGCACTTCATCTGGGTGAATTATAAGCCTCAAAGAACATAGTAACAGCGAATTAATCAAGAAACTTACTCATTGTTTATGTGTGGTTTTTTGAAGCTGAGTTTTTCTAGTGTGTTTGAAGGACTTCAGATCATCGCTCATTTGTGAAAGTGACATTTTTTTTCTTGGGTATAAGAACATGCATTTTCAATGTAGGCCAAGTTTAATTATTCCTCCTAGAAAACATGCCTTTCACCACACATGACAAATTCTCCCCTAAAACAGATCTCTGTATTGAAAATTGTTTCAGTATTGCCCCCAGTCCATGATTTACTTTTAGTATAAAAATTGATTTTCTTTCGGTCTAAGAAAAAATATTTATAAGTGAAGACAGGATATATTTTTCCTCTTACCATGAATTAAGCCAGACTATCTTCAGGGTATTTCTCATGTAGTTTAAGAGATAACTTTAAAATTATTACAAAGTGAAACACTATGTATTGTGAAATCATAACATGCAAACCAAGCACAAAGGGAAAGGTAGATTGTTACAATTCCGGGAATCCATAGAGGGCTTCATAGCGTAGACGGACACTTAACATATCTTTGAAGAAAAAGATATGGTAAGCTGCAAAATTGTTACTTTGTGATGCAGCAATTTATTCAAGGACATAGAAGGTACTCATCAAAATTTTACCTTGTAAATGCACCCATGCCTAGATTTCATCCTAGGACTATTTGAATACAGAAAAACTAAATCATTTTTTATTTTCTAGAATTACAAATTATTTCTATTTATTATTGCATGGAAGTATCAATCAAGACTAGCCAAACTATTTTCTAAAATGCAAATAAAATAGCTATAATTAAATTAATCAAAATACAAATTTCCTTGATCATCTTTTATGCAGAAAACTGAAGTTATATACTAAGGATACTTTCCTTACATTTGATATTCACATCTTTATTCATCCACTCACATCATAAATATGCATTGAGCCCCTACCATGCTAATTTCTGAGGGAGTACAATAATGAAAAAAATAGGAAATAGACAATATACTGTCAAAAATAGAAAACAAAAATAGAAAAAATAAAATACATTAGAGTTTACATTCTAACTTATACTGTGTGTACCTGTGTTTGTCATTGTATATGTCCATGTGTATGTCTTTGGGCACGCACTTGCATATATATGAAGCAGAGAGATTTAGCAGAAACTAGGAAAATCTAATAGTCATGAGACCCTATTTTTAGTCATGGCATTAACAACACATTGCATTTCCTAAAGAAGGTCCCCAAAAACATTTCTTTTATAATTTGATTTTGACACACCCTAGTCAAGGGGTAAAGTCTAACTGAAAAGTGGGTAGACCAGGGGTCCACAAGCCCCAGGCTGTGGACCAGTGCCTATCTTTGGCCTGTTAGGAACTAGGCTGCATGGCAGGAGGTGAGTGGCTGGCAAGTGAGCATTACTGCCTGAGCTCCACCTCCTGTCAGATGAGTAGTGGCAATAGATTCTCAGAGGAGCATGAACCTTATTGTAAATTGTGCATGTAAGGGATCTAGGTTGTGTGCTCCTTATGAGTATCTAATGCCTGATGATGTGAGGTGGAACCGTTTCATCCTGAAACCATCCCCAGCCTCCTACCCCTACCCCTACCCACCTCCCCACAACTAATCCAGGGAAATATTGTCTTCCACGAAACTGGTCCCTGGTGCCAAAAAGGTTGGGGACCGCTGAGGTAGACAATGCTAGAAAAGGTCAAACAACTTCTTCCTGGTTCTCTTGGAGCACTTTCTCTGGGGGAAGCCAGCTACCATCTAAGAAGTCTGACTTCCCTGAAGTTACCATGTTGGAGAGGCTACATATAGACACTTTGGTAAAAAGCCCTACCTGATACCAGCCTTCTTCCAGTCATCCTCTCCAAGGTGTCAGACACATGAGTAGAGCAGCCTTGGACTCTCTAGACCAAGCTTTTCTAAGCCACGGCCCAGGATGTCTTTGAATGTGGCTCAACACAAATTTGTAAACTTTCTTAAAACATTATCAGATTTGTTTTTTTTAGCTCATTGGCTATCGTTAGTGTTAGTGAATTTTATGTGTGGCCCAAGACAATTCTTCCAATGTGGCCCAGGGAAGCCAAAAGGTTGGACACCCCTGTTCTAGACTATTCCATCCATCAGGTAGGTACCACAAAGTGACCTCAGTCAATGTTATGAGGAGCAGAAGAATCATCCTGCTGACCACTCTCAAGTTACTTCACCACGTAATACATAAGATGTAATTAAATAGTTGTGGTTTTAAGCCACTTGATTTTCAGGTGGTTTACGTCACAGCAATAATAACTGGGATAGATGTACAACTTAATAGCTGTGTGACCATAGAAAAGTTAACTACTCTGAACTTTGCTTTTGTTTGTAAAATGAAAATACCAATATATGCCCTTCCTACCCAACATAAATTGGAGGTGTCCTTTTAGCATTATTCTCCTCAAGCCCACATTTGTCTTTCATTTACTCAGAAATTAAACACCAAGTTAGTCTCATTTCTACAACCTGTCATCCCCCAGTATAGTTTCTGTCAAGAAAGTCAAGTTGCAAATGAGATCAGAGTGTAGTGCTGCCATGTTTAATTCTCAGAGTCAACTGGTGGCTCTGACACACCCTGTGATTCACCGCCTATAGATTTCAATTTTGCCAGAATTCGAGAAACTTCATTTAACATACTTTCATAAACCTTCTTTTCACAGTGACTATAAGGGACATATTAAACATATTTGTAAACTGATTTTACAAATTTAAATCCAGGCAGTTTACTGGGTTCTTCTGATTTCTTTCCATATGCAAATGTAAAAAATTCACTTTGCCATTATAATGAAAAACTGAACATATACCATGCCATGTCTGATAATCTGTCCCTTCTCCTGCCACTGATATGGAAGTGTAAAAATTCAGATTGTCCCATGCCTTTTAGATTTCTCTGATGGCCAATGAGGTATTCCTGGTGGTAAAGACTGACCCTTTGATCACACATCTCTCACAAGTAAGCAATTCTAGGCTGTAAGACCTTTGGCTTATATACATCTCTCTGACTTCAAAGTTTGTTTGTAAGGCAAGTTTATATAGGTATACCCAACATTAAGTACACATGATATTTAACAATCTGGATTTATGAAATGGGAAAAATAGAAGGAGGGAAGTTATTCTATACTTCACTATAGGCCGATGTATGGTACTATAAAGTAATACTATAGGCTTATCTATAGTGTTACTTTAAATACTGCTTCACAAGAGTACCTTTAAATACAGTATTGGTTACAAAAATGTAGACATACATAGAAATTTTCAGATTTACATCTATTTTGCCAAGCAGGTTGCATCTGTATATATTATAACTTTTTGTACATTATTGTTTCAGCACGGAAACCTAAAGTAATAGGCATTACCTTGTTCACTGCCTATTATATACAAAAATTAAGCTAGGCTCATCATACGCTTTCCTTGTGGTAATCTTAAAGTAATCATTTTACTCCCATTTTAAAGATGAGAAAATTGATTCTCAGATAAAACAAGTGTGATGGTTAATATGAAGTATCAACTTGATTGGATTGAAGGATGCAAAGTATCACTCCTGGGTGTGTCTGTGAGGGTGTTGCCACAGGAGATTAACATTTGTGCCAGTGGACTGGAAGAGGCAGACCCACCCTGCATCTGGATGGGCACCCTATAAGCAGCTGCCAGTGTGGCTAGAATAAATCAGGCAGAAGAAGTTGGAAGGACTTGACTTGCTGAGTCTTCCAGCCTTCATCTTTCTCCCATGCTGGATGCTTCCTGCCCTCAAACATCAGACTCCAAGTTCTTCAGCTTTTGGAATCTTGGACCTACACCAGTGGTTTTCCAGGGACTTTTGGGCCTTCAACCACAGACTGAAGACTGCACTGTCAGTTTCTCTACTTTTGAGGTTTTGGGACTTGGACTGGCCTCCTTGTTCCTCAGCTTGCAGATCACCTACTGTGGGACTTCACCTTGTGATCGTGTGAGCCAATACTCCTTAATACATTTAGAACACTGGAGCCTTCTATTCCTAGGACTAGTCTGTATGAGTGAGTGTGTGTGTGTGTGTATATATATATATATATATATATATATATATATATATATATATATATACACACACACACACATCTATCCTATTCTGTCCCCCTAGAGAACCCTGACTAATACATTAAGGTATTGCCCAAGGTCACTCTGCTGCAAAATGGTAAAAATTTGATTTAAATTATAGTTTAACCTGAAACTGCCTTCGTATCCTTTGCCTTCTATTACTTCCCAGTACTCATCATTTGTGCTTAAACCACAATGAATAGTTTGAGGCATAAGCATTTGAACCTTACTACCGTTGCTCATAACGTTCTCTCCCTCTGTAAGGCTGTTATCCTCATTTCTACAACATCATATGAGACATAAGTCTTATAGTAAGTTTTGAAAGTCTCATAAAATTCTCCCATTTTCCTGTCTTTTCATAGCATTTCTTGGCACCTTTCTCATATGACTGATCACATTCTTAGATCCATTATCTATGTTCATGTCTTAGCTCTCCAGCCAGCCTGCGGTAGTAATAATCAGATCTGCAGTGCTTTACAGACACACTGCATTTTCCCATGTATCTTTTCTTTTAAGGAAGACTCTTCTAGTGACTGAAAATTATGAACTCACAGTTTAGTGCCCAATATGAGAGTAAAATTTTGAAATGAAAGTACTATGATGTATTATTCCTCTAATTTGTCATTGATATATTCTTTTCTAGAGAGTTGTGAATGCCCTAAAATCATAACAAAAAACTTATCTCACTACATCTATTTGTACTTGTCCTTTCATCTACCTTTTTTCCAGAGTTTCAGTCAGATGAGGACTTCTGGAATATTAATTTATAAAATTAATTTTATCTTTAGCTGTTTAGAGATACCTACAAAATCTACAGTAGATTGTGATTGACATTTTAAAAGTATGGCCAGTGAACTTGGGCAACCAGTGTTCTAACATCTGCATCTCTGCTTGGCTTCGTTATTCTCTCTTCTTTGTCTTGACATCTATGCTATCGTTCTTGTACATTGGTTAAACTGTTATGTCTTTGTGGGGAGAAATGGCTCCAGAATAAATTCACCTGCTTCTTGATGAAAGAAAAAAAGGAACAGTGGAGACTTAAAGAGATAGATTTTAGACAGAAAAGAAAGCAATAGAACTGAGCCTAATTTAAAGAGGAGGAGGTATTTCATGGATGCTCACATCCTCGGTGTCAACAAACCAACTTTCCAAATGTTCTGTATAGAACTAAGACAAATATAATTTCTGTTTAATTTGATGAAAAAAACTGTTCATGAAGTGCTAGGCAAAACATTATGAATTTGAAAGGGTTATTTACTTTTTAAATATATATTGCATTTCATTTGATAGGGAGGAACATATAGTATAGTGGTATTTTCAACTGAGAGCTACATGAAGTTATTAAGACTCAGCTTTTATTCCAGAAAAGTTGCCAAGTACAATCTTTCATTATTATGCTGCATCTATTTACATATAATCGACCTCATTTGAGCAGGGTGAAGTGACAAGGTCTGGATTCCATAAAACCTCATTATTTCAATGCAGAAAAAGCTCATGTTATTTATACTTCTGTGGCTTATTCTTTCACTTACTTATGAGTTATTGCTCTGCAAGTTTCGTTTGCCTTCTCTAAGCCTTTATGCCTTAGGAATGAACATTCTTATACACAATGGTAATTTTTCATTTGCCTTTTTCTCAGAGACGTACAAAATATTGAACCTACTTTTCTCAAATACAGTACCTAAAGCATAATGAATGAAAGCATGTTTCTAGCATAGCTGCCTCTTTTATATTGTATTTTTTGACTTATCAAGAATTACTTATAAGTGCATTTTCTTGAGCATATGTATTGCTTTCAGAAACATTTTCAATGCAAGACCTAAGCAAGAAAACTTAAGTCCTTCGTTCTTTAAACTCTAGGTAGTTACTGCTTAGGAAGCTACATCCATTTTCTTTTTTTTTTTTTTTTAAGTGAATAATACATGGTCCTTTATTTCAAGAGGCTCACTGTCTTTCTTTCCCCTCTCTCCATCCCTCCTGTGCCCCTCCCTCCCTCGCTTCCTTTTTCCTTTCTTTTTTTTATTATTTTTTATTATACTTTAAGTTTTAGGGTACATGTGCACAATGTGCAGGTTAGTTACATATGTATACATGTGCCGTGTTGGTGTGCTGCACCCATTAACTCGTCATTTGACATTAGGTAAATCTGCTAATGCTATCCCTCCCCCCTCCCCCCACCCCACAACAGGCCCTGGTGTGTGATGTTCCCCTTCCTGTGTCCATGTGTTCTCATTGTTCAATTCCCACCTATGAGTGAGAACATGCGGTGTTTGGTTTTTTGTCCTTGCCATAGTTTGCTGAGAATGATGATTTCCAGCTTCATCCATGTCCCTGCAAAGGACATGAACTCATCCTTTTTTATGGCCGCACAGTATTCCATGGTGTATATGTGCCACATTTTCTTAATCCAGTCTATCGTTGTTGGACATTTGGCTTGGTTCCAAGTCTTTGCTATTGTGAATAGTGCCCCAATAACCATACGTGTGCATGTGTCTTTATAGCAGCATGATTTATAGTCCTTTGGGTATATACCCAGTAATGGGATGGCTGGGTCAAATGGTATTTCTAGTTCTAGATCCCTGAGGAATCGCCACACTGACTTCCACAATGGTTGAACTAGTTTACACTCCCACCAACAGTGTAAAAGTGTTCCTATGTCTCCACATCCTCTCCAGCACCTGTTGTTTCCTGACTTTTTAATGATCGCCATTCTAACTGGTGTGAGACGGTATCTCACTGTGGTTTTGATTTGCATTTCTCTGATGGCCAGTGATGATGAGCACTTTTTTATATGTCTTTTGGCTGCATAAATGTCTTCTTTTGAGAAGTGTCTGTTCATATCCTTCGCCCACTTTTTGATGGGGTTGTTTTTTTCTTGTAAATGTGTTTGAGTTCATTGTAGATTCTGGATATTAGCCCTTTGTCAGATGAGTAGATTGCAAAAATTTTCTCCCATTCTGTAGGTTGCCTGTTCACTCTGATGGTAGTTTCTTTTGCTGTGCTGAAGCTCTTTAGTTTAATTAGATCCCATTTGTCAATTTTGGCTTTTGTTGCCATTGCTTTTGGTGTTTTAGACATGAAGTGCTTGCCCATGCCTATGTCCTGAAAGGTATTGCCTAGGTTTTCATCTAGGGTTTTTATGGCTTTAGGTCTAACATTTAAGTCTTTAATCCATCTTGAATTAATTTTCGTATCAGGTGTAAGGAAGGGATCCAGTTTCAGCTTTCTACATATGTCTAGCCAGTTTTCCCAGCACCATTTATTAAATAGGGAATCGTTTCCCCATTTCTTGGTTTTGTCAGGCTTGTCAAAGATCAGATAGTTGTAGATATGTGGCATTATTTCTGAGGGTTCTGTTCTGTTCCATTGGTCTATATCTCTGTTATGGTACCAGTAACATGCTGTTTTGGTTACTGTAGCCTTGTAGGATAGTTTGAAGTCAGGTAGCGTGATGCCTCCATCCATTTTCTAGTTAAGTAACAAAAATGTCCTTCAATGTGTGTATAACTTTAAGAGGAACCATTGATTTCTAATTACATATTGAATTTTACCACCCCACAAGTTATAGAAAATCAGAAAAAAAATCTGTTTGCACAAAGCCTGTATTGGAAGTGGGATTTTTTTTATGTTTGCTATAGTGTTATTTTATTGATTCTATAGCACTGTTTGTTTTATTCCTTGAAATATGAATCCTGCCATTTGGTTAAACCTTAAAGGTTAATTCTGTAATCTGAAAACTGTCTATAAAAATGTCCCAAGATGTATGAGGAAGAATCACAGTTCAGAACACTGTAGCCTTCTATTCCTGGGACTAGTATGTATGAGTGAGTGTGTGTTTGCATATGTTTATAGCAGGTAAATTAGGGTAATTCCTTAGCTCATAGTAAATTTAACACCTATTCCCTGCACACAGTTGTGCTATATGCTTAGTTACAGTGCCTCTGTCTAAATAGTGTTCACAGACTGTTTATTATCCCAACTCAGATACCTCATGTGAGCTTCAGACACATAAACAAGGTAACACCCGAAACAATGTGTGACACATAATAGGCAGTGAAAATATATTTGTTATATAAATATTTCTCTCTTTCTGGGCTCTTAAATACGTTTTCGGGGATTATGAAATGATGTTTTGGGGGATTATGACTCCCTCCTTCTCCATGATCTCTTCTACTCTCATACTTCAACTGCCAATATATGCCAACAATTTTTTAAAATTTATTTCATCAGCTCAAACTTCTGTTCCAATTTTCACATCTATGTATCCAGCTTTCTACTCTACATATGCAAATGTATGTCTCAAGGGCTCCTTAAATACAAGATGCTTATTACAGAATTCATGATCTTCAAACTCTATCCTCATTTGACCTTCACCTTAATAAATGAAATCGTCATTCAGCCAGCTGCAATGATAGTGCTGTAAACAGACTCTAAGGTATCCCCCTAATCGCTACCTCCTGGTAGTTGTACCTTTCTGGAATCTTCTCCCTTTGAGTATATGTGGGACCTATAACTTACTTCTAACCAATAGAACATCAGTAAAGATGATAGGCTGTCACTCCCATGATTATGTCACGTCACGTAGGACTGCATCTTGCTACTCAATTAACTGTAGAATCTCTCCTTACTGGCTGTATTAGAAAGACCAGCCAGGAATTGTGGCTCACGCCTGTAATCCCAGCACTTTGGGAGGCTGAGGCAGGTGGATCACGAGGTCAAGAGATCAAGACCATCCAGACCAACATGGTGAAACCCCATCTGCACTAAAAATACAAAAATTAGCTGGGCATGGTGGCATGCACCTGTAATCACAGCTACTCAGGAGGCTGAGGTAGGAGAATCACTTGAACCCAGGAGGCGGAGGTTGCAGTGAGCCGAGATGGTGCCACTGCACTCCAGACTGGCAACAGAGTGAGATTCCATCCCCCACCCCCCCCCCAAAAAAAAAAGAAAGAAAGAAAGAAAGGGCCATGCAGCACAGAATTGTGAAGTTTCTAGGAACATGGTGAATTTTGGTACAGTGAGAGTAAGTCAGGCATAGAGTGTATTTGACAGAAGGAATTCCAAAAAAAGAGCCAGGAAAGGTGGTTTCAGGCTAGGTTGTGAAGAGCATTGTCTGGCAATGTGGAAAATAATTTGTTACCATGGCAAAAATTTGGTTTACTCATTCAATAAAGTTGTTCAATGCCTTTTGAGTGCAAGCACATTTTTAGGCACTGAAGATGCAACTGAAAACAAAGCAAATTAAAATCCCTGTCTCAGGAGCAAGGAGTCATTGAATGACTGAATGTCAGCAAGGAGTCTCTGAATGATTAAATCAGGGTATATGTGAGGTCATATTTGGATTTCAGAAGAATAATGGAAGAAAGGAGAGAGATTATAAGATGAGAGCGTGGAAGAAGGGAGAAGTGGAATCAATCAATCAGTTTAAAAAATGGTGAGTTAATATAATATTTTAAAAATACAAAATAGGAAGGAGATGGGTGAATGAAGCAGGCAAGAAGAACAGGTGCTTATCACAAGTGAGCACACTACTCACATGGTAAGACATCGAATCCAGTGCTTGGCTTCATTCTACATTTTCTTATTGACAGCCAACTGTGGCTAAGCTACTTGGTTAGGGGTTTATTTATGCACATTTTGTGATTGTCTTTTCAAGCAAATACAGTTTGATTGGCCCTTTAATTTTACAGCTCCTTCTCTGAGGTAATAGTTTTTATTTGAGGTTCTCCAGGCCATGTGTTAACATTATTAGAACAGTAGCCCTTCTGCCACTTGGAAATAGAATCTGTTCCTGAGAGCAGCTGCTTGTCTTCATTGAAAGAAATGCTTTATATGAATTTTACAATTTTCCTACTTGACTCTCAGTTTTTACTCTCTATTTGTTGGCGATGACCTTGTCTATATTTGTAAGTGTTCTTTTGCACCTTTTATCAGAATCATATTTAAGACGTCTATGACAAACCCACAGCCAACATTAACCTGAATGGGGAAAAGTTGAATGCATTCCCCCACTGAGAACTGGAACAACACAAGATGCCCACTTTCACCACTTTTATTCAACATAAGGCAGAGTAACATTTTGAAAGCAAGTTACTTTACTTTAATGTGCTTCTCAGAGTGTACGGTAGGAACAGAATACATGAGCGTAATCTCAAGGGTAAAGACAGTTTGCCATTTTTCTATTACACACACACACACATACACACACAAACACACACATACACACACAAACACACACATGTATGTAATTAATGTCCCAGAATTTATCAAGATTGGGAAATAAAAAGAGGATAAGAGAATTCTATTTATTTGAGAAGACTAGCATATTTACAAATAATTAACACCATATAAAAAGTTACTTTAAGGATAATATACTTAGCTTATTAAACTGCATGCAGCCACCTTAAAATTTGGAGTGCACAGCAAAATGTAATTTTGGTTGCTTCTAAGCGTTGGGATTGACAGATTCCTTTTTTATGCTGCCTTGATCTAAAGTGGTTTTGTGAATTGAATTTAAATGCTGCTACTAGGCTGATAATACACAATACATTTTAAAACACGGGTTTGCTATTGTCTGTAACATTCACATTTCACTTGCAAGGAAGATAAAGTATTTCTATTAACACTAGACTTATTTCTGATTCTGAGGACCAGCCAGCACCATAGATGATGAAAATTCAGTTCATCACAGAAAGGATCATGCAGGTAGTTTCCCTGTTGAGTCTTATTTCACAAAATGAGTTTGATTTAATTGCACCGAATTCTCTGAATTTATTTACATTTTCCTTCTCTCTTTGTTAACATAATCATTTAAAATATTGTTATGTATACAATTGCTGTTATCTTCTTCCTATATTATTATTTTCTAAACTACAATCTTCCATAAATAGAAGGTCCCATGATCTTATATTACTATAGCTTTTAATACTAAAAAATTTATTTTTATATTTTATCATATTTGAAATCAAGATTTATTTATTCCTTCGGAAAAAAAAATCCTGTCTTTGCATGAATTATATTTGGGATGCACAATACAAAATAAAACAAAGAAATAAATTATATAGCACGCTTTATGATAAGTAAGTCCAAATAAAGGAAAAAAAGGATAATGGTAAGAGTTGAACTTACTGACAACGAGACATTAGGAAAAGACCTGAAAAAAGTGAGTGAGCCATGTAATATATCTGGGGGAAATGTATTCCAGGCAGAGGCGAAGCCAGTGCAAATGCCTCGAAGCAGGAAGGAAGCTGGCAGGTTAAAAGAATTAAAGTGCAGTGTAGGCCAATGACCCTAGAGTAGAGTGTGCAAGGAGGAACACAATAGCAGATCAGAGAGGTAAGTGCACACATAAAACTAAGGAACAGGCAGGACATAGTTGCCTAGGGGCTGGGGAATGTTTTCTATGTATACATCCAATTACCTGTGAGCAACTTGTACACGCAATGGGATTAGCAAATTTGACTGTCAATATTGATCTAAGTGACCTATTAAGTTTCGTTCTATAGACAGAGCTGAAGATTTCAAGTCAAAACTGATGTAATAAACCGGAAACATATGGGATGGCATAATTTTCTGTTTGCAGAGTTAAGCTGAGGATGACACTGTGTTGGGGAGAGACTTCTTGGATATTTTATAATTACCACAAAAAATTAAGGTAATTTCAATAGACATCAAAATAACTTGTTGAATAAGAAAGAATCAGAAGTGTCAAGCAGTCATATGTATTTATTTAGATGAAACACAGGTACTGTCTTTGAATTCAATTTTTCAAAATGAATTATGTTAAGCACCGTATAATCTATGTAGATATATTTCTAGATAATCAAGCTTGCAAACATCAGTCTCAAAAAATTAAAGCCATATTCATCTTCCTTATTACTTCTGAATGTAGTAATTCATTCTTGTACAGTAAAGAAGATTTGGGCTTGTGGTAACCCTGAAAATGAATTTATCACCGTTTATACTTATTTTACTCATTTTGCTCATTTATACCATATCTCAAGTTTTAATAGTAATAACACTATTTCTTTTAAAATCTCATAAAATTAATACATTTTACTTAATCAAGTTTGCTTTTCCTTTGCTTTCTATGATACTGAAGTTTTACTCTAGTCTTTTTATTACCTAAGTCTCTTAGGAAAAAGAGAAGACACACATAGGAGAATTGTGCCACAAACTTGAAAAATGAGGGGTTGAAAATAGTGTCTAAAAAACACAAGGCAAAAAAAAATTATGTATCAAACATGCATTTTTCAATGATTTATTAAAGGGTAGACTGAGCCATGGGGACCAAATAGTATCTTGTTATAGTCTAGTCTTTGTTACATTTTTTTAAAATACATAAAATATCTAAGCTTCGAATGTAGATAACTTGGGTTTGAGGATAGTTCAGCTACTCACTGGCTCTGAGCCATTGCTTTCCAACTGTAAAATAAGAGGTTTTACTAGATCAGTGACTAGAAAACTGTTTTATAGATGCATAGAAGATACTTCCAGGGCTGCTGCTGGAGTTACAGCAGTATGGGGAGAAATGGGGTGCACAGTTGTTCCAAGCATGTCTGTTTTATATACTAGGACTCCTTGTAAGATTTCATTTGAAGGAAGGTATCGTGAAAATCGTTTGAAAGTTCTATTTGAACAGTATTAGTCAAACTTTTTTATTAAGTTGTTTTATGATGAACTTTTTTAAAAAAGTTCATCAAACTTTAAAAATACTCCTTCACTTTTTTTTTCTTTTTTTTTAAATTTTATTATTATTTTATACTTTAAGTTTTAGGGTACATGTGCACAATGTGCAGGTTTGTTACATATGTATACATGTGCCATGTTGGTGTGCTGCATCCATTAACTCGTCATTTAGCATTAGGTATATCTCCTAATGCTATCCCTCCCCCCTCCCCCCACCCCACAACAGTCCCCAGTGTGTGATGTTCCCCTTCCTGTGTCCATGTGTTCTCATTGTTCAATTCCCAGCTATGAGTGAGAACATGCAGTGTTTGGTTTTTTGTCTTTGCGATAGTTTGCTGAGAATGATGGTTTCCAGTTTCATCCATGTCCCTACAAAGGACATGAACTCATCATTTTTTATGGCTGCATAGTATTCCATGGTGTACATGTGCCACATTTTCTTAATCCAGTCTAGTCTATCGTTGTTGGACATTTAGGTTGGTTCCAAGTCTTTGCTATTGTGAATAGTGCTGCTATAAACATACGTGTGCATGTGTCTTTATAGCAGCATGATTTATAATCCTTTGGGTATATACCCAGTAATGGGATGGCTGGGTCAAATGGTATTTCTAGTTCTAGATCCCTGAGGAATCGCCACACTGACTTCCACAATGGTTGAAATAGTTTAGAGTCCCACCAACAGTCTAAAAGTGTTCCTATTTCTCCACATCCTCTCCAGCACCTGTTGTTTCCTGACTTTTTAATGCCACATATCTACAACTATCTGATCTTTGACAAACCTGACAAAAACAAGCAATGGGGAAACGATTCCCTATTTAATAAATGGAGCTGGGAAAACTGGCTAGCCATATGTAGAAAGCTGAAACTGGATCCCTTCCTTACATCTTATACAAAAACTAATTCAAGATGGATTAAAGACGTAAATGTTAGACCTAAAGCCATAAAAACCCTAGAAGAAAACCTAGGCATTACCATTCAGGACATAGGCATGGGCAAGGACTTCATGTCTAAAACACCAAAAGCAATGACAACAAAAGCCAAAATTGACAAACGGGATCTAATTAAACTAAAGAGCTTCTGCACAGCAAAAGAAACTACCATCAGAGTGAACAGGCAACCTACAGAATGGGAGAAAATTTTTGCAACCTACTCATCTGACAAAGGGCTAATACCCAGAATCTACAATGAACTCAAACAAATTTACAAGAAGGAAACAACCCCATCAAAAAGTGGGTGAAGGATATGAACAGACACTTCTCAAAAGAAGACATTTATGCAGCCAAAAAACACATGAAAAAATGCTCATCATCACTGGCCATCAGAGAAATGCAAATCAAAACCACAATGAGATACCGTCTCACACCAGTTAGAATGGCGATCATTAAAAAATACTCCTTCACTTATAAATTACAAGCTAACAAACAAACACTTTTCAGTATATGTTTGTTTACATGATGAGAAAGGACATACTTTAAAGCATATTGATATATCAAATTTTAAAAATAAAATATTTTATCTTTTTAAATGCATCAATAGTATCTATATATCAAAACAAAACAATTGAATACACACATTATCTTTTAAAAAGTACATGAGCAATCTGTATTAAAAGTCAGGAATTTAACATTGTTTCTTTTTGTCTTGTAATCCATATAGTCATCCCCACATAATTTTATACTATTTAATATTTATAGTTAAGCCTTTAATTGAACATCAGATCATATTTCTTTGGTATAAAATATATCCGTATTAAATATGTATTTTAATGACATACATATAACATTCATTTTAAAATAAATAATTTTCAGTTACCATACTTTCCTATGGGTTAAAAAATCATTCAAGATTGAATTATGATCACATTTATTTTGTAGTATACCATTGATCAAAATAAAACACATTACACATTTGAATAAAAGAAATAAAACATAAAATTAATATTTATGTACAATCTATTTCTTAAATGAGTTGGATAAGAATAATTTTTCAATGAGTTTATATGTCCATGGATAAATATTATTTTGTGCTCTAGTTGAATTTATTATCAAACAATTTATGTGTATGTGTGTTGCATATATGTTAAGACTAGAAACCTATTTGTGTAAAATATAAGATTAGAAAGGAGTTTTATTTTAGTAATGTTTCTCACTCATTTAAACTCCTTCTGACTTATATATTAAAATTTATCAGCTCTTATTTGTCTTAGGTCCTTCTTCAACGTGGTTGAAAGGAAAGCGTTGGAAACCACATGAATTGCAAAGAATACGTAACCTAGTGGTAGTTTCACTCACATTCTCAATAGTGACTAATAGTGTTTCCTGTTGAACCTGTGTTTAGTGCCTTGGAGGTTTTTCTTCCTAAGGGCAATACCCCGTATTGTGATATTAGGGGCGACTTGAAAACATTGCCATTTAGCACTAGGTATATCTCAATGCTAAATGACGAGTTAATGGGTGCAGCACACCAGCATAGCACATGTATACATATGTAACTAACCTGCACATTGTGCACACGTACCCTAAAACTTAAAGTACAATAATAATAAAATAAAATAAAATAAAATAAAATAAAATAAAATAAAATAAAAGGGAAGAGAGAGAGAAGAGTCTCCCTGGAGCCTGTACTCCGGATGTTTCCAGGCAGACCAATTTTAGAAAGATGATGCATGGAAGTGGGAAAACAAAATAGATTCTCTGAGAACTAGCCACATCCACGTACTCCTTCAAACGTCTTCATGATCTTCTACACAAAGGGATACACACTCCAGTTTAAAACTCACTGTGACTCAGCCAAGATCACGCCACTGCACTCCAGCCTAGGCAACAGAGTGGGACTCCTTCTCAAAAAAATAAAAAAATTAAAAAAAATTAAACTCACTGCGTTGGAGTATCTCTTGGGTCTCTTCACATTTTATTATTCTGTAATTACTTATGGCTTATCGTATTATAGATTATAACCTTAAAGTTCCCTTGTAATGAATCAAGAAGGAAACACATATATTTTGCGAGTGCAAAATACACAGCACCATTTAATATTTTTTTTATATTTACATAAGATTAAATCTCTGTAAATAATGATATCTTTCAAATCAGTATTGTTCATCTCATGTATATCTTTCTTATTGAAAACTTAACTTGAAAATTGAGTTTTCCAGTTTACTTGTAAGTAGATCCACAGCAAATCAGTGTTGTTTCATGCCTCTTGCCTACTGATAAATTGAATTGACTTGAGCAGAAACACATTAAAATGTAACATGAGAAGAATGTAGGAGGAGAGGAGAAGTGGCATGATAATTACCATAGAGACATCATATCGACCCTTCTATTAGTTTATCATGTCACTAGCAAAACTGAGAAGTGAGCTCATTAGAGTAAATACAAAAAGACTTACTTTTACGTGTTACAATTATATTGTTCTAATTTAGAAGAAAAGCATGACTCAGTTACGTGGATTCTGTGCGGAGCTCTTTAGGTAATTAACTCTGGCAGTGACACACTATTTTCAGATAACAAGGAACACACAGTTTTCACCTGTGGGCTCCAAGGCATTTGGCTTTCTCAAATAAAGACTGTAGTGATGGTGAATACTTAATCTATGAATGCAGTGTGGCACACAGCTCTTTTCCAGAATCTCTTGAACAGCATGAAGAGTCTTTCACTGTCCATATAAATACATAATATCATTAGTATGAAATAAGGTGGCTGGTTTCCACTGTCAGAATTAGATGCTTACTGGCATAATACATGTAGGTAGAATGAATGGCTTAAGTTCTGGAGCCCTAGTAAGTGCTTCATGAAGGTCCGGTGAATATTTGTGGAAATAAGCAATGAATGAAGAAAGGAAGTTTTATATATATATATATATATATATATATATATATATGTATATATACACACGTATATATATACACGTGTATATATATACGTGTATATATATACACGTGTACATATATACGTGTATACACACGCGTATATATACACGTGTGTGTATATACACGCGTATATATACACGTGTGTGTATATACGTGTATATATGTATATGTGTGTATATATGTATATATGTGTGTATATGTGTGTATATGTGTATATATGTGTATACATGTATGTATATGTGTGTGTATATATGTATATATATGTGTGTGTATGTATGTATATGTGTGTGTATATATGTATATATGTGTGTATGTATGTGTATATATGTGTGTGTATATATGTGTGTATATGTGTATATATGTGTGTGTATGTGTGTATATATGTGTGTGTATATGTGTATATATATGTGTGTATATGTGTATATATGTATATATGTATATATGTGTGTATATATGTGTATATGTGTGTGTATATATGTATATATGTGTGTGTATATGTATATATGTGTGTATATATATGTGTATATGTGTATATATGTGTGTATATGTGTGTGTGTGTATGTGTGTGTATATGTGTATATATGTGTATATATATACATGCTCACACACATAATATATATATATGTTATATAAATATAAATGTCACCTATGAGTATTTCAACAAGGCTAGCAGAGTATATAGATACGAGTGGATTCACTCATAATAAAAAGTATTCTCTCAAGGATCTTTGTAACTCAAATATTTTTGTGTGTATATTTATGTACTTATATGTGTGCCCCTATATTCCTACATGTGTATATATATATATGTTTATATGTGGATATGTGTATACACTTATATATATATGAGAAAGAGAGGGAGTGTAGAAAGGGAGAGAGAGAATGAAAGAAAAAATCTCTTAGAATAGTAATTTCTGTTTTGCTTTTGAATCCCACAGGACCACGACCAATCCAAAAGCAGGGGACATCTTTTGTTCAACTTTTTATAATTAAGTCTAATCCTGAGTTGGATTCAGATTAAAAACAAAAACAAGCAAATAAATAAATACAATAGACATCTATGAGATGGAAATAGTGTGTGTGTGTGTGTGTGTGTGTGTGTGTGTGTGTGTGTGTGTGTGTGGCGAGGGAAATTGAAGTTCTAAACTGCTGTGGAAGGGTGGGCTGTATTTTCACTGGGAGCATGCACCAGTCCCTCATGGTTTCTTGAGAGAGATGCTCAGGAATACAAATACCTCCAAAAACAGTAGATATAAAGACAATAAATTCAAAGGTGATGGAGACTTTGGTTAAAAGTGATAAAAAACGTGGTTCCTGGAGTCAGATAAAACTCAGGTAGAATTCCAGCTTTGTCACAACAGCTGTGAGATCTTGTGCAAGATATCTAATTTTTATGTGCCTCAGTTTTCTCATCTGTAAAAAGGGCCATAAGAGTTCCTAAAACATTGGGTTGTGGTGAAAAATATATAATACAGAGAATGTACAATTTTCCTTACTATAGATTTGTGGATGTAAAAATACAGGTCAATGTTCATTCAACCGATCTTTCCTAGAAAGATATTGAAGAAGAAAAGCAATTGTTTCTTGGATAAGGTTGTCAACGTCTGTGGTAATGAAGATGACACAGGTTTTGTAGTTAGGCATATCTGGATTGGTTTCCTAAACCTACTATTTAAAAAGCTGTGTGATTCTGAGCTAGTTTCTTAAGTCTTAAGATTCTCAGATTCCTTTCTGTAAAATGGGATACTAATATAATACCTAGCACATATTTAGCATGGCAATGTACCAGACAATGTTCCAAAAGCTTTATGAGTATTTGCTCATTTATTCCTCCTAGCAATCTAATGGAATAAGTACAGCATTGTTACTGCTCTTAGCTACTCACTGAAGTGGTAGTCATTAACCCCATTGCACAATCGAGAAAATAACCTTAGAGAAAATGCATTAATAATAATAGTTTTTCAGCTTCCTTAGGCCTTGTGTCTTATATGAGTTGTTGAAAACTGCTTGCACCTATGAAGTGGTAAATAAACATGGTGAACTGAGTCAGGTGGCTATCAAAAATGAAGCCTATGATGTTGACAGTGGTTTGGTGAGTAGGGATGAATGCTGTAATCACACTTCTTTTTTTTGTTTGTTTTTAATTTTAATTTTTATCTTAGATTCAGGGGATACATATGGAGGTTTGTTACAAGAGTATATTGCACGATACCAAAGTTTCGGCCTCTGTTGATCCCAACACCCAGATAGTGAACATAGTACCCAATAGGAAGCTTTTGGCCCTTACTCCCTTCCATCCTTTTCTGCTTTTAGAGTTCCTGATGTCTATCGTTTCTATCTTTATGTCAGTGTATGCCTGATATTTAACTCCCTCTTCTAAGTGAGAACACATGGTATTTAATTTTCTGTTTCTGCATTAATTTGCTTAGAATGATAGTCTGTCTTCAGCTACATCCATGTTGTGATAACGAAAATGATTTCATTTCTTAATGGCTTCATAGTATTCCATGGTGTATATGTGCCATGTTTTCTTTATCCAGTCCACCATTAATTGGCATCTAAGTGGATTCCGTGTCTTTGCTAGTGTAAATAGTGCTGTAATAAGCATACAAGTGCATATGTCTTTTTGGTAAAATGATTTTTTTTTTCCTTTGGGTACATACTCAGTAAATGGATTGCTGAGTCGAATAGCAATTCAATTTTTAGTTGAAAAATCTCCAAACTGATTTCCACAGGGGCTGAACTAATTTTCATTATCACCAACAGTGTATAAGCATTTCTCTTTCTCTTCAGTTTTGCCAGCATCTGTTATTTTTTGACTTTTTAATAATACTCATTCTGACTGGTGTGAGACGCCTATGATGTTACAATAAAGTTTCTTTTTAGAGCACTTTCAAGCTTACTAAAAGGACCTATTGAATGCTAAAGAAAAAGCAAACAGTCCCCACTTTCTGCATGCTTCTAAAGAGCTAGCCACAAAGATACGGACTAAATGACTGTTCATGTTTGATAACCATTGACTTGGGTCACAAAACACTGTACATTTCAAGAGCAACACTGACTTCATTTAGGTACCTGAGTACCTATTAGATGCACTATTTGGCACAAGTAATTTACACCCATGCTGTGTTCTTTCTAAAAGATCCAGTGTCCCCAATCTAATTTACTAACATTTTATGTTTTCTTTGACTATGAGTTATTTGAATCTTCTGATAGTTCAAGGGAATGTGAGTGAGTTTGAACACTGGCTTTGGAAAGATTTTCTCACGTCGCAACTTTTGGGTAACGGCTATTAATATAAAAACTGGATTACTCAGACCTCATGCTGATTAGGCTCTTGAGTTACAGAAGAATTAGTACTTATTTACCCATTGCCAACTTTATTCAAATTTTAATGACCAAAGTTCCAAGAGTCAATTTTATCAATTGATACAAATATCAAAGGACTCAGTCAAGAAAAGATTGATTGTGAGAAAATGTGGTGATTTAGCTGATCTTTCCTTTTAAAATTCTTAGAAAAAAAAAACCTGGTAAACGGTTAAAATTTTGGATGATATTACTGGAAAAAGCTTTTCAATGTATATATGTTTAGCTTTTCTCTCCTTAAATGGGATGCTTCAGCAATAAACATGGTAAGAGTGTAAATTATTGTAGGTACATGATATTACATTCTTCAAATGGTATTGCTACTCTTCTATTAATTAGCAAATGAATTGAAAATCAAAGAACGTCTAGAAATTAACTTCAACTATTCTAAGTCTATATTATCTTACTGAGGAAATTATACACAACTATATCTATTTCTAGTTCCTACTTTTGCATCTTTCCTGAATCTGCTGCATTTCAGTCCTTATCATATTAGTCAAGGTTCTCCGGAAAAACAGAACCTGAAAGAAAAACAGAATCTGAATTATATATATCTATCTATATAGATATATATAATCTCTATCTATATATACATATATATAATCTCTATCTATCTATATGTATATATGGTTAGAGAAATATATAGATCTATATATATATGGCACATATACACCATGGAATACTATGCATCCATAAAAAAGAAAGAGTTCATGCCCTTTGCGTGGACACGGATGAAGTTGGAAACTATCTAGATCTATATCTATATATGTATATATAGATATAGAAATATATATTTCTATCTATACATATGCATATCTATATATACATAGATAGAGAAATATATATGCATATATACATATGTAGAGAAATATATATGCATATATACATATACAGATAGATAAATATATATTTTTATCTATCTATATCTAGCTAGCTAGCTGTCTATCCATACTGATCAATTGACCCACTTAATTATGCAGGGTAAGAAATCCTAAGACCTGCCATTTATAAACTAGAGAACCAGAAAAGCCTGTGGCAAAGTTTCAATCTAAGCCCCAAAGCCTGAGAATGCAGGGAATTGATGGTGTAATTTCCAGACCAAGGGTCAGAGAAAATGAGATGAGCTATATCAGCCGAAGCAGGCAGGCAAAAAGCACTCAAAGTTAGTTGCTCCTTTCTCTGGCTTACTGTTCTATTCCAGGCCTCAACGTTTATTGCCCATATTGCAGAGGGCAATAAACCTTACTGCGTCCACTGATTCAAATACTAATCTCATCCTGAAACCATCCTCACAGACACACCCAGAAATAATGATTAATCTAAACACACTGTGACTAGTCAAACTGACAAATAAAATTAACCATCACACATCCACCCATTGTCAACTTGGCAGCCATACACCTATTCTTCTTCTTTCTTTTTTTTTTTTTTAATTATACTTTAAGTTCTGGGATACATGTGCAGAATATGCAGGTTTGTTACATAGGTACACATGTGCCATGGTGGTTTGCTGCACCCATCAACCCATCATCTACATTAGGTATTTCTCCTAATGCTATCCCTCCCCTTGCCCCCCACCCCCGACAGGCCCTGGTGTGTGATGTTCCCCTCCCTGTGCCCATATGTTCTCATTGTTCAACTCCCACTTATGAGTGAGAACATGGGCAGCGTTTGATTTTCTGTTCCTGTGTTAGTTTGCTGAGAATGATGGTTTCCAGCTTCACCCATGTCCCTGCAAAGGACATTAACTCATTCTTTTTTATGGCTGCATAGTATTCCATGGTGTATATTTGCCACATTTTCTTTATCCAGTCTATCATTGATGGGCATTTGGGTTCGTTCCAGATCTTTGCTATTGTGAACAGTGCTGCAATAAAGATATGTGTGCATGTGTCATTATAGTAAAATGATTTATAATCTTTTGGGTATATACTTAATAATGGGATTGCTGGGTCAAATGGTATTTCTGGTTCTAGATCCTTGAGGAGTCACCACACTGTCTGTCTTGCACAATGGTTGAACTAATTTACACTCCCACCAACAGTGTAAAAGTGTTCCTATTACTCCACAGCCTCTCCAGCATCTGTTGTTTCCTTACTTTTTAATGATCACCATTCTAACTGGCATGTGTTGGTATCTCATTGTGGTTTTGATTTGCATTTTGCTAATGACCAGTGATGATGAGCTTTTTAAAAATATGTTTGTTGGCCGCATAAATGTCTTCTTTTGAGAAGTGTCTGTTCATATCCTTTTCCCACTTTTTAATGGTGTTGTTTTTTTTCTTGTAAATTTAATTTTTTTGTAGAGTCTGGGTATTACACCTTTGTCAGATAGCTAGATTGCAAAAATTTTCTCCCATTCTGCAGGTTGTCTGTTCACTCTTTTGATAATTTCTTTTGCTGTTCAGAAGCTCTTTATTTTAATTGGATCCCATTTGTCAATTTTTGCTTATCTTGCAGTTGCTTTTAGTGTCTTGGTAATGAAATTTTTGCTTGTGCTTATGTCCAGAATGGTATTACCTAGGTTATCTTCCAGGATTTTTATAGTTTTGAGTTTTACATTTATGCCTTTAACCCATCTTGGGTTGATTTTTGTATATGGTGTAAGAAAGGGATCCAGTTTCACTATTCTGCATATAGCTAGCCAGTTATCCCAGAACCATTTATTGAATAGGGATTCCTTTATTATTTGTTGCTTGTTTTTGTCAGTTTTGTCAAAGATCAGATGGTGTAGATGTGTGGCCTTATTTTCAGGCTCACTATTCTGTTCCATTGGTCTATGTGTGTTTTTTATCAGTACTATGCTGTTTTGGTTACTGTAACCCTGTAGTACAGTTTGAAGTCCGATAGTGTGATGCCTCCTGCTTTATTCTTCTTGCTTAAGATTGCTTTGGGTATTTGGGCTCCTTTTCAGTTCTATATAAATTTTTAAATACTTTTTTTTTCTAGTTCTGTGAAGAAGAATTTATTATTTGGTAGTTTGATAGAAATAGCATTGAATCTGTAAGTTGCTTTGAGCAGTATGGCCATTTTAACAATATTGATTATTCCTATCCATGAGCATGGAATGTTTTTCTATTTGTCTGTGTTATCTCTGATTTCTTTGAGTAGTGTTTTGTAATTTTCATTATAGAGATCTTTCACCTCCCTGGTTAACTGTATTCCTAGGTATTTTATTTTGTGGCAATTGTGAATGGGATTTATAACTAGTTTCTACTACTCATTCTGTATTTTCTTTACCTTCAGAAAGAATATCAGCTGGTTGTGGTTCTTTATCTGGTTGTATGACCCAAAGCTTCAATCTTGAAAATTCTAGGCCATTCATAGTCCTAGCTGAATTGGGTTGTTATAATTTTCTATTGATCTTAATTAAATAACATGATAATACTAAGAGAAGCACTAAGAGATCTCTTGTAGTCCATACATTCTCCTCATTACCTCCATTGTCGAATAACAACAGTCCAATTTACCCTTGTTAGTTCAGATCAATCACCGCAGCCAACATCCTATCTCCCTTCTTGACGTGTTTACTCAGAGGTATGTGGAACTCAATGTGGCCAGATAACAATCTTAACTTCCAGTTTAATGGGGTAATTATTGTGTCTCCCGGCAGAAGCATTCCTCCCTTTGAATTAAGATCTCTAGGCCAATACAGCATAAATTCGCAGTAATAGGAAGCAAAACATTTGCCAGTATGTTGCTTGAGATGACGCGGAGTGGTTCGACTCCTACTTTCACTCCTGGATTACTAGGACCATGAATTCTGCCTATGGGAGGAACTGTACCATATATTGGACACTGATTCAGAACACATACAGCCTTCTGGAAAACCTTGTTCTAGATTTGCAAGGAATTGCTACATAGATGGTGCTCTAACAAAGTTTTCAAAGGGCCATGCCACCATTCTACAAGGCTAGATGCTTCAGGATGCTGAAAAATGTGGAAGGAACAGTGAATTTCATAAACATTGTTCCCATTGCCTCACTTCATTTATTGTGAAGTGAGTTCCTTGATCAGACGCAATGCTGTGTAGAATAGTATGATGGCAGATGAAGCAATATATAAGTCCATGAATGGTAGTTTTGGCAGAAGCATTGTGTGCAGGGAAGGCACATCCATATCCACAGTAAGCTTCTAGTCCAGTAAGAAAATAAGCGCTTGCCCTGTTTGTTTCCTATGGAAGTGGGCAATGTAATCAGCCTTCTTCCAGGTAACTGTCTGATCAACTGGGGCAATAGTTCCATATCAGGGACTCAGTGCAGGTCCCTTTTGTTGGCAGACTGGACACTCAGCAGTGGCCATAGCTATATTGGCTTAGGAAAATGAAAGTCCTTGTTTCTGAGTCCATGAATAACCTCCCTTTCTGCCACCATGGCAATGTGTTCATGAGTCCATTGGGTGATGACCGGGTGGCCTGGGAAAGACTGATTGATACTCAGCAAATGGGTCATCCTATCCACTTGATTAGTAAAGTCCTCACCTTTGAGGCTGAGCTCACCCTTTGGTGAGCACTTAGTGAACACAAATAGTTTCATGTTGTATTCCCATTCAGGAAGATCTATCCACATATCTCTCTTTGTCATCAATTTTCCACCAATGTTTTTTTTTTTTTCTAAACCCTGATAATCTAATCACACCATTGGCTACAGCCCATGGAAGGGCATATATTCACACGTCTAGCTATTTCTGCTACCAAGCAAAGTAAATAACCAGCTGCCCTTCTTGCTGTTCTGTCCATTGGGAGGATTTTCCTTCAAGGATGTCCCCAACAGGGGTTATAATGCTGCAGCTTTCCCCTTTGAGGTGGTGCCTGCATATTGTGCAAAACCATTGGTAAACCAGGCCCAAGTCTTTTCTTCCTCTGTCAACTGATGCTAGAAAACTCGCCATGAGGTCATAGGTGCAAGCTGGGGGAGAGAGAAGGCAGTTTGGATACAGGCAGTTTGGATAGAGACCATAGGATTTGAGTCATTTCCTCACATAACTTGCTTGTGCCTCAGGGCCTGCTTAGGCTCATTCACATAAATATCATTTCCATTTGATGGTGAAGAGTTGCTCTGCACTCCCAACATTTTGACTTATTGGGTCCAATAACACTAAATTCATGATGGCCAGCTCAGAATACATGACCATTTTGTTGCCATGGTTAAATATTCAGTCTCCACTAAGGCCCAGTGGCAGGCCAAGAGCTGTTTTTCAAAAGAAGAGTACTTATCTATGGATAATGGAAAGACATGCTCAAAAATCTAAAAGGCTCATGCTGTGATTTACCTATAGGGGTCTTCCCCCAAAACTTCAAACAGCATCTCTACTGCCACTGCCACTTCAAGCACCATTAGATCTGCTGGATCATGTGGCTCAGGTGGCATAGCAGCTTGCATAGCAGCCCAGACCTGTGGCAGAGGCTTCTGTTCTGTGCCCCACTCAAAACTATTTGCTTTAAAGGTCACTGGGTAAATGGGCCAGAGTAACACACCCAAATAAGGAACGGAATATGTTGATTCCAAAATCAAGAGGTCCACTAGGTGTTGTGCCTCATTTTGGATTGTAAGAAGCACCAGATACAAAAATTTATCCTTCACCTTAGAATGGATATCTTGGCATGCCCCCATACCACTGGACTTCTAGAAGTTTCACTAAGATAGAAGGCCCCTGAATTTCAGGAGGAATAATTTCCCTTGCCTGACATGCAAATGTCTTACCAATAAGTCTAGAGTAGTTGTTATTTCTTGCTCACGAGGTTCAATCAGCATAATGTCATCAACGTAATGGGCCAGCATGATACCTTATGGAAAGGAAAGGTGAACAAGTTCTCTTTAAACTAAATTATGACATAGGGCTGCAGAGTTGATGTAACCCTGAAGTAGGATGGTGAAGGTGTATTGCTGGTCTTGCCACTTGAAAGAAAGCTGCTCTGGTGGGTTATATGAATAGGTATGGAGAAAAAGGCATTTGCTAGATCAGTGGCTGCATACCAGATACCAGAGGGATTTATTAATTTGCTCAAGCAATGAAACCACATCTGGTAGAGCAGCTGCAATTGGAGTCGCCACATAATTAAGCTTATGATAATTCACTATCATTATCCAAGAGACATCTGTCTTCTACACAGGCCAAATGGGAGACTTGAATGGGGTTGTGATGAGAACCACCGTCTCTGCATCTTTAAAGTCCTTGATGGTGGCACTAATCTCTGTATTCCTTCTGGGAATGCAGAATTGCTTTATATTCAGTATTTACCATTTTCCTAGATTGAGACAGTTCTAGTGCCTTCCAGTTGGCCTTTTCCAATATAATTAATAGCCCTCATACCCCAGGTCAGAAAACCAATGTGGAGATTTCACCAGCTGTTAGGAATGTCTATCCTAATTGTGCATTCTAGAACTAGCCACAAGATGAGTTCAGGGACCCACTGAACCCTGGGCCCTAATAAAATACACGTGGAAGCCCCATTAAAACATAGAATACAGGTTGGGCATCCCAAATTCAAAAATCTGAAATCATCAAAATGTTCCAAAATATAAACTTTTTCAGTGCCAACATAAGTCTCAAAGGAAATGCCCATTGGAAAATACCAGATTTTGGATTTTCAGATTTGGGATGCTCAACCGGTTAAGTGTAATGCAAATCTTTCAAAATCCAAAAAATCCACTCTGAAACACTTCTGGTCCCAATCATTTTAGTAAGGAATACTCAACCCGTAGAAAGTAAATGCGGGTCCTGTGGTCATTTACCTCAAGATAAGGATGCCCCTGAGAAGCTCAGATGTCTAGTAATTTGTTATCGAGCAGTTCCCAAGGCTACTTGTTGACCTCAAATAAACTAAGAGTAGATAAATTAGCAAAATCTACAAGAAAATATTGGGAGACATGTTTCCTTGGGTCTCTCACATGGTTGCAAGTCTTGTTTAGTGGGGATGACAGCCTTTTTCAAGACAGTCTTTTGAAGGATGTTTGTATAGCAAGCTGCCTTGGAATATAGAGATAATGTCTCCCTTCAGAGCACAGAACAGATTTGTTTCTTTGCCAGAATCTAAAAATAATGTCTTTCTCTGAAACAAATGTTAGGCAGAGTTGTCAACAGCCCCACTACTAGTCCATTTTCACGATGGTGATAAAGATATACTCATGACTGGGTGATTTTTAAAGGAAAAGAGGTTCAATGGACTCACAGTTCCACGTGACAGAGGAGGCTTCACAATCATGGTAAAAAGCAAGAAGCACATCTTACATGGCAGCAGACGAGAGAGAAAATGAGAGCCAACCAAAAAAGGGTTTCCCCTTATAAAACAATCAGCTCTCATGAGACTTATTTACTACCACGAGAACAATATGGGGAAAACCGGCCCCATAATTCAATTATCTCCCACTGGGTCCCTCCCACAATACATGGACATTATGGGCCCTACAATTTAAGATGAGATTTGTGTGGAGACACAGCCAAACCATATGAGCCCCCTTATAACATTGGGGGGGTTTTCTAAGCACAATTTTTTTTAGTTGTAACCAGACCTGTTTGTACACTATTCACTTGGCCCACTCTGTATTACCCCCCCCATTGAACTTGGGGGCAAGAAGAACTAATGTAAATATGAAGCTCATGCGTACTCCTCTGCTGTATGTAACAAATTCTTTTGGCTCTCGTCCACAAGTTGTATGTCTTCTGCCATCATTCATGAAATTGTGGCATGCTAAGTGTTTAGCTTGCCAGCATAATAAAATCTCAGACACTTTAGAGTTCTTGATACCATAATTAATAAAACAACTCATGCCAAGGTTTTAGTAACTGTAGGATATCACGAATCAAAATTCTGCGCAGTCAAGACCAAGATAGTTGTGGCTGAAGAGTCAGTCAAAACATTAGCAACAGCTTAGATGTCTGTCTCCAAGAACAGTCTTACTAGTGGTAGACTCATCAAGTCCCTGTATCTTACTAAACAATAAAGTTTAGGCATGTGGTTCTTGGAAAATACACAAATAAATGTAAATTATATGTATAATATAGGCCTTTTGGTATATTATTAGGTGGCAAGCTCCTTGGGCTTCCACATATAAAGAAAGCAACATGAGACAAACCTTAGGAAATAAGCATTGACTTTACTATGTGTGCATAATGCCAGTAAAATAATTAGCTAAAGATTTAAATGTCATTAAACAAGTAATTTTATGTCACATTAATAAAACATAGTGTCATCTCTTGTACAACACTGCGACTGTAGTTAATAACAATGTATTGTATTCTTTAAAATTATGAAGAGAATAGATTTGATGTTTGCTCACCGCATAAAAATGAAAAATATATGAGATAATGCATATATTAATGCAGTCAGTTGAGCCATTCCACAAAGTATAATGTTTCAAAACATCATGGTGTACACAATATTTAAAAATATTTTCATTAAAAAACTATAAAAGTAAGAAAAACATATTAGTATGGTTGAAAGCAAGCTTTAAAAAAGGAAGCAATTTCAGATAAAAATTAATTTTGTGTACAATGTGGAAAATTTGAATTCTGTGAGAAGTTCTAGAGAATTAATTTACTGTAGAAAATGCTAAGATTGTGAAAACTTGTAATTACTGATACTTACTAGAGATATGATTACAAAGAATTATTCTCTTACTCTTGCTAACTTTCAAAATTAATATATTTCTTCTGGATATCCTTGTGGATAACTAGTCAACTGTCACATTAACCAAGACTTCTGTGCTCTTGTTGGTCATTCGGAAATTAGGGCAGAATACAAAAGAACAAAACTATGTCCTTTGCAGTAACATAGATGGAGCTGGAGGCCATTATCCTAAGTGAATTAATGAACAAAGAGAAAACCAAATACCACATGTTCTCACCTATAAGTGGTAGCTCAACATCGGATACACATAGACATAAAGACGAAAACAATCATTAATAAAATTATTATTAATGTTACTATTAATACAGTATAGTATAGTATTGTACTATCATTAGTAGTAGCAATTATTTATTAACAGAAGAGAAAGGGAGGGAGAGGCACATGAGCTGAAAAACCATCTATTGGGTACTATGCTTACTATATGGATGATAGGATCATTTTTACCCCAAACCTCAGTGTCATGCACCAGGTAAAAATCTGCACATTTACTCCTTAATGTAAAATTAAAGTTGATTTAAAAAAAAAGAAATTATGGCATAGACTCCATGTTCTATTTGTTTTCCTCAGTAATACAGTGTTCTGCATATAGTAGAGGCTCAGCAAGGTGCCAAGGAAATGGTGTAATGTTCTGAGTTGCCACTGCTTCTAGAAAAAAAGGATGGTTAACTTCCTTTTTAAAAAAGAGCAACATCATATTTCTCAGTATAGAAGCTTCTGTGATACTGCTTTAAAGGATCTTCATTAAATTCAATAAATGGTTTATTTGACTGTTAGAACACGGCTCTAATTTGATGTTTATGACTGTTTTTTTCTGTGCAGATCTTTACAATTTAAAAAATTAATATTCAAAAATGTGACTGGGATGGCTTTATTAACCTCTTATGTAACTCTCTAATTAAAATAGTCTCTAAATGATGTGCATTATACTCACTATAATTTGGAAGAAAAAAGTTTCTGCGTTCCTTCTTTTACATTATACATAGTACAAAGCCACAGTAAGCACAAAAATATACAGCTTAAAAAGTATAAATATGCAACTTCAGCATTCTAATGATTTTTATATTAAAATTAATTTAGGGTCTTTCTCAGCACATTTACTGCTCTGAGCGGTCTCAGCTCCAAATTTCTTCGTACCAGTTGATTGATATGACATAGACAATACATAATTTGGGAAACAATTTGGACATTCTGACCATAAGTATTAGTGACACCTATGACAAGGAATGCTGCTTCCACTAGAATAATTTTTATAATGTCGGGAATCATTGCTGGTTTTGTTTATCCACATTGCCTAGAAAAATGCAATCGAGTAGATATTCAATAAATAGTTTAAGTAAATGAATTTGTGACACTTGTCATGAGTTACAAGGAAAGAAAGTACTTTATGAAGGAGTTGGTCTGTGAGTGTAACATTTGTATTTGTAACACTTCATTGCATGCTGAAACCTGTTTTATAATTTCCATAAGTTATATCACTCTAAATAATCATCTTATTTATTCAACTGTATGTTATCTCTTTCTTTCACTAGATTATAAATTCCATGGAGGAAGGTACCATATCTCTCTTGTAAAGAGGTATGTCCTAGGCCCCTCAAATCATAATAGGTATCAAATATATAAATATATATATATATATATATATATATAAAATAAATTTAATATCGGCTTGGTACATCTATAAAGCACAAGATGGCAAACTGTAAGGTAAGAAAATCCAACTTTTTGAGTGCTGAGACAGACCCTCTAGAAGGGCATTTGCATCTATTTTGTACATGAGACCTGGTTATGGAAATTACTTTCTGTAATAAGCTGGAACCTACTTATGAATACTGAATATATGTAAGGATTGAAAATTTCTGGAGGATGCTGATAAATCTTGGTTTGGGGATAAATTTATTTATAGATTTGAGGAATCTTTAAAGCATAGGTGGTAACTTCATGAGATTGATACATTCCAGCTTTATGAGAAAATTTAAATAAAATGAGGTATAATTTATTTGTTATGATTATATTTATATATTGTTTCATTAGTAGTAGTAGTAGTAGTATGTGTTGTTGTTAGTGATAGTGCTTATCATATGATAGGAACCAAAAGAATGGTTTGTCATGTTTAGATTTGCTGTTCCTCTTATTTTTCTGAGATGTCTCCAGAGCAAAAACAAACTTTCCAGCACTACCCAAATTTCTTTCTTTTTTTTAAGGTCTTTCTAAATTATTATTATACTTTAAGTTCTAGGGTACATGTGCACAACGTGCAGGTTTGTTACATATGTATACATGTGCCATGTTGGTGTGCTGCACCCATTAACTCGTCATTTACATTACGTATATCTCCTAATGCTATCCCTCCCCCCTCCCCCCACCCCACAACAGGCCCCGGTGTGTGATGTTCCCCTTCCTGTGTCCAAGTGTTCTCACTGTTCAATTCTCACCTATGAGTGGGAACATGAGGTGTTTGTTTTTTTGTCCTTGCGATAGTTTGCTGAGAATGATGGTTTCCAGCTTCATCCATGTCCCTACAAAGGACATGAACTCATCCTTTTTTATGGCTGCATAGTATTCCATGGTGTATATGTGCCACATTTTCTTAATCCAGTCTATCATTGATGGGCATTTGGGTTGCAAATTTCTAAGGAAGATACACAGTGATTGGTACATCACCATGAACTCTGAGAGGAGCTATTCATATATTCTCTTTCCTAAGAGGTAGATATCAATTATTTGGACATAGACTGCACCTCACAGACAAAGCAAAAGCTCTCAAACATTGTCATATGTTGATTATTCAGTTTCCATTTCCATTAAGAAGAAATGTCAAAGAAAAATGTCAGATGTTGGTTTCAGACAGGGTCTCAAAAAGGAGAGCAGTAAATCGGAGAAATGATCACACTCCAGGATATCAGTGGTACTAGTTTACATAGAATTGTCAACTTATATGGGACTGAAAAATCTTCCTCAAACTTACAAGACAGTGATAATTAATAAAACTCACTGCCAGGTTAGTAACTTACAGGACAGCTATAGTCAGGCACCATGTAACAACATTGAAGTAAATGACAGACCACATCTATGATGGCAGTTCCTTAAGATTATAATGGAGCTGAAAAATTCCTATTGCCTAGTGAAGCTGTAGCTGCCATAAGATCCTAGCACAACAAGTTACTCATGTGTTTGTGGTGATGTTGGTGTAAACAAACCTACTGCACTGCCAGTCTTATAAAACTACAGCACGTACAATTATGTACCGTACATAATACTTGAAAATGACAATAAATGACTATGTTACTGGTTTATGTATTCACTATACTATACTTTTTTATCAGTATTTTAGAGTGTACCCTTCCTACTTACAAAACAGCCTCAGGCAGTTCCTTCAGGGGGTATTCCAGAAGAAGGCATTGTTATCACAGGAGATGACAGCTCCATGCACGTGAGAGGCCCTGAAGACCTTCCATTGGGACAAGCTGTGGAGGTGGAAGACAGCGATGCTGATAATTATGACACTGTGTAGGCTTAGGCTAATTCGTTTGTTTGCAATTTAGCTTTTAACAAAAATGTTTCAAAAGTAAGATAATAAAAAGCCTATAGAATAAGGATATAAAGAAATAGTAATTTCGTAGTTCATAAGCATGATGATTGGGTGTTCACACACATGCGTGAGATACGCCACCCTCCCACCTTGTTAAGATGTTGGCACATAACCCGTCTTACATGAAGAAAAAAGAAAAACAATTTTTTTTACACTTGTGCAATGTGTTTGTGTTTGAAGCTAAGTGTCATGAAAGTCAAAATGTTTAAAAAATTAAAATTTATGAACTAAAAATGCACAGTAAGCTAAGGGTATTAGTACAGAAGAATTTATTCAATAAATTTAGAGTACCCTAAGTAAGTGTACAGTGTTTATTAAGCATATGGTAGTATACAGTAATGTCCTAAGCTTTCACATTCACTTACCACTCACTCACTGACTCAGAGCAACTTCCAGCCCTTCAAGTTCAAGTCACAGTAAGCCTCCTATACAGCTAAGCCATATTTTTGTATCTTTTACAACATATTTGCACTGTACATTTTCTAGTTTTCAATATATTTAGATACACAAATACTTACCATTGTGTTGCAATTGTCTGTAGTATTCAGTACAGTAACATGCAGTATAGGTTTGTAGCCTAGAAGCAATAGGCTGTCCCTTATAGCCTAGGTCTACAATGGGCTATACCGTCTAGGTTTGTGTAAGTATACTCTATGATGTTTGCACAATGATGAAATTGCCTAAGAATGCAGTTCTCTGAATGTATCCCCATAAACAACACATGACTGTATATACTTGTCTCAAGAACTGGGTCCAGTTATCTGCAAAGAGGCTTCTCTGCTAATACACAGGAGATAAATTTGTAGATATGATCAGAAAATGGTTTGTGAATATAGGATCAATTTGCTATAGTAATAATATTCTCTGGTTTGTTTCTATCTTCTATGTAGTTACTCACTAGCTACTGTCAATTCCACCTCTGAAATGTATCTTAGATGCTTTTCCACATTTCTTTTCTGATTTCACTTACCTAGGTCATCATATTTTCCCCTGAACCCCAGCAATGCCATTCTAACTGCCTTCTCAATTTTCACACTTTTTGAGGTAGATATGATTCCACGATACATGTTTAATGACACTATTTGGTGCGTTTCTATTTTTTATCTTGTATTTTTTGGTTTGTCTGCTTCCACCCATATATTCTTAGCACCTTAAGGGCATGACCAGCATCTTCTTTCATATCTACCTCAATTTATTAAGGCTGCTATTATAACGTAACATAGACTGGGTGACTTAAACAACAGACATTTATTTCTTTCTCACTGTTCTAGAGGCATCAATAGATTTCCTTCCTAGTGAGGGCCTGTTTCCTGGCTTGTAGATGGTGGCTGTCTTGCTGTATCCTTGCATGGCAGAGAGAGAGCACAAGTGCTCTACTATCTATCTGTTCCTCTTCTTATAAGGATGCTAAATTACGTCCTGGGAGCACCACCCTCTTTAACTTATCTAAATCGAATTACCTCTGCCAAGCCCCACCTCCTAATAACATCACATTAAGGGTTACAGCTTCAACACATTGAATTTGTGGGGGACACAAACATCCAGTGCATAATACCTACCAATCTGCTCCTATCCCATTTAGTGTTTAGTACAATGTTGAGTGTATTATAGGCCTGGAGGCATGAAAACCAACCTTTCAGACATTCAATTGCTCTGAGGTCTCTGACCGCAGTTGACAGGCGGTCCTGCTGCTATACTCTGATCTACCATTGTATTCCTGTGGAGGCCCTCCTAACCTCCATCCTGCTCTCAGCCTGTGAGGAAGCACAGCAGGAATGCTAAAGCAGACAAGCTTCTGGGAGATTTAAAACTTGGCCAGGTGCAGTGGCTCATGCCTGTAATCCCAACACTTTGGGAGGCAAGGCAGGTGGATCGCAAGGTCAGGAGTTCGAGACCAGCCTGGCCAATATGGTGAAACCCCATCTCTCGCTACTAAAAAAAAAAAAAAAATACAAAAATTTGCCAGGCATGGTGGCGTGCGCCTGTAGTCCCAGCTACTCAGGAGGCTGAGGCAGGAGAATCACTTGAGGCAGGGGTTGCGGTGAGCCAAGATCACGCCACAGCACTGCAGCCTGGGCGACAGAGTGAGACTCACTCTGTCTCAAAAAAAAGAAAAGAAAAGAAAAAGACTCCTTTGATAGCTGACTTTTGCTTTATGATGATTTTCCTTTGGCCTTGCCGAACTCTCTTAAGCCTAGGGTTAGAGTAACTCTTCTGTAGTCTAAGACACATCATATAAACTTTCTGCCTTCTCTCTTTCCTTCACAAGTGTCCACCCTGTATTGTGGTGTAATGGTTCTTCTGGCCTTTTTCCCCCATTTTTCCCTCACAAGCAGTGCCCCTAAAAAGTCTCTTGTATAGTAAATCCACTTCTGTTCATCCATTCTTACACTGCTGATAAAGACAAAGACATACCTGAGACTGGGCAATTAAAAAAAAAAAAAAGAGGTTGAATAGACTTACAGTTCCACATGGCTGGGAAGGCCTCACAATCATGTGGAAGGCAAGGAGGAGAAAGTCACGTCTTAAGTGGATAGTGACAGGCAAAGAGAGAGATACTGTGCAGGAAAACTCCCCCTTACGGAACCATCAGATCTCGTGAGACTTATTCACTATCAATCACAAGAACAGCATGGGAAAGACTTGCCCCCATGATTCAATGACCTCCCACTGGGTCCCTCCCACAACACATGGGAATTCAAGATGATGAGATTTGGGTGGGGACATAGCAAAATCATATCATTCTGCTCCCGGCCCTCCCAAATCTCATGTCCTCACATTTCAAAATCAATCATGCCTTCCCAACAGTTCCCCAAAGTCTTAACTCATTTCAGCATTGACTCAAAAGTCCGCAGTCCAAAGTCTAACATGAGACAAGGCAAGTCAAGTCCCTTCCGCCTATGAGCTTGTACAATCAAAAGCAAGTTAGTTACTTTCTAGATACAACAGGGGTACAGGCATTAGGTAAATACAGCTGTTCCACATGGGAGAAATTGGCCAAAACAAAAGGAGTTACAGGTGTCATGCAAGTCTGAAATCCTGCGGGGCAGTCAAATCTTAAAGCTCCAAAATAATCTCCTTTAACTCCATGTCTCACAACCAGGTCATGCTGATGCAAAAGGTGGGTTTCCATGGTCTTGGGCAACTCTGCCCCTCTGGCTTTGCAGGACATAGCCCCTCTCCTGGCTGCTTTCAAAAGCTGGCATTGAGTGTCTGCAGCTTTTCCAGGTTCAGGGTGCAAGCTGTCGGTGGATCTACCATTCTGGGGCCTGGAGGACAGTGGCCCTATTCTCACAGCTCCACTATGCAGTGCCCCAGTAGGGACTCTGTGTGGGGGCTCTGACCCCACATTTCCCTTCCGCACTGCCCTAGCAGAGGATCTCCACGAGGGTCCCACCCCTGCAGTAAACTGCCTGGGCATCCGGGTGTTTCCATACATCCTCTGAAACCCAGGCAGAGGTTCCCAAACCTCAATTCTTGACAGCTGTGCACCCACAGGCTCAACACCATGTGGAAGCTGCCAAGGCTTAGGGCTTCCACCTTCTGAAGCCATTGCCCGAGCTGTACCTTTGCCACTTTTAGTCACAGCTGGAGTGCTGGGACGCAGGGCACCAAGCCTTAGACTGCACACAGCAGAGGGACCCTGGGCCAGGCCCACAAAACCATTTTTTTCCTCCTAAATGTCCAGGTCTGTGATGGGAGGGGCTGCCACAAATGCCCCTGACATGCCCTGGCAACATTTTCCCCATTGTTGTAGTGATTAACATTTGGCTTCTCATTATGTATGCAAATTTCTGCAGCCAGCTTGAATTTCTCCTCAGAAAATGGGATTTTATTTTCTAATGCTTTATCAGGCTGCAAATTTTCCAAACTTTCATGCTCTGTTTCCCTTTTAAAACTGAATGCCTTCAACAGCACCTAAGTCACCTCTTGAATGCTTTGCTCCTTAAAAATTTCTTCCTCCAGATACCCTAAATCATTTCTCTCAAGTTCAAAGTTCCACAAATCTCTAGGACAGGGACAAAATGATGCCAGTCTCTTTGCTAAAACATAAAAAGAGTCACCTTTGCTCCAGTTCCCAACAAGTCCCTCATCTCCATCTGAGACCACCTCAGCCTGGATTTCATTGTCAATTTCATTATTAGCAATTTGATGTAAGCCATTCAAAAGTCTTTATGGAATTCCAAATTTTCCCACATTTTCCTGTCTTTTTCTGAGCTTCCCAAACTTTTTCAACCCCTGCCTGTTACCCAGTTCCAAAGTCACTTCCACATTTTTGGGTATCTACAGGAGTGCCCCCCTCTACTGGTATCAATTTACTGTATTAGTCCATTTTCATGCTGCTGATAAAGACAAACCTGAGACAGAGCAAATTACAAAAAAAAAAAAAAATGGTTTAATGGACTTACAGTTCCACATGGCTGCAAAGGCCTCATAATCATGGTGGAAAGCAAGGAGGAGCAAGTCACATCTTACATGGATGGCGGCAGGCAAAGAGAGAGAGCTTGTGCAGGGAAACTTCCTCTTATACAAGCATCAGATTTTGTGAGATTTATTTACTATCACGAGATTTGCCCCCATGATTCAATTAACTCCCGCCAGGCTCCTCCCACAACATGTGGGAATTCAAGATGAGATTTGGGTGGGGACACAGCCAAATCATATCACATATCACCATTCTTAGTGTAGGCTTTATGGGGGACCTTGAATAATACATTACTTTTTGTTTTGTTTCGTTTTGTTTTGTTTTTTTCCAGACGGAGTCTCACTCTGTCACCCTGGCTGGAGTGCAGTGGCACAATCTTGGCTCGCTGCAACCTCCACCACCTGGGTTCAAGTGATTCTCATGTCTCAGCCTCCTGAGCAGTTGGAATTACAGGCATGTGCCGCCATGCCCAGCTAATTTTCGTATTTTAGTAGAGACGGTATTTCACTATGTTGGCCAGGCTGGTCTGGAACTCCTGACCTCAGGTGATCCACCTGCCTTGGCCTCCCAAAGTGCTAGGATTACAGATGTGAGCCACCATGCCTGGCGACATTAGATTTAAATGAATCAATGAGTCAAATAATGGTGCATTTTTTCTCCTAAATACCAGATGCCTTTGTGCTACACTCTGGCTGTTCAAAGTTCTTAATATTACCTAATCTCAACTCAGAAAAAAAAAAGTTTTTTTTTTCCTCCTCAATTTATTCTTATGTTTGGACCTGGGAGCTTCTGGAGTTATTGGTCGTCTATTTATAACAAAGGTCATATAAGTCATTTGGACAGGAGAGAGGGAAACACTGGGTAGAAGAGGGCAGTTCACTGTCAAAGGCCCCACCCTCAAGCCTGGAGACCCACAGCCCTAAATGGGGACAGGCATTCCTGTTTTCATGCCCAAAAAGTTGTCTTTTGGCCTGCCACATCCCCTATCCTGTACCCATATAAACCTCAAACTGCAGACTCCAGAAGCAGACCAGCAGGTGAGAAGACAAGAAGACAAGCAGACTGATGGCAAAACAATGCGACAAAGAAAGAGAGAAGAGGAGGAATGCCTGAACTCTGAGAGGAGTTCGTCTGGGGGCGGCTGGAAAGGAATTTGACCACTGGATGGCCAGACTCCAGGGAAAGATCATCTTCCCACTCCATCACCCTTGCTGGCTCCCCATCCATCTTGCTGAGAGCCACCTTCACCACTCAGTAAAACCCCGCATTTATACTTCAAGCCCGTGTGTGACCCAGTTCTTCCTGGGATGCTGGGCAAGAGCTTGGGATGCAGAAAGCTGTCACACTAGCCCCATGCCCTTCACAAAGGCAGAGGGTCCATTGAGCTGGTTAACACTAAAGCTGTCTATGGACGGCAGGGCTAAAAGGGCACATTGTAACACATGCCCACTTCAGCTCCTGCCCCAGTCCATCTGCATGCTCTCCCACTCCTCAGGGTTTTGAGCAGTGGCAGTGACCGAACAGGCAAACCACACCCCTGTTGCACGTCCTGTAAAGGAGATCAGGGGACTCTCCTGTTTCATATAGACCTATGACTAGTGACTAGTAACTCACTCATACTTACTTTTAAACAAGGAGCTGAGAAAATAAGATTTATAATTGAATAAAGTGGTATTATCAAAAATTGTAAACTTACTTTATATCTGTACAAAACTTGTCTGAAAGTATTTAGTATGTATCCTGACTTTGCACTTGTTTTCAACTGCACTTTTTAAAGAGATAACTAAAAAGATATAAATATAACATCAGAGGAAGAGTGATGTAGTGCCTGCAGTACTGAGCTTGTTGCTGTATTTCTATTATTATCTGTCAATTGAATACTGACAGTATGGGCAACAAACAGAGAGAGGATTTCAGGGAATGTCTGGATATAATTACCTATAACACAGGTGTATGAAAGAAGGGAAACAACTGTAATAATTACAAAATTGTTATTGAACCCTTTGATCTGTCAGTTAAAAGACAGGAAATAAGATCTTCTCATAGCTTCTAAATTACGGTTGAAGTTACACTGAGCTAGATCAGGACTGTTCTCTCTCTCTTTCACACACACACACACACACACACACACATACACACTTTCTTGACCTCAGATGCAGAGCAGTGTGCTAATCACATCCTTGGGACATGTTACTCTTTCATTATTGATCTACACAAGTTTCCTGTCTTATCTTAATCTATTGTTTTGTCCTGACTTCTGCTTGTATTTGTCCATTATGCATTGCTTTAAAGGAATACCTGAGACTGGGCAATTTATAAAGACAAAAGATTTATTTGGCTCATGGTTCTGCAGGTTGTACAAGCATGGCACCCACAACTTCTTGGTTTCTAGTGAATCCTCAGGGAGTTTTTACCCATGGTGGAAGGTAGAGAGAGAACAAGCAAGTTATATGGCAAGAGAGGGAGCAAGAGAGAGATGCCAGGCTCTTTCAAACAAACAGCTGTTGCACGAACTAACAGAGTGAGACTCACTCACTACTGCAAGGACAGCAGCAAGCCATTCATGAAGGATGTACTCCATGACCAAAACACCTCTCACTAGGTTCATCTCCAACACCAGAAATCATATTTCAACATTGCGTTTGGAGGAAAATGTAAATAACTGCCCCATCTTCATACTCTTATTAATATATGTCTTTGGATATGTATGTGTCTTTGCAAAATTATACAACATATAGCATAGTGGTTAAGAGTGAAGATTCTGAAGATAGATTGCCTCAGTTTAAATCCTGGCTCTCAGGCTAAATAGCTATGCAATTTTGGAAAAATTGCTTAACATCTCTGCTATTCCATTTCCTAGCATTATTGTGAAGAGTTAATAAATTAATTAAACATGATGTCTTTAGGCCTGAAGTGGTTGCTCATACCTGTAATCCCAGCATTTTGGGAGGCTGAGGTGGGCAGAAAACGAGGTCAGGAGTTTGAGATCAGCCTGACCAACATGGTGAAACCCAGTCTCTACTAAAAATACAAAAGTTATCTGGGCATGGTGGCGTGCACCTGTAATCCCAGCTACTCAGGAGGCTGAGGCAGGAGAATCACTTGAACCTGGGAGGCAGAAGTTGCAGTGAGCTGAAATTGTGCCATTGCATTCCAGCCCGAGCAACAGAGTGAGACTCCTTCTCAAATAAATAAATAAATAAATAAATAAATAAATAAATAAATAAAATAAAAAAAGAAAATTATGTCTTTAGAAAAGCATCAGGCACATAGTAAGCCCTCAGGAAACGCTGGCTATTCTTATGGGTACACATTTACAAATTACATGAATGATAGTCCAATGTCATTGTATTTCTTAATTTTTCACTTAACACTGTATTTGTAAAATTCAGATATGATAGTGTAAGCATATCTAGTTTATTAGTTTGACCGCTTTAGACTATTAATCCATTATCTATTATATTTGTGATGGATACCTAGATGGTCTCTCTCAGCTACCACAAACAATACAATTTCTAATATGCCTATTGGGATTACATTCTGCTGCAAGTAACAGAAACAAAATAGTGGTTCATTTTTCTCACATAACGAAAAGTCTATAGGTATACGGCTTCACCCTTTGCAATAATTCAGCATTAAAATATACTTTGTCTATTATTAATAGAGCTATACCAGGTTTTTTTCTGTTGTCTTATTTAGTGTTTGCTACACATGCACACACACGTCTGTGTATGTATGCATGTAGATATAGATAATTTATTTTACCGTTAATCTTATATTTTGGACATATATTTTATAAGCAGTATATAGTTTAGTTTGTATATGCAACCATAAAATGTTTGTTTTCTAAATTTCTTGTGATTGCTGGCTTACTGGAAGCATTTCTATCATCTTAGTTTATGATTTGTTGTTTTTAATTTTTAAATTATTTCTCTTGCCTTTTTATATTTTTATGGCTTAACAATTTCTTAAATTTATTTTTTTCTGTACTGTTGGAACTTTTGCATGTTGCACAGTCTACTTATATGTGTTCCACAAATGCCTTAAGTATCATCATCTTCATTCTTTAATTCTCTAAAGCTGATTGACTTACCACTTTTCTCTGAAGATATAAAAGTTTTTTAGAATACTTTAATCATAAGCTTCCTTTTCTGTCTTTTTGTTTTATTTGGTTTTCTGATGCTTATTTTTCTTTCCATTTTATTTTTTGGCCTTTATTCTATACCTTAATTCCTCAAATTAAACATTATAATTATCGTTTTATATAGTCTTTCTACTTCAATTTCTTTCCTCCTTCTCTACCTTCCATTGGAAATACTAAACGTTCATTTTGCTACTTTGAAAACTGTAGATTCACTTTCAAAATGTTAACAGTTGTTCCAACTTCTTATTAAGACGAATGCTTTATTTTTCCCATAAGTTCCTTAACCTTATCAATAGCTATATCTTCCTATTATACTTTGTTATTCTTTCTCTTTTCTCTAATCCAAGCACATAACAAAATGTCATGCACATAAGAAAGGTTCAGTGTTTGTTGGAATCATGTTTAAATGGTAGAAATAGTATTTGTGCAATATCTCTGATAGGATCTGAATAAGTGCTTGGTGAATTAACACAGTAGAGTTTGGAATAAAACAGCACAATGAGAAGTGAAATTTTTCAAATACTTATTAAGAATTCTAGTATCTTTACAACCCAGTTAAGGAATCTTATTGATCCTGTCTTCCAAAGCATTCAATGTAACCTGTATCCAATGGCCCTATCCACATGGCGTAACTCGTCACCATTTTGAGTATACTAAACTGGATATCAAATGGTCAAAAAAAATCCCCAAAAAGACAAGAACATTATGATTACAGACATAGGCAAGGAGGAAAAAAAAACCACTTTCTGGGGAAATTTTATCACTGTGCTTTGTTCATGTAATGAAATCCAGCTGAATAGGACTTCAAAACTTTCTGAAAAGATTAAATAGTATCAGTTGAGAATATGAAAGATCCCCATGAGAAGAACTCAGTAGGAACTAAACGAAAATTGGGAAAAATCACTTACTGAATACTCAGAAATCTGGATTGAAATCCAAGGACATGATTCATTCATTCTCTCTCTCTCTCTCTCTCTCTCTGTCTCTCCTCTCCTTGAGCTTTCTGTACTTTTTAAAGGAGAATCCATAATATTTGCCTTGTATTCATGCAATGGAAAGATTAAGATAAGTAAGTCATATTAGGCTACAAAAAGTGCTTTCTGAGCTTTGAAGGATTGATTACCACCCCTCCTTACCTTCAGGGTTCTTTGTTCAGTGCAGAACTACGCATGGTCTGAAGGAAGACTCACATTCTTTGCAGGTCAGCAGTAAGAGACTTGCCAATAGATCAAATCCCTTCCTGATGGGTATTTGAGTGTCATTACCATTGTTCTTCCTCTGTTCTACATGTACAGCGAAATAACCTCTCTCATTTACCTTGGGACTCAGTGCTCCCTTCTATGTGGCAGCAGAAGGACAAGCATCACCACATTTTTTTTCTTATACTCTTGAAAAAAATGGACGTTTTACATCTGTGTGGGTAACTTTATAATGCTGCTGTGTTAGAAAACATCAGATGCTTTTGTGTCACTTTATAATTATATGCTTACTGTGCCTCTTGTTCTTCCTTTCTTTCTTTCATGTGTTTATTATCTCACACACGCTCTCTACTTTTTTCCTTTCTTTCCCTTTGCCTGTGCTTCCTTTTTTGTTCTGCATATTAACATTTTCATAATGACACATAATGCAATATTAGCATTTATAGCTTTTTTTGGTGTGTTAGCCACCATAGCAATACAATTCACATAGGAGGTATTACTTGTTAACCCTAGGAAGAAAATATCATCATTAATTCTAACTTCTGAATGTGAACAATCAAGCTCAGAGAGGCTAAGTGTTTTGAAAGGCATAGGCTAGTCACCAGACTCAGGTATTTGCAACTGCAAAGTCCTTGCTCTCAATGATGATATCCACTCCTGATCTCTGAATATCTCATTTACAATATGCTATTTTGGCATACACATAGCACTTTAAGAGCCAACTGATGGTAGACATTTTTAATGCCAGTATGTTAACTACATTTTATATTTAGCATTTGGAATTAGGTATAGGAAGAATGTACCTCAACACAGTTAAGATCACATATGAAAAACCCACAGCTAACATTATCCTCAACAGTAATAGTTGAAAGCCATTTCTCTAAGACGAGTAACAAGACAAAAATGTCCACTTTCATCACTTCTATTCACAATAATACTAGAAGTTCTAGACAGAGCATTAAGTTAAATAAGTAAATGAATAAATAAGTGGCATTCAAATAGGAAAGGAGAATCTGAAATCATCTCTGTTTGCTGATGACATGATATTACATATAGTAAACCCTAAAACTCCACAAAAAAACAGTGGAATCATAAAATTAGTAAAGTTGCAGGATGCAAAATCAACACACAAATATCAGTAGCATTTCTTTATACTAACAACAAATTATGTAAAAACTAAGAAGTCGACTTCATTCATGATAGCATTAAAAATTACTTAGGAGTAAACTTAAACTAGGAGGTGAAAGATCTGTGTATTAAAAGCTATAACGCATTGATTTAAAAAATGTAGACGACACACATAAATAGAAAGATATCCCATGTTCATAGATTGGAAGACTTAATATTGTTAAAATGTCCATTCTACCCAAAGTGAGCTGCAGGTTCAACACAATCCTTGTCAAAATTCAAACGCTATTTTTCACAAAAGCAAACAAGCAAACACAAATCCCAAAATTCAAATGGAAACACAAAAGACCCCAACTATTTAATGCAGTCTTGAGATAAAATAACAAAGGTGGAGGCATCACATTAACTGACTTCAAAATGTATTGCAAAGCTATAGTAATCAAAACAGTATCAGCAAGGCATAAAAGCAGACACATTGACCAAGAGGACAGGACAGAAAACCCGGGAATAAACCTACACATTCATGGCCAATGTATTTTCTACAAAGGTGCTAAGAATACAGGTGGATATAGGACAATCTCTTCAATAAATAGTTTTTGAAAAACTTAACATCCACATGCAGAAGAATTAAATTAGACTCTGTCATCATAAAAAATAAAAATGGAGTAAAGACTTAAATGTAAGTCCTGAAGCTGTAAAACTACTAGAAGAAAGCATAGGGAAAATCTCCACGACATTGGTCTTGGTAAAGTTTTCATGGACATGCCCACAAAGGCACAGGCAACAAAAGCAAAAATAAACAAATGTGATTGCATAAAACTTAAAAACTTCTGCACAGTAAAGAAAATCAAGAGAGAAAACAGCAAATTTATGGAATGGGAGAAAACATTTGCAAACCATACATCTGATTAGAATCTAACTTCCAAAATATATTGTGTACTCAGCACAATAGCAAGAAAACAACTCAATTTAAAAATGGGCATAAAACCTAAGAAGACATTTCTCAAGGCCAGGCATGGTGGCTCATGCCTGTAATCTCAGCACTTTGGGAGGCTGAGGCGGGAGGATCACGAGGTCACGAGTTCGAGACCAGCCTGGCCAACATAGTGAAACCCTGTCTCTACTAAAAAAAATATGAAAAATTAGCTGGGCGTGGTGGCAGGTGCCTGTAATTCCAGCTACTCAGGAGGCTGAGGCAGGAGAATCACTTGAACCTGGGAGGCTGAGGTTGCAGTGAGCCGAGATCACGCTATTGCACTCCAGCCTGGGCAACAAGAGTGAAACTCCATCTCAAAAAAAAAAAAAAAAAAAAAATTCTCAAAAGAAGACATACAAAAGGCCAACTGACATATGAAAAAATGCTCATTATTACTAGTCATCATGGAATACAAAATTAAAACCACAGCAACTAGGTATTACGTCACATCTGTGAGAATGATAACATCAAAAACACAAAAGATAACAAGTGTTGGCAAGGGTGTGGCAAATAGAGAACACTTGTGCACAGTTAGTGGACTTGTAAATTAATATGGCCATTGTGGAAAACGGTATAGAGTTTTCTCAGAAAACTAAAAATAGAATTACCATATGATTCAGCAATTCCACTTTTAGCCATGTAACAAAATAAATTGATAAATTAGTATTCCAGAGAGACATCTATCATCTCATGTTCATTACAGGTATTTTGCCTATTCATAATAGGTAAGACATGGAAAGAAACCTAGTGTCCATCAGCAGATGAATGGATAAAGAATATGTGCTAATATACATGATAGTATACTATTCAGCCTCATACAAAAATTCTGTTCATTGTGATAACATAGATGAACCCGGAAGACACTATTTTAAGTGGAATAATCCAGGCACAGAAAGATATAAACTGCATAATCTAATTTATATGTGCAATAAAAAAGTTGAGCTCAAACAAGTACAGAGTAGAATGGTGGTTATTAGAGGATGTGGGAATAGCATGAATGGAAAAAGGGGAGATGTTGATCAAAGGGTACAAAGTTTCAGCTAGATAGGAGGAATAAGCTTTAGTAATCTATTGCGAAATACTGTGACTATAATGAATGACACAATATTATTGTATATTTCAAAATTACTAAACTAGTAGATTTTAAATATTGTCATCACCAAAAATAAGTACGTGAGGTGATAAATTTGTTAATTAGCTTGACTTAATAATTCCATAATATAAACCTATACCAAAACATCACATTGTACTCCAGAAACATGCCATTATTATTTGTCAATTAAAAATAAAACTTAAAAAATCACCCACATAATAAAAACGATTGTGGTATTGGGCATCTTTAAAACTGTTCCTCTCCCTCATCTATCATGTCAATTCCAGTAGCTTTTACTTTTAAATTACCTCTCCAATTCATTGTCTCCTCTATATTCTGACTGCTATGGATCCCAGCTTGAGCTTCATTGTCTGTCTCTTGAACGACCAAAACAGCTGCCTAAATGGCCTCCTGGTTTCCAAACTTGCACCCCTCCAATCTGATCTTCATCCTGTAACCTGAAGGCAGTCAGAACACCAGAACTAATCTATTCTGTCTTTTGCTTAAAAGACATAACATTATCATAATTAATTAAAAAGTATATCCAGATCCCTGGGCATGACATAGAAGAAAGAATCTTTAAATATGTCCAAGAACCTTCACCTATTTCATTTCTTCCTCATATCCACTGGATGGTATCCCATTCTGAACCTTTCTTCCTGACAGACTCATAGAGTTTAAGCATCTTCTGTCACTATGAACTGTTTTCTAATCTCCTCAAGTTGAATTGACCACTTGCTGTATTGTCTATCCATACTTTATAAACTATTAAACACTATACTAAATACTATTTACTAAAATATCTTTATCTCTAGGGAATTGTAAACTCCTTGAAGGCAGGATGTATATTACTGGCCTGTCTACTATACCAAACACACAGCCTTGGATATTAATTAACCATTAGTAATATGTATTGAATTTAAATTAAAAGATACTGTAACACAAAATTTGGAATAACATGCGAGCTGACCTTCATAAAACCAATAAAACCATCTCTAAAAACTATGGAAATTCTTTTACATCATTTGTTTCTCTTTTTTTTTCTTTACCATCACTGTCATTTTAAAATTTAATTTTTCATCACCTTCCACTTGGGTTATTGAAGTAACCTTGATGCTGGATTTCTGCATTCAATTTCTGCCCTCCTCCCCCAAGCCACCATTCACAGAATCAGAGTGACATTATCAAACCATTTGCTGACCATGTCAGTCTTCAGCTTTCTCACACTTAGCTCCCCGTTAGCCATTGAAGTTCAAACTTCTTACCTTAATCTAAAAGGCTTTTCAAAAAGTTGCCAGAGTATATATTCCTTAATCTCCTATAATTTCCCCAAATATATAATAGTCTTTTATACCTCTGACTAGTATCCGTGCAGTTCCATTTTCCTGAAATATCTGTCACTATTAACTCCACCAATAAAAGCTTACTCTTCCTTCAAGACCCAGTACAGATATAACTTCTCTCTCACTTTCTCTTACTATCACTGTTCACGTCACTTAACTCAGGAAGAATAAATGATTCCCATAACACTTTACAAACACCACTATTATAACAATTATACATCATCCATTTTTGTACATGCATCCGTATTTCTCAATAGAGTATAATCTACTTGAGAATAAGGGCTACAGATTACCTATTTTTGTTCTCGAAAGCCAGGTGTGATGTCTAGAACACAATTGATAATCGCTGTTACACATTATGTGGGCCCATATTAGCAACATATGTTATAACAAGATGAGGTTACAAGATAGATGTCTCTGTGTGTGTATGTGCATTTGAAAACTCATATAAAGAAGCCAGCTTTTTGCACATAACGTGAAATTAATGCTGAAATATTTCAAAGTGTAGGATAAATCATTCAATGTGGCTCAAAATTTATGCTTGTTATTGATTTTGTGTGAACTGTCCTCTCTGTTTCATATCATATCTTGTAGACAAACGACCGTCTCATAAAAATAGTTACATAATTGCAGAATGATATTGTTTCATTTATAAGTGGACATTTTAATAATAAACACATGACATATCCTGAAACATTTCTTCCTCCTTTTTCTTGAAACATGGAGAAAATAATAAATGTAATCAATACAATTTTAATCGTTGATTTATTCAACCATTGTTTTTCAAACAATTACTATATAGCAGATACTCACACACATTTAATGATATAGCATAAATACCACAACATTGGGCCCCTGACATATTAGAACTTGTAGTCTGTACTGTAGACTAAAAGCAAACAAAAATTATTCAGTTATAAATTATGAAAATTTTTATAAAGAAGATACCCATGGTTTTATAAATACATGTAACCTCCCCAAACATTGATCTCCTCACTTATGAATATTCCAGAGTAATTTTGACATAATAATGACAATAGTAATAATACCGATTGCTATTTATAAAAATCTCTTTTATCTATTTATTCTTTGAAAATAGTTTTACATCATTAATACAATTTATTATTTCAAAAATATTTATGGAATGTCTACTATGTACCAGGAAGTATGTTGATCACAATGAATACAATAGTGATGTCTAACATATTTTTAAAAAATCATATAAGTATGATAAATACTATGAATAAGACAGTTTGTGTCATCACAAAATATGTAGTGTTTTAATGGATAATGTTGAATAAAAAGGGCAATTACAAAATAGTGAGATAATTTAACATTAGCTATTTTAGTAATGAAAGGTTTAAAAATATCTTCCTAATGAAGACGATTTTTTGTCCTTCATTAATTAATATGTAGGCACTGCATGATTCCTTGGAAATCTTATATGCTCTAAACTCCCTTTCCCGATTAAAAGTCCCATTCCATCTGTTTACGTACCTTAGGTAGCTATTTGATAGAAAGCAATTTAATCACATTAATTTGAACTATGGCATAGACAAATCAATTGTCAGCTTTTCCAGAGATAATTGTATTTTTTAAATGATTAATTTATTCTTTCAAATTACTACATCTTTAATGGTTACAGGTGTGGCTAGGAACATTTTTTGAGTCAAGAGACTCCCAAAAAATCCCTGAGCCATACCCAGAAGACAATCAGCTTATTGCTTGCATAGGAGGCCGGTGCTTTAGAAGAAAGAGCAAATCAATGCTATATATATTTATGTTATATATTTATTTTCTAAAAATTACTTCCTGGGTATCCTAGATTCACTCAACATTCTGTCTACCATCATAGTTTTGCCCAATCAGAATTTATGTTCAGAACAATGACCTTGAAACATTGTCTTATACACCAAGAAACACACAATTATAATTCCTAGGCACTATTAAACCAATTTGGAATGATTTTCAACAATGACTGAGATACTACTGGGTTTTAGAGTAACCCTCGGCTAACCAAAAAAATTAAACCAAACACCTGATTCCCCAAGCAGCCTGGATAATTGGAGTTTTATGGTACATTAACATAAATGTTAGACAATTATTTTCCCCATCTGTTCCCCTGTTTTAAAATCCCCAGCGAAAGTCTTTGTAGTAGTTCTTAAAAATGTTCCTTGAATCTTATCCCATTTCAGTAGCTCTTATCTAAATTTCCTTTGCTGATATTGTCGTCTTAAATGGTGCTATTGTGTGCCAAGCATTTTTCTCATTTCTACAGTATTACATTCTTTTTTTATTTAATCATTTGAAAAAGTGGAACTTTCCATAACATTTCAGGACTGATTATTTCAGGTTAGCAATTAAAATATTGGTATTATTTAACATGAAATTTAATTTATCCATTTTCAATTATTTTAGAAACTCACCATAAGTAAGTATTTCACAGATATTAAACAACAGTGTTCAATAAATTAACAACTTACGATATTTCACATTTTTTCAACAAATCTGGTCAGTTGTGTATCTGCCAAGAAGATGCTTAGTGATGAAATTAGCAAAAACAACAGCCACCACAGCAATAGTATTTTTTGTTTTATTTTTCTAAGAATATACTGAAGAGCTGTTTTTACCTTCAACAGTAAAAATTGGGCAAGAATTTAAAAGAATCAACTATGTAAATTTAGTACAACCTGAAAATTATGCCCTAGAAAATGAAAACAGTGGCTTTCTATCTGACACCCATCCATTCTGCCTTAGCATGCTTTCTTAATATTTAATAATGATAACATGATTTGGGGATATTATTAATGCTGATACCTAACCTTTTCAATTGACTTACTTTGCACAGCTTTAAGAGTTTAAGTGTTTTAGATAGCTCTTAATGTCAATTGGAGTATCTACAAGCCTAACACATAGAATGTATTTTTTCTATATGAAAGCAAAATATTTTGACAAATCATTTTTAAATATAATATGTGTACTCTCTAGCTATTGTTATGCTAACCATAACAATCATATGCTACCTTTTGAACTTTTAATGTCTTTTACATCATGTGGAATATTTCTGGAAACTGGAAAGGCTTTTATTATTACTATTACCCCCAAAATAGTCATATGTGATATGACCTCTTTCAGCTCAATATTTTTTTAATCTTGAAAGTAGTATATTATTTTATCTTGCTCTCTGACATGTATACATATAGTTAGCAAAACAAAAAAGAGTTGAACACCTTTTTTTTTTGCAAAGCATTGCAAATAAAGCAGAGGATAATCATAATAAGGCAACATAGTGAAATGGATTTAAGTAGATCTGGTGTCGAATTTGTATCCCATGAATTATTAGATGAATGACCTTAGGTAATTAACATCTAGGAGAAACCTGGATGCTCCTTTGTAAAATAAAATGTTGATAATATTTCCTGCCTTACAAGGTTATTGTGAAAAATTAAAGTAGATCACGGATATGAAGCACACAGTCACCTAAATAAAAAATGCCCACTAAATGAGAGCCATTTGCTTTCATGGTGGTGGTGGTGGTGGTCCTCCTCCTCCTCTTTCTTCTTATTCAATAGGGGACAACAAAACAGGGTTGCCAGAGAAGAGGAAATGGGAAAGGGTCAGAAATAACCGTCCCAAATAGGTGGCTTAGCAAAATTTTGTAGAATTTGAACATTCGAACATCGTAGGAAAGGACATTCCAGGTAGAAGGAACAGTATGAAAAAACAAGAAATGCCACTGAATCAAATTTTGCTCGGAAATTCAGTGTGAATTTTATCTTTATGAAAGAAAACCAAATACATTTTCAGTGGCAAATGTTTTTCTGCATATATTTGTGAAAAGAAGCTTGCTGAAAATTATTTCTGTTCCCCTTTAAGTTGAGAAACTCAGGAGAGCAGAGTCAGTTAGTTACTTAAAACAAAGAACTCCATTTCTACAGTCCTCATCATAAAGAGGGCCTCCATACTTTCCAGGACTTGAGACTACAGCCAAGGGAATAATTAATCAGAATTTGCTCTCCTCTACTTTCGAAAAAAAATGTATGTTATCAAACATCAATCACTGATGCCATTTTTTGCCTTTAAATGTATTCTGGAATTATGATTAAATAATTGTATCTTCAAGTATCAGTGCTAAAGTGGAAGTTATCTGAATTTCACCCCTCTAATCCTGAGAACTCTCTAAAGGGTATTTTATAGTTAATATAATTATTTCTTTGAAGAATAAAATGTACTTGGCCCCCAGGCCTTGCCCACATAAAAGAGGTTGGTTCAAATAGTTACATCAGAGTGACCATAATATGATTCATTTGTTTTCACTATTCCTCCTCCTGATTTTTCCTCATTGCTGAAATGGGATGTGCTTGTTCTTTAATAAATTCATTAGCTTTTTGAATACAACATTCTATCAGAAGGCACTAGTTAAGCTATTAGCTTCAAAGGTCCATAGAAGGGCAAGAGATATTAAATATTTAGTAATGGTGATAAACTGTACAGTCTTCAGAATGATTGCAAAATTGAAGTCGTGTATCTAAGAAATAAGATTATTTTGATGGTGACATTCAAAATAATGCAGGTTATTTTAAAATCGAATAATGCAAAAAGGTGCTGAGGTTGCAAAAACATTTCATCAATTAGAAAATGAAAGCAGTAAAGCCAACTACCTGACTGGACCACATATATACTTTCTTTCTTTTCATATCACAAGCATTTTTTTTCCCACAGGAATATATTTTCCTACTGAATTACCATGACCACACATACATATCTGGATTCTGACATTTTCCCAACCCTTGTTGACTTTTTAAAGAAGCAGAGATAATGGAACTGTTATTCCCCATTGAGAATTGAAATAAATTTTACTTCAGGGCTCTTCATGGAGCTAAAATGATTTTTTTTCTTTTCCATCTCCTTTATAGATAGTAAATTGCTGGGTTTATAACTTTGAATCCAGTGTCGATTTCCAGCCCAATAGATAATTCTTCACTCAGTCCTTTTTCTAAGCCTGCTTCCAACCAGTCCTGTGCCTCACATGGCTTCCATAAATTTTGGTAGAGCTTTGCAGAACTGAAATCAGATCCAGATTGAAAACTGGGCATTTGATTATTCTGGTCAATTTCAATTCAACCCTAAAGTTATTATCATTTAGGCATTCTAAACCTTTGAATTGACTTTATCTTTTTTTTGTGAGTTATAATGCATGTCAAATATGCAGAAAAGTACAGAGAGTTATATTACAATCACCTATTTATCACTCAAATATAAAGATGTTGAAATATTTGAGTGAGAACTTTTCCTAATAAAACATTGCGGATAGAGATTAATTCTCATTATACTGGTCATGACCTTTATACATTAATTTATTTTATTCTTATGAATATAATAGTTTACTCATAATATGAACGTTTACATTAGTGCCTTACAATATATTAGGCACTATACTAAGGGCTTTACATGTATTAACTCATTTAATACTCAAATCCCCCCATGAGGAAGGCACTATTATCCCATTATACAAATATGGAATCTGAGACATAGAGAAAAACAAGTTACTTTAACGAAGTTTATACAGTCAGTAAGTGACAGAGTTAGGGATTTACCAGGTTCTACATGCTGATTTCTTAACCAATAGGCATCACAGAATGCCTCTCAGAATTAATTAATTTATTTTTTTTCTCTATTCATCTATTGAGTGGTTAGGTTGGTTGCATTGTTTCAACACATATTTTAAAACTCTTGCATATATTTATGTGCACATGTGATAGATGTTATGTCGGTTTTCTATGACAAAATACCACACACTGGGTGGCCTAAGCAACAGAAATGTATTTTCTCACGGTTCTGAAGGCTAGAAGTACAGAGCAAGGTGCTGGCAGGTTTGTTTTCTCCTGAGGCTTCTCTCCTTAGCTTATAAATGGCCACCTTCTCACTATGGCCTCACAGCGTCTTTTTTTCTGGGCTCATATATCCCTGCTGTGTCTCTATGTGTCCAAATTTCCACTTCTTACAAGGATACTGGTCAGATTAGACTGGAGCCCTCTCCAAGAGCTTCATTTTAACTCAACTGCCTCTTAAAAGGCCCTGTCTCCAAATATAGCCACATTCTGGGGTTATGGGGATTACAGCTTCAAACATGCATTTAGGGCACAATTCAGCTCACAAAAGTTGTGATACAGTTTTTGTTTTGTTTTTATTTTTTTAGGGAATGTACCAAGGAAGGAAATTGATGAACCTTAGGGAATACACATACTCATTTTTATTAGGTGTTGACAAATTGCTCTTCACATTGGTTCTACGATTGTGCATGCCCACTAGCAGTGTAACAGAGTGTTTTTTGTCTATATCCGCCTCAAAATGTGGCATGGTCATACCTTTTTTTTTCCTTTTTGAGACGGAATCTTGCTCTGTTGCCAGGCTGGAGGGCAGTGGCGCGATCTCGGCTCACTGCAAGCTCCGCCTCCCGGGTTCAAGTGATTTTCCTGCTTCAGCCTCCCAAGTAGCTAGGACTACAGGACTACAGGCGCGTGCCACCACGGCTAGCTAATTTTTGTATTTTTTTTTTTTTTTTTTTTTTTTTTTTTTTTTTTTGAGACGGAGTCTCGCTCTGTCGCCCAGGCTGGAGTGCAGTGGCGCAATCTCGGCTCACTGCAAGCTCCGCCTCCTGGGTTCACGCCATTCTCCTGCCTCAGCCTCCCGAGTAGCTGGGACTACAGGCGCCCGCTACCACGCCCGGCTAATTTTTTGTATTTTTAGTAGAGACGGGGTTTCACCGTGTTAGCCAGGATGGTCTCGATCTCCTGACCTCGTGATCCGCCCGCCTCGGCCTCCCAAAGTGCTGGGATTACAGGCGTGAGCCACCGCGCCCGGCCAATTTTTGTATTTTTAGTAGAGACAGGGTTTCACCATGTTGGCCAGGATGGTCTCGATCTCCTGACTTGGTGATCCACCCACCTCGACCTCCCAAAGTGTTGGGATTACAGGCGTGAGCCACCACGTCTGGCCGGTCATACCTTTAACTTTTGCCACATTGATGAGTATGAGATATCTCATTTCTTAATTTTGCAGTTCTCTGTATATTAACAAAATTGTGCATGTTTCCCCGGTTAGTAGCCTTCCATGTTTTTTCTCTTGTGAATTACCTCTTCTTATTCTTTGGCTATACTTTTATTAGCTCATTTAAATTTTTAAATCACGTCATAGGAATTATGTGTATATTATGCATGCTAATTATTTTCAGTTACATACATTGCAAATATCTTCTTCAAGTCAGTGCTTATAATTTCGCTTAGTATATGATGCCTTTTGCCCTAAGGACAATTTCAATTTTGATGTCAAATTAACCATTTTTCTTTGTTGACTTGAACCTTTGGGGTCTTATTTACAAACATTTCCCTGCTCAGTTATACTAAAGATAGAGTCTCATATTTTATTCTACATTTTTAAAACTGTGAATTTTTTAATTTTCAAATTTATCTAGAGTAGAGAGGTCATGGTGTCAACATATGTTATTTATAGTTCATGCTCTCACAACTAATTTCTAATGCCACTTCTACTAGATACCAGATGCCCATATAACAGCTAACAACCATTGTGCATATGCTACGTGTTAGTAGTTGTGGTTATATCACTTAATCCTCATTACACTTTCATGAAGTAGATATGGAAGAGTTTTTCTCTTCCATAGTTAAACAAACTGATGTAAAGAAAGTTCAAATATTTTCCCCAGTGTCAGCCACACAACCAGTAAGTAGAAGAGGAAGTATTTGAACTCCAGCAGTTTTGGATTATAGAGATTATACTCTTTACAAATATTCAGTGACACTTCTTTTATGAATACATAACACAGTTTCTGAAGTTTATATTGTGCCCATTGATTCATTTGATTATCACTGGGACAAATTATATAATTTTTAAAATTTTTAATATTTTGTATTTATTTATGTATTTCAATAGGTTTTGGGGAAACAGGTGGTGTTCAGTTACATGGATAAGTTATTTAGTAGTGATTTCTGAGATTCTGGTGTACCCATCACCCGAGCAGTGTACACTGTACCCAATATGTAGTTTTATTTTTGCCTCACCCCCCTCCTACCTTACCACCGAGTCTTCCAAGTAAAATGTGTCATTCTTATGTTTTGTGTCCTCATAGCTTAGCTCCAACTTAGAAGTGAGCACATATGATTTTTGGTATTCCATTCCTGAGTTACTTCATTTAGAATAATTGTCTCCAATTTCATCCAGGTTCCTGAGAATGCCATTATTTTGTTTCTTTTTATAGCTAAGTAGCATTCCATGGTATATATGTCATTTTCTTCATCCAATCGCTGATTGATGGGCATTTAGGCCTGTTCCATATTTTTGCAATCACAAATTGTGCTGCTATAAACATGCACGTGCAAGTGATCTTTTTCATATAATGACTTCTTTTTCTCTGGGTAGATATCCAGTAGTGGGGTTGCTAGATCAAATGGTAGCTCCACTTTTAGTTCTTTAAGGAATCTTCACACTGTTTTCCATAGTGGTTGTACTAGTTTACATTCCCACCAGAAGTGTAAAGGTGTTCCCTTTTCACCACATCCATGCCAACGTCTATTATTATTATTTTTATTATAGTCATTCTCGCAGGAGTAAGGTGGTATCGCATTGTGGTTTTGATTGGCATTTCCCTGATACTTAGTGATGTTGAGCATTGTTTTATATGTTGGCCATTTGTATATCCTCTTTCGAGAATCATCTGTTCATGTCCTTAGCCCACTTTTTGATAGGATTGTTTTTTTTCTTGCTGATTTGACTTCCTTGTAGATTCTGGCTATTAGTCCTTTGTCAGATGCATAGTTTGCAAAGATATTCCCCTACTTTGTGGGTTGTCTGTTTACTCTGCTGATTATTTCTTTTTCTGTGCAGAAGCTTTTTAGTTTAATTAATTCCCATCTATTTATCTTTGTTTTTGTTGCATTTGCTTTTGGGTTCTTGGTCATGCAAATCACATACTTTTAAGGGCTTTTGCTTTCTAATGTTTTGATATTTGGTAGGGCAAACTTCCTCATCTTGTGTATTTTCTTAAAAATATATATAAATTATTGTTAGCAATTTGTTTATTTTAAACTCAGCTTCTTAAGTTTCATTAAATCCCACCTTGAGTTTTGTTGCAAGAAAATTGTGCTACTAGATCAACTTTTAGGGCATTAACATCAGTATAATATTAAGTTTTTTATAGGAGAATATGCTAAAATATTTATTTGTAAGGTAAAATTTCATGGTCTTCATGAAATATTCTCTATCAAGTTATTGCATTTTTTTAAAAGATTTAATCCTAAGAAGTGTAATCTATTGGTTGCTATTGTTAATGGAAATTTTGTAATGTCTATTTCTAATTGGTAGTTAAGATATATGGGAATAATATTAATTATGTGATGGTCTTCTTGCATATAACAAATTTAATGGATTTTTATTAACTCTAATTGTTTCTGTAGTCTAGGATTTTCTTATGTAGACAATCAAGCCATCTATAAATTAATGATTTTTATGTCCTTTACAAACCCCTTGTAGCACTTATTTCTTTTTCATGTCTTATTGCACAAACTAGGAAATCCATTACTATCCTGAACTGAAGCGATGATACAAGGCATCCTTGACGTGATCCTGACTTGTAAATGACAGCTTTTAAAGAAATAATGCTAAACACAACGTTCATTATAGATTTCTAATCGACACACATTATGAATTACAGAAACTCCTATAATTCTAGTTCTCTATGATTTATTATGTGGGATATATTAATTATTGTGCTTGTTATGTTCTCTAGCTTTATTATGAATGGACACTAAATTTTGAATTTTAGTAATTGGTTTTCTAATATAAAATCATCCTCACAATGCCTGGTTAGATATTAATTTATTATGATGCATCATATTTTTCATGCATTGTTAGAATAAATATTAACATTTTATTGAGGATTGTTTTTATATATATACATATATTCTAATTAATGAGATAGGCCTATAATTTTTCTTTATTGTACTGTCCCTGTAAAGTGTCAGTGTCAAAGTTATTTCAGTCTTATAAAATGAATAAGGCAGGTTTCCTTTTTGGTTTTGCTAAAAAAGTGTGTATTACATAACAGTTGTCTGTTACATGAACACTTGTAGAATCAGATCTATAAAATTCCTTGGGGCTTGTCCTTAGTTTGCAAGGAGGTGTGAAACAGGTTGGTGGAGTATTTTTAGTACAGATTAAATATATGATAGCTATTGAAAATAATTATAAACAACAGACAGCATTCAATAAAAATCAAAGCTTAATATTTAAAAGAATCATAAAAGCAGAAAACGTCTGAGAATATTTTTCTAGAACAAAAAAATGTAAAAACAAACATTAGGACATGAGTAGAAACAAATATTTATCTGGCTCACTTGCTATCATCATTAAGAAATGTGCAACTAATCACTAGTTCATAAAAGTTAATTTTTCTTCTGCTGTTTTACAGTTTTTCCTTTTTCACAAACTTGTTATAATCTGTCATTCTGAAGTGAAGGAAGTACTAGTCATGAAACTATCATTGTGAAGCAAGGCAGCCAAATAAAATCCTCCACCTATCACCCTCCTCATAGGAACACCAAATTTTAACAACTAACTACACACAAAAAAGCACTGTAATAAGAAACAAAAATCAAGTGGGCAATAATAGTACATGGTTTTAACTTTACGTCACTGAAAGAGGCACAGAAGAGGGTAGGAAAGACAGTCTTGAATCATCGCCGAAGCCACCCCTCCCCTGCTCCCCACCCCTCCCCTGTTCTCCACCAGCAGCTGTGTGGCATGAAGAAAGAGTCTGTGCATGTGGGAGACAGAGCACACAGCAACTGGGGGACTTAGTGATATGGCTCCAATGAGTGGAGTGGTTTTAAGGAGAGGAGAGTTTAATAGGCACGAAAGAAAGGAGGGGAAAGAAGGAAGAAGCTTTGTCTATACAGAGACAGAGGGAGGGGGGCCCTAAAGCCAAGAGAGGAAACCCTGAGTGTGGTGGAAACCAGCCAGTTATATGAGGAGGCTGGAGGAGGCAGTGTCTGATTTGCATAGGGCGCAGGGGATTGGTTTGATCAGGCATGTTATTCACGCAGTTCGTAAAATAATTGGCCCTCCCATCCTAGCCTTTTAATTTGCAAATACAGGGCGCCATGATGTTTTACACACGTGGGGATATGTGGGGGCAGCCATGCTGCCAAGCACATGTAGGGGCAAGGGCAAGAGGATAACAGTGGGAATTGCCATGTTTGGGTGGATCCAGTTTCTAATGGCCTGCATTTGCATATTAAAGGTTGTCTGCCTGGCTCTAAGAGCCAGGGCTTTCCTGCTAGACAAGAAACATTTTTGGAGCTGCTTTGAAAGAGACAAAAACTTCCCAAGGACACCTTTTCCTCTCTAGCTACCTAAAATAATTTCTTAATAACTCCTATAACATTAGCGTTAAACTCAGTGCTGCCCTATTGCGGTGGAGAGCAAAGCGATGCTGACTCAGTCCATGCCCACACACCAAGGGAGCATTCGGACCAGCCCTAGCCAGAGGAGAATCACCCATCCCAGCACTCGGAACCTGAGTTCAGACAAGCCTCATCACTACAGGCAAAAGTACTCTGAGGTCCTAGGTATACTTGAATGACAGTCTAGGACACAAGGACTGCAGTTCCTAGGCAAGTCCTAGTTCTGAGAACCAGTGAACTAGGTTGGCACGTGACAGAGAGAGACACCAGATGGCACAGCTAAAAGAGGGCTTGCACCATATCTCTCCAAACCTCAGGTAGTGCAGCTGGCAGCAATGAAAGTGGTTCCTTCCATCTGTTTGAGGAGAGAAGAGTGAAGAGTACTTTGTCTTGCATCTTAATTAAGAGTTCAGTCACAATGGGACAGGGCACTGGGCAGAATCGTGAGGCCCCGATTCCAGGCCCCAACTCCCAGATACCGTTTCTAGACACACCCTGGGCCAGAAGGAAAACTGGTCTCTTGAAGTGAAGGACCCCGTCTTGACAGGATTCATCGTCCGCGGACTAAAGATTCCTTGGACCCTGAATAACTAACAGTGATATCCAGGTAGTATGCTACGGGGCCTTGAGTAAGACTCTGCGATGTATTGGCTTCAGGTGAGACCTAGCACATTCCCAGCTATGGTGGCTATGGTGACAGACTCCTTCTGTTTGACAAAAACAGGGGAAAAGTAAAGGGGACTTTGTTTTGCACTTTAGATACCCACGTAGCCACAGTGGGGTACAGCAAAAAGCAGGTTCTTGGGGTCCCCGAATCCAGACCTAGGCTCCTTAACAGCATTTCTAAAACTGCCTTGGGCCCAAAGGGAGGCACTGCCCTAAAGGGTGACTCGCAGGCCTGGCAGTATTTACCACAAGCTGACGAAAGAGCCCCTGGGCATTAAGAGAACATCGGTGGTGGCCTGGCGGAACATCCTGCAGGCCAGGGGTGGTAGTGGCCACTGGAAGAGGGACCTCTGACTGTGGAAAGGGGAGAGAAGAGCAGAAAGGATTTTGTCTTGTGGTTTGAAGGCCAGCTTAGCTGCAGTATAATAAAACACCAGGTAGATTTCTAAGTTTTTTTACTCCAATGAGTGGCTCCCAGATAGTATCTCTGGACCAGCCAGGAGCTAGGAGAATGCGCTACCCTGAAGGGAAGGACGCAAACCTACTGGCTTCCCCATCTGCTGACAGTAGAGACGTGGGGCCTTGAGTGAACAGAGGCAGTAGCCAGATAGTGGTTATAGAGTGTCTTGGGCAAAACCCAAATGCTGTGTAGGCTTCAGGTCTGACCAAGCGCAGTATAGTGGTAGTGGCCACAGGGGTACTTGTGTCACCCCACACCTAGAGTTAGGGGGCTCAGCACAGACAGAGAGAGAGATTCCATTTGTTTGGGAAAAAGTAAGGGATGAGAACAAGAGTCTCTGCCTGGTAATCCAGAGAAATACTTCCAGGTCTTATCCAAGATGACCAAGGTGGTACTTCCATGCATCTGCAAGAATCACAGTGTTATTGGGCTTGGGGCCCAAGTCTCTTCAAATACATGGAAATCCATCCTAACAAAGACAGGCACAAACAAGCCTAGACTGTGAAGATTAGAATAATTATCTAACTCTTTAATGCCCATACACAGATGAACCACTACTAGTATCAAGACAATCCAGGAAAAAATGACCTCACTAAATGAACTAAAGAAGGTACCAGGGACCAGTCCTGGAGAAACAATGGAGTACTATTCAGCCATAAAAAGAATGAAATCTAGTCATTTGCAACAACATGGATGGAACTGGAGATCATTATGTTAAGTGAAATAAGACAGGCACAGAAAAACAAACATCACATGTCCTCACTTATTTGGGGGATCTAAAAAAAATAAAATAAAATAATCTCATGGAGATAGGAAGTAGATGGATGTTTACCAGACCAGGGGAGATAGGGAATGGTGAGAGGGTAGTGGGGATGGTTCATGGGTACAAAAAAAAATAGAAAGAATGATTAAGACTTAGTATTTGTTAGCACAACAGGGAGACTATACTCAATAATAATTTAATTGTATATTTTAAAATAACTAAAAGAGTATAATTGGATGGTGTGTAATACAAAGTATAAATGCTTTTTATTAGGGATACAATGTGTACTATGATGGATACACTATAAAGGATACATTGTGTACCATGATGTTCTTATTTTATACTGCTTGCCTGTATCAAAGTATCTCATATACCCCAAAAATACCCATGAAAAATAAAAATTTAAAATTTAAAAAAATCTATCATTGTTTGTATTGCCATGAAATTCACTGAGGTTGTGTGAGTGTAAAGTCTCTATTTTCTAGGTTGATATGAAATTAGGTTTCCAGCTTCCTAGAATGATTATTCATTAAATATTACTCATTTATTAACTTATTTGGGCAGCAATTTGTACCACCCACTTATCATCTGGTTGGGGTGGGTAGGTTATGTGACATTTACCAAAAATAAAAAATAGCTAATTTACTTGAAATGTCACTATTTTCTTCGTGTGCTAAATCATTAAAAAGTGCAACTTCCTTCTTCTGTAGCCATGTGCTAAACTCTGCTAGGTCCAGATTTTAACTCTCAAGCAGGTCATCATCTCACAGGTGGAAATATGATGGCACACTAATGATTATAGTAAGGTAAGAATAAGGAAAATGACATAAGGTCAAGAGCCAGGTAGGAGCAGCTTACTCCTATAACCCACTGCAAAGTATAGTGCTTACCACATAGTAACTGCTTAGTTAATATCTGTTAAATGAACAGATTGTCTTCAGAGAGTATCTCAACGCCCTGTAATTATATGCAAGATTTTGTGTGGATCGCATCAAGGATCTCATAATACAGTGGCAGAGATGATCATTAAACAAATAATCACATACATACGTGGACTATATGATTTAATATTGTGTAACGGACTAAGCATTAAGCTACCTTTGAGTGTGGGTATCCCGTTAACTCATCACACATAAACAATACCTTCCAATAGCTCTGCATGTATGTATACTCCCCTGCCCCCGAATAGAAGGTGGAGGTCTGTGATACCTTGGGTAGAAATGGAACCAGAAAGGAAAAACCTCCTCACCAAGGTGTAACTCACAAGAAGCATTCCTTTCAGAGGAATAGCTGACATACATTGTTCATTTGAGTCTCCGGCGCCATACAATAAAGGCTAAAGATTCTAGTCAGTTTATAGGCCACTGGAGCCGCTACAGCATCATCACCCATCTCCTACTCTGCTCTGATTTTGCTGTCTTTTTTTCTCTCTCTCTCGTTCTCTCTTTTTATCCTTCTTTTCTTCTCTCCCTCTCTCCCTTTCTTCCTCTATCTCTTTTTCCCTCTTAATATCTTCCTCTTTATTTTGCTCTCATTCTCTCTTGCTGGATTTCTCTCTTATTTTTGAATTTCCATTTCTTTGACACTCAGTTTTATATATATATATATATATATATATATATATATATATATACACACACACATATATGTATATATACATATACGTATATATACATAGACATATATGTATATATACATATATGTATATATACATATATGTCTATGTATATATACGTATATACGTGTGTATATACGTGTGTATACGTGTGTATATACGTGTGTATATACGTGTATATACGTGTGTATATACGTGTATATACGTGTGTGTATACGTGTGTATATACGTGTGTGTATACGTGTGTATATACGTGTGTATACGTGTGTATATACGTGTGTATATACCTATGTGTATATGTGTATATACGTGTATATACGTGTATATACGTGTATATATACGTATATATACGTGTATATACGTGTATATATGTGTATATACGTGTATATATACGTATATATGTATATGCGCGTATATATACGTACATGTATATGCGCGTATATATACGTACATGTATATGCGCGTATATATACGTACATGTATATGCGCGTATATATACGTACATGTATATGCGCGTATATATACGTACATGTATATGCGCGTATATATACGTACATGTATATGCGCGTATATATACGTACATGTATATGCGCGTATATATACGTACATGTATATGCGTGTATATATACATATACACATATATACATATACACATATACATATATTTTGAGGCGGAGTCTCACTCTATCGCCAGGCTGGGGTGCAATGGTACGATCTCAGCTCACTGCAACCTCTGTCCCCTGGGTTCAAGCAATTCTCGTGCCTCAGGCCCCTGAGCAGCTGGGATTACAGGCACGTGCCACCACACCCAGCTAATTTTTGTATTTTTAGTTGAGGGGGGTTTCACGATGTGGCCAGGATGGCCTTGATTTCCTATGTGATCTGCCCACCTCAGCCTCCCAAAGTGCTGGGATTACAGGCTTGAGCCACCATGTCTGGCCTCAGTTATATATATAAACTTCATTTTATTTTATTATTTTTTTTAGCATCTCAATAATTTTGGAAGCCAAGGGAAGCCTGAATTCACAGATTCAGTCTGCTATATCCAGGCATACTCACTGGTTATGGTTATTCATTCATTCACACATACATAAAAAATGTTTATCTAATAATTTCTGTATGCTCAGAAATGTATTTAACGCTATTAGAGGAAAAATACAAATAAATAATAAATCCTTGATTTTCAAGAGCTTGTAATTTACAATTGATATGATGAATAGACATGCAAATGCTAAAAACATCGTAGAGCATTATAAAGTAACAGCCTCTGTAATCCTAGGTGCTGAAAGCAATGCAGAAAGAAATATTATTTGGAAAATGTTTGTAAACTATTGGCCAACTTGCCAAAAAAAACACGAAAATTAAAAACAAACCTTTTTCAAGCTCTCTAAGCAGAGGCATGTTAAAAAGGGAAATGAATGTTTAATCAGGAAGGTTTTGGAAAACTGTCAATGTTCTCTCAGATGTTCCACCATATTGCTAGGTCAGCAACACATTATTACCGATTTCACATGATCATGTCAAGCTGTACTAACATCACGACATGGGGTCGAATTGAACCTGAGGCACTTGAATAATTCAAGCTGTTAGTATTGTAAGTCAGTCATTTTTTGAAAAGCATACTTTTTAAAATCAAGTCTTTTTAAAAAATTATATGAGCTTCCAAAAGTTAAAGCGACCTGCAAAATTTGAAACGTACAATGCATGTAAATGCTGTATTTCCATTTCCATTATGGTCCACAAATCGAGATGATAATTGAGAAATGTGATTGTCACCAAAGACTGGAAATATGATACAAACAACACCTCTTATTTCCTGATTTCATTGTAGGATGACCAATTGATGCAATGAGAGATTTGAACATTTTGTGTTTCCTCAGAAAATGTGCAGGAGAGCTGAGCAAACTTGCAAGAACCAGTATAAGAAAATGACTCATTTAGTGAGGTGAAAGAAAAATGTTTTCCTCTAGATTTTAAAAATACGTTGCTGATATATTGAAAGCAGCTAAACCTCTGAGAAGAAACTTCATATGTCTGCTTCTGGAGAAAAGTAATCTATTTTCACTTTAGAGAAGGAAGACAGTAACCAAGGACTTTCCTTGGGGAGACAAAACAACTCTGAGCTGGACCCTAAGCAGTGTTCTGAAAAGTACTAGATCATTCTCACTACTCTGATGGTCTTTTCTCATCCCCACTCAACTACCCACGCCCAGGTTTACCAGAGTAGCCATTCTGCCCTTCATCCATAATATTAGGGTTTCATATAAATGGAAGAGGATAGCATGCTACTTCTACGACTGGGTCTTAAAACATTGGAAATGAATTTCTTTATGCTCATTCATCTTCCTGTGGGCTAGAACACAGACATACCTGCAAAGCAATTTCAACTATGCCAATATATACAATGCCCAGGGAGAATGGCAAATAAATAAAAGGTAGCCTAACCTCCTATGTAACTAAATGGAACAGAGAAGTGTGTCTTACTCTGGACTGTTTACTAAGAGAAATAAAAGCTTTGGTCTTTAAAGTTGGGTCTTCCTGTCACAGAGGCATAGCATTTTGTCCTACCTAATAGGCCATCAAAAGCCAGAAATGTGTCCAAGCTGTCTTCTGAATTAATTAAATATCCATTCTTTATAGCAACACCTCAAGGATTATAAATGTTTTCATTTGTCTCATGTCATTCTTGACATCCACTAACAATAATCTCAGTAGAGTGAGAATCAGAATTAGCAACGTTTTAAAGACTGGGAACTGAGGCAAGAGATGCAGCTTTTTAATTCCAAAATTGAGCAAAGAGAATAAAAATCGAAAACACAATTTTCTAACACAAAGCTCTGTCCTTATATAAACATGTTATTCCAAATAAACTGTTTCATAGACAGCTAACTTTTCATCATGACATTCTGAGGTAGTTTAAGACACAGACATCTCTAGACAAGAGATCAAAAGCACTCTTCTTGTCCTCTAACATTCAACAAATGTGTGATTCACATTGCTCCATTTACACAAATTTTACAAATATGTCATCTACAATTGAATACTTTTTCCGATTAAATAATATTGAAATTTACAAATATAACTATTCCTCTGCAACAATGAGGGCTTAGGTGCCTGAAAATCTCGAACATAGGAAATTGGGTGTTAAAGGACTTCGGGTCGTAAAGGAAATCAGGGGACGAGCTCCTGATTCCCAGACAGTGTTTCTGGAACCATCCGGGGCCTGGGGACCTTACCACTCTTAAGGGAAAAACAATAAAGCATCCTACAGAGTCTAGAAAATAGCCTCAAAAAAGCAAATCTAAGAGTTATTGGCTTTAAAGAGTAGGTGGAGAAAGAGACAGGGATAGAAAGTTTATTCCAGGGGATAATAACAGAGAACAGATAACCAACAGAATAGAATAGAGAGCCCAGAAACAAATCCACGCACCTACAGTAAACTCACTTTTGACAAAGTGGCCAAGAGCACACACAGGGAAAAAGACAATCTCTTCAATAAACGATGCTAGGAAAACTGGATATCTATTCATATACAGAAAAATAAAACTTGATCCATATCTCCTACCTCATAGGAAAATGTAATCACAGTGGATTAAAGACCTCAAACTATGAACGTACTGCAAAAAATTATTGGGAATACTCTCTAAGACATTGGGCTGGGCAAACGTTTTCTGAGTGATACCCCACAAGCACAGGCAACCAAAGCAAAAATAACAAATGGGATCACATCAAGTTAAAAAAACTTCTGCACAGTAATGGATACAACCAAGACAGTGAAGAGACAACCCACAGAATGGAGAAAGTATTTGCAAACTACCCATCTAACAAGGGGTTAGTGACCAGAACATGTAAGGAGCTACAACGACTCTATAGGGAAAAACCAAATAATCTGATCAAAAAATGGGCAAAATATTTGAGTAGATTTTTTTCAAAAAAGGACGTACAAATGGCAAACGGTCATATGGAAAGGTGATCAACATCACTGATTATCAGAGAAATGCAAATCAAAACTACAATGAGATGTAATCTCACCCTCATTAAAATGGTTTATATCCAAAAGACAGGTAATAAATAAAAAATGCCGGCGAGGAGGTGGAGAAACCCTCATAGGCTGTTGGTGGGAATGTAAGGTAGTACAACCATTATAGTGAACATTTTAGAGGTTTCCTAAAAACCTAAAAATTGAGCTACCACATGACCCAACAATCCCACTGCTGGATATACACCCAAAAGAAGGGAAATGAGTATGTTAAAGACATATCTGCACTACTACGTTTGTTGAAGCACTATTCACAATAGCCAAGATTTGGATGCAGCCTAAGTATCCATTGACAGATACATGGATAAAGAAAATGTGGTACATATACACAATGGAGTAACACTCAGCCAAAAAAAAGAATGAGACCCAGTCATTTTCGACAACATGGGTAGAACTGAAGATCATTACGTTAAGTGAAATAAGCCAGGCACAGAAAGACAAACATCACATGTTCTCACTTTTTTGTGGGATCTAAAAATCAAAACAATGGAACTCTTGAACATAGAGTAGACTGGTGGTTAACAGAGGCTAGGTAGGGCAGTGCGGTGATGAGAGGGAAGTGGAATGGTTAACGCATACAAAAAGTAGTTAGAAAGAATGAATAAGACCTACTATTTGATAGCACAACGGGATGACTATAGTCAAGAATAACTTAATTGTATATTTTTAAAAAACTTAAGGAGCATAATTTAATTATTTGTCACTCAAAGTATAAATGCTTGAGGGGATGAATACCCCATTCTGTATGATGTGCTTATTACACACTGCATGTCTGTATCAAAACATCACACATGCCCCCAAAATATATGCATCTACTATGTATCCACAAAAATTAAAAGTTAAAAAATATTTAAAAAGAGATAAAAATAATGCCTGGAATGGTAATAGAGGGAGTTATCAGGATGAAACCTCTGCAGCTGACTTATAGGACTATTTCAGATTAGGCCTGAACAACCAAGGGCTCCAAGAAGGATATCTCTGAGAAGAGATAGAAATAAAATAACACATTACTTGATATGTTTAAATTTGTTGTAAGGAGAGGTATCATTCTAGTAGAGAGTTTGAGGATGAGTTAATGGCAGATACTAGACAAACAACAAGGAGACAATTATTAGCTAGTGGGTGAAAGAAAAGTTATGCAATAAACTCAATGTAATTATTGTATATTATTTCATGGTTAATCTGTGAGTAATATGGCATATGCATAATAATAAAAAGGTTGAATATTAATGAAAACACATTGTGAAATTATTTTACTGTGGAGTTATGGGGAGAAAAATGTTCTTGAGTGGGATCAGGCCAGAAGTGCAGTGAGAGACTATAAAACTTACCTTCCATGGTAGCAAGTCAGTGGAAGAGATCTAAATAAGAAAAAATAAAAAGCATAGAAATGTAGAGTTAAATGCTAGGAGGAAAAGAAAGATAAACATGTTTCAAGTGGTTTTTTAGATAATTTTAATAAGATGGAGCAGGAAAGGTGAGCACTCTGTGTGTGTGTGTGTGTGTGCACGTGTGTATATACGTGTGTGTATGTATGTATGTATGTATGTATGTGAGAGAGAGAGAAGGAGAAAGAGAGAGACAGAGAGAGAGAGAGAGAGAGGAAGAAAGATACCTTCTGGAACTTTACATATTCTGAGTTTGGTAAAAAATTAAATTAAAACAAGAATCTCTTCTCTTGGTGTTCATTTTCTCTTTCCCATCATGGTAGCTGAGTACTCTTCCAAATTCTCTAGAGCAAATGAACGTGATTCAAGTAGGAGTGTAAGAATTCTTGAGAGAATCACATATGTATAATGCAAATGCAAGGAAGAGAGGTCACATTTACTCTTAGGCCTTGGCTAACCCTAGCTAATTAATAAAAACTAAGTAATTTTTATACTTGGTCATATAGAATATCACTTAGTATGAATTTTCTGTTTCATATTCCTAAAAGCAAGTCCTTGAATTTGGCCTTATGAGACCTAAAGTAAAGAACCAGTCTGAATTCTGCCTGTATTTCTTACCTACAAAACTGTGAGACATTTATTTCAATGTTTATTATTTTAAGCTGCTAAGATTGTGTTAATTTGTTACACGGCAGTAGAAAACAAATAGACATGCCTATTGCCATAGTATTTTATAGCTAAAGCCATATCCTCAGCATATCCTTCTCAGAAGAAACTCGACTGGCTCTAGCGTGTTGATCTCTGTGGTGTTTAAGATGAAGAATATGCAGAATGCAATATCTACTTTTCAGATTCTTAGCAGAAAATTTAAATACAAGCAATCTGTTGTCCACCTGTTGTCAAATGGTGATGGTTTCTGTAAAGGCTACATAGCATATGAGAAGGTGTGGTCTCTATTTGTAAGGTACAAAGTATGCACCCACACATACAGGTGATTACTGATAATACAAATCTTTAAAATCTAGTTAACCTGATAACGTTTTAAAGAGATTTATTAAAGTCTTCCACAGTAATTGCAATAATGTGTGATTCTTCTTGTATTTCTGGTAGTTTTTGCATTATGTATTTTATTATTGTGTTACATTTAAGAGAAGAAAACATGAAATATGTACATCTTTACTAGGAGTAAACAATAAAAATTAAAATTAAAATAATTTGACTAAGAAAAATTTTTTAAATGAGACAGATGATATCTGTTGATGGGGGTGGGTGATGAGAAAATAAAAACATTTATACACTGCTGTTAGGACTGACAGAGCAGGAGCATCGCCATCTTGGACAAGCCCCTCCTTCTAAAGTTCACCTTAATAAAAAACTGCCTAAATCCATAGGGTGTCAGCCTAACGGCTAAAGTCAGCATGAGCATAAACCACAAATAACATCTCCGACCGGAAACATTCCACATTCTTCCCTGACGAGAGACGTGCTAGTCCCAAGACAAACCCCACTCAGGGCTGGGAAGATGTCTGCCCCAAGATAACCTCCCCTCTGCCCAGAGAGATTCCAACCCCGCCATAACCTTCTCCACACACATAAACATTCCAAGCTTGTAATAAGCCCCCTCACCCTAAAACCAATATATTCTCTTAGTCTGTAAGGGAAAGTGCTCCTGACCGAAATTGGCCAGGAGTGCCTCTCAGGTTTTGTTTAAAGTAAATCTGTCTTTAACTGCTAGCCATGTTTTGTGTTTCTTTCCTCTTTCTTTAACTTTACAAGGACCATGCATTAATGGCATTATTGGTAGAAAATATTCAAGAAGTATTTATTAAAATAAATGTTCATGCCATTTTGGTCTGATAATTTCACCCTTAGAAATGAAGATTCAGGCCAGGCGCGGTGGCTCACACCTGTAATCCCAGCACTTTGGGAGGCCAAGGCGGGAGGATCGCGAGGTCAGGAGATCAAGACCATCCTGGCTAACACGGTGAAACCCCGTCTCTAATAAAAATACAAAAAAATTAGCCGGGCATGGTGGCGGGTGCCTGTAGTCTCAGCTACTCAGGAGGCTGAGGCAGGAGAAGGGCATGAACCTGGGAGGCGGAGCTTACAGTGAGCCAAGATCATGCCACTGTACTACAGCCTGGGGGACAGAGCAAGACTCCGTCTAAAAAAAAAAAAAAAAAAAGGAAAAGAAATGAAGATTCGGTGGGTAAAGAATAAATGTTTATAGCTGCATGGTTTTGTAATACCAAAAAAAAAAATCATATATCCTGGAAATATCCTCAATGCATATCAACAGTGTTATGTTTGAAAAAAGTATGTTACTTCTATAATTTGAATTACTATGCACCTATAAAAAAGAATATAAAAGATTATGTATATATATGCATACAACTACACATATGTATTCAAAATGATTCTTATGTTAATCAGAGCATGTTAAGAATTGTTTTTGTGAATGTGTGCATAGTAAGTGGGTGTGTGTATGTCTCCATATATTTATATAAACACATGCAAATATGTAAAAATTTTTCAAGTTTTTATAAGCAAAATGAAACATATGTAAGTCTACGTACCATAACAAAGAAGTTTCATTAAGCTGGTAAAATTAAGTGGCAAGATACTACTGAATTGTCTATGATATTTGAATCATTGCAATAACCACGTTTTATAAACAGAATTATTGAAATTTTTTTTTTTTTTTTGAGACAGAGTCTCACTCTTTCGCCCAGGCCGGAGTGCAGTGGCGCGATCTCGGCTCACTGCAAGCTCCGCCTCCCAGGTTCACGCCATTCTCCTGCCTCAGCCTCCCGAGTAGCTGGGACTACAGGCGCCCGCCACCACGCCCGGCTAATTTTTTGTATTTTTAGTAGAGACGGGGTTTCACCGTGTTAGCCAGGATGGTCTCAATCTCCTCACCTCGTGATCCGCCCGCCTTGGCCTCCCAAAGTGCTGGGATTACAAGCGTGAGCCACTGCACACGGCCCCTGAAATAATTTTTCAATTGAATTTGATTTTGAATAAAAATAATATTGAAATTAAGAATATAAAAATAAATTCTTTGAAAGGAAAAGAAAGCTTAAGAAAACAAAAGATAGGAATAAATAGTTTTTAAAAACCGAGCTGTAACAAATGCCATTCACACTGGAAGATTTCCTGAAAACTTAGACATTCCTCTAAACTAGTTATTTACAGTTTTTTCAAGAAAAAAAGAAGACCACATTCTGTTTTCAAATTAAATATTATGTGGGACCCCAGTATTAACACAAACAAAAGCAGAATTACTCTTTTTAAAGCAGGGGTAGGGATCCACGCACCTAGCCACCCTCCAGCTCTGTTATCTTGAAAGGAACTATGGGATTCAGCAGAGTGCAGTTTGGAGTTTAAATGTACTCCAGCTATTCTTGAGCCATTCCTGAATCAAGCCAGCCATCAGAGGGTGAAGAAGTTGAACACACTTATTTGGGCTCTATCAAATTGCTTTTATTGAACCATGCACTGGTGTCATGTACTTGTAGTACTTTGAAATTGGGCATCCAAAGTAGTAATATGAAATTCACCAAGACATTTACTGCATGGATACTGTAAAGGATTATATCCACAACAACATACAGTGACCTTATCAAGTGGATCCACACAGGTTTCTCTCAGACCCCTTAGTGCCAGGAGGAGTTATGGTTCACCCGAGCAACTGCTTTATATGATTTTATTTTTTGATTATGTAAACCTTATTTTTTCTCTTAACTATGAATACTGAGATGTTCAAAGAAAAAATTATAACTTATCTTTAGTAATAGCATATAACTTTAGGGTAGGCCATCTTATTTTCTTATCGCTAACTTTAGCCCTAACTACGTTTTCTTTGCTATAGTTATTATCTCTTTGTCTTGATCTATCTTTTTATATTTTGTAAGTTGATACATTTTAATTAGCTGTCTCACCACACTGTGGTATTAAGGAAGCTTAGAGTAAATGAAAAAAGGTTGATTCTCTAGGACATATTGAGGTGATCCATGCCTTGGAGTCTGCTATGTGAGTTCCCCGTCCTAGTTGTTCTTGATAGCAAATCTCTTAGATTTGCTGTGTCAACTGTTTTCACCTCTTCTGCAATATGTATGCTGCTTTATGATGAGAGTCCTGTCTGTCTATTACATATGCGATTTATTTAATTTGGGATGTTTTGAGGGCCTTGTGTATAATGGGACTTGGGTAAGAATTTGTGTCTTATGTTCATGTCCCCCTTACGGCAAAAACAATGGTGCTAATTTTCAAATAAAACAAAATGCTATTCTTTTAGATTATGCTGCTTTGAAATTTGCAATGAATAAACCAAGTGAAAGCTTCCCTCTCAAATAAAGTATATTTGATAAGTAAATAGTTTTTTCCCCAATGAGAAAGACCACGTTTATCTTTGTATATTGTTTAATATCATATATTATACATTATTATAACATGTTGAGCATATATATTACTATTTAATTTCTACTGCCATTGTAAATTCCTATTTCCTAGATATATTATCTAAGTTACTCCTCACAGGAAAACTAGGAGGAATATAGCATGGTAGTTTGATAAATATTTTATGTGTATCATCTCATTTATTCATCACAATAAACTTCTGAGTTAGGAAATATTATTCCAATTATTTTTAAAATTCCTATTCTTGAAAATAATGAAGCTGAGCTTCAAGCAAGGTAAGTAACTTTTGCAAAGAGTTCACATTCTAAGTAAAGGAGTCCGATATTTTAATCCTCCTTTCTGACTTCAAGCCTGGGTTATGAACCATTATATTACTCTGTCCCTTCAAGATCAGGAATGGGACAAGGTTTTATAAACCACATTGACAGCAAAAGCAGTGAACTTAGGAAGTGTATTGCATAGAGGCTAAGGAGATCAGTTAGGTAGGGGTTCAGATCTCAGTTCTGACATTTGATGATAGCATGATGATCTTAGGCAAAACAACTTTTCAGTATTGGTTTCCTCACAGTCAAATGTAGATAAGAAGAATACCTACTTCATAGAGCTATTTGGAATTGTAAATAAGATAAGGCAAGTTTAGCACTGATTAAGTGGTTTCATACAAAGTACACAAAAATGTGGTTCATACAGCCACCACTAAATGGTGGCTGTTAATATTGTTGAGGTTCCCTTTACAGGTGATGAGGAAAATAAGCACTAAAATGATAATACCGAATCATTTTCTACCTTCATTTATTCATCTATATTAGGTATTTCCTGCAGACTTTTCACAAATGAAAAGCAACAGAGTTGTGATAGTCAGAGCCCAGAACCAGGAGTGTTCATTGCATCTGGCCAGCACAGCCCCTTGACTCTCCATGTTGGCTAGTAAACAAACTATGTGTTTGTTTCCCCAGCAATAGACTCTATACAAGGGACTGTGATATGGGCTGGGATGGAAAACTTGAGGAACTCACAGTTTAACAGGGAAAGACATAAACACAAGCAACTAATTCTGATGGAGCTGAAAGTGTTTTAACATGAACACAATTTCATCGGAGCATAAAGGAAGGATTTATTGGTTTGGAGTGAAAAGGTGAGAATGTATTCATTAAGAATAGATGTTTGAAAGGGATTCTGGACAGGAGGGAAGTGAGGGAAGGGCATTCCATGGAGCAGGGGGAAAGCATGCATATAAGAACAGAACAAATAATGAGGATGAAATTCAAGGAAGAGGTTATGAACAGTTGAGTGGGGTTAGAACAGCAGAATAAACTCTCCTGAACACATCTGAAAAACAGAGGCAAGCGATACCATCCCTTAAATGGGCAACATGGATATCACTCACTCACCACACAGGTCATCAGGTCATCTCAGACTTTGCCCAGAATCCTGCTTCAGTCTCTCTCCTCTTTCCTTTTCTCTCTTTCTCGCTCTACATCTATCAAACTTAATTACTTGTTCATTCTTCATAGAAACAGAAGGAGAACACTAGTTGGGGGAAACCTGTGCAGGCAACAGCTGGTCACTGAGGGAGAAATTAAAGCAAGTGATGAGAACAGATACAGTTAAGGAGGCTGAGATAGGAGATTATCCTGGATTATCCAGGGAGGCCCAGTGTAAACCCGGGGTCTTTATCAGAGAGAGGTAAAAGGGTCAGTTGGGGAAAGAGATGTGAGAGAAGCAGGGCTCAGAGAGAGGGATATTTGAATATGCTTCACTGCTGTCTTTCAGGATAGAGCAAGAGGACCATGAGCCAAGGGGTGAGGGTGGCCCCTAGAAGTTGGAAATGTCAGGGAAACAGAATCTCTTCTAGATTTTCAAGAAAGGAAGGTGGTCCTGCCGATACTTTGACTTTAGCCTAGTGAAATCTGTCAGATTTCTGATACACAGAACTTTAAGCTAATACATTTGTATTGGTTAAGCCACCAGGTTTGTGATAATGCATTCTAACAGGAAGAACAAACTGGTACAGGCAACATTTGCTGTCATTGATTATGGCTGTAAAGAATCAGAAGACATTTTAATTATTTTAAGCATACTTTTTCATACAAGGCTGGAATGTTTGGGAAACATATAAACTGAAATATATCTTAGAACATGACAAAATTCTGATCTTTTGAAAATTCAGATGTTCAGAAATGTAATCCTCTTTTGTTTTCTGAGGGAAGAACACCTATCAGTATAGAGATAGCACTGTGGATTGAACAACTACTCCGGCCTCGTTTCTAACTTTTATATTCTCCTGATAGGTGGGAAAAGAAAATGCTTAAACAATCAGTTATTGCATGTTAGACTCTGTAAACATCTTTCCATTGTCCTCTAACTGGTCAAGCAAAATAGTCTAATTTCCATAGTGCCAGCTCCTTCCAGGGAGATGAAGTTATTGAACATCCACTTTAGAAATAGAGCACCATGGCAAGTAGTGCTCTCTGAGGTTCAGGATCCTCTGCAGAGTTTATAATACATCTAGGAAGACATCAGGCTTTAAAAACTCTATGGAGCAACATGTCAACAAATTTGATTTAATATAGGAGAAAAAAAAATCCCCGCATATCTTAGTGCTGAGTGGACACTCTAGCTAAACCTACATTCCACTATAAAAAGCTTTTACATTACATGTTAAAGTGTTTAGCCCAAGAGAAATGCTGCCATGGACATCTATGTCTGGTGATCTCCAAAAATGGCAAAGAGGATTAATGAATGATGCATCCCAGCTGGTTAAAAATAATACAGCTATGTTGTTAATAAATACTTTGTTTTATAACATCACCCAAGAGATTTTTATGTTAATACACGAAATGTTTATCTTTTTGTGACTGCTTCATTACAAGTGAAAAATACTAAATGATTCCAAGTGAAAGCTTCAAGTTACAGTATTTTGTCCAGTTGCCTGGAAGCAGGATGTGACATTAACTCTGCATTTAAAGTAGTCTGCAACAATCGAGACTAATATTTTATTGCTGACTCCCTAGGTTATATTCCTTTACTGACTCTTCATGGTCTTCAGAATTCAGTCCAAATGTCTTAGCAGGACGTATACAGTCTTCCTTGACCTCATTATTGCATAGCTGTCCAGCCTCAAAAGCAGGAATAAAACATCAAAGTACAAATGTAGTTGAAAAAGTCCAATGAGATGTAGGACTTCTCTCCTGTCTGACCGCAGAAAAGGGCAGGTCTTCTTGTCTTCTCATTGGTTCCTTTCCCAGCCTAGCCTCTCCCATCCTTGTTTCCCCTGGCCTTATTCTTAGAACCCGGCGTCTTGCATCTGGACTGACTTTCCACTTTCAACCCAACCTTCATTTTAGCTTTTTTTTTTTTTGTAGTTCTACTTCTGCTTCTTCAATAAATTATTAATATCAAATAAATCAATTTACTCAAATCTAGTCTTTAATTTTAATGATTGCATTCCCCTTCTTATGTAGCTACATAGTTACAACTCTTCCCTTCAACTGTTATCCCCACCACTGTTTCTCCCAGCCTTTTACCTGGGGCTCTGAAGACTCCTGACCTGTATCTTGGCTGAAACATGATAAATAACACGTATACAATTCCATGATGGCCTTAATGGAATCGGGCAGTGTAATCTAGGAATCCGAGAAATGTTTATAATTTGCTTCTAAGAAAAAGTCCTTCTGTTTCCAGATAACCAACTATGTCTAAGGAAATAGTTTTTCTATTTCCAGAGAACCAATTAAGACACAGTGAACTTTTATAATAAAAGTATTTTTAACATAAATTGGAGAATATTTGTGATAAGATGAAAATTAGTAAGCACTACTATGTGCTTGTCATTTGCCAGGCACTGTGCTAAGAGTTCTACATAAAATATCACATTTAGTACTCATAACTATGTATGACAAATACTACTATTATTTAAATGTTGAAGTTATGTGACTTTTATATTTCACACAAATGGGAAGCTTTGAGGCTGCCATTAGAACTCAGATATATCTTGTTCTGGTGCTACGTAGAGTCATCTTTCAGCAATGCAGATTATCAGGGCAGACTAGTCTGATTTACAGATATTTACTGAAGGAATGTATGAATGGATTGATGAAAGAATAGATGGATGAAATAACATGATCATTGTATAACATCTTTTATAAATCATGCTGCTATAAAGACACAGGCACACGTATGTTTACTGCGGCACTATTCACAATAGCAAAGACTTGGAACCAACCCAAATGTCCAACAATGATAGACTGGATTAAGAAAATGTGGCACATATACACCATGGAATACTATGCAGCCATAAGAAATGATGAGTTCATGTCCTTTGTAGGGACATGGATGAAATTGGAAATCATCATTCTCAGTAAACTAGCGCAAGGACAAAAAACCAAACACCGCATGTTCTCACTCATAGGTGGGAATTGAACAACGAGAACACATAGACACAGGAAGGGGAACATCACACTCTGGGGACTGTTGTGGGGGGCGGGGGGGCGGAGGGATAGCATTAGGAGATATACCTAATGCTAAATGACGAGTTAATGGGTGCAGCACACCAGCATGGCACATGTATACATATGTTACTAACCTGCACGTTGTGCACATGTACCCTAAAACTTAAAGTATAATAATAATAAAATAAAATAAAATAAAATATAAAATAAAATAAAAGAGTAAAAGATTTTATTTCTTTCAGGGGTTGTAGTAACCCCCTTCCCCTTCTCTAAGTTCATCAAGCCCTACCTAAAATGTAGTGACCATTAAAATAGAAATCACTAGCATTAAATATCACTTTACCAGCTAAAGTAACTGGCTGTTTCCTTAAAAATAGAGCTATTTTGGGCACAAGTGCAATGACTCTAAACTGCTTGAAGTAGTGTGTTTTCAATAGTGTTTTTTTTTATTATACTTTAAGTTTTAGGGTACATGTGCACAACGTGCAGGTTTGTTACATATGTATACATGTGCGATGTTGGTGTGCTGCACCCATCAACTCGTCATTTAACATTAGGTATATCTCCTAATGCTATCCCTCCCCCCTCCCCCCACCCCACAACAGGCCCCGGTGTGTGATGTTCCCCTTCCTGTGTCCATGTGTTTTCATTGATCAATTCCCACTCTATAGTGTTTTATAATATGAAGTGCATAGTTTTAGAAATAACTGTATCTGAGGGTGTCTCCATAATCTAGCACTTCCTGGTTGTAACTGTGAGTATGCTGCCTATCTCTTCTGTGGGCTTACTTTTCTTATCTATAGAACTGTACTTACTTCATAGTTTTTAAAAATTCTTGAATGTTTTTTTAGCTCATGAATAAAATTATCTGGCTCAGTGCCTGGTACATTACAAATTTTAGCTAATTATACTGGTAGTGGTAACCAATATAGTTTTTTTCCATTTATCTATGACATAATTTTCAAAATGTCTTCACTGAAATGATCTCAATTGATCATCTAAGAATCCCAGACATAAAGCATAACATAACATAACAACACAACATAACATAACATAACGTAACATAACATAACATAACAACAAATTTGATCTAAGAAAATTGATAATACATTTTACGCTCTGTATTGCTTTTTAAATTCTTACCACAGACATGGCACACAAGTACTAGCGTACAGATGAGAAAAATGAGGTCAACAAATATTAAATAACTTGCACAAACCTATTTGGATAGTCAGTAGCAGAGCTCTGAACCAAATGCACTTTGAGTAGTCTCCCTATCTGAATCAAAGAGTTTTTTCAACTTTGATCCTAAGCTTATTTAGCTTATTCTTGAGAAAGTGACTGAGCATACAGGCTTCAGAGTCAGAATGTATGAGTCCAGATACTGACTTATTTACTTACCAGCTGTATGAACTTAGGATTCAGTTTTCTCATCTATAAAATCATGATAATAATGGTATTGACTTTGTAAGGATGTGATGAGGATTAAATGAGATAATATATACGAAGCACTTAGACTAGTGCCTGGCACATGTTAGTTACTCAGTAAATATTTGCAATTATTTTCTGATGTAAATGGTTAAGCATTTCCAATGTACTTATTTAGCAATTACAATTAATCTATCAACTTATATATTTTACTCTGTTCTGCGATTCAGTGAAAAAAATAATCTAAAAAGCTATATTATGTAATAAGAGGACTGGTGAATGCAATACCTCTGCACTACCATCTACTTCTAAATAGTATATTGCTGAGAGGATGAAAGTCTCCATTTTCTTGATGAGAAGAGTAGGATGTCTCCAGGTCAGCTGCCATTATGAAAACAGGTATGAGAAGATGACCAGCAGTGGGCCAGATTTCAATCTCAATGAATTGCTCCGTATATTCCCAACGTAAATGTAGACTCCTGGTTCTAAAAGAGCTTGTGTTCTCTACATAGGAAGAATTATTTCTCCGAGGTGTTCTAAATGATATTTGGTAAGGAAAATTAATTAAAATAATAATAGCTACCATTTAATAAACATTTATAATGTCTCAAGATATAAACTAGGCCCTTTGTATATGTGGGATGTAAAGCTAATCTGCAAAACCAAGTGTGGAAGAAATAGAACTTCCTTATTTCCCCATGATTTAACCTACCTTATCTTTGTGGGCCCACACCTACCAGGGAGGGGCAAAACTGAATCACTGTCATTGCAGGATTTCTTCCTTCCCATTTCCCCAACCTTGTATCTGAGTCCCTCAGGGGTTACACAAAGCACCAAAGAGTTTACTGAGAACGGTGTAGGTGAGTGAAGTGTGGTACATCCATTTCCCTGTGCTAGCCATCCACTTAGGCAGTCTGATATGTACACAAAGCTAGTGAGATAGTCCTCATTTCTCCTTGCAGGCTTCTCAAGTGTGACCCTTGCTGCAACTTCTGCACCATACTGAACGGTTTGAGAATTTGTCTGCCGTTTGTCATTCCGGTGTCTTGGCACCTCCTCCCTTCATAGCCAAACTTAGATGAGATCATACTTGACATCTTGATTACAGTCTTATGAAAAACCTTCACTCAGCAGTTTACTGATTCACAGGCACCGTAAAACAATAAATTGTTATTCTAAACTGCTATGTTTGGGGATAATTTGTTATGCAGCAATATGTAACAAATATAGGGATAAACAAAAATCTTTGTTTCTCCTCTCAGTGTTTCTCTTTTTTCCTAAAGTTTTTGGTTGGCAACCAAAGCCAGGAATTCTTCATTTTGTGATGTGATTTATGTCCTGTCACATCCTTCCACTGAGGCAAAATGTATCAAAATGCTTGACTGGGAGCTTATAAATCAGGAGAATAAATGGATTAGTATTTCAAAAATACAATTTCATCTTGCACTACCATTCTAAGAGATAATTACTATTATACCCATCTTGCAGAAACAATAGCTTCAGAGAGGCTAAATAATATACCAAAGGTTATACAGTCATATCAATCTTCATTTTCTTCATTACACTTAACTACCACTAGAAAAAAGCTTAAGCCAATATTAGAAAAGAAGAAAATCAAACTTGCTATTTAAGTCTGGCATGCAAGTTTCTACATATGAAGAATTGCATTCTAAATGAGAAAGGTTAATTTAGTGTAATTTGAGGTAACAGTATAACAAGAGTACAATCTGACTTTGTACTTGCTTGAATCTGCTTTCTTATGAAGACGGAAGTAAAATAGAGTGCAGTAATTTCCACAATTTATGATGAAGTATAGGAAAACTTCAGACACTAGGCCAACATTTTCACCTTCTTACATTGTCATACTTATTCAATTCCTGTCCTATGTAGTCCTTTGGAAAGGCATGATGTAATATTGCTTTCACCTATAAAATTGTTCATAACATTTGGTTCTCATTACATTTTTCTTCTCATATATAATGACTATTCATGATGGCACCTATTTTCATCAAACCTACAGAATTGAAATCCCAGCCACGAAAATATATTCTACTTTCTTCACATTTATATGTTCAATCTATGACCATCTTACTAATGCAACAAAAATTTGTGTACTCTGTACCTGAATATGCATGTCTTTATACAGTAATTTTGTATTAAACTTAGATAGACTGTGAGTGTGCCTTACCTATTCCATCATGTAGAGAACATATCCAGCTATAACTTTCTTCTTTAGCACCTTAAAAGTCCAGATTCCTCTAAAATATTTAGGTAATGGAAACTTATTTGAATACAAAGCTAAGAAAGAAGAAGCACACTTAGGTACTTCTGAGTTCTTTATCAGAAACCTTTGGGTTGGGCACGATGGCTCACACCTTTAATCTCAGCACTTTGGGAGGTTGAGGCAGGTGGATCACTTGAGCTCAGAGTTGGAGACCAGGCTGAACAACATGGCAAAACCCCGTCTCCACAAAAAATAAAAATTAAAAAAAATTAGCCAGTGTGGTGGCACATGCCTGTTGTCCCAGCTACTTGGGAGGCTGAAGTGGGAGAATCGCTTGAACCCAGGAGTCAGAGATTTTAGTGAGCTGAGATTGAGCTACTACACTCCAATTTGGGTGACAGTGTGAGACCCCATCTCGAATATATATATATACACACACACATATATATATATACACACACACACACACACTTATATGTATACACATACATACATATATATTACACACACATACATATATATACACATACATATATACACACACATACATATATACATACACATATATATACATACACATATATCTACACATACATATATATACACACACATACATATATATACACACATACATATATATATATTTATATATTTATTTAATGCCCATGACAACCCAATAAAGTAGGTATAGTAATTGTATACTTGAGGAAACCAAGGCACAGAGAAGTTAAATAAATTGCCCAAGGTAGAATAGCTACTAAGTAGCAAAGCCAGGATTAAAAACTTGGCCTTCTGGCTGGAAAGTCTATGGTCTCAACCATTACACTGTGCTATGTAGAGAATACCAATCATTTTAAATATGTTTGAGAAATCACATTAATTTTTAATAGGATATTGATGAAATGCATACATATTTGATATCCATATATATTATGTATATTCCATGCACTTGTGGTTAATGTGACTGAACGAACTCAGTGATGACCGCTCTAATGTAAAAATACATTAATATATAATATCTAAATATGAATATAATGAGCAAATCCATTGCTTCATTGTTGAAAGACATTATCTTGAATCTTGACATTGACCCTTATTATTTTTGATTTCAGGGAGGTAGATTAAACCATATCAGCCTTATTTTGCCCTACTCACTGTTGTGGTAACCCCAGCTCATATGCACCATGCTTGGTGGACATTAAGTATTCAATAATTGATAGTTGAATTAAATTGATGATGGATATTACTTGATTATGTGGAGATTATCTGTTGTGTCACCTCACAGATTATGTGACTAATGGCAGAAATATTCCTATATTTAATCCAGAACTACTTATTGCTTGTTTAGTATGCACTCTGAAAACGGTCATATTGTGTAGAGGACCCAAAAAGAAACAAGTTTTGCAGACAGCCAAATGTACACCAGTGGTAGACTAGATTCCATACACCAGGTTTTGGAGTATTAGATCAGCTCATTCCATGCTGGACATAAAGTATTTTATGACTGCTCAGGAAATCAAAATGAAAAAAAAACATAACAACCTACAGGGTCAAATTATTACCTTGAAAAGTTTGGAGATTGGACATATAGTTCCAAAATGATGTTCTTGGAAAGAATTTCAGTACCTTCTTTTTCATCAAAAATACCAAAAGAGAAAAAATTACTGTTCTTATCATATCCCTTTTAATGTCTGTGGGTTATTTTCTGCTAACTAACGTTAGTTTCATTGACAGCCATTTTTCATCCTCAACTGAGGTAATTTTTGTGTGCATCAATCCTTATCTACATGAATTATACATGCAGTCAATTATCTGTTCAAATTGAATCCCAGATTAACAGAGGGATACTATCATGACAACAGAACTATTTTCTTCTTTTCTCTTTCTTTTTCTCTACTTCTTCACCTCCTCCTCCTCCTTCTTTTGAAATGAGGATATTGAAATGACAAAGTAATAAAGCTAACAGAAGCTAAACTTGAAAAATTGACGCAAAGTCTCTTAAAATATCTACCTAAAGAAATGAAAATATTTGAAAAATATTGCCCCCAAATCATAAATACTATGTTGAAAACTTTACTATGGATGAAGGTTCTTGGTCTCAAGTTCCGAAAAGCAGTAAAATCTACTGTAACTTGGACTTTACTAATTAAGGAATATTTAACAATTGTGACCAGGCCTATTAAGCTCTTCTAGATTTTATGTATTTGCCAACACTTTAAGAAAATTCATAGAACTAGCAAATTGCTTTTGAGCATTTTAAAATCACATTCTGATAGAAACTATTGAAATGCTCATTGTCGGTCAATAAAACTCTTCCTATCTTTAGCTCCAATTTGTTACCCTATATATCATTTGTATGTAAAACAGTTGCATTTCTTTCAAGTTCTCAAAAAGTTGGAGTCTTTCTTCTTCTCTAACTAGTTTTGACGTAGTTTAGAAAACCGAGCTAATTTTCATTTATTTCTTTAACCATTCACTAAACTAATGGAGAAGATACCCTCATAGTTATTTACTTTCTTTTCAAGTTAGAATTTTGTTCAAAACAAAAGCTTGTTAAAGCCTCTAAATATATTGTTGGTACAGATACTAAAGTTTCCAAGATTCTAGATTATTTATTTCTAAATAAACGTCTATGCTATAAGAAATATAGCCTGAAGAAAAAAATTTAAGATTTTCCATAGTTCCCAAAAGTTTTATGTGATTTTTCATGCTCTCATTTATTATTCACACAAATATTCTTACTATAGCAGACTTTTTTCTCTTTAGAAGAGGAGACAATGGGGAAAGAATTCTACAAAGCTGGTAGCTGCAATTCTTATCATAGTTCATATATGTATGGATTAATTGAGAATGTTAGAAATAAAGATTAATTTTTAAAGTCTTTTCTTAGAGTAAATGTAAACGAACATGACAGATTTTCCTATAGTGAGTCTGCAAACAGAAACATGCGTTTACCCCAGATCTTTCCTTTTGTTCTTGAGTAAAGGTTCAAAATGTACCTGGGTTTTTCTGTTTAATAAGCTGTTTAAAATGGCTCAATAGAAAAGATGATATGATTTATTTTCCCTTGTTTTATCATTGGTGTCACTGCTACTGACAATTCATTTAATAATAGCATATGTATGCTACTGACATTGGACTGTAGCCCCAAGTAGCTGATGCTATAAAAAATCTGTCAACTTGGCAAAATGACCATTGGTTCTTAATGAAAAATAGGAAAATAAATTATAATATGAACAATATTCTTTTGAGTTTGTTGACAAAGATCATCAAATGACAAAGGTTATCATATTTCATTTTCTTCTGATCTATTCAGAGCTCCAAAATTTTGAATTATTTTAGTAGTGGTAAAAGTGGCGTATATATAAACCACGAGGCTGATATACACTGTGACATCATTTTAAATGAGTACCTCCAAAATGGTGAATGGGAATTGAAATGAATTATATTTTCTGTCAGCCAAAAGAGAAACATATATTAAATGTACGAAGTGGTAAATTAAACATTTTATTTGAGATATGATAAAGACCAACTATTTTGTTCCACAGATAATAAAAAAAAGAACTCAATCTTCATTCAAAAGTAAAGAGATTTTCAACAAGAGTGCCAAGAGCATTCAATAGGAAAAAGAATATCCCTTCAACAAATGATGCTGAGGAAACTGGATATCCATATGCAAGAAAATGAAGTTGGATCGTTACCTTACACTATAAACAAAAATTAACTCAAAAAGGATAAAAGATCTAAACGTAAAAGCTAACCCTTAGAATAAAACATAGATGAAAATGTTTATGATGGATTTGGCAATAATTTCTTGGATGTGACACCAAAGGCACAGGTAAAAAAAGAAAAAAAATCAGTAAATTGGACAGCATAAAAATTTAAAACTTATACATCAAAGAACACTATCAACAGAGCGAAAAGGCAACATACAGAAGTGGGGGAAATATGTGTAAACCATATAACTGATAAGAGGTTAATATTAAGGATACATACATAAAATTAAGAAATGGGCAAAACAACTTGAATAGACATTTCTACAAAGAATATATACATGTCACATGTAATGACATCCATATGCTCAAAATAAAGGGATGGAGGAAAATCTACCAGGCAAATGAAAAACAGAAAAGAGTAGGGGTTTCGATCCTAATTTCAGACAGAACAGACTTTAAACCAACCGAGATCAAACAAAGAAGAGCATTACATAATGGTAAATGTTTCAATTCAACAAGAAGACCTAACTATCATAAACATATATTCACCTAACACGGGAGCACCCAGATTCATAAAGCAAGTGTTAGAGAACTATAAATAGGCATAGGCTTGCACACAATCATAGTGGGAGACTTCAACACTTCACTGAAAGTATTAGACAGATCATCAAGGCAGAAATTAAACAAAGATATTTAGGATCTGAATTCAGCATTGGACCAAATGGATCTGGTAGACCTCTACAGAACTCTCCACCCCCAAACAATGGAATATACATTCTTCTAAGATGTACATAACTCATACTCTAAAACTGACCACATAATTGTCCATAGAACAACCCTCAGCAAATGCAGAAGAACGAAAATCATACCAAACGCACTCTCAGACCACAGCACAATAAAAATAGAAGTCAAGACTAAAAAAATCACTCAAAACCATACAATTACATGGAAATTAAACATGCTAAATGATTTTTGGGTAAATAATAAAATTAAGTCAGAAATGAAGAAATTGTTTGAAGTGAAGGAAACCAAAGTTACAACATACCAGAATCTCCGGCACACAGCTAAAACAGTGTTAAGAGGGAAGTTCATAGCACCATATGCCTACATAAAGAAAGCTAGAAAGATCTCAAATTAACAACCTAACACGAAAAACCATTCAAAAGATCAACGAATCAAGGAGTAGGTTTTCTGAAAAAATTAATAAGATTGATAGGGATAGGCTGCTAGTGAGACTATTAAAGAAGGAAAGAGAGAAGATAGAAAAAAATTAGAAATGACAAAGGAGATGTTACCACTGACCCCACAGAGATAAAAAATTACCATCAGAAACTACTACGAACATGTTGATGCACACAAACTGGAAAACCGAGAAGATATGGGTGAATTCCTGGACCCATATACCCTCACAAAATTGAGCCAGGAAGAAATTGATTCCCTGAACAGAACAATGACTAGCTCCAAAATTGAATCAGTAATAAATAGCCTATCAACCAAAAAAAAGCCCAGGATAGAATGGATTCACAGCCAAATTCTACCAAATGTACAAAGAAAAGCTGCTATTATTCCTACTGAAACTATACCAAACAACTGAAGAGGAGAGATTATCGGTCAACTCATTCTATGAATCTAGCATCATTGTGATACCAGAACTTGGCAGAGAGACAATGAAAAAGAGAAAACTTCAGGCCAATATCCTTGATGAACATTGATGTAAAAATCCTTAACAAAATACTTGTAAACCAAATCCATCAGCACAATAGAAAAGCTAATCCACCATGATCAAGTAGGCTTCATCCCTGGGATTCAAGGTTGGTCCAACATATGCAAGTCAATAAATGTGATTCATCACATAAACAGAACTAAAAGCAAAAACCACGTGATTATCTCAATAGATGCAGGAAAAATTTTCAATAAAATTTAATACACATTCATGTTAAAAAAAAAACTCTCAATAAAATAGGTATTGAAGGAACATACTTCAAAATAATAAGAGCCATCCATGACAAACGCACAGCAAACATCATACTGAATGGGAAATATCTGGAAGCATTCCTCTTGAAAACCAGCACAAGGCAAGGACACCCTCTTTCACCACTCCTATTTAACATGGTTTTGGATGTTCCAGCTAGAGCAATCAGGCAAGATAAAAAAAAAAAAAAAAAAAAGACATCCAAATAGGAAGAGAGAGGTCAAACTATCCCTGTTTGCAGATGATATAATTCTATATCCAAGAAAATGCCATAGTCTCAGCCCAAAAGCTCCTTCAGCTGATAAATAACTTCAACAATTTTCAGGATACAAAATCCATGTACAAAAATCACTCGCACTCCAATACACCAAAAACAGCCCCCGTTTTGAGAGCCAAATCAGAAATGCAATCACACTGACAATTGCCACGAAATGACTAAAATACGTTTTACCAGGGAGGTAAAAGATCTCTGCAATGGGAATTAGAAAACATTGCTCAAAAAAAGTCAGAAAAGACACAAAGGGAAAAACATTCCACTCTCATGGATTGGAAAAATCAATATCATTAAAATGGCCATTTTGCCCAAAGCAAATTACAGATTCAACGATACTTGTATCAAACTAGCAATGACATTCTTCACAAAACTATAAAAAAGAACTATTGGCTGGGCGCGGTGGCTCACGCCTGTAATCCCAGCACTTTGGGAGGCCGAGGCGGGCGGATCACAAGGTCAGGAGATGGAGACCGTCCTGGCTAACACGGTGAAACCCCGTCTCTAATAAAAATACAAAACATTAGCTGGGCGTGGTGGCGGGTGCCTGTAGTCCCAGCTACTAGGGAGGCTGAGGCAGGAGAATGGCGTGAACCCGGGAGGCGGAGCTTGCAGTGAGCTCAGATCAAGCCACTGCACTCCAGCCTGGGCCACAGAGCGAGACTCCATCTCAGAAAAAAAAAGTGATATTTACACTGAGATGTGAAGTCAGGTAGAAAGTACACAGGGAAAAAGTAGTGGGAAAAAGTGTCCTATGCAAAAAGAAGAGCATGTGTGAAGGACTTATAGCAGATAAAAGCTTCACTTCTTTCAGAAAAAGAAAGAAAAGCAGTGCAGCTTTGGATAGATGCTGCAATAGGAATATATGTCACAGTCTTTCTGGACCTGCCCTGTGGAGAGAGGTACATCCCACTCCCGTTCTGGCCCAGGAATCCATGTGTCTTGCTCCTTTCAGCGCTGTGAGGGGGGGGGCTCCTCCCACAGTCAAGTGTTGGCCAAGTACTGTTCTGGGCTCCATACTTCTGGCTACACATTGCAACCTCGGGAGCACCGGAACATCCCATGAGTAGGGTTTGGTTTCTGGCTTCACTGGGATATCCGAGGTGCAGCAACACTCTCAGGCTGGGCTGTGGAGGCTGTGCTGTGCACCTGCGCCTGCAAAGTGGCTATGCATGGACCCTGGGAAGGGTCAGCAGGCACCATGGCTTGCAGAGCAGATGTGCCCCAGTCTTACAGAGAAGCTGGCTCTGCTCTCTCCTGGCTCAGTGGTCAGCTGGGGCCTGTGCCTCCTTGATGGGGATGGGGAGACCTGGGGGATGGGCATTTATGGCCGCTATCCACTGGAGCTGCCCAGTGCACAAAACTTCCAGGCTCCATGCCATCTGAAACCCTGTCTCTCCCTGCTCCCCAGGGAGTTCTCCCTGCTAGCTCACACATCCATGGGGAATGCTGGGTCCCCCGTAGCTACAACTCCAGAGGTCCTTGACAAGAGTGAGCCATCCATCGGTTTCTTCACTTTCCCAGAAGCCATTCGGGGCCAGGAACTAGCCCTGGCATTTGGGTACCCTGCACAGGGTTCCCAGCTTCCTCCCTTTTCAGCCTCAGCTTAAGAATAGCCTCTCTATTCACTTTTAGTATTTTATCTCCAAAGATCTGCCCAAATTATGTGGTTTACTCGACAATTTGGTCTTGTTGGGAACGACACTTTTGGGCTGCATCTTGTCAGCCATCTTGTTCCCCCGGATTCTAAAGCATATTTTTTTATTGTAGCATGGTATTCCATTATATGGTCATATCATAATTAAACCAATGTGGGCCATTGGGTTTTTTTTTTTTGCCACTATGGACAACTGTAATATAAATATTGTCATAATTTTTGGCACATTTCTGAGTACATGCAAAGTTATCCAACAATGTAGACAGGGTATTTAAAAAAAGATGTCCAGGATACTATCAGATAAAATGGATATGGAAGATTAGAGACGTTTGAAACTGTCATCAAAGGTATTCTGAAAATAGTAGTTACGAGGCTCTTTTTTCTAGAAGGTTAAATCACACCAAGTTTATTCCAGGAAGGATAATCACAAAAATGCACAGAAGAAAAAAATGTATTATTTTTCACAAAATTATGCTCCCTTCTTTATGCACCCCATCCTATCCTTAGGTATGATACACTTTGCACAAACTCAGTACTCAAAAATGATTGATTGATTCAGGCTGAGTTAATACGATTAGATTTCTAGAAGACAAATGGAACAATTTTGATATATACAAAAAATTGTTTTGAGAGTTGATATCTTGTTTCAATTTCTGTTATTTCTGTTGTTTCTGCCCATGTTGCTCTATTTCATTTTATTTTTCAATATTTAGACTCCAATATTTGTTTAAAATTGTGTTGTTGTAAATATGTAAGGTCTACAGTATGATATTTTAATACATAGTGAAATGATTACTACAGTCAAACAAATTAACATATCCATCATGTAACACAGTCATCTTTTTTGTGTGTGATAAGAACACTTAAATCAACTCTCACAGCAAATTTCCAGTATACAATACTAGAGTATTAACTATAGTCTTCATGGTGTGCATTAGATCTCTAGACTTACTCATCCTGCATCACTGCGACTTTGTACATTTTTGCCTACATCTCCCTGTTTTTCTCACCTCTCCATCTCTGGAGATGTCACCATTCTCCTCTAGGCTTTTATGTATTCTACTTTTTCTTAGATTCCACATATAAGTAAGTAAAGATTAGGCAGTCATTTTCTTTCTGTGTCTGGCTTATTTTATTTAAGACAGCCAAAGACACAGCCAATGAAATAAAAAATCAGGCTACAGAATGTGAAAAAATATTTGAAAACCATTTATCTCATAAGTGGTAAATACTCAAAATGTATAAGAAATGTATACAAATCAATAGGAAAAAATGAAAACCAAAAACCATCTAATTTTTTAAATGAGCAAAATACATGAAGAGATGTTTTTCAAAAGAAAACATTAAAATGGATAACAGTTATATAAAAAGGTGTTCAGCACCACTAATTAGCACAATGGAAATCAAAACCACAAGACATCATCTCACATTATTATCAAAAAGACAAGAGATAACAAGTGTTGGTGAGTGTCTGAAGAAAAGGAAAGTCTTGTACCCTTTGTGGGAATGTAGATTGTCATAACCATTGTGGAAAACCATATAGAAGCTCCAAAGAAATTAAAAAATAGAACTACCAAATGACCCTGCAATCCCTTCTCTAGATACACAGTTAAAAGCATTGAAAATAGTACCTCAAGGAGATATTTGTGCTCCCACATTCATTGCTGCATTACTCACAACATCTAAGATATGATAACAACCTAAGTGTCTGCCGACAAATGAATGGATAAAGAAAATATGGTATATATACACAGTATAACACTATTCAGCCTTAAGGCGGAAGGGGCATCTGTCATTTGTGTCAACATGGATAAATTTGGAGATACTATTTTATTTTGTATCTGAATTGGTTAAGCATCTGCACTAATTTGCTTAAAGGAATTTGTTATTTGAATATGATTGAAATATCCAAATATGTTTTCCACTAGTAGACTTTTGACTTAAATTTCCTAAGTAATTGTGCTAATTCTTAATGTCAAAGCATATAAATGCTGCTAATAAGGGGGTATCTATCTATCTATATATATATATACACACACACACACATATATGTATACATATATATATATATAAATATTTTTATTTCAACTTACTGGTTGTTGTCAAATAATTATTAAGGGCTAAGTAGCAAGGTTATATCCCCATGAGGACGAAACTCTAAAATCATCTAGTTTATATTGGTTTTGATAAAAATTGGGGGCAAAAAATGAGAAAATTATTTCAAACAGTAATCCCACTTTATTTCTAAAGTTGTAATATATAATGAATGACAGCTAAATTCGATTGAAATTAGAATTGCTCATAATGATGAATGCCACTGTTCATTCACAGTAACTAGAAGAGAGAAAAAACAATTTTTCTTTAAAGGGAAAATCAACAGGCTGAAAGAATGATCAATTACTGAAGACAAAATTCTCAGAGAACTGATGAATTGCTTCAACTTCATTATCCTCTGAGCTTATGAGGACTCTGCATAGACTATGGATCAAAGATTATTCAGAAATCTCTGCCCCACTCATCACTGAATTTGGGCCTTAAGGCAGCTGGGAAACATGGGCGTGCCTGTCACTCACTGTTGAGCTACAAGTTGTGGCTCGCTTTCCCATGACTCTTAACAGTTAATATCTGAAAAGCCATTCATTAATTCAAAAACACCTTTTGAGTATGCATTATGTATTAAGGAACAGGATGATAAAATATAATAAGGCATTAAAGTATTTAAATAACACTAAGAAAGACAACACACATCCCATATAAGCCACATCCACTGTGTACTTGGCATCAGTGAATACCAAGAACTTGAGTATTTGATGGCCTTCCTAAGTCCGCGCATCACCCTGTCACTGCTCACCCAGAATCAGAGACGCTTCTGGTTCTGCGCACATCTGCTTTCTCCTCTGCCTGCTGCCTTGGCCCTGTGCCATCATGCAGAAAGAAAAATCTATAAATATGAACTATCTCACAAGCAGCTTAGAAAATATACAATGAAGACAATGGTGTTAATCATGATAAATATTATTTTCCCTCTGATTCATAAAATAATTGTATCTTAAAAGATTGATTTTTTAACACTGAACAAATTATGGGTCACAGACTTCACTTATCCACACAAGGTACATGTCTTTCACTTTATCATGACTGCTTTTGTTAATAAAATCTCAGTTGTAGCAAAGGAGTTTTTTATGGGGAAGATAATTCATCCAGAATAATTCCACAAAAGAGATGACACAAAAGATGTATTCACAGACTGTTTTCTAAATGTGTGTATTAATATTATTATACATGTTTGTATGTTATTATATGGAAAGCCACAGTTCACTAACAATTAGATAAATACAATCATAGTATGAGATTAGTCATAGCTTTCAGGTACAACTGGAATAAAGTTATTCCTTTTTTCTACTAGATTATTATGTACAAATAAGCATCTGTAATGATCCCAGTACATGCCTATAAATAATTAAATCATAAGAATCCAAAGATTTTTTTCTAAGTCAATTTCTATAACCTTTGAATATGCTATTTATAATCCTGTAGGTCTAATATATAAAAGCTGGAGAGATACATTTTGGCTTCAGATTAAGAGATGTTCAATAGTTAAAACTATCCATATGTAGGATGGCCTGCCTCAAGATAACACATTACCTCATGATACATTATTCAAGGAAATGAAGGCATGGGGTATTTGATAAATCTCAATCTGAGAATTAAAAGAACAATGTTTTGTTCCTATTAAGAAGGTTAAAACATCAGCATAATATTTTGATGAATATATTTTGAATATATTTGGAGCTAAGATTACTTTGGAAACTGGTATTTTGACTAGATAGGTAAAGACAAAAATAACCCTGTGTATCTACTCCAGTTAATAAATTTGGTTCTCATAGAAGTATGACTTAGCAATTCCGAAATTATTGTATGAGTGCACTAAGGTTGAAAAAAATAAGTCAATATATGGTAGACAATGAGTACCAACTTTTTCACTGCTGGAGAAATGAACTACAAAAAAAAAGAGGAGGAAATGAATGCTAGAATAAGACTTGTGGTTTGGAATTGGAAATATCATCAGTGTGACCCCATGATTTATTTAATATATACATAGATAGAGGATAGATAGATATAGGCATAGAAATACAAATATGGATATTAGATAGATAGATACATGTATGCATGAGTTATTATACATATATGTTTCCAAACTGTTCCAAATGTAAAGGCCTAGAAGCAATGATACCCCTGTAGCAATGTCCACATCTTTCCCCCAGACATTGGTTTCTAAATACCATTTTCTATTGAAAGGAACCAGAGTTGCTTATAAAGTAGTTCATTCCAAGACTGGGACAGGAAAAATACAAAATGAGTCTGGAAGTGCTCAAAGAAGGAGAAGGCATAACAAAGGCCAGGAATTTCAACATGAAGGAGCTCCCAGTGGACAAAATTGCAAGACTGTAAAGAATGAAATGTATAATGATAGTACTGTATTGCAACCTGTATAATAAAGTATATATCTGTGAGGAGTCCATACTGAAATAAGTAACTGAATAAATATGTAAATGCAGGAGATAGAACACCTTTTTCTTAGTAAAGAATTCCAATTGAAAAATGTAAAAGGATGGAGGGAAATAGAAAATCACAATTAGAATACTAAGTGACCATTGTTGCAAGCAAGATCCAGCAATGAGTCTTCGTGATCACTAAAGTTAGTGAAAAAAAAGTTTGAGGAGAAACAGGATAAATAGTCTCAAAGTATCACTACCAACATAGTTATTAATTTAAAATGGAATAATTGTAACTTGCTAATGTAAAGAACAGTCAGATACAATCTTAACGAAGTGTCCAAGGTTAGCATGAACAGAAATCAGGCATATCCACTTCATGAATACCTTGAAATGTTATACTGAGAAGGGAACCTCACCTCTTTAGTATTCATCCCAATAATCCATAACTGAATCCTAATCGTGAGATACCATCAAACACACCTAAACTAAAAAGAATCCTACAAAACAACTGTCCAGCTCTTCTCAAAACTGATAAGGTCATAAAGATAAAGAATAACTTAGGAATTGTCACCAATTAGAGGAGACTAAGGTCACATGACAACTAAATTAAATGTGGTTTTCTGCATTGGATCCTGGAACACAAAAATGACATTAGGGAAAAAGCCGGTGAAATGGAAATGACTTCTAAAGGTCAGTTAATATCAATGCTCCAATGTTAGTAACTTGGTTTTGATAAATACACTGTGGTTATGTAATACATTAATATTAGGGAAAACTTTAAACAGATCAGTTTGTACTATTTATGCAACTTTTCTACAATTCAGAAATAATTTTAAAATAAAAAGTTTTAAAAATCAGTATACACGGCCGGGCGCGGTGGCTCACGCCTGTAATCCCAGCACTTTGGGAGGCCGAGGCGGGCGGATCACGAGGTCAGGAGATCGAGACCATCCCGGCTAAAACGGTGAAACCCCGTCTCTAATAAAAATACAAAAAATTAGCCGGGCGCGGTGGCGGGCGCCTGTAGTCCCAGCTACTTGGGAGGCTGAGGCAGGAGAATGGCGTGAACCCGGGAGGCGGAGCTTGCAGTGAGCCGAGATCCCGCCACTGCACTCCAGCCTGGGTGACAGAGCGAGACTCCGTCTCAAAAAAAAAAAAAAAAAAAAAAAAAAAAAAAAAAAAAAAAAAAAATCAGTATACACGATGGATCCAGCATTGCCTTCATTTTGGCCTCGTTTTTTCCAAATGAGAATTTTGTTATTTCAACTTTTATTTTAGATTCAGTGGGTATAAGTGCAGATTTTTTACATGGGTATATTGAATGATGCTGAGATGTGCGTTATGAATGATCCCGTCAACTAGGTGGTGGGCACAGTACACAATAGGTAGTTCCTCAAACATTGACCCCCTCTCTCTCTTTCATCTTTAGTAGTCTCCAGTGTCTATTGTTCCCATGTTTATGTCCATGTGCACTCAATATTTAGTTTCTACTTCTTATAAGTAAGAACATGTAGTATTTGCTTTACTGGTTTCTGTGTTAAATTGCTAAGAATAATGGCCTCCACCTGCATCCATGTTGCTCTTAAGGAAATGATTTTGTTCCTTTCTATGACCGCGTGGTAGTCCATAATGTATATGTACCTCATTTTCTTTAACTAGTCCACTGTTGATGGACACTTAGATTGATTCCATGTCTTTGCTATTGTGAATAGTACTGCAATAAACATACAAATGCATGTGTCTTTTTCACAGAATGATTTATTTTCCTTTGGGTATATACCTAGTAATGGAATGTTTTGGTTGAATGGTAGTTCTATGTTTAGTTCTTTGAGGAATCTCCAAACTTCTTTCCACAGGGGCTGAACTAATTTACATTCTCACCAACTGTGTGTAAGTGTCCCCTTTTCTCTGTAGCCTTGTCATAATTTGTTAATTTTTTGACTTTTCAATAGTAGCTATTCCAGGTGGTGTGAGATGGTATCTCATTGTGGTTTTGATTTGCATTTCTCTGATGATTAGTGATGTTGAGCATTTTTTCATGTTTGTTGGCCCCTCATATGTCTTCTTTAAAAAAATAATGTCTATTCTTGTTCTTTGCTTAATGGTATTTTTTTTCTTATTAAATAGTTTAAGTTCCTTATAGATTCTGGATATTAGACCTTTGTTGGATGCATAGTTTGTGAATATGTCTTCCATTCTGAAGGTTGTTTGGTTACTCTGTTGATAGTTTTTATTTTGCTGTACAGAAACTCTTTAGTTTAATTAGGTCCCACTTGTCAAGTTTTGTTTGTGTTGCAATTGTTTGTGAGGACTTAATCATAAACTGTTTGCCAAGGACAATTTCCAGAAAGGTATTTTTTAGGTTTTCTTCTAGAATTTTTATAATTTGAGGCCTTACATGTAAGTGTTTAATTTATTGTGAGTTAATTTTTGTATATGGTGAATGGTAAGGGTCAAGTTTTATTCTCCTGTGTATGGCTACCCTGTTATCTCGGCACTATTTATTGAATAAGGAGTACTTTCCCCATTGCTTGTTTTTGTTGACTTTGTTGAAGATCAGTTTAATGTAGCTGTGTGGCCTTATTTCTAGATTCTCTATTATGTTCCATTGGTCTACATGTCTACTTTTATACCAGTACCATGCTCTTTTAGTTACTATAGCTTTGAAGTACAGTTTGAAGTGAGATAATGTGACACCTTTGGCTTTGTTCTTTTTGTTCAGGATTGCTTTGGCTATTCTGGCATTTTATTTTATTTTATTTTTTGGTTCTATATGAATTTTAGGATAGTTTTTTTCTAATTCTGGTAAGAATGATGTTGGTTTTTTAGTGGAAACAACATTAAATCTGTAGATTACTTTGGGCAGTATGGTCATTTTAATGATGTAGATTCTTTCAGTCCATGAACATGGAAAGTTTTCCATTTGTTTGTGTAACCTACGATTTATTTCAGCAATTTTTTTCTAGTTCTCCTTGTAGAGGTCTTTAGCCTCCTTGGGTAGATATACACCTAAGTATTTTATTTTTTGTGGCTATTGTAAATGGGATTGTATTTTTGATTTATCTCTTAGCTTGAATGCTATTGGTGTATAGAAATGCTACTGATTTTTGTACATTGATCTTGTGTCCTGAAACTTTACTGAATATGTGCATCAGTTCTAGCAGCCTTTCTTTAGCCTTTTAGGAAAGCCTAAAGAAAACCTTTAGGATTTCCTACATATACAATTATATCATTAATGAAGAGAGATAATTTGACTTATTCTTTTACTATTTGGATTCCTTTTATTTCTTTCTCTTGCCTGATTAGGTAGGACTTTTAGTACTATGCTGAATAGGAGTGATGAGAGTGGACATTCTTGTATTGTTCCAGTTCTTAAGGGAAATGCTCAAATGAGAATTTTAAGTGACACTCTTCAATTCATTTTTGTGTTATTTATTTATCTCTCTTTGATACCACACGTTTTTGCATCACTTTTGAAGTAGACATGATGAGAGCTTTTCACTTCTTAGAAAATATTAAAGCAAACACAATACACCATTTGTTAATCTAAAACAGATGAAAATTATTATTTCATCTATTTATATAACATATAATATCTCAGAATTAATTTACCTTTTATCTTGACTACCAGAGCTATATGCTGAATATGAAGATGGATAACATGGGACATTATCCAAATTCATCTTTAAAAAAGGGAAGTATTTCATTCCCATCCATATTTTAAGTGCAAGAGTTAATCAAACTCTTTAAAAATTGGCTGCTGCAGAAGGTTTACATTCAGTATTGTGACCATAGGAGGCAACAATTACCTATGTTATTTAAATAATAATAATAACATAATATCAACAAATAATTAGTGTGCCAGATACTTTGATATATGAACCACATGTATTATCGAATTTATTAATAACCATGATTTGGATTGCTAATAGGTATTGAGTGCACTCCATGTGCCAGATTCTGCTAAATATTTTACAAAATTTATTTAATTTTATCCTCATCACAAATCAGAGATAAGTAACATTGTTCCTCTTTTTATTACATATGAGGGAACTAAATTTTAATGAGGTTAAATAATTTGCTTAAAGTGACACATACATGATATGTTAGGCTCCAATCTAGGCAATTAAAATTCAGAGCTTCTACTCTAAAACTTTATAAATTATTGCCTCTATATCTTTAACAATGTTTATCATGATGGGTGGAAATTTATATAAGACGTCTTCTAACTCTACAACAGAGCATTTCAAATTTGGCTGTGTGTTAAAGTTGCCTGGTGGAGCTTTAGGCCTTTTAAATGCCAGGGCACACCATATACCAATTGTATCAGAATCTTCAGGTGCGGATCTTTGGCATCAATTATTTCTTGAAAGCTTTCCCAGGTGATTCCAACATGCCACGAAGCATGAAAATCTGTGGTCTAGAAATTGCTTATTGAGTGATTTTACAAAATGCCGATGGAAAAGGACATGGTTAGGAAGTTAAGCACACATTACAGAAATCAGAAATTTATGATATGAATTTCATTGTAGAGAAGTTCTAATTATTAATGAATGTATTTTCCTATTTCAATCTTTAACACACAATCCTCTGATGAGGAACTATATTACATATTCCATTATGACAATACTTTTCTACAGTCTCTGAAAAATGAAAAATAATTATAACAAAGAATTGCAAAAGAATTACTGAAGTTTATAATTACCCATGCAGTTGTTTTTCCTTCTAGTGTCTTGCATATACTGTTTATCTCACCACTTGGCAGTTAGTAAATGGGATTTTATTATCATTCTCTTTTACATTTGTTTTTCTCGAAAGAATCTAAATATCACTAAATTATATTTTCTCTTTTGGCTTGTTTTTTGAAAGCATTTATTTTTGTTACATATCTTTGACATAATTATTAATGTATTATTATTATTAAACATATATGCTCTATTTCTGTACAATTTCATGATAAGTTGAAGTAATTATCGAAAATGTTCAAAGAAAAAAGGAATTTTAACTAAAATTCACTGTATTTAAGCTAGAAATGCACTGGAATTCTGGAAATAAACTCCTTCAAACGTATTATTAATATATATTGAGACAGCATACACCCATTCGGCAAATGCCTGTGGTAAGTATATCCTCTATGATTTTTACTGAAAAATATATATGTTGATATAGGTAGGAAATGCAAATATTAAGTGTTCTTGGTTTGGTTGTAAAAATTGTTGTGATAGGCTGGGTGCAGTGGCTCACGCCTGTAATCCCAGCACTTTGGGAGGCCAGGGCAGGTGGATCACAAGGTCAGGAGATCGAGAACATCTTGGCCAACATGGTGAAACCCCATCTCTACTAAAAATACAAAAATTAGCAGGGCATGGTGGCACACAACTGTAATCCCAGCTACTCGGGAGGCTGAGACAGGAGAATTGCTTGAACCCGGGAAGTAGAGATTGCAGTGAGCCGAGATTGCACCACTGCACTCCAGCCTGGGCGACAAGAGCAAAACTCCATCTCAATAAAAACAAATAAATTACAAAAAAAAAGTTGTGATAAATATAATTGAAGAAATTGAAGGGACAATGTTCCTGAGAGAATCTATGAGACTCTGGATGCAAGCGGTGTCATTTCAGGGCCCAGCTGACACAATGAGATGGCAAACCAAGGCAAGGGCTAATCTTGCCAGCTTTGTAGGTAAATCATCACTACATGAAATTCCTGGAGACACTGGGATAAAAAACTCTTAGCACAGATGATGGCAGTCTTAAAAAAGCATCTTGACAGTACTAACAGTGAGCATTCTTTAGGTGGTGGCCTGAAGAGTGACCACTGGCTAGGAAGCATGGGAACAGCAGAGAAAGAGCACCACAGATTATTTGTAAATACACGGCTGACAAGTCTGTTCTTCACCAGAAACAATTGGGTTTAGTTTGTTTTGTGGATTCTTACATTCTACTTGGTAGAGGCTTGAGCTTTTGTAAATTGGGCATTAAAAGGTAATAAGGAAAGAAAACCAGTGTGACCTAATTTTATACTCACAGCCTAGTGAAGCCTGGTCATATGGTTTGGCTGTGTCTCCACCCAAATGTCATATTGAATTCCCGCATGTTTTTAACAAAGCAATAGGAAAGAAAGTCTCATTTTCTCAGGAGCAATTCAAGCTGACTGCAGAAATTTGCATAAGTAATGAGGAGCCGATTGTTAGTCACCAAGAAAATAGGGAAAATGTCGCCAGGGCATGTCAGAGACCTTTTATGGCAGCTCCTCCTATCACAGGCCCAGAGACCTAGGAGGAAAAAGTGGTTTTGTGGGTGGAGCCCAGTGTCCCCATGCTGTGTGCAGCCTAGAAACTTGGTGCCCTGCATCCCAGCTGGTTCAGCCATGGCTGAAGGGGGCCAAGGTAGAGCTCAGGCAATGGCTTCAGAGGGTGCAAGCCTCAAGCCTTGGCAGCTTCCATGTGGTGTTGAGGCTGCAAGTGCACAGAAGTCAAGAATAGAGGCTTGTGAACCTCTGTCTAAATTTCAGAAGATGTATGGAAATGCCTGGATGCCCAGGAAGAAGTTTGCTGCAGGGGCGAGGTCCTCATGGAGAACTCCTGCAAGGGCAGTGTGGAAGGGAAATGTGGAATCAGAGCCCCCACACAGAGTCCCTACTAGGGCACCACCTACCTAGTTGAGCTGTGAGAAGAGGTTCACCATCCTCCAGACCCCAGAATGATAGATCCATCGACAGCTTGCACCGTGCACCTGGAAAAGCCACAGACTCATTGCCAACCCATGAAAGCAGACGGAAGGGAGGCTGTACCCTGCAAAGCCAAAGGGGCAGAGCTGCCCAAGACCATGGAAACCCACATCTTCCATCAGTATAACCTGGATTCAAGACATGGATTCAAGAAGATCACTTTGGAGCTTTAAGATTTGACTGCCCCACTGGATTTCAGACTTGCATGGGCCCTGGAGCCCCTTCGTTTTGGCCAATTTCTGCATTAGGAATGGCTGTATTTACCCAATGCCTGTATCCCCATTGTATCTAGGAAGTAACTAACTTGCTTTTGATTGTACAGGCTCATAGGTGGAAGGGACTTGCCTTGCTTTGGATGAGACTTTGGACTGTAGACTTTTGAGTTAATGCTGGAAGGAGTTAAGACTTTGGGGGACTGTTGGGAAGGTATGATTGGATTTGAAATGTGAGGACATGAGATTTGCGAGGGTCCAGGGGTGGAATGATATGGTTTGGCTGTGTCCCCACCCAAATCTCATCTTGAATTCCCACATGTTGTATAAGGGACCCTGTGGGAGGTAACCGAATCATGGGGGCAAGTCTTTCCCATGCTGTTCTCATGACAGTGAATAAGTCTCATGAGATCTGATAATTTTAAAAAGAGGAGTTCCCCTGATCAATCTCTCTCTCTTTGCCTGCTGCCATTCACGTAACATGGGACTTGCTTCTCTTTGCCTTCTGCCATAATTTTGAGGCTTCCCCAGCTACATAGAACTGTAAGTCCAATTAAACCTCTTCTTTTTGTAAATTGCCTAGTCTGGGGTATGTCTTTATCAGCAGCATCAAAATGGACTAATACACCTGGATATGCAAATTATAGACATAAAACAAATCTGATGAATGCAAACTGAGATACTGTGTGAATCAAAACCTTCTCATTCCTACATTTTACTCCCTAAACTTTCACCAAATTAAGGAACAACCTCAAATTTCTTTGTGGAATTTCAGATAATAATTCAAATCTTTTCATCAAATGTTTGTCATATATCTATTGTTTGTAAGGCATTACTTTAGAAGATATTACAGAATGGTCTTACATTGTCCAGTGTGTAATAAATTCACATAAACAATATAAAAGTGAGGTCTCAAAACTGTTGCCTCTGATTTAAACAAAAAATACACCCTTACCAAATTTCTACTGTGGGGCTGTGCAGTGCGTCACCCCTGTAATTCCAGCACTTTGGGAGGCTGAGGCGGGTGGATCACTTGAGCTCAGGAGTTCGAGACCAGACTGGGCAACGTGGTGAAATGTCATCTCTACCATATATACAAAAAATTAGCTGGGCATGGTGGCATGTCCCTGTGGTCCGAGATACTTAGGAGGCTGAGGTGGGAGGATCACTTGAGCCTGGGAGATGGAGGTTGCAGCGAGCTGAGATGGTGCCATTACACTCCAACTTGGTAACAGAGTGAGAACCCATCTCAAAAAATAAAATCCTACTGTACGCTGAACATTGTGCCTAAGGATGGAAGGTGACGTCCAGAGATTGAGAGGCAGGAGAAAACTCAAACTTCATCTAGCAATGATGAGAAACCATTTTCATTATGCCAGAATGATGCATAAGCACTGCCCCCACCACCACCACCTAGAAACTTTGCACATATCAGGAAAAAGGGCATACAAAGGGAAGAAAAGAGACTATTAAGGGATGAGTATTTATCCAAAATTATTAAACTTTGAATTAGACAGTAAAAGAGTTTACATTACTTGAGTTTGACTTAAAAATTACTGAATTCTGCTGAATTGCTAAAAAGGAATAAGTCTTTCAGTTTGCTCTATGAAGATGTGGAGCTTGAGAGCCATATGGTGTTGCACTATATGTCATAAAGCCACATGTTTACATGCCTGAGTTTGTGTGTCTTGGATATATTGGTAGACAATTTCTTTTTTTTCTTTTTTCTTTCTTTTTTTTTTTTTTTTTTTTGTTGAGACAGAGTCTCGCTCTGTCACCAGGCTGGAGTGCAATGGCGCGATCTCTGCTCGCTGCACCTCTGCCTCCCAGGTTCAAGCGATGCTCTTGCCTCAGCCTCCCAAGAAGCTGGGACTACAGGCAAGCGCCACAACGCCCAGCTAATTTCTGTATTTTTAGTAGAGACGGGGTTTCACCATGTTGGCCAGGATGGTCTCGATCTGTTGACCTCGTGATCCGCCCGCCTCGGCCTCCCGAAGTACTGGGATTACAGGCGTGAGCCACTGCGCCTGGCCTACTTACTTTCAAAATAGCCGGTTATTTGACCAAATAGATCAATTTTTGCTAAGTGGATGTGTTTAAATTATTAGCTTATTCAAATACAATGCATGCAAATAGAATTCTGCCTAGTTACTGTATTACCTGGAAAATCCAGACCTTAAAATAGAAGTGAATGTTTGCTGTTCAATGAATACAAAGTTTCAGTTATGCAAGATGAATAAGGTCTAGAGATATATCATACAACTTTGTGCCTATACTTCACAGTAATGAATAATGCCCTTAAAACTTTGTTTAAAAGGTAGGTATCATGTTATGTTTTCTTACCAAAATAAAAAAACACATACAAAAAATAGAGGGAGGGATCTCTGCAACAACACTTCTGCTTTCTATTGTCCTAGCAAGTTTTCCTGCCTCTTGAATGCTTGGCTGCTTAGAAATTTCTTCCACCAGATACACTAGATTATCATCCTCAAGTTCAAACTTCTAAAGATCCCTAGGACATGAACGGAATGCAGCCAAGTATTTACCTAAGACATAATATTAATGACCTTTACTCTAATTCCCAATAAGTTTCTCATTTTCATCTGAGACCTCAGGAGCCTGGCTTTCATTGTCCACATCACTATAAGCATTTTAGTCACAACCATTTAACCAGTTTCTAAGAAGTTCCAAATATTCCCTCATCTTCCTCATCCTGTATTTTTCTGAGCCCTCCAAATTTTTCCAGCCGCTTCTCATGACCCAGTTCCAAAGCTTCTTTCACATTTTCAGGTATATTTATAGCAATGCCCTACTCTCCATACCAATCTTCTGTATTAGGCTGTTCTTGCATTACTATAAAGAAATACCTGAGAATTAAGATGGTGACTAGGAGGCAGGCCTAGCTTGCAGCTCCCGCTCAGATGGACAGAACAGTGTGTGGAGACTCACATCGTGAACTTTTGCTCCAGGAACTATCACAGGAAGTTGCCAGGAAAGCCAAGAGAATCCACAGACCCTTTGAAGAAACTGGATTGCCACTGCAGGTTCCCTGAGACACCGAAAAACTGAGTCTGCTTGCTTTCTCAATCGGGAGGCTCATTGTCTGAGCCAAGTTCTTGGCCCTGGTCACTGGCTGCCTGGAAACAGACTTGGTGCTGTTGGAGGGGCACGGTGAGAGTGAGACTGGCCTTTAGGACTACAGGCTTAGTGGGAGTGAAGTGAGGCCTGTGACTGCTGGCTTTTCCCTACTTCCCTGGTGACCTGTATGACTCAGCAGAGGCAGCCATAATCCCCCTGGGAATATAACTCCATTGGACTGGGAACCACACCCGCATTCCCCACAGCAGCCACAGCAAGCCCCACCTAAGGAGAGGCTGACCTCCCACATGCCTATCCCTGACCCCACGTGGTGGTCTTTCTCTACGGGCCCTAGTCGCCAAAAACAAAGGTGGTAATCTCTTATAGGCCCTGCCTATAGCCTGAGAAACCTGAATACTTAACAAGGAGTTTCTAGGGCAAGTTTGCCTCCTCCCTATAGAACCACAACTAATGCGCTCTAAAGCGCCACCTTCTGGCTAGAGGCCAACCAACACAAAACCAGTGTATTAAAAACACAACCAAAAACCCTCTCACAGTCCACTTCACTCCCCTGCTACCTCCACAGGAGCAAGTGCTGGTATCCGTGGCTAAAAGACCTGAAGATGGATCACATCACGGGAGTCTTTGCAGACACTCCCCAGTACCAGCCAGGAGCCCGGTAGCTTCGCTGAGTGGCTAGACCAAAAAAAATGCAAAAACAGTAACTGCATTTTGGCTCTCAGGAAGCCCCATTCCTAGGGTAAGGGGGAGAGCACCACATTAAGAGAGCACCTTGTGGGACAAAAGAATCTGAACAGCAGCACTTGAGTCCCAGATCTTCCCTCTGACATAGTCTACCAAAATGAGAAGGAACCAGTAAAATAATTCTGGTAATATGACTAAACAAGGTTCTTTAACACCTTCAAAAGATTATACCAGCTCACCAGCAATGGATCCAAACCAAGACAAAATCACTGAATTGCCAGAAAAAGAATCCAGAAGGTCAATTATTAAGCTAATTGAGGAGACACCAGAGAATGGTGAAGTCCACCTTAAAGGAGTCAAAAAGCATGATACAGGATATGAAAGGAAATTTTTTCAGTGAAATAGATAGCGTAAATAAAAAACAATCACAACTTCTGGAAATCAAGAACACACTTAAAGAAATGCAAAATGTGCTGGAAAGTCTCAGCAATAGAATTGAACAAGCAGAAGAAAGAACTTCAGACCGTGAAGACGAGGCATTTGAAATAACCCAGTCCATCAAAGACAAAGAAAAAAGAATTTAAAACAAATGAACGAAGCCTCCAAATGTTTGGGATTATGTTAAAAATTTAAACTAAGAATAATTGGTGTTCCCAAGGAAGAAGAGAAATTTAAAGTTCAGAAAACTTATTTGAGGAAATAATTGAAGAAAACATCCCCAGTCTTGCTACAGATATAGACATCCATATACAAGAAGCTCAAAGAACACCTGGGAAATTCACCGTGAAAAGATCATTGCCTAGGCACATAGTCTTCAGGTTATCCAAAGTCAAGATGAAGGAAATGATCTAAGAGCTCTGAAGAAAAGGCATCAGGTAACCTATAAAGAAATACCTGTCAGATTAACAACAGATTTCTAAGCAGAAACCCTACAAGCTAGAAGGGAGTAGTGTCCTATTTTTAGCCTCCTTAAACCAAACAATTATCAGCCAAAATTTTTGTATCCAGGAAAACTAAGCTTCATAAATGAAGGAAAGATAGAGTCTTTTCTAGACAAACAAATGCTGAGGAAATTCGCCTCCACCAAGCCATCACTATAAGAACAACTAAAAGGAGCTCTAAATCTTGAAACAAATTTTCAAAGTACATGAAAATAGAACCTCCTTAAAGCATAAATCTCACAAGATCTATAAAGCAATAACACAATGAAAAAAAAATCCAAATATTCAGGCAAGAAATAGCACAGTGAATAAAACAGTACCTCACATCTCAATACTAACATTGAATGTAAATGCCCTAAATGGTCCATTTAAAAGATAAAGAATGGCAGAATAAGAAGACAAAGAGGGACATTACATAATGATAAAAGGACTAGTTCAACAGGAAAATATCACAATTCTAAATATATATGCAACAAAAACTGAAGCTCCCGCTTAGAAAATAATTACTACTAGACCTAAGAAACGAGATAGAAGGCAACACAAGAATGAATAATATTTGAGTAGGGTGAGTATAGTTAATATTAGAGTAGGGCGAGAAGTAATAAATTCTAATGTTTAATAGTAGAGTATGGTGAGTAGTGTGAGTATAGTGAGTAGGTGAGTTTAACGTTACAGTAGGGTGAGTAATGTTTCCAACACACAGAGAGGATAAATAGTCAAGATGATGGATACCATAAATACCGTGACTTGATCACTGCACATACTATGAATGTAACAAAACATCACATGTACACCATAAATATATACAAATATTATATATCAATAAAAAATAAAAATAAAAGTGGTACAGCACGGTAATGGCATAAAAACAGACACATCAACAAATGGAACAGGATAAAAATCCCAGAAATAAATCCATGTATTTAGAGTTATTTGATTTTCTATGAAGTTGCCAACAGCACACAATAGAAAGAACACATAGTCTCTTCAATAAATGATGTGAGGAAAACTGAATATTCACAGACAGAAGAATAACATTAGGTGCTTATCTCACACAATATACAGAATCAACTCAAAATGGATTAAACATTTGAACTTAAGAACTGAAACTTTATTTTCTTTAAAAGTTTTGAAATAATATTTGTATAGAGATGGGGTCTCACTATGTTGCCTAGGGTCTAGAACTCTTGGGCTCAAGCAATCCTCCTGCTTCAGCCTCCAAAAGTGCTGGGCTTACAGGTATGAAGCACCACACTCAACCCCTGAAAATTTAAAACTACTAAGAAACCGTAAATAAAAAGCTTCATGACATTGGTCTCAGCAATGATTTCTTGGACATGACCTCATAAGCAGAGGCAGCAAAAACACAAATAGACAAATAAGGTTCCATCAAGCTTCTATACAGCAAAGAAAACAACTAACAGAGTGAAAAGAAAGCACGAGTATATTCAGGCACTACTTGTTGGTCAGATCCAGGAACCTAATGATTCTGCAAAGGGTAGAAAGGGCATCTGAGAACTGGGGGAGCTAAACGTCTAGGCCAGGGTTTGAGAGGCCAGATGACTAAAGAAGCAAGGTGAATCATGAAAGTCAGTATTGCAGCAAGCAAAATCTCAAGCAGAGGCCAGAAGACAAACCCACATGGATTGAAAAGCAGTATCTGCTATTTGAAATTTACTTTCCTCATCTGGAAAATGGGAATAAAATATCACTTAATGGGACTGTTTGTTGATACTATGTGATATATGAGTAAGTTTTTATCATAGTTTCCAGTGTCCAGTAAACAGTGAATAAATGCTATTTTCCTATGTATTTTCCCCCTTTTACCATCATTAAATCTACTTTAAGTCCTGAGTTTAGCCAATATTTGACATTTGCAAGTTAAAAACATGGACTTTTTCATAAAACTTAAAAATAAGATGTCATGCTTTCTTAGCATAAATATTAAGATTTCTCTCAGTGATGATAGAATGTATGAATAAGGGTTGAGTCTCTTATCATTTCAATACAGAGAAAGCTTAAAATGAATAATATTCTCAAAAAGTATATTGGGATTTATTTCCTATGGTCCCTGAGGGAATAACTAGGACTATAGTGTCGAAGTGACAAAGCAATAGGTTTTGATTTAATGTAAGAAAAATCCTTTCTAACAGATAGCTGGCCAATGATGGAATGAGCTGTTTTAAGAGTTAACAAGTTCTCAGTCACTGCACGTGTTCAAAAAGTGCTTGTATATGCTCTAAACCCCTTCTTATTCTGATATGCTATGAATTTATTAGTGTCACGTGTGTGTGCACACCTGTGTGTGTATGTGTGTGTGTTTAACCCTGAATTCTATATGATCCCAATCATATCTTTTATTTGTTAGCCTTTTGAAAGCGAGCATCATGTCATATTTATCTTGGCCTGACAATAGCAGATGCCCAATAAATGGCTATTAAAGTGATCAATTCCCTACCCTATGCATAACATTATTTCTACTCTTTAAAGAACATATTTCCTGTTTGAAGTAGCATATGCAGATTGAAGATGAGTTGATTCCAACAAACTGCATTGTTTCAACTAAAAATGTCTTAAATCTTTTATGCCTGATAATCCCTAAATACAGAAACCTAAAGTACACTAAATAATAAGAATTCTAAAAGAGCAAATAGACTAAGTTTGAATATTATTTTGCCAAGACGTATCTATGCAAATGCGTGTATGTGTGTACATACACACACAAACATGTGCACCTTCATAGAAGAGCAGACTTTACAATATATATTGAAACCTTTATAACATGTAGAAATATAGAGTAGTATATCCTATTAAGTATGTTCCCGCTTTATGATAATAGCATTCTGATAGCCTTATAGGAATATGTGAGGCTTCAATATTGAAAAGGTTCCAAGTACACAAGGATATCAACAACTGAAGGTTATTTACAAGAGATGTTCTAGTCATTTTTTTCTGTGGTATAGTTACCTAGAATGCAACATGTATTTTATCTCCTTCAGTAAGCTTTCCAAATATGAAAACCAGAAGGATACATATAGCGGTGAATGAAATTGACATTCACTGTCATTCTTCTAGCATTGAGAGCGATAAGAACTAGACAGAACGAAAAAAAAATTATAGCTGGCATCCTGGTAAAAGGAACAAACATATTCACTGTCATTTGCTTCCTGGAAAATTTATAATCAGGAAGAAAAAAGGATTACTAGGTGAGTCTGAAAAGAGAAATACGGTGTCCTTACTCTTAATACATATGCTTTTTATGAATTGTGCATTTTTTTACCAAAGGATTTCTAGGAATCTTTTCATAAGTATATTCTTTAAATAATAAAAAGAGCCCGCTGAGACAGTTTCAAATAAATGTGACTCATTCTGAGCATTCCATTAAGCAGGAACTCATAATATATTTGTTTTTTAATTTTTTTAAATTTAAAATGGTAAAATAAGCTTTCTTCTATGAATTCCAAATGAGAAACTAAACCCCCAAAGCACAAGGCCCATTTTCAGCTTCATCAGCTGTAGAACATAAGTAAAACTCCTATTATGAATACGGGCTACAGAACTAATTCACTGTGCAAACCATTGAAAACTGTTTCAGGTTTGAGGAAATATTCTTTGAGTTACACAAAAGTGTGGTTCTTTCTTGTGCAATGCAATTTAATTTGATATTATAACAATTCTTCTATGCAATAAGCAAAACTCTCTCAGGGCATGGCTGTTTCAACATTTTTTTTTTTTTAATGCACCAGCTCTTAGGAAAAATAGGTGAAGAAAGGGTGAACGGTTTCCTTTATAAGCTGGATTTTTCTTTCAGGTAATATGGGAATAATGAAATGGAAAAACAGTTTTTCTTTCCTTTTATGTGTCACTCTTAGTTTTTTTATAAAATTATTTGCTTATAATAAATAGGCCCACTTTAACCATACATTTTAATGGTTTCTTAACTGTATACACCCATAAAGTTACACCATGATCAAAGTATAAAAATTTCTATCACTCCAGAAAGTTCCCTTGTGCCCCACTGAATTCAATCTCAACCATCCCCATCCTTAGGCAACCACTAATCAGCTTCATAGTACCATGGATACATTTTGTCTCCTCTAGAATGTCATACAAATGAGATAGTATTAGATGTACTGTTTTATAGGTGACTTTTTTCACTCAGCGTATTTTTGACACATATCAATGTAGTTGTATGTATTGATAGTTTCTTCCATTTTTTTTTTGCTAGTAATGCTTAATTGTACAGATATACCAAAATTTATCTAATCATGCGTTAATGGATATATAGGTTTCTTCGAAGTTCAGCTATTATGAATAAAGCTGCTATGTACATGTATTTTAGGCCTTTTTATGGACATATATTTCCTTTTACCTTTAGTAAATACTTTATAGTAGAATAGATAGATCATGTGTTGGGCATATTTTTTAATTTTGTAGAAAGTGCCCAACTCTTTTCTAAAGTGCTTGTATCAGTTTACATTTCCACCGGTAGCATGTGAGGGTTCCAGTTGCTCCCAGGTGATATCTATTATTTTCACTCTTTAATTCCAATGGATGTATAGTGGACAATCAATGTTATTTTAATCACATTTCCCTGATTAGTAGTTGGCAGTTTGGTCATTGATGCTTTTTTTTTCCCTATAGATTCTGTTCAATTCTTTGGCCATATTTTTAAGCTGTTTTTATTATTGACATTTAAGAGTTATTTTATGTTCTAGATACCATTATTTTTCAGATATACATATTGCTAAAATTTTCTCTCAGTCTGTGACTTGTGTTTTCATTTACTTAACTGTGTTTTTTCCAAGAGATGTTTTAATTTTGGTGGAGTGTAATTTACAGTGATTGGGATTTTTTTCGCTGTTATTGTTCTTGGTCTTAAGAAATTATTGCCTAACCATTTTCTTCAGTTTTATTTACATATTTTATAATATATCTTTGATGTTTTCAGATTATCCATTTCAAGTTATTTTATGTTAACATTTTATGATAAGTAGTCTTGATTTTTTTAATATGATAGCTGTTCTAGCACCACTTATTAAAAAAGGCTACCTTTTTCCCACTGAATGACCTCAGGACATTTGTAAAAAAAAATCAATTCACCATATATCTATGGGTCTATTTCTGGACTTCTACCCTATCTATCTAAGTCTTTATTTTAATCTAGCCTTTTCCAAATACCACATTGTCTTGACTACTGTAGCTTTATAGTACAGCAATCAAGACAAGATATATTAAATTTGATTATCTTTTTGATATTCTAATTAATTTGAATTTCAACATAAATTTTGGAATCAGCAACTCTACAAAGGAGCCTGCTGGGATTTTTATTAGATTTCTATTGAATCTATTCATACATATGGAGTTGATTGACAGTTTAACAATAATGAGTCCAATCCCTCATCGGGGTATAACCCTGTGATTTTTGTGTATTTATCTTATGTTCTTCCACTTCACTAGGTTTACTTCTTAGTTCTATTAGTTTTGTGCTTTTTGTAGATTTCTAGGAATTTTACATGCCCATGATCATGATGTTACTAAATAGGGGTCCTATTACGTTTTCCTCTCTAATTTGTAAGTTATTTAAATATTTATTTATGGCTTAATGCACTGGCTAGGACATATAATATATTGAACAGAAGTTATTAAAGCAAGTATCCTTCCCTTTCTTTGGGAGAAAGTATCCAATCTTTCACTATTAACTATGATATTAAACTGCAGATTTTATATAGATGTCCTTTATTATATAGAAACAAATTTCTATTATAGTTTGCTGAAAGTTTTTATCATGAATGGATGTTGTGCTTTTTCAAATGATCCATCTGCATCAATTTAGATGATTATATAGCTTTATAAAATGTTATTATAGATGAATTGCATTCATGGATTTTAGAATGTTAACACAAACTTGTAATCCTAGCATAAATCTTATTTGGTCATGATATATTTTATCTTTTCATATATCCAAATAATAAGTTTACTAATATTTTATTGTGGTTATTTGTGTCTATGTTTATGGAGAATATAAGTCAGTATACTTTTTTATTGTAATATCTTTTGTATAACATTTGTATCAGAAAAAGTTCTTCATTAATTGTGTTGGCAAGTTGTGACACCTTGGTTCCTCTGAGAAGCAGAGTCAAGAAAGAATTAAAATTTTAATGAATATATCGGGAGAAATGCCCATAAAAGATAAAGGGAGAGAGAGCCAAAAAGGAGAAAGACTTCTGACCATGAACACTTTTGACACCTTTGAAACAATCAGGAAGGAAGAAAAAATGGACAGCAAGAACCTCAGATCAAAAAACAGTTCTGGAAAAGGCTCAACCAGGTTGATCTGATTTATTAAAGCAAATGTTAACTTAGGGGACTCTTATGGAGAGCAGGAAGAAATGGTCTTGTTCTAGTAACCATTATGTACTGTCTTTGGCTAGGAACAACTCAAGAGAAACGTATAACTGTTTTTATATATGAAAGCTAATGATTTCTGTTAGCTTTAATAAATTATTCTCCTGATAATTTATTTTATAACCTGCTATCTTACTGAATGATTATATTGTTTCAATTAGGTTTATTATTAAATCTCTAAGGGTATTTAGATGAATTATCATAGCATCTGAAAATAGAGCTGGTTTCAATTTTTTATCAGTTACTATGGCTACAACTGATTTATCATCCCTTTCCTGGTTTCATTAACTAATACTTGTAGCCCAGTAATAAGTAGTAATGAATAATCTGAACAAATATCTCATCAAAGAAGAACTGTAGAGTAACCAAGTAATTTTTCATGATTTTCACCCAGCTTGCATTGTATCCTTCATCTTTATCACAGGGTTATATGTACTTAATGCCATTTTACAATTATGTTCACAAACATTTCACTAATAATCGTAGTATAGCATACTTCGAGTCTGACAGAACATAGTTACAACACTGGCCCTACCACCTTGTTGGCCAGCGTCCTTCATCAAATTGTTTAATCTTTCTGAACCATAGTTTTCCTTTTCTGTGAAATGATGTTAAATATATCCCACTTATGTTGTGAAGATTAAATTAAACTACACATATAAAGTAATTAGCATGATTACTAGCACACTGTAAGTGATCAGGAAATATTTTTATTTTTATTATATTTTATATTACATCCTCTATACTTGGAGAAAGCATAAATAAAAATAAAAGCTCTGGAGCCATAATGTATAGGATCACATCTCACCTTTCTACTTAAAAGAACTTCTTGTTCCTGTGACCTTGAGAGTGTCGTTTAAACTTTTTGTGCATTAGATTAGCCAACTGTAAAATGGGGAGCATGCAAAACATTTTGTAGGAAGGGGATTGATGATACATGTAAAGCACTTGAAACAGTGCCTGGAGCATATCAAGAGTTCAGCACATTATGTTTTCATTAATTCTAACTTCCATTTCAGCTTTGCAATGAATAAAATGCATATGTTTTTGAATGTTAAATTGTGGTTCAACTAATAACGGATATGATGTTGCCCAGTTCTTTGCATTGAAGGCAAGATTTGTGTTATCTAAGAATCAATTATTATTTTCCAAAGCATTCTTAAAAATCATGTATACATTTGTCCAAAATAATAATTACAATCCAAAACTCATTCATCATAAAAACTCTCAGCAAACTGGAAATAGAGGGAAATTCCTCAACTTGATAACGAATAGCTATCAAAAAGCTATAGCTAATACTCTACTTAATGGTGAGAAACTAGAAGCCTTATCACTAATACTGAGAACAAGGCAAGAATGTCTCCTTCTATCATTTCTTTTCAAAATCATGCTGGAAGTTCTGGCTAATAAAGTTAGAAAATGAAATGAGAGGTGTGCAAATTAGAAAGGAAGAAGTAAAACTGTCTGTGTTGGTGGATGAAACAGTATTCTATGTAGAAAATATGAAAGAATTGACAAGAAAACTCCTGGACCTAATAAGTGATAGCAGTAAGGTTTCAGAATACGAGATTAACATAGAAGCATCAATAGCTTTTCTCTATATCAGCAATGAATAAGTGGAACTTGAAAGCAATACCATTTACATTAGCACCCCTAATCATGAAATACTTAGGTATAAATCTAAGAAAATATGTACAAGGTCTATGAAAAAACTACAAAACTCTGATGAAAAAAGAAAAAAAATAGAAGTAAATACAGGGAGAGATATTCCACATTTATGGGGTTTATGGCTAGGAAGGCATACTATTGTCAAGATGTGAGCTCTCCCCAAATTGATCTATGGATTCAATATAAACCCAATAAAAATCCCAGCAAGTTATTTTATGTACATCGACAAACTGATTGTAAAGTTTAAATGGAGAGAAAAAGACCAAGAGTAGCCAACACAATATTAAAGTTCAAGAACAAAGTTGGAAAACCCACACTACCTGATTTAAAGGCTTTCTATAAAGCCACAATAATCGAGACAGTGTGTAATTGGCAAAGTAATAGACAGATTGATCAATGGAACAAAATAGAGAGCCCAGAAATAGATGTACACAAATATAGTCACCTGATCTTTGACAAAGGTGCAAGGCAATATAATGGAGAAAAGATAATCTTTCCAACAAATAGTGCTGGGATAACTGGAAATACACATTCAGAGATATAAATCTACATGTAGACATTAAATCTTTTATTTATTTATTTATTTATTTATTTATTTATTTATTTATTTTTTGAGACGGAGTCTCACTCTGTCGCCCAGGCTGGAGTGCAGTGGCGGGATCTCGGCTCACTGCAAGCTCCGCCTCCCGGGTTCATGCCATTCTCCTGCCTCAGCTCCCCGAGTAGCTGGGACTACAGGGGCCCGCCAGCACACCTGGCTAATTTTTTTGTATTTTTAGTAGAGACAGGGTTTCACTGTGTTAGCCAGGATGGTCTGGATCTCCTGACCTTGTGATCCGCCCGCCTCGGCCTCCCAATGTGCTGGAATTACAGGCGTGAGCCACGACGCCCGGCCGACATTAAACCTTTTAAAAAATAAACTAAAATTGATTGAAAACCTAAATGTAGAACTCAGAATTATAAAAGTCTTAGAAGATAACATTGGAGACAATCTAGATATTATTGAGTAGGACAACAACTTTTTATATCTAACGTCAAACAAATAATTCATAAAAAATAATCTATAAACTGGACTTAAACTAAAACCTTCTACTCTGCAAAATTACACTGTCAAGGGAATGAAAAGATATGCCACAGACTGGAATGAAATAATTGGAAAAGACAAATCTCATAAAGGACTGTTATCTAAAATATACAAAGAATACTAAAAGTTCAACAATAAGAAAAAAAAAACATGATTAAGAAATAGGCCAAAGATATCAACAGACACCTCACCAAAAAATAGGCAGATGGCAAATAAGCATATGAATATACGCTTAACATCATATATCATTAGGGAACGGCAATTTAAAATTATGAGATACCACTAGACAACTATTAGAGGGGTCAAAATCCAAAAGACTGATAACATCAAATGTTGGTGAGGTTGTGGAACCTCAGAAACTGTCATTCATTGTTGGTGGGAATACAAAACAGACACAACATACCAGAATCTCTGGGACACATTTAAAGCAGTGTGTAGAGGGAAATTTATAGCACTAAATGCCTACAAGGGAAAGCAGGAAAGATCTAAAATTGATCTTTTAGATCTTTCTAAAATTTCAATTCAAAAAATTGAATCCTAACATCACAATTAAAAGAACTAGAGAAGCAAGAGCAAACACATTCAAAAGCTAGCAGAAGGCAACAAATAACTAAGATCAGAGCAGAACTGAAGGAGATAGAGACACAAAAAACCCTTCAAAAAATCAATGAATCTAGGAGCTGGTGTTTTGAAAAGATCAACAAAATTGATAGACCGCCAGCAAGACTAATAAAGAAGAAAAGAGAGAAGAATCAAATAGACGCAGTAAAAAATGATAAAGGGGATATCACCACCGATCCCACAGAAATACAAATTACCATCAGAAAATACTTTAAACACCTCTACGCAAATAAACTAGAAAATCTAGAAGAAATGGATGAATTCCTGGACACATACACCCTCCCAAGACTAAACCAGGAAGAAGTTGAATCCCTGAATAGACCAATAACAGGCTCTGAAATTGAGGCAAAAGTTAATAGCCTACCAACCAAAAAATGTCCAGGACCAGATGGATTCACAGGTGAATTCCACTAGAGGTACAAGGAGGAGCTGGTACCATTCCTTCTGAAACTACTCCAATCAATAGAAAAAGAGGGAATCCTCCTTAACTCATTTTATGAGTCCAGCATCATCCTGATACCAAAGCCTGGCAGAGACACAACCAAAAAAGAGAATTTTAGACCAGTATCCCTGATGAACATCGATGCAAAAATCCTCAATAAAATACTGCAAGCCAAATCCAGCAGCACATCAAAAAGCTTATCCACCATGATCAAGTGGGCTTCATCCCTGGGATGCAAGGCTGGTTCAACAGGCACAAATCAATAAACGTAATCCAGCATATAAACAGAACCAAAGACAAAAACCACATGATTATCTCAATAGATGCAGAAAAGGCCTTCAACAAAATTCAACAGCCCTTCATGCTAAAAACTCTCAATAAATTAGGTATTGATGGGACGTATCTCAAAATAATAAGAGCTATTTATGACAAACCCACAGCCAATATCATACTGAATGGACAAAAACTGGAAGCATTCCCCTTGAAAACAGGCACAAGACGGGAATGGCCTCTCTCACCACTCCTATTCAACATAGTGTTGGAAGTTCTAGCCAGGGCAATCAGGCAGGAGAAAGAAATAAAGGGTATTCAATTAGGAAAAGAGGAAGTCAAATTGTCCCTGTTTGCAGACGACATGATTGTATATTTAGAAAACCCCATCGTCTCAGCCCAAAATCTCTTTAAGTTGATAAGCAACTTCAGCAAAGTGTCAGGATACAAAATCAATGTGCAAAAATCACAAGCATTCTTATACACCAATAACAGACAAACAGAGAGCCAAATCATGAGTGAACTCCCATTCACTATTGCTTCAAAGAGAATAAAATACCTAGGAATCCAACTTACAAGGGATGTGAAGGACCTCTTCAAGGAGAACTACAAACCACTGCTCAATGAAATAAAAGAGGACACACACAAATGGGAGAACATTCCATGCTCATGGGTAGGAAGAATCAATATCGTGAAAATGGCCATACTGCCCAAGGTAATTTACAGATTCAATGCCATTCCCATCAGGCTACCAATGACTTTCTTCACAGAATTGGAAAAAACTACTTTAAAGTTCATATGGAACCAAAAAAGAGCCTGCCTTGCCAAGTCAATCCTGAGCCAAAAGAACAAAGCTGGAGGCATCACACTACCTGACTTCAAACTATACTACAAGGCTACAGTAACCAAAACAGCATGGTACTGGTACCAAAACAGAGATATAGACCAATGGAACAGAACAGAGCCTTCAGAAATAATATCACACGTCTACAACCATCTGATCTTTGACAAACCTGACAAAAACAAGCAATGGGGAAAGGATTCCCTATTTAATAAATGGTGCTGGGAAAACTGGCTAGCCATATGTAGAAAGCTGAAACTGGATCCCTTCCTTACACCTTATACAAAAATTAATTCAAGATGGATTAAAGACTTACGTGTTAGACCTAAAACCATAAAAACCCTAGAAGGAAACCTAGGCAATACCATTCAGGACATAGGCATGGGCAAGGACTTTATGTCTAAAACACCAAAAGCAATGGCAACAAAAGCCAAAATTGACAAATGGGATCTAATTAAACTAAAGAGCTTCTGCACAGCAAAAGAAACTACCATCAGAGTGAACGGGCAACCTACAGAATGGGAGAAAATTTTTGCAATCTACCCATCTGACAAAGGGCTAATATCCAGAATCTACAAAGAACTCAAACAAATTTACAAGAAAAAAACAAACAACCCCATCAACAAGTGGGCGAAGGATGTGAACAGACACTTCTCAAAAGAAGACATTTATGCGGCCAACAGACATGAAAAATGCTCATCATCACTGGCCATCAGAGAAATGCAAATCAAAACCACAATGAGATATCATCTCACGCCAGTTAGAATGGCGATCATCAAAAAGTCAGGAAACAACAGGCATTGGAGAGGATGTGGAGAAATAGGAACACTTTTACACTGTTGGTGGACTGTAAACTAGTTCAACCATTGTGGAAGACAGTGTGGCGATTCCTCAAGGATCTAGAACTAGAAATACCATTTGACCCAGCAATCCCATTACTGGGTATATACCCAAAGGATTATAAATCATGCTGCTATAAAGACACATGCACACGTATGTTTATTGCGGCACTATTCACAATAGCAAAGAGTTGGAACCAACCCAAATGTCCATCAATGATAGACTGGATTAAGAAAATGTGGCACATATACACCATGGAATACTATGCAGCCATAAAAAAGGATGAGTTCATGTCCTCTGTAGGGACATGGATGAAGCTGGAAACCATCATTCTCAGCAAACTATCGCAAGGACATAAAACCAAACACCGCATGTTGTCACTCATAGGTGGGAATTGAACAATGAGAACACTTGGACACAGGAAGGGGGACATCACACACTGGGGCCTGTCGTGGGGTGGGGTAGGGGGTAGGGATAGCAGTAGGAGATATACCTAATGTTAAATGATGAGTCAATGGGTGCAGCACACCAACATGGCACATGTATACATATGTAACAAACCTGCACGTTGTGCACATGTACCCTAGAACTTAAAGTATAATAAAAAAAATGGTACAACTTCTTTGGAAGACAGTTTGGCAGTTTCTTACAAAACTAAACATATTGTTACCATATTATTCAGCATTCACATTCCTTGGTGTTTACCCAAATGAGTTGAAAATTATGTTCTCACAAAGATCTGCACATAATTGTTTATAGCAGCTTCATTTATGGTTGCAAAAACTTGGAAACAACCAAGCTAACAAACAAAAAACACTAGATCCAATTAAAAATAAAAACTTTGTTTTATAAAAAATAATAAAATAAACCACTAATTAAGTTGATCAAGAAAAGGAAAAAGCACAGATATATGTAATAAGAAACAACAATGGGGTTAAGAAAGGAATTAAAAAATAAGAAATCCTTCAATAGTTAAATGAATTTTAAAAAACTGTAATACAACCAGAAAATGGAATCTTTTTCAGTGCTAAAAGAATGAACTATCAAGTTATAAAAAGACATGGGAGAAACTTAAATGCATATTACTAAGTTAAAGAAGCCAATAGGAAAAGGCTATAACCTGCATGACTTTACCCATGTGACATCTGGAAAATGCGTAACTATGGAGACAGTAAAAGGATCCGTGGCTACCAGGGGTTTAGGAGTGGGAGGAATGAATTAGTGGAGGATGGGGAGCTTTAGGGCAATGAAAGTCTTCTGTATGATACTATAATGATGGATACATTTCATTATACACGTGTCAAAACTCATAGAATGTACAGTATGCAGTAAGCCCTCATGTAACAACAGACTTTGATTGATAATGATATGTCAATGCTGGTTCATTGATCAGAGCAAACGTGCCATACTCCTTCAGGATGCTGATGGTGGGGAAGACTGTGTGTGTAGTGGAGGGGTATGTGGTAACTCTGTACTTTCTCCTCGATTTTGCTGTGAACCTAATGATTCCTTAAAACATAAAGTGCATTTATTTTTTAAAGCACAGTAAAGAATACAGTGAGCAGCTTTAATTTATTCATCATCTTTGCAGAAATTATTCCAGTGTTTCTGCAGTAGGTAAGATCTTGCCTTTAGGATTAAAGTATCTATATCTATATCTATCTATCTATCTATCTATCTATCTATCTATCTATCTATCTATCTGTCTATCTATCTATCTGTCTATCTATATTTATAAACATATATTTATATATATATAATGTTTGGAAAATCTCCATCAATTTCTAAGTTCTTGAGGGTCTTATCAGGAATAATTTTAAATATTGTTGGAGGTTTCATTTAGCATCACTGTAGATAATCATATGTTTTCCCCTTAATTCTATTAATGTGATTTTTTTTACATTAATAGAATGAAGTTCTTTTGGTCATGGTATGTTATATTCTGAATGCAGTGTTGGGTTATGTTTGCTAGTATTTTAATTAGTACATCTATATCCATAAGTGCAATTATATGTAGGTTTTATTGTACTATCTATTAGGTTAAAGTATCAATATTTTAGTATTTCATAAAACTTCAGTAGGAGTTTGTTTTGGAAAAGTTTTCGTAGCATCACAACTACCCAATCTTTGAAGATTTTCTAATATTTCTCTATGAAACCATGTGGGGCTGGTGCTTACTGTGGGGTGGTGCATTAGTAACTTTGTACCTTCCATAAAAATTGAACCAAAGCTTTCTACCTCAATTGGGGTCAAATTTGGCGATCTGTATTTTCCTATGAAGATATCCATTTTATGTATATTTCTAAATTTTTTGCCTAAAGGTTTTCTGCAAAGTGATCTCCTATTTTTTTTAATTCCCTTCCTACTGCCACTGTTATTTCTTCTTATATATATTTGTGCTTTCTTCTTTTCTGGATCAATTTACTTAGTGGTTTATTATTTTCATAAAACAAAATTTTGATTTTTAATTCAGTCTAGTGATTTTTGTTAACTACTTCAATATCATATTTATATTTATTTTTTCTGATAATTGTATTTAGTTTGCTTATTTTCTGATTATTTTTTGAGATAAGAATTTAAGACAGTTTTCTCACTTCATTTTTATTGATCAAAGTATTTAGTGATAGAAATTTTCTCTATATTACTGCTTTAAATATATCACATAAACTCTGGCATGAACTGTGTTCACTATCATTGCTTTTTAGAGATTATGCGATTTGTTTCTGTTTTCCCTTTTACTCAGAATTGCTTAACAGAAGCTCCCTTCATTCCTAAATTGAAGGGCTTTTTAAAATATTGTTAATAATTTCTAGTTTTATTTTATTTTGATTAAAGCATGTTCTTTGTGATAGATTTCCCTTCTGTATTACATATTTTATTAATTACCCAGTATATGATCATTGTGTGTGTGAATACTTTATGACCTTTGGGGAAAAAAAAAAGGTATAGTCTCTAGTATCACAGTACAACGTTCAACAGCCACAAGATCTACCCTGCTAATTATGTCTTCAGGTCTTTCACATACTTATTTGTTGTTGATTTAATGGATTTTTATACTGAGAAGGAAGTGTCAATGTCTCCTATCAGCATGTGTCTGTCTATGTTGCACTACATATCTTTCCATTTTTCTTCATAAAGGGGATTGCTGTGTTTTTTGTTACATAGGTATCTGTAACTGTTATGCCACCACTGTGAATTTTGGCTTATAGATTAAAAATTGCTCTTATTGGTTATATTTAGATGTTTGGTGTTTTTTGGCTTAAATTACGCTTTGATATCAAAATAATTATCCCTGATTGTTTCTCCATTTTTCTGGTATATCTTGGCCCATCCCTTTATTTTTAGCCCTTCTGAGTCACTTTGGCTATACTTGTTTCTTGTATATAGCCTATTTTGTTATTGCTTTGGCCACATTGAAGCTATTTTTCTTTTAATAGGCAAATTAAATCTTTTAACACTTATTTATATGACTGATATATTTGTTATCAACTCCATCATAATATTTTATGATTGTGTATACTATGTCATATTTGCTAAGTTTATTCATATGAGAGATATTTTTATTTGTATTTGTGTGGGGTTTTTTTATTATTTGGTATTTAAGAGAGTTTATATTTTTTATTTTTATTTTTAAGTTGTAAGTTGACAAATTATAGTTTTATATATATAACTATATACATATAAATATGGGGTAAAAAGTGATACTATGACTTAATGAATACAGTGTAGAATAATTAAATCAAGATAACATACCCATCTCTTTAAACACTTATTTTTTGTGATGAAAACATTTGAAATTTACTCTCCTACAGATTTTGAAATGTACAACACATTATTGTTTACTATATTTACTACATTGCTATATTTTGTTCTAGGGATTATTACCTCTGTACTAATATATTTTAACACCCTTATCTCCCTTTTTTCTTATGGAACATTTTATTATCTGATAAAAATATATATATTAGTAGCATATTTAAGTACACTTATTGTATATAAAATATCAATGGCATTTTTCTATTTTATCTTCCCTCTCACATCTTCATGAAAATTCAATTATATTAGTTTTACTTTGTCAAAATATATTAGTTTTTATAGTTGTATTCTACCTTGTATCCAACTTTTGTTTAAGTCAGATATCATCAGTTCTTTGCTCTGAAATTTCTGCGGTCATTACTCTCAAGAAGGGCTAATGACTGAAGAATACCTTCCTGTTCCTTCATGTGTAAAGCTGATTTTCAGGTTCAATATTAAGCCCATTCAGTGACTTTCTAACTTCAGATGGCTTTTCTCCAGTTCTTTTTCTCCCCACCGATTTTATAATTATAATTTTGTCATTGATATTTCTTTTCTGTTAATTCATCATGGCTGCATTTTAACTCTTTGGACATGCTCGTAATAGCTTTAGTAATGCCTACATAGTCTAATTATATTATTGCCGTTATCTTGGTATTGGCTTTTATTTATTTACCTTCACTGTTTGCTGTCCTATTTATTTAATATTTATTTACTATTTATTGTTCTGTATCTTCATATGTTAAGTATTTTTAATTGGAAACCGGATATTTTTGTTGATACATTGTATATTATAGAACATCACACACCGGGGACTGTTGTGGGGCAGGGGGAGGGGGGAGGGATAGCATTAGGAGATATACCTAATGCTAAATGACGAGTTAATGGGTGCAGCACACCAACATGGCACATGTATACATATGTAACAAACCTGCACGTTGTGCACATGTACCCTAAAACTTAAAGTATAATAATATTTAAAAAAAAAAAAGAAAATCTTGATGCTATCACTTTTCTCTGAAGAATTCTGATGTTTCTTCCATGAGGTAGTAAACTACATACACTCCCCCTAACCCTATACAGTGGAATTTACCTGAAATCTATGGTTAGTTCCTTTAGACATACAGCTGTTACTTTGCAATCCCTCTTACTCATGCGCGTTTCAGGAATTAGTCATGGAGTTTTTCTTTTTTTTAATTTTTATTTTATTTATTTATTATTTATTTATTTTTTACAGAGACAGGGTCTCCCTATATTGCCCAGGCTAGTAGCAAACTCCTGTAGCTGTGGATTTGAGTGGAGTTTATGTGCAGATTTTAGGGGTTGCCAAGCTTTGGGTTCCTCCCCTGAAATTTCCTCACTCAATTTGCCGCTACTTTGGAAGCCCCAATCTCTGCCCTGTCTGCTTAAAATAATATGACTGAAGCTTTCAGATTGACGTGTGGTGTCTGGATTGGGGTATGTCTTTAAGATAAACCCTTAACAATGTGAAACTGAATCTTACTCCCTGTAATTCCCTCCATTTAAAGGTCAAAATCTCTCCAATTTTTGCCTGCTTTTATTGACTCTCAAAAGTCTTATGTGGTAAGCATAATTGTTCTTCAAAGATGCCCACATTCTAATCTGTGGAACTTGAACTTTGGTAAAGGGGGATTAAGAATTCTTATGGAATTAAGATTGTTAATCAGTTGACTTTGAGATGGAAAGACTATCCTGTATTATCCAGCTGGGCCCAGTGTAATTACATTGGTCCTGGTAAGTGAAAGACAAAGGCAGAAGAGTCAGAACTAGGGAATGGCATCTTAAGAAATACTCAACCAAAATTTGCTGTCTTTGAATATGGAAAGAATGTGGATGGACGCTAAGATCTGGAAACGGTAAGAAAACTAATTTTCCTCTAGAGTCTCTAGAAAATAAGGAAGCGCTCTTGAACATTTGACTTTAGCTCTGGAATCTATTTTAGATTACTGACCTTCAGAAATGTAAGATAATATGTCTTTGTAATATTTTAAACAACAATTCTAGTGTTTACAATTGTTACCTTAAGAAGGATTAGTATGATACCAGTTCTTCTGCCAGAACTTTAAATGTGGGCTTTAAATGTGATTTAATGACAATGGAATGCATACAGAATTAATATTTGAATCTCTAATATCATTCAAAATCATATGATTTGTGAAAGGTTAGCAGAGACTGTCCATCTTTGGATTTTTCTTTTATCCCTTTTCTTCCTTGATTAAGAAAAAGAGCCGGGCGACATGGCTCACACCTGTAATGCCAGCATTTTGGGAGGCCAAGGCTGGCGGATCACGTGGTCAGGAGATCTAGACCATCCTGGCCAACATGGTGAAACCCCGTCTCTACTGAAAATACAAAAATCAGCTGGGCACGGTGTCGCGTGCCTGTAATCCCAGCTACTCGGGAGACTGAGGCAAGAGAGTTGCTTGAACCCGGGAGGCGGAGGTTGCAGTGAGCGGAGATCGCACCACTGCACTGCAGCCTGGGCAACAGAGAAAGACTCTGTCTTGAGGAAAAAAAAAAAAAAAGAAAAAAGATTTGGTGGCTATGCAGTGGTACAAATGACCACAGGACTTGAAGTCAGAAATTTCAGTATGTTCTAACTCTGTTGGATCTCTTTTCTTTAAAATTTAAAAAAAGTCTAATCTTCAAAGTTTCTCACTTTTTGTGAACACAAATGAGATTCTGAAATAAATGTTGTGCAAAGCATTGTACAAATGTAAGGCATCATTAATATGGTGAGTTTGTGTCCCATTAATTAGATGAGGAAGCTGTATAAAATCGTGTATGTGGAGGAATACAAATAAATGAAAATAATTGAATTAATTTTAACAGAAATAAAGACATTGTGGGAAACTCATAGTGCAAAAAATGGTTTTCCTCCATTCAATTTGAAATTAAAAGCCAAAGTTAACAATCTCTAACTAGGGAGCAAAAAGCAAAATGTATCAATTCTAAAATATCAGTGTATGTTAATATAGACACAGCACTGTATTACTCAGGGTTCTCCAGAGAAAACAGAACTAGAAATGCATTTAAGTAGCCCATTTAAGTTGACTGATTATATATCTCTATCTATCTCTATCTATCTATATATATATATGCTACTGGTATATAACATATATTATAATAATAACATATTATTATATAAGTATATTATATATAGCATATCTTATATTATATATAGGATATATATATTCTATATATATATTCAGAAAAGATATATATATATATATATATATATATATATCCTATATGTATATGGAGAGATATCTTCTATAGGGGCTCTAGAGGAGAATTAGTTTTCTTATCTTTTCCAGATCTTGGGGGCCATCCACATTCTTTCCAGAGAAGACTGATATCTTCTCTCTATATACATATAGGATATATATATATATATATATATATATATATATATATATGTAAAATCTTCTTTCTTATATGAATATATCTATAGATAGATAGATATCTCCGTAGATATATACATATAGAATATATATATACACACTATATATATCTATTGATATAGATAGATATAGATATAAATATCTGTATAACTATATACCTGTATATATAGATTTAGATACATAAATATACATATACATACATATAAGTGGAAATTATGAGAATTTGCTCAAGTGGTTATTGAAGTAGAGAACAATATGTTTTCTGCAAGCTGAAGACCCGGGAAAGCCAATAGTGTAATGCAGTCTGAGTCCAAAGGCCTCAGAGCTAGGAGCTCTTTTGTCCAAGGATGGAAGGTGAGTATCTCAGCTCAAAAAGATAAACAATTTCCCCCTTCCTCCTCCTTTTCAATATATTCTGACACTCGTCGGATTGGATGATGCCCACGTCACTTTGGTGAGGGTGGATCTTCTTTACTCAGTCTACTGATTCAAATGCTAATCTCTTCTGAAAATACTCTTATAGACAAACCCATATTAATGTTTAACCAGCTATCTGGACATCCCTTAACCCACTTAAGTTGACTGATAAATTATGCATCACATGTCCACCCCTTGTCAACTTGGCAGGCACACACATCTCTTTAAACCATACTTATTTTCAAAATAAAGACAAAAGCAAGGTCATAATTCCACCTAACAAGATATGCAACTGAAAATGCACTAATCTCTTCCCTGCAAAAGGAGCTCAAGTCTTTGATTAATATTTACTCTTCTTCTGATACCTGTAACTTAAGTACTATGACATAAATTTAACAATACTTAAATATTGATATAAACCCAGTACATCTTATGTTAATGATAAGGGAATAAGAGAGAAAAAAACAAACATATTTGCTTAATATCTGTACATGTACATGCAAACATATTTACAATAAAATAAGAAGAAAATACTCCTGACAATTAAAGTTTCCTTGTTTCTGTAACTGATCCATGGTCACAGTTGAAATATTTAATTACCTTTTTCTACTATCCAGCTGGTATTCCCTTTGCCTTCAGCAAACACCTCAACCGGTCATGGTTTTTCACCTGGTAAAGTAACCCAAACTTTCATTCCTAAAGGCTTTGGGCCATTCATAGTTCTGCTTGAATTGGGTGCAGTTTTCCATTGTCCTTGATTATAAGATGTTATAATATTAAAAGATGCCCTAAGAGATCTCTTGTATTCCAGACATACTCTTCCTTCCTTTCACTGTGGAGTAGTAGTCCAAATTTCCATTGATAGTCTAGAGCAATCACCCCAGCTAACCTTGTAACTTCCTTCTTTGCCTGTTTACTCAGAAGCAATGAGGAGCCCAAAGTGTCTGGGGGGCAGTCTTAACTTCCAGTTCAATGGAATTTTTGTTGTGTCTCCTAATAGAGGCAATTCTCCCTCTGAAATTAAGACCTCTAGCCCAGTAGAGAATAAACTCAAGGAAATAGAAAGCAGAAAAATTCTGCTATGGGTCACTAGGGGTGATGGTGAGTGGTGCCAGTCCCATTTCTACCACTTAATACCTAGATCTATGACTCTTAGCTATGGAAAAAACAGTACAATATACTAGATGCTGATTCAGAGCATATACAGCCTTCTGGAAAACCTTGCCCCAACCCTAAAAGGTACTGCCATTGCCACTCCACTTTGATTACACTGTAACTGTATCTTCAAAAGGCCATTTCATCATTTTACCAAGGCAGTGGCTTCAGGATTCTAGAGATCATGGTAAAACCAACGAATGCCACAATCATGGGCCCATTGACATGCTTGGTTGGTTGTGAAGTGAGTTCCTTGGTGAGAAGGAATGTTGTGTGGAATACCATGCTGGATAATGCATTCTGTAAATCCATGGATGGTAGTTTTGTCAGAAGCATTGTGTGCAAAGAAGGGAAATCCATATCCAGAGTAAATTTCTATTCCAGTAGGAACAAAATTTTGCCCCTTTCATGATGAATGCGGTCCAGTGTAAACAACCTGACACCAAATAGCTAGCTGATCACGCTAAAGAATTGTGCCGTATTTGGGACTCGGTGTTGTTCTCTACTGCTAGCAGATTGGGCACACAGCATGGCTGTAGCCAGGTTGATCTTGATAAGTCCATGTTGCTGAGCCCATGTGATAGGGTTTTGGTCTGTGTCCCTACCCAAATCTCATATTCAGTTGTAATCTCCAATGTTGGAGGTGGGACCTTGTGGGAGGTGATTGTATCATGGGGGTTGTTTCTCATGAATGGTTTAGCACTATCCCCCTTGGTCATGATAGTGAATAAGTTCTCATGAGATCTGCTCTCTCTTTTTGTCCTGCTGCAGCCATTTGAAGTACTCACTCCCCCTTTGTCTTTTGCCATGATTGTAAGTTTCCTGAGGCCTCCCCAGAAGCCAAGCAGATGCCTCAGTGCTTCCTGTGCAGCCTGCAGAATTGTGAGCAAATCGAACCTCTTCTTTATAAATTACCCAGTCTCAGGCATTTCTTTATAGCAATATGAGAACTGACTAATACACCATGCATGATGTCCATCCCTGACACCATGGCCACTTTGTTCATGAGCCCATTGAACAATGACATGAGTGAATGGGGAAAGAGGCTGAGTGGTGGTCACAGAATGTGTCATAATACTTACTTTATTAAAATCTTCCTCTGCTTGAGGTCACCTTTGGGTGAGAATTCACATGGCACAAATGTCATAACATTTTATGCCATTCAGAGATGTCCATCCACAAAACTCTTCCTCATTATTCTTTCTCACCAATCTTCCAGCCATGTTCCTACCAAGTCCCTGACAGTCTAGCCAAACCACTGGCCACAGACCATGAATCTGCACATCATCAATTGTCTCACCATTTCTCCTTCCAAGCAAAATGCACAACTGGTTGCACTACCCAAAGTTCTGCCCACTGCATATTTAAATTATATATAATTTTCTTGGAACCATGAAACTACAGAAATATTTTACCTCTACCATCATTTTATTTACCTTTTGTTCACCTAACATTTTCCATAATCTCATACTATCCTGTTTTGTTTTTTATTATTCCTGACTTATACACTCATTGCTACCATCACTGCCAATCATTTCTAACTGGACCACTTGCATGCATTTTTCTGTTAAACAAACTACCTTATACTACATTATACCCTTGCATGTGTTTGCACATGTGTGTATTTATATGATGTATATTTATTCCATAAATAGATATGTATATTGTATATGCATATAAATATTTGTATATTTATACAGAATGCTTCTTTTATCTCTTCATAATAGCAGATGTTTGGATCTCCTTTGAGAATAAAAACTTCCCTGTAGCTTCTCAAAAGTTACTCAGTTTTTAAGGTACTGTAGCTATAGTCACCAGCAATATTTTCACTTCCCATTTCTCATTTTAGGCTAGTAATTCTCTTTCTTTGTGTACAATATTTTCTTTGGAGTTCATTCTCTTTGTTATACTATACTTTAGCCTCTAAGATTTTGTTATTTACAGATATTCTTCAGGAAAGTATTTTCATATTCACTGAAAACTTTCCTATTGAACTACTTACTTAAAACTATCTCTGCTTCCATCACGTACAGCATTATAACTTGGACAACCTACACAAAAACCTAATTTTTCATTCGCTTCTCCTCCTGAACTCCAATGACCCCATTTATTCCCAGTCACTCACTTCCAAGTTTATATTATACATTTCTTTTTAGTCACCATTGTTTTAGCTGGGAGCCTTCAAGAAGCAGGTACTAATATTGATTAAATGTGAAAGAATTTTATTAACAGAAATGCCTGTGTGAAAGTAAATATGAATAAGATGGGGAGGCTGGGAAAGCTGTTAAATTGCCATGCGCTTCCAACTCCAAGTAAAGGACAGAGTGAAAAAAGATTGAGTGAAAGTGACTTAGAGTGGAGTGCAGTCTAAGGAAGTTTTGGCAAGGTCACGGAGGAGTCCTTGAACCAAAGTCAGCCAACAAATGAACCCGGTATCTTCCATAAATGGGTTTGCCTTAGTATCTTGCTGGTTATTCAAATTCTGGGAGCAGTCCATGAGAAGTGTTTCCTCAGGACAAACACAGGGACTAATTTCAAAGTGCAACAGCTGGGGACCTTGGTCATTTTTTTTTTTTCTTTTAGCAAATTGTCTGAGGTGCATTCTTATGTCTGCCACTGTCAACACCTTTGGCCACACAGACTTACTCCACATAGTTTTGTGGAGAAGCTGCTGCATTGTCCCATGGACATTTCTTTCTGTGAGAAAGGTAAGAAGGTAGTTAGTGGGATGAACTACAACCCTGATCATTGTAGTTGGTCTTAGGGCCACAACTGTGTGCCATCTTCTCCCTCCTCTACTATTCATTCTAAATTCACCTCTCCCTCAGCTGTCTCCTCTGCAGATCTTGCTGACTTCCTGCTGGTGTTATCCAAATCTTTATTCTTGAATGGTCTGAGGCCTTCTCAGTCTGGAATTGCTGTACTTCCCTGTTCAGTTAGAATGGAGCAAGAGAGTACAAGGAAGTGCCCAAGTGGATTACCTAGGATCACCACACAATTCCTCCCTGTCACCATTGTGTAAAAACCACCACACCTCCTCCTGAACGCCAGGATCAATTACCCTTGCCATTATGGTGACTCTTGTCACTTTCTTGGTCCTGGGGCACAAGGAATCCAAAGTTCCCTGAAATAACCTCTGACTTGTAGTTCAATGGAACCCTTGCTATGTTTCCTGGAAAGAGTGCATCCCCTTTGAGAAACAGGACCTCCAGCTTGGCAGAACCCAGAGTTGAAATGACAGAAAGTATAAGCTCCCATTGGGCCATTAGGAGTGAGAGCAACTGGGGCCACGCCTGCTTCTACCACTTGGATTCTTAACTCATGCATCCTTAATACTGGAGCACAGCATGATACAGCAGTCTGTGATTTAACAAATACACTATACCTTGTAGGTTGGTGCCCCATTTTCAAGGTGTTCTGAGCTGACACTTCAGCTGTACCTTTAGAAGGGTGTTCCAGTGTTCTGTGAGACTAGCTGCCTTTGGATGGTCTGGTGGGTGATATGATCAGTGGACTCAGTGGCATCTGACCCATTTCTGCACCTCCTTTTTCATGAGAGAGAGTTTAGTCAGATGCCATGCTGTATGGGATACCATACTTACGAATCAGGAATTCTGTAAGCCTGCATAAAGTGGTGCTGTCTGAGACTCTTACAAGCAGAAAAAGCAACTCCTCATGCCTGGATAAGTATTTCTCCTTGTGAGGATAAACTACTGACCCTTCCAGGATGGAAATCAACTTGGTGAATTGATTATTCATATTATATAAACCACCACCCTAACATCTTTCAAGCTTTAATAATTTACCTAAAGCCTAACTCCCCGTACGATAATTTTTAGAAATTTACTATCTTATCCGGAGTAGGTGGGGAGCCTTTTTACTGGTTCCCACTGGCTTTCCCCACAGTATCTCATACCCCATAAACCAAGGGCCAAATGTGGGAATTACTCCAACTCCCATTTACATCCATTCGTATTATGCACTTAGCATCTGGGTAAATAACCACTGGGTCCACTCTGAGCCAAATTTTAGCTAAGACTCCACTGACTACATGGTTCCCATAGGCCTCTTCCCCACAGGAGAGCTATAATGATTATTTGGGTTTCTGAGTGTCAGTACAACTCAGACCCTACGTGTAATAGTTCTTGAAATGTCTGGTTATTGTCACTTCACCACACTTGAGTAAATGACCATAGATCACTTTGGGGAAAGACTAGAGAACTGTCATGGCATATACTGGCTATGGTGTTATAGGGTCCTTTCCTTTCCTCTAGAAGCTCAGGCCTCTTCAGTCAACTAATCCTAGATGTGAAAATTAGCTCAGATCTAGGCACCAAAGAACAAATTTTAACTCTTATTTATTTATTTATTTGAGACAGGTTTACTGTCACCCAGGCTTCAGGCTGGAGCATAGTGGCACTATCACGGCTTACTGCAGCCTTGATCTCCCCAGGCTCAGGTGATCCTCCCACCTCAGCCTACCAAGTAACTGGGACCACAGGTGCACAGTACCATGCCAAGCTAATTTTTGAAATTTTTGTAGAGATGGAGTTTCACCATGCTGCCCAGGCTGGTCTTGAATTCCCGGGCTCAAGTGACCCTCCCACTTCAGCCTTCCAGAGTGCTAAGATTACAGGCATGAGCCACCACACCCTGCCCAGAATTGTGACTCTTTATTGAGGTGACATCCCTCAGCCTTCTGCTCTTCCATGACTGCCTTTTTAGGGTGGTAAGTATTAAGCAGAACCCTAGATGTCCATCTCTATTTTGCTTCTAGTTATACCATGTTCCATTCATGTCTACAGCTCCCTGCAGATCAAGCCCTTTTGGCTGCTAGTCTCACCGTGCTTATCATTGTGGTAAATTCAGCCTTTTGACTTCTGACAGTTAAGCACTGCCACCTGGCCACTATTAGACTATGGATCCACTAGCACCATGGCCAATAATGAGTCCAATTCTTTGACTGCCTTCCTTAATATTAAACACAAATTAAAGAGGAGGGCCACCCCTGAGCTTCTCAATGATGCCTGTGCCCCTAACATCAGTGTAATCCCAATGGCTTTGGTGAATGGTATGTACTATGGCTTCTCTCAGGGAATATGATTCTGTTGTGGTTCTTTTAGCTTTAATATATCCATTCCAAGATGTCCACTTCCCTAGGGCTCTTTTTTTTTTTCTACCATATTCCAGGGACATGTATGCATGCCTCCTTTGCTGAACATTGGCCATCATTTTTTTCAACACTTCTAAGAGCCATCCTAGCAGCAAATTTGCCCTGTTCCCTGAGGTCTTTGCTAGAGCGTTCAATCTCATGCCCCTAAAAAATGTACTCAAGTCCAACTAATCCTTACTTATCCAGCCTTCCAGTCTGACTTTGTCAAGAACACTTAAAACCCAATCCCTGAGGTACTGCCATGGTTACTGCTGGTATATGCTGGATAGTACTTGCAATTCTTTAAGTATATAATCTCTTAAATTCTTTATGAGTCCCAGTTTGCCCACAGCCAGGCTATGCTGGGATTTCACACTAGTTATAAACCTTACAGACAACAAAGTAGGTGGGGGCAGTATCTAAAGAAGCACCAATTGCCCGGTTGGAGATAGGCTTCTGAAGCCTCCTGAATCACAGAGGAAATCCTAGTTGTTAAAGGGAGGGGTGGGCCACCTATGCATTTCTGGTGTGTACAGAGTGTGGGAGAGCTGTAAAGTATCTTCAGAACAGCCATCCAGATGTACTCCTTTAAGTATTCAGAATACTATTATAGGTTTTACCTACCAGAACCCTGACCTTGGCATAACAGACCACTTTGTCGTCTCTGGGGCTCTGCAACCCTCACAATTAGTTCTTCAGCCTGCTGTTTGATTGTGTCTGGCCTTCTGCTACAGGTGATGAGGGCCTCTTTATATGCTACCACTGAGGCCCTCTAGTTCTTGCACTCACGTATTAACTGCTTGTTAACAGCTCTAAGTCTCTCATTATCCATATGCATTGTGTCAATACAATTTAGCATTAACCAGCCAACTTTGCTGTCTTTGCAAACATTCTTATAAGTTCCAAATGCCTGCTTCACTGCACCTTTTACAGCATTCCTCACCACTGAGATATCTTCCAAGGTCATGAAAGCTGAAATATTTAACAATTTAACAACTGTTTTCTGCCAAGTACTATCCATGCTCCAGCGGATGAACAAGTATGAAATCCTGATCTTACTGCCAATCTTTTTTTGAACTACTCTGGGTACCATTTGTTTTAGCCTGGATCCCTCCGAGAAGCAGACACTAAGACAGGATTAAACGTGCAAAGATTTTATTAGGACAAATGTCTATATAAAAGGGAATATGGAAGGACCTGGGGAAACTGAAAGAGCTGTCAAATCTCCATGTATATCTGACTCCAAAAGAAGAAGAGAGGGAGAGAAGGTTGAATGGGAGCAACCTAGACTGCAGTGCACTCTAAGCAAGGTTGGGCAAGCTGTAGGGAAGGCCTTGACCCAAACTGATCACAAAGGAGTTCTATATCTTCCAGAAATGTGTCCTCTTATTATCCTTTCATCCTCGGTGGCAAGCAGCACATGGGAGGCCTCGGCATAAACATGAGATGGTTTTCAGGACAAGGCAGCAGCTGGGGCCTTCAATTAATTTCATTTCCTACCGTAGAAAGAAGTCTAAGAGGAACACTCTCATCACTGCTGCATTCAGAAATGCCCACCCCATTTTAATCTTAAAATCTAAGGTGCTAAGTGACCATATAATTTAATGTCCAAATGAGGACACTTTTGAGAATGCAAGGGTGGGTCTGTTAGGAGTTAACACTAGGACTGTCCCAGACACACCATATAATCACACTATACTTTGTCATCGAATTCTTTTCTCTACTTTTAACTTTTTCATGTTCTTTCGTCCTATCACTACAGTTTTTAATCCTCGCTAATTTATAACAATTGATCCAATTTCCTTAATCACAATTTATTAATTAACTCATCCAAACTATACTCCATAATCTGTCCATTAAATAATTTTTTCACCAATAAAATCCTTGCCCTCGGGCTCTTTTTCCGCAATTGTACTGAAACATCCCAACTCTAATTCCATTGAACTATTAGAATGTCCACTTTTACAACTAGCTATTGAGAATGTTAGTAAAGGTTACACTTCAGTGCACATTTGTATCACTACAAATCTGTAATATTCAAAATTATACCTAACATCAGCATAACTCTTATTTCATCAAGAAAAGTCATTAAGGGAAACTCTCCTGTAACATCTCCAATACTTTCTACAAATATATTTATGTCAATGGCAACTATATTTAACTTCCTCATCTCAAAGAAGGTTCTCCTTCCTCCTGTGCACTGCTTGAGTCCATTCATTCCAAAATCTTGTTCCATTACTCATTTTCTATTCTCTATTGTCAGCCTCCTCCATGCTTCTAAATTTCCCCTTAGCATTTGAGTATTCTTGTGGCCCTCCAATCTAAACATTTAAAAATTTTTTGACTCCGTATCTTTCAGCCAACACCCTTTTATACTCTTCCTGTTTACCGATAAGTTTATTGGAAGTATCTATGAATGTAGTTTCTACTTCTTTACTTACATTTCATTCTTTATTTCATTAGAAGTTAACTCCTTTACTAAATCACTCTGCTGAGATTACTTCACTAAGGTCACTGTCGTTGATTAAATGACCATGCGTTATTTTCATCTTTTCCTAGGAAAAGGTGGAGTTTTTCCTACCTCTTTTATATGTGCTGGCAATATGACTTTTTTTCACCAGTAAAATGTGGCATATGTGATATGCTATTTCAGAACTTAAACTTCAATAAGTCTTGCAGTTCTCATTCTAGCCCTTTTAGAATGCTGCCACAATGTGAATGAGTCTGAGGTAGCTTTATGAAAAAGCCATATAGCTCACAGGTTCTCGAGATTTGGGGAAAAAAAAAGGAAAAGGTCACATAAAAGAAAACCAAGGAGTCCTGGTCAACAGCCTGCCAACCACCAACCATGTAAGTGAGGCCATTTTACACAATCCAGTCCCTGCTGCTGTCCTAATTGATCATAGCCGAATGAATGAACCCTGGCAGAACCACCAGAAGAATCATCCAACTAAGCCCATCCCAAATTGCTGACCACAGGCAATAATTATATAAAAGAACGTTGTTTTAAGCATGTAAGTTTCAGGGTAATTTGTTACACAATGAAAATTAATTGAAACAAACCCCAATCATACCATGTGCAAACACGACATGTATGATTTTATCTAGATCTTAAAATAATTCTGGGAAATAAGTAATATTTTCTCTACTCTTAAGAATAAGATATTGAAGCTCAAGGTATTGATATGATTTGAATAAGGTATCACAGCTTCCATGGATGAGCCAGAATCTTTTATCAAGCACTATGTCTGACAAAAATGATCTGCAGGATCTGAAAATTATCATGACTCCATTTTTTACATAAACTCCATTGGCAATCACAGTTGTGACACATTAATTCCAGTGTCTTGAATTCTATATCGCTGTATACTACATAGACAATTTATAGTTTTATTTGCCACTCATCAAACACAAGGGCTAACAAATCTGTGCTTATCTAAAATCCAATTGCATTGTATGAGTAAATATCTCAGTCTTTACTTTTACTTCCAAACATTGAGTTTGAGTAAAATTATGTTTGTGATGGATTCTCCAGAGATAAATAGAGTTAAATTATATTCCAATGTATGTTTTTTAAATTTTAAATCTGTGGCAAGAAATCTCTGGTTGTTTTAGTACAGATCAACTGCTTAGTATTATGTAGGCAGTTTTGTTTTGTTTTGTTATAGTAGAAACTAGTAACTATTGGTAGGAACTGCACTACCCTGGAGCAACATAGTGCTCATATAGTTGGTCTAGATTTAACTCTATCTCCTCAACTATTTTTACACTTTTTTAAACTTGTATTTTAGGTACAGGGGTACATGTGGAGGTTTGTTATATAGGTAAACTGCATGTCATCGGCGTTTGGTGTATAGATTATTTTTTCAACCAGGTAATAAGCATAGTACCCAATAGATAGTTTTTCAATCCTCTCCCTTCTCTCACTATCCATCCTCAAGTAGGCCCTGGTGCTTGTTATCTTTTCTCTGAGTTTATGTGTGTACTCAAAGTTTAGTTTCCATTTATAAGTGAGAACATGAAGTATTTGGTTTTCTGTTCCTGTATTAGTTTCTTTAGAATAATGGCCTCCAGCTCCATCTGTATTGCTACAAGGATATGATCTTATTCTTATTTATAGATATATGGTATTCCATGGTGTATATGTACCACATTTTCTTTACCCAGTCTATCATTGACGGGCATTTAGGTTGATTCCATATCTTTGCTATTGTGAATATTTGACATATTTGACTATTCACTTTACTCAAAAATATTGTGGTGTTTTGAATTTATTTGATGACGAAAATTCATAATCTATTGAGTGCTCTAGAGTAGTGCAACTGATAGTTTCAATAATGCTGAGAATAGCAAGATATGCCTTATATTCCCTATTTATTACCATTCAATCTTTAGTCTTCGTCTCAGAAAAAAAATGACAGAATGATGTAATTATTTATTTGCACAGAGACTTCTGGGCATATGCTTTAATATCTTGCTCCCATTCTCCACTGAGAAAAGACCTACTTAAGTTACAGCTCAAACAGCTCCTCTCCTGTGATATATAGCCAGCTATGACCATGTATGAGGCACTATTCTAGGTGCTAGAGACATGAAAGAAAATATGGGGAATAGGTTTCACCACTACAAGATTTTATCATCCATGAACAAAACACTTACTTAACTGCAATAATAAATACTTCTAGATGAATGCAATGAAGAAAATAAAATGGAGCTGATGTCAAAATGTGCATGTATGTGTGAGAGAGAAATTAGGGGAATATAATTTAAAAAGTGTAGTCAGAGAATGCTTCCCAGAGGAAATGACTATAGAGCTGAGACACGAATGCCAAGAAAATGCCACTTATCTAGAAAACCTTGGGGTAGACCTATTAAGGCAAAAGGAATGGCAATTTTCAAGATCAAACAGTGAGTATGAGGCTGGGTGTGGTGGCTCAAGCCTATAATTGCAACAATTTTGGAGTCAAAGGAGGGAGGATTGCTTGAGCCCAGGAGTTCAAGACCAACCTGGACAACATAGGTAGACCCCATTTCTACACACACACACACACACACACACACACACACACACACACACACACATAAATAAATAAATAAACAAATAAATAAATACAAAATAAGTAAGATGGAGAATGGCTTATCTGAGGTGTAGGAAAGAAAGCCAATGTGATTAGCAGTAGGCGAGCAAAGGAAATAATGTTAAGGGATTTAGATAGAAGCATGGACAGAAAATTTGAGTATGATAAAGTTTGGATTTTAGTTTACGTGTAATAAATAAATTAATGAGAGGAATAGCATGACTTTATTTATATTAAAAATATTATTTGAACTGCTACACGGTAAATGGGGAGCAACGACCAGTTGGGAGGTTATTATAACAGTAAAAACAAGGGATTATAGTGGCTTGGATAGCAGTAAAGGAAGAGAGCAGTCAAGAGACAAATAAGTTTTCATTGATGCACTTGTAAACCTAGATAAGGCAAATAATTGTCTAGAAAAGGACAGATTTCCCTTACTGACTCAAGAATAAGTTGAAATCTCTAAAGAATCAGTAATAACTTAAAAAATAAGACTCCTTTCTTTCTCCTCCCCACAAAGTTACCAGGCTCAGAAGCTTTCACAAGTTAATTTTATACATTATTTAGGAAATAGATAACCGCAATCTTATCAATAATATTTTAGGTAAAAGAAAAAGAAGAGATAGACACTTCCCAAGATGGCCAAAGAGGAGCAACTCCGGTCTGCAGCTCTCAGTGAGATCAACACAGAAGGGAGGTGATTTCTGCATTTCCAACTGAGGTACCCAGTGCATCTCTCTGGGACTGGTTAGACAGTGGGTGCAACCCACGGAGGGTGAGCCAAGGCGGAGTGGGGCATCACCTCACCTGGGAAGTGCAAGGGGTCTGGGAACTCCCTCCTCTAGCTAACGGAAGCCATGAGAGACTGCCATGAGGAGCAGTGCATTCCCTCTCAGATAATATGCTTTTCCCATGGTCTTCACATCCCACAGACCAGAAGATTCCCTCGGGTGCCTACACCACCAGGGCCCTGGGTTTCAAGCACAAAACTGGGCGGCCGTTTGGGCAGACACTCAGCTATCTATCTGCAGAAGTTTTTTTTTTCATACCGCAGCAGTGCCTAGAACACCAGCGAGACAGAACCATTCACTCTCCTGGAAAGGGGGGTGAAGCCAGGGAGCCAGGTGGTCTAGCTCAGCAGATTCCCCTGTCATGGAGCCAAGCAAGCTAAGATCCACTGGATTGAAATTCTCACTGCCAGCACAGCAGTCTGAAGTCGACCTGGGATGCTTGAGCTTGGTGAGGGTAGGGGAGCCCACTATTACTGAGGCTTGAGTAGACAGTTTTCCCCTCACAGTGTAAACAAAGCCACCAGGAAGTTCAAACTAGGCAAAGCCCACTGCAGCTCAGCAAAGCTGCTGTAGCCAGACTGCCTCTCTAGATTCCTCCTCTCTGGGCAGGGCATCTCTGAAAGAAAGGCAGCAGCCCTAGGCAGGAGCATATAGATAAAACTCCCATCTCCCTGGGACAGAGCACCTGGGGGAAGGGACAGCTGTGGGAGCAGTTTCTGCAGACTTAAACATTCCTGCCTGCTGGCTCTGAAGAGAGCAGGGGATCTCCCACCACAGCGCTTGAGCTCTGCTAAGGGACAGACTGCCTCCTCAAGTGGGTCTCTGACCCATGTGCCTCCTGACCGAGACACACCTCTCAGCAGGGGTCGACAGACACCTCATGCAGGAGGGCTCTGGCTGGCATCTGGTGGGAGCCCCTCTGGGACAAAGCTTCCAGAGGAAGAAACAGGCAGCAATCTTTGCTGTTCTGCAGCCTCCACTGATGATACCCAGGCAAACGGGGTCTGGAGTGGGCCTCCAGCAAACTCCAGCAGACCTGCAGCAGAGGGTTCTGACTGTTAGAAGGAAAACTAACAAACAGAAAGGAATAGCATCAACATCAGCAAAAAGGATGTCCACACAAAAACCCCACCTGAGAACCATCATTCTCAGCAAACTATCGCAAGGACAAAAAAACAAACACCGCATGTTCTCACTCATAGGTGGGAATTGAACAATGAGAACACAGGGACACAGGAAGGGGAACATCACACACTGGGGCCTGTCGTGGGGTGAGGGGAGAGGGGAGGGATAGCATTAGGAGATACACCTAATGTAAATGACGAGTTAATGGGTGCAGCACACCAACACGGCACATGTATACATATGTAACAAACCTGCACGTTGTTCACATGTACCCTAGAACTTAAAGTATAATAATAATAAAAAAAAAACCCACCTGAAGGTCACCAACATCAAAGAAAAAGGTAGATAAATCCACGAAGATGAGGAAAAACCAGTGCAAAAAGGCTGAAAATTCCAAAAACTATAAGGCCTCTTCTCTTCCAAAGCATCACAACTCCTCACCAGCAAGGGTACAAAACTGGACGGAGAATAGTTTGATGAATTGACAGAAGTAGGCTTCAGAAGGTGGGTAATAACAAACTCCTCCAAGCTAAAGGAGCATGTTCTCACCGAATGCAAGAAAGCTAAGAACGCTGGAAAAAGGTTAGCAGAATTGCTAACTAGAATAACCCGTTTACAGAAGAATATAAATTACCTGATGGAGCTGAAAAACACAGCATGAGAACTTCGTGAAGCATACACAAGTATCAATAGCCAAATTGATCAAGTGGAAGAAAGGATATCAGAGACTGAAGATCAACTTAATGAAATCAAGCGTGACGACAAGATTAGAGAAGAAAGAATGAAAAGAAACTAACAAATCCTCCAATAGGAAGTAAGGGAATATGTGAAAAGACCAAACCCACGTTTGATTGGTGTACCTAAAAGTGACAGGGAGAATGGAAGCAAGTTGGAAAACACTCTTCAGGATATTATCCAGGAGAATTTCCCCAACCTAGCAAGACAGGCCAACATTCAAATTCAGGAAATACAGAGAACACCACAAAGATACTCCTTGAGAAGAGCAACCCCAAGACACATAATTGTCAGATTCACCAAGGTTGAAATGAAAAAAAAAGATGTTAAGAGCAGCCAGAGAGGAAGGCTGGGTTACCAACAAAGGAAAGCCCATCAGACTAACAGCGGATCTCCCTGCTGAAACCCTACAAGCCAGAAGAGAGTGGGAGTCAATATTCAACATTCTTAAAGAAAAGAATTTTCAACCCAGAATTTCATGTCCAGCCAAACTAAGTTTCATAAGCGAAGAAGAAATAAAATCCTTTACAGACAAGCAACTGCTGAGAGATTTTGTCACCACCAGGCCTGCCCTACAAGAGCTACTGAAGGAAGCACTAAATATGGAAAGGAACAGCCAGTACCAGCCACTGCAAAAACATGGAAAATTGTAAAGACCATAGAAACTACGAAGAAACTGCATCAACTAACGGGCAAAATAACCAGCTAGCATCATGATGACAGGACCAAATTCACACATAAAAATATTAACCTTAAAAGTAAATGTGGGAAAGAGAGTTTCTGGGGTGCCAGTTGAGTTGGTCTCCCCTGTGTGAGACACCCATGGGAAGCCATGGGCGGCCTCTGAGGAGAAAAGTCTCCTTATTGCTTTCATGTCTTTATGCCCCAAGAGCATAAGCGCCCAGCGGCATTCCACAGGTTGCTCAGGGAGATAACACTCCCTTGAAGCAGTGGAGTATAACCAAACATCTTGGCTCCTCCTGAAACCCGCTCCGACCTGTTTCACTCCCAATAAGTTAAAGATCTTAAGTAGTTTAGACACCCGCCTTTGCTCAAGGAAATTCACAGGAACCGCCACTGCTATACATCTTATCGAATGACTCAGGAGTTCTCCCTCACTGATTAATCCTTTTCCGCATCCCTTCTTCCCCCTCCCATCTGCCCTAAGAACAAAGAACTTATAAACCAATAAATTGGGCAGAGCACGAGAGCTCTGGGCCATGAGCAAGCCTCAGATGCTCCAGTCCCCTGGACTCACCTTTTAAATGCTTATTCTGTCTCTTTCTAACTCCTTTGTCTCTGCCAGATGCGGGGTACCTGTTGGGTGGTGTGGGGCTGGTTTCCAGTAACCAGTAAACAGGCTAAATGCCCCAATTAAAAGATACAGACTGGCAAATTGGATAAAGAGTCAAGACCAATCGCAGTGCTGCGTTCATGAGCCCCATCTCATGTGCAAAGACACACATAGGCTCAAAATAAAGGGATGGAGGAATATTTACCAAGCAAATGGAAAGAAAAAACAAAGCAGGGGTTGCAATCCTAGTCTGTGATAAAACAGACTTTAAACCATGAAAGATCAAAAAAGACAAAGAAGGGCATTACATAATGGTAAAAGGATCAATGCAACAAAAAGAGCTAACTATCTTAAATATATATGCACCCAATACAGGAGCACCTAGATTCATAAAGCAAGTTCTTAGAGACCTACAAAGAGACTTAGTCTCCCACACAATAATTGTCGGAGATTCAACACCCCACTGTCAATATTAGACAGATCAATGAGACAGAAAATTAAGGATATTCAGGACTTGAACTCAGCTCTGGACCAAGTGGACCTAATAGACATCTGCAGAACTCTCCACCCGAAATCAACAGAATATACATTCTTCTCAGAACCACGTAGCACTTATTCTAAAATTGACCACATAATTGGAAGTAAAACACTGATCACCAAATGCAAAAGAACAGAAATAATAACAAACAAATAACAAAAAATAAATAAAACTCAGACCACAGTGCAATCAAATTAGAACTCAGGACTAAGAAACTCACTCAAAACCACACAACTACATGTAAACTGAACAACCTGCTCCTGAATGACTACTGGGTAAATAACAAAATTAAGGCAGAAATAAATAAGTTCTTTGAAACCAATGAGAACAAAGACACAATGTACCAGAATCTCTGGGACACAGCTAAAACAGTGTTCAGAGGGAAATTTCAAGAACTAAATGCCCACAGGAGAAAGTGGGAAAGATCTAAAACTGACACCTAACATCACAATTAAAAGAACTAGAGAAGCAAGAGCAAACAAATTCAAAAGCTAGCAGAAGACAAGAAATAACTAAGGTCAGAGCAGAACTGAAGGAGATAGAGACACGAAAAACCCTTCAAAAAATCAATGAATCCAGGAGCTGGTTTTTTGAAAAGATTAACAAAATAGACCAATAGCCAGACAAATAAAGGAGAAAAGAGAGAAGAATCAAATAGACACACTAAAAAATGATAAAGGGGAGATAACCACTGTTCCCACAGAAATACAAACTACCATCAGATAAGACTATAAACACCTCCATGCAAATAAACTAGAAAATCTAGAAGAGATGGATAAATTTGTGGATAGATACACCCTCCCAAGACTAAACCAGAAAGAGGTCAAATCCCTGAATAGACCAATAACAAGCTCTGAAATTGAGGCAGTAATTAATAGTCTACCAAGCAAAAACAAATAAATAAATAAATAAAGCCCAGGAACAGACAGATTCACAGTCGAATTTTACCAGAGGTAAAAAGAGGAGCTGATACCATTCCTTCTGAAATTATTCCAAACAATAGAAAAAGAGAGAATCCTCCCTAACTCATTTTATGAGGCCAGCATCATCCTAATACCAAAATCTGGCAGAGACACAACAAAAAAAGAAAATTTCAGGCCAATATCCCTGATGAACATTGATGCAAAAATCCTCAATAAAATACTGGCAAACTGAATCCAGCAGCACATCAAAAAGCTTATCCACCACAATCAAGTCAGCTTCATCCCTGAGATGCAAGGCTGGTTCAAGATACGCAAATCAATAAATGTAATCTATCGTATAACCAGAACCAGTGACAAAAACTATATGATTATCTCAATAGATGCGGAAAAAAACATCGATAAAATTTAACACCCCTTCATGCTAAAAACTCTCAATAAACTAGGTATTGATGGAATGTATCTCAAAATAGTAAGAGCTATTTATGACAAACCCACAGCCAATATCATACTGCATGGGCAAAAGGTGGAAGCATTCCCTTTGAAAACTGGTACAAGACAAGGATGCTCTCTCTCTCCACTTCTATTCAACATAGTATTGGAAGTTCTGGCCAGGGCAATCAGGCAAGAGAAAGAAATAAAGTGTATTCAAATAGGAAGAGAGAAAGTCAAACGGTCTCTGTTTGCAGACGACATGATTGTATATTTAGAAAACCCCATTGTCTCAGCCCCAAATCTCCTTAAGCTGATAAGCAACTTCAGCAAAGTCTCAGGATACAAAATCAATGTGTAAAAATTACAAGTATTCCTATATACCAATAATAGATAGAGAGCCAAAAAATGACTGACTTCCCATTCACAATATCTACAAAGAGAATAAAATACCTAAGAATACAACTTACAAGGGATGTGTAGGACCTCTTCAAGGAAACCTACAAGCCACTGCTTAAGAAAATAAGAGAGAACACAAACAAATTGAAAAACATTCCATGTTCATGGATAGGAAGAATCAATATTGTGAAAATGGCCATACTACCCAAAGTAATTTACAGATTCAATGCTATCCCCATCAAACTACCATTGACTTTCTTCAGAGAATTAGAAAAATCTACTTTAAATTTCATATGGAACCAAAAAAGACCCCGTATAGCCAAGAAAATCCTAAGCAAAAAGAACGAAGCTGGAGGCATCAAGCTACCTGACTTCAAACTATACTACAAGGCTTCAGTAACCAAAACAGCATGGTACTGGTACCAAAACAGATATATAAACCAATGGAAAAGAACAGAGCCCTCAGAAATAATGCCACACATTTACAACCATCTGATTTTTGACAAACCGGACAAAAACAAGCAATGGGGAAAGGATTCCCTATTTAATAAATGGTGTTGGGAAAACAGGCTAGCCATATGCAGAAAACTGAAACTGGACCCCTTCCTTACACCTTATATAAAAATTAACTCAAGATGGATTAAAGACTTAAACGTAAGACGTAAAACCATAAAAACCCTGGAAGAAAACCTAGACAATATCACTCAGGACATAGGCAGGGGCAAACACTTTATGACTAAAACCTAAAAAGCAATGGCAACCAAAGCCAAAACTGACAAATGGGATCTAATTAAACTAAAGAGCTTCTGCACAGCAAAAGAAACTATCATCAGAGTAAACAGGCAATCTACAGAATGGGAGAAAATTTTTGCAGTCTATCCATCTGACAAAGGGCTAATATCCAGAATCTACAAGGAACTTAAACAAAGTTACCAAAAAAAAAAAAAAAAAAAACCATCAAAAAGTGGGCAAAGGATATGAACAGACACTTCTCAAAAGAAGACATTTATGCGGCCAACAAACATATGGAAAAAAGCTCATCATCACTGGTCATTAGCAAAATGCAAATCAAAAACACAGTGAGATACCATGTCATGCCAGTTAGAATGGCGATCATTAAAAAGTCGGGAAACAACAGATGCTGAAGAGGATGTGGAGAAATAGGAATGCTATTACACTGTTGGTGCGAGTGTAAATTAGTTCAACCCTTGTGGAAGATAGTGTGGCGATTCCTCCGGGATCTAGAACCATAAATAGCATTTGACCCAGCAATCCCATTACTGGGTTTATACCCAAAGGATTATAAACCATTCTGCTATAAAGACACATGCACATGTATGTTTATTGCAGCAATATTTACAATAGCAAAGACTTAGAACCAACCCAAATGCCTGTCAATGATAGACTGGATAAAGAAAATGTAGTACATAAACACTATGGAATACTACGCAGCCATAAAAATGGATGAGTTCATGTCCTTTGCAGGGACATGGATAAGGCTGGAAACCATCATTCTCAGCAAACTAACACAGGAAGAGAAATCCAAACACCGCATGTTCTCACTCATAAGTGGGAGCTGAACAATGAGAACACATGGACACAGGGAGGGGAATATCACACACTGGGGCCTGTCACGGGGTGGGGGATTAGGGGAGGGATACCATTAGGAGAAATTCCTAATGTAGATGACTGGTTGATGGGTGCAGCAAACCACCATGGCACGTGTACACCTATGTAACAAACCTGCATGTTCTGCACAAGTATCCCAGAACTTAAAGGTTAATTAAAAAAAAAAAAAAAAAAAAAAGGGCCCGGCACGGTGGCTCACGCTTGTAATCCCGGCACTTTGGGAGGCCATGGCGAGTGGATCATGAGGTCAGGATTTTAAGACCAGCCTGGGCAACATAGTGAAACCCCGTCTCTAATAAAAATACAAAAATTACCCGGGTGTGGTGGCACAAGCCTATAATCCCAGCTACTTGGAAGGCTGAGGCAGGATAATCGCTTGAACCAGGGAGGAGGAGGTTGCAGTGAGCCAAGACCACACCATTGCACTCCTGCCTGGGTGATAGAGTGAGACTCTGTCTCAGAAAAAAAAAAAAAAAAGAAAGAAAGAAAAAATAATGTAATGTGTCCCAAATCATTGAACTGTATATTTTAAATGGTAAATTCTATGGTATGGAAATTATATCTCAATAAAGTGGTTAATAAAAAAGAAAAAAAAATGAAGAAAAGCTACCTAACACTCCAAGAGGCAAGCATATCTTATACACAACAATAAGATATGGACAGTACAAGAAAAGATAACTCAAGTCCAAAATCACTTATGAATATAGATGCAAAAATCCTAAATGAAGTGGTAGAAAACAAAAGCTAGCACTTTAAACACTTAAAATCTATGAGTAAAATTGACCATATAAACCAATGGACTTTGAAAACCTTATTCTAAGAATCATACCTACGAGTAAGAAGCAAAGAATAAGCAAAATACTTCTGAACATAAGTAAAAAGAGAGAGGATTTACTCTGTCAACTCTCATACTATATAGATTGACAGATAAGAACTCAAAAACCTGGTATTAAGATACAATATGATATATATACATATTTATAAGCATCCATAAGATCATATAATTTTCAAGATTGCATGTAGTTTATAAAGATTTATAAAACAAATTGAAAATATTCATATTGTTTTTGATTTCTTCTGAGAAAGAGTGGAAGAGGAATAGAAAGAGGGGAACTGAAACTCTTTAAAGGTAAATAAGTCTTCAACAGGGTTGGGCGTGGTGGCTCATGCCTGTCGTTCCAGGACTTTGGGAGGCCAAGGTGGGCAGTTCCTTTAAACCCAGGAGTTTGAGACCAACCTGGGCAACATGGCTAGACCCCATCTCTACAAAAAATACAAAAATTAGCCGGGTGTCGTGACACATGTCTGCAGTCCCACCTCCTCAGGAGGCTTAGAGGTGGGAGGATTGCTTGAGCCAGGGAGGTTAAGGCTGTAGTCAGTGATGATAATGCCACTGCACTCCAGCCTGAGTGACACAGCGAGACCCTGTCGCAAAAAAAAAAAAAAAAAAAAAGAATGAAAAAAATACTTCAACATTATCTTGTGTTTTATTTAAAAAGCTTAATAAAGTAATCATAAAATATTGATGATAGAATGGATTTGCTCTCTGTTCTTTATTCAATAAATATATATTAAATAATTATTTTGTGCAAGACATAGTTCTAGTTGCTGATAATATAACAGCAACCAAAGCAGATACAAATCCCTTTCATTACATAGCTTACATTCTAATGAGAAGAGACAAAATATAAACAACTAAGTAAAATGCATAGCATGTCAGGTGGTGATAAGTTCTACGGAGGAAAAATAAGTTAGGGAATCTGATATGAATTTCTAAGGAGCATCAAATAAAAACAAATCTGTATTTAGGCCAGGAGAGACTTTATTGGAAAAGATGATTGTAATAAGAAAAGGTGGATTATTACAATAGGGAAAAAAGAGCTTCCCCCACACCCCCCCACCCAAGGTAGGAATTGCAAGTATTTCAAAGATTAGGTAAAAAAGGGCTTTTCTTTTATAATGATGAGTAAACAAGGCTAGAAAAAGCTGGGTGTGAGGCTTTGGGTGGTGTGATGGATCAGATAATGTTTTTCTTTTGTGGATAGCCTACTTTTGGGAGGGGAAGTGAAGAAGAGTGGTCAGCTAGCTCAAGCTGTGGAGAGGTCAAGTTCAGGGGCCTGTAGGAAGGAGAGAAACTTAGCTAAAGTTTGGTCAAGTCAGGTGTTGTGTTTGGATTGGTCAGTGAGTAAAAACAGACCAGCTAATCATTTATAAGGCAAGGAATGAAAACTTACTGAGTCTGTCTAGGTAAACAAGAGGGAAACCATTGAGTCTTATCTCCGTCACTTTGTGAGGGGTAGTTCTTTGTACTCTGTTGTTTTCAGGTACATAAAAGTATGGGAAGTAATTTTTAACTGTTATCCAGGATCTCAGAGCTCCTGTAAAGTTCAATATTGTCAGAAGAGGTTGCTATTTTAAAGAGAGGTGTCAGGGATGGCCACACTGAAAAGGTTACATCTGAGCAGAGATGTAAAGATCTAACGGATCTAACAGAGGGTACTTCAAACAGAAGAAATAACAATTCAAAACCTAGAGAATCTGTGAGCCTCACATGTCGCAAAAATAGAAAGGAGTTCAGTGTGGCTGGAAAGGAAGAAGAACAGAGAGGGCAGTAACTGACAATGAGGTCAGAGAGAAAACAGGGCCTGATTGTAAAGGGTCCTGTAGTCCATTGTGAAAACTTTCACCTGGAGTGAGATGGGAAAATCCTGCAGGCGTAACATTTTTGGCCTGTGTTTTAATAGCATCTGGCTGCTCTATTGAGAACTTCATTGCAGGAATACGTCTATCAGTAAGTGAGAAGAGGCTAAAATCAGTGCACATGTGGACTGGTAGAATAAAGGCTTCATCCATGGAAATAAGACAGGCACAACATGTATAAGGCATGATACAGGCAGAGAGGTAGATGTGGTGAATTAAGCCTGTGGAATTTCTCTATTAGTTGATTTTACCATCCCAATGAATTAAAGAATAAAATTATCAGCTGAGAGTGTAAATGAAAGAGTGGTAGTAGAAGAAAAAAAATATGAGACATTTAAATGTATAGTAAAAAAATGCATTAGGAAAATACAATGTTTAGCAGATAGAATTAAGGACTGTCTTAAGGTTAGCGATCCTGAATTTCAAATGAGAATAGGGAACATAATTCTGGAAGCTTCATCCAACTAAGTTCAACTGCATAGGTGCAAGTGAAAAGTATGAAGGGATTCATTTTAATCAGAATTGGGATTTTGCCAGGAGAGTAAAATTAAGTGGGAAAGGGTTAAAACAATTGAGGGTACATGCAAAGGAGTTATAATGATGAGCTGTGGTATTAAAGCTAGGTGAGAAAGAAAGCAAGGGAATAAAGAAGGTAAGGGGCAATTAAACAGGTTAAATTATAGAATTGGAGGTTTCAATGTGATCTAAGAGTTTTTGGAGTTGAAGAACTAGAAAAAGTGAACTGAAAGATTAGGATGGGTAGTCAAGAGACTAGTATGTACGACATTTAAGGGCTCAAGGATTTGGACATATTTAATGGCAACTTCTAGGGTATGACCATGGGGGTGTTGGTTGGCTAAGAGAGGAGGTTGGAAATGACCATGGAAGGGGAGGAGACCAAAGGACTGAGAGATCAGGGTATTGAAAAGATGACATAAGTGTATATTGAAATTACAAATAATTAGGACAGGAGGGGTTGTGTTTGAAAAGGTGACAGTAATCCAAGATTTAAAATCTTAGGGAATGAAAGTGGAGATAGCCTTGAGGTCTCCAAATGACTTCAACGGCGGCAGGCTGAGCCTGCACTGTGAGCCAGGCAAAAAACTGTAAGTCCTCAGAGTGTGAAAGGGAGAGAAGTTGCCTCTAGGATAGACACACCCTCAAGGTAAACTGGAAATCCAGGCCACGGTGGAAGCTCTTAACCCTACCCAGCACTGGAACTGATTTAGAGAGAAATGAGGACTATAAAAGTAGGAATGGCAGTGGGAGGAGTCTTGTGTCTGTTCCCAGTCTCCTGCATGGACTGAGAGAAGCCATTCCTCATTCTGCCTCAATTAGAAATGAAACTGGAAACATTACAACCTACACCACAGAAATACAAAAGATCATCTGAGACTGCTATGAACACCTCTAAGCACACAAACTGGAAAACCTAGAGGTAATGGACAAATTCCTAGAAACATACAACCCTCTTAGATTAAGTCAGGAAGAAATAGAAACCCTGAAGACACCAAAAACAAGCAGTGACATTGAATCAGTAATAAAAATAAATATGTCAAAAAATAACCACCCAGAGCCAGAGGATTCACAGCTGAATTCTTCAAGACATTCAAAGAAGAATTGGTACCAATCCTACTGAAACTATTCCAAAAGATTGAGAAAGAGGGAATCCTCCCTAAGTCATTCTATGAAGCCAGAATCACCCTGATACCAAAACTAGGAAAGAACATAACAAAACAAAGAAATACAGATCAATATTCCTGATGAACACAGATGCAAAAATACTCAAAAAAGTATTAGCTAACCAAATCCAACAGCACATAAAAGATATAATACACAATGGTCAACTGGGTTTCATTTCAGAGGTGCAGGGATGGTTTAACATAGGGAAGTCAATAAATGTGATACATCACATAAACAACTAAAAACAAAACAGTATGATCATTGTATTAATCCATTCTTGCACCGTGATAAAGAAATACCTGAGACTGGGTAATTTATTTTAAAAAAAAAGGAGTTTTAATTGGTTCTCAGTTCCACAGCCTATATAGGAGGTGTGATACTGGCATCTGCTCAGCTTCTGGGGAGAACTCAGGAAACTTTCAATCATGGCAGAAGGCAAAAAGAAAGCCAGCATGTCTTTCATGGCTGGAGCAGGAGGAAGGGAGAGAGAGGGGAGGTGGCACACACTTTTAAACAACCAGATCTCACTAGAACTCTATAAAGAGAACAGCACCAAAAGAATGGTTCTAAATCCTTCATGATGGATCCACCCCCATGATCCAATCACCTCCCACCAAGCCACACCTCCAACATTAGGGAGTACAATTGAATATGAGATTTGGGTGGGGACACAGATCCAAACTATATCAATCATCTCAATAGATGCAGAAAAAGCATTCACTAAAACCCAACATCTCTTTATTGATAAAAACCATCAATAAAATAGGCATAAAAGAGACTTACCTCAAATTAATTAAAGCCATGTATGACAAACCCACAGCCAACATAATACCGAATGGAGAAAAGTTAAAAGCATTTCCCTGAAGAACTGGAACAAAACAAGTATGCCCACTTACAGCATTTCTACGCAACGTAGTACTGGAAGTCCTAGCAAAAGCAGTCAAGCAAGAGAAAGAAATAAAGGTCATCCAAATTGGAAAAGAGGAAGTCAAACTACCACTGGTCACTGATAATATGATTGTATACCTAGAAAACCCTAAAGACTCCCCCCAAAAAAGACTTCTAGATTTGATCAACGAATTCAGTGAAATCTCAGGTTACAATGTCAATGTACATAAATTAGTAGCACTGCTATACACCAACAATGGCCAAGCTAAGAATCAAATCGATAACTCAATTCCTATTATAACACCTGTAAAAAAAATACCTAGGAATATACTTAAACAGGATTGTGAAAGTTCTGTATAAGGAGAACTGCAGGACATTGCTGAAAGAAATCACAGATGATACAAACAAATGGAAACACATCCCATGCTCATGGATTGGAAGAATTACTATTTTGAAAATGACCATACTTCCCAAAGCAGTCTACAGATTCAATGCAATTCCCATCAAAATACCAGCATTATTTTTCACAGAGTTAGAAAAAAAAATTAAAATGTGTACGGAACCAAAAAAAAAAAAAAAGAGTCCACATAGTCAAAGTAATCCTAAGCAAAAAGAACAAATCTGGAGGCATCACATTGCCTGACTTCAAGTTATACTACAAAACTAGTTACCAAAATAGCCTGGTACTGGTATAAACGTATGCACACAGACCACTGGAACAAAATAGAGAACCCAAAAATAAAGCCAAATTCTTAAACCCAACTGATCTTTGACAAAGCATACAAAAACATAAATTGGGGAAAGGACACCCTATTTAATAAATGGTGCCTAGAAAACTAGCTAGCCATATGTAGAAGAATGAAATTGGATCACTACCTCTCATCTTATACAAAAATCTATTCAAGACGGATTGAAGATTTAAATCTATTCAAGGTGAATTGAAGATATAAATAGATTATATCCTTGGAAAAACTCTTCTGGACATTACCCTAAGCAAAGAAATCATGAACAAAACCCGAAAAGCAAATGCAACACAAACAAAAATAAATAAATGGGACATGATTAAATTAAAAAGCTTCTGGACAACAAAAGAAATAATCATTCGAGTAAACAGACAACCCACAAAACGGGAGAAAATATTTGCAAATTATGCATCTGGCAAACGACTAATATCCAGAATCTACAAGGAACTCAAGCAAATCATCAAGAAAAAAATCCAAATAATCCCATCAAAAAGTGGGAAAATGACATGAGTAGACATTTCTCAAAAGGAGATATATGCATGGCCACCAAATGTATGAAAAAATGTCCAACTTCACTAATCATCAAGGAAATGAAAATCAAAACCACAATGAGATACCACCTTATTTCCGCAAGAATAGACATTATTAAAAATTTTTTAAAAATACATATTGGTGTGGATGGGAGAAAGGGTAACACTTATACACTTCTGATTGTAATTTAAATTAGTACAGCTTTCATGGAAAACAATATGGAGTTTCCTTAAAGAACTAAAAGTACATCTAAAATTTTATCCAGCAATCTTAATGCTGAGTACCTACCCCAAATAAATGAAGTCATTATATATATATAGAGAGAGAGAAAGAGAGAGACAGAGAGAGTCATTATAAAGTGTATATATATCTATATATATATATATATATAAAGTCATTATATGTGTACATGTACACATATGTTTACTGCAGCCAAATTCACAATTGCAAAGATATAAAAGCAACTTAGAGCTCATTGACCAATGAGTGGATAAAAAAATGTGGTATATGTACACCATGGAATATTTCTTGCCATAAAAAGTAACAAAATAATGTCTTTTGTAGCAGCCTAGATAAAGCTAGAGGCCATTATCCTAAGTGACATAACCCAGAAATAGAAAACCAAACACCGTATGTTCTCACTTATAAGTGATACCTAAGCTATGAATACGCAAAGGCATATAGAGTGAAATAATGGTTTTGGAGACACAGAGAGGGGAGGGCTGGAGGGAGGTTTGGGATAAAAATCTACGTACGGGATAAAAATCTACATACGCAGTGTACACTATTCAGGTGATGGGGACACTACAATCTACGAATTCTCCACTATACAATTTTTCCACGTAACCAAGAATAACCTGTACCTCTAAAGCTATTGAAATTAAAAATTAAATAAAAATTAATGAAAATAAGTAAACAATAAAGACAAATTAATTTTCAGTAATCATATGGAACAAAAAATAGAAAATATAAATAGAAGAACCCATACATAATGTCAATCATTGGTTTATCTGAGAAAAGTGGTGAGATAGTTATATTAGCAGGGTTCTCCATATAGATATAGATATATGAGAGGGGATGTATTAGAGTAATTGGCTCACACTATTATGGAGGCAGAGAGGTCCCACAATAAGCCATCTGCAAGCTGGAGACCTAGGGATGCCAGTTGCATGGCTCAGTCCAAGTCCACAGGCCTCAGAGCCAGAGAAGTCAGTGGTGTAACTCTCAGTCCGGGGATTGAGAACCCAAGGGCTAGGGGCTGCTGCTGTAAGATCTAGTGTTCAAAGGTCAGGGATCCTGGAGTTCTGTTATCCAAGGCCAGGAGAAGAAGCGTCCCAGCTCCAGATGAGAGAGAGAAGAAATAATCTTTTCTCTATCTTTTTAAATTCTATTCAGGCCTCCAGCAGATTGGATAATGCCAGCCCACACTGAGGGCAGACCTACCCCACCTAATCTACGCAGACTCACAAGCATACCTCACAGACATACCCAAAATAATGTTTTACCGGTTCTCTAAGTATTCTTTAATTCAGTTTACACCTAAAATTAATCAACACAATATGTAAATCAATAGTTCATTCTATAGGGGAAAAAAGACTGGAAAGGAAAAAAAATGTAACACAAAAAATAAGAAGTGAGAATGAGGAAAGCCTGAATAAAGTGGGGGGGGGGCGATTCTATGAAAATATGAATCACTAGAATGACCTCAGAATGGGTAGAATATTTAAATATGTCAACAACTATAAAGGAACTTTCTCAAATTTTCACTGTGCAATCCCAAAAAAGCATAACATGTTTATATTGCTCCACGGCCATCTTCAATACTATTTAAATTTTTCCACAGCCATAAATAACAACAATAAAGCTTGAAAATTATGTTTTTCTGCATATAGCATAATTTTATACCAAGCCCCCCAAATAACATAATCATAAAAAAGACCATATTTATGAATAACAAGTAAAATTCCTAAGTGTGTACAAATAGGATCTAGCCACACATAAGTAATTACAGCACAACAGCTAACATTTCCTGAGTGCATACAATCTGCATTTTTAAATTAAATAAAGCCTGTCACTCCATGTATCAATAAATATAGCACCGATACATTCTCTTCTATAAGTCATCAATATTTCATATCATGTATAAATAGTCTATTCAACCACTGACCTATATACAAAATATGTTTTATTTCCATTTTTAACTACCGCGAAGCCACCATAAGCATTTTCTATATTTCGTTACAAAAGGTAAGAAAACATCTTTTTGACCTAGTCATATAAATGTTGTTCTTAAGATACAGCCCCAAACACAAATTAGAATATTCTAAATGTTACTCCACTAAAATCGAGAACTTCTAGTCATCACATAAATCTCATTAAAAGGGTGAAAATACTAGCCACAAAAAAAGATCTTTACATGTGTTTACACATTTAATTATTACAACAGTTCTGCAAAGTAGGTACCATAATCATCTCCGTTTAATACATTAACAAGCTGAAGCCAAGGGATAAGGTTAATCAAGTAGACATTAACTGACAGAACTAGCACTCAAATCCAGGCAGTAGTTTCAGAGTTCAAACTCTTTAACCATTGCACTACATTGTCTTCTGAGAGAATAACTCACAATGAACAAATTAGGATCTTGCCAGGATGTGGAAAAGATACAGTATTAAGAAATACAGAAATATTATTTCTATTATTTCAAATAGATTACAAAGAGGAAAATCACATATCAACTTTCCAGTTGCTTAAATGCTTAAAGAAAATAATTCAAAACATACATTATTAAATATATTTTTAAACTTAGAAAAATGGGATAAATGTATACTTCCTCAATATGATGTTGCTGTTTACCCTTATCAAGTCAAAAGACAAGCTTAACTGAGAAATTCAAAGAGAAAGATGGTAGAATAGGATTTTCCAGTGCTTATCATTTCCCAGAAACATCAATTTGAACAATTGTCTATGCATAAAATTACCTTCCCAAGAGCTAAGTAAACCAGTTGAGAAATTTTAGCACCTGGATGTAGCATAGAAGTAAAAAAGACACATTGAAGAGGGTAGTCAAGACAGTTTCACATTACCTGTGTCACACCTACCCCAACCCCAGGCAGCAGAGTGTGGACAATGATATCTTCTGTAAAAAGGAAGGAGAGGGAAGTGAGCACCAGAATTTGCCTTGGACCCCAGCACCTAACCCACTCCAGCGAAATCTAGCACCAGGTAGGTTCCTTTGGCCCCAGGTTCTAGGCCAGTCCCACTGCCAGGCCTGTTCCAGTAGACCGTGCCTCCAGGCCTGCTCCATTGCTAGGCCAGCCCCAGGTACCAGGCTGGCTCTCATGGCCTCATGATTTAGGCTTGCCTCAGCACCAGGCTAGCACCCACAGACCCCAAGTTCAGGCCATCACACATGGCCCCAGAGCTAGGGTGGCCCCAACGGCCCCAGACTCCATTAAGCGCACAAGCAAAGGAAGAATGTCCACCATTAATTTGGCTATTTAATTTTGCTATGAATATAGGAGCCAACCCAATGAGACATAAGAATGCAAAACAAGAAAGCATATTATTCATTTATAGTAATTGATACACATAAAATACACAAAAGAATCAATGGAAAGGGATTAGAGACTTTCAATTTTAAAATAACAGAATAAATGGAATTGTTTTCTCATTGTCTTTCAGGTATTCTACCCTTAAAAGCAATAAACATGTTTAAAAAAATAACACAAACATTATCTTCAATAAATTTGGGGATATCTATAACCCCCACGTATATATATGAGAAAAGACTTCTAAATGGAGTGAAAGTCAAACAGATATGAGAAGACACTGAGGTAGGGCTCTCATGACTAATCTCAGTCCAGTGGTTGAGCACAACTCTAAGTGTCCAATATTGAAGAGAACAGCAAAAACTGGTTCATAACGGGAACAAATAACAAATAATGAGGCTGACAGAGGAAGCTTTTCTGAACCCAACTTGATAACAAATTTGAGAAGTAAGGAGAGTGGGCCTGAATAAAGAAGCCCCTGGCAAGCCTGTTGGCAATAATAATGCAAGATGGAGGAGAGAAACTTCACATGAGTGGTTCTCTATTGTTGATATGAGGTCTACTGGGGAGAAGAGAAGACCCCAGAACTGACTTATAAAATAGAACTCTAAATCATAGCAAAATTCTCACCTGCTAGCCTGTAAGATGGTCTTGGCCCCTTCTTCACTTCAACTTCCTTCAAATAGCAAGTCCAGGAATAATTTACACAAAGGTAAGTAAATTTATATGCATATATGAGTATGTGTGGTTGTGTGCATATGTGTGTGTATATGTCTCTCTCTCTCTGTGTGTGTGTGTGTGTATGTATGTATATAATGTCTAAACAGAAAAATAAATAAAGCTATGTATCCTTTGACCAGGCAACTTATCTTCTAGGAAATTGTCTTACAATTATAGTCCCATAGATGCACAATAACATATAGATAAGTATTTCCAGAGCAGAAAACAACTTAAATGCCAGTAAGTTGGGGGATGATTAAATAAATTATGGTATATAAATGTAATGGAATGAGTAAGTACCGTATGCACTTGTAGAGAAAAAATTCACAGTGAAAATATTGTGCTGTGCCCTGATAAGAAACCGATCAAAATGTTTGCCTTAGGAGAGGGGAAATAGGGGACTGGGGGTCAAGGGTATGGTCACTTATATTACCCATAGACAGCTTTGTAACTTTGAAACTGTGTGCCATTTGCATGTGTTTCATATTTTCTTTTCTTTTCTTTTTTTTTTTTTTTTGTTTGTTTTTGAGACAGAGTCTCGCACTGTTGCCCAGGCTGGAGTGCAGCGGTGCGATCTCGGCTCACTGCAGCCTCCGCCTCCTGGGTTCAAGCCATTCTGCTGCCTCAGCCTCCTGAGTAGCTGGAACTACAGGCGTGCATCAGCACGCCTGACTAATTTTGTGTATTTTTAGTAGAGATGGGGTTTCACCATGTTGGCCAGGATGGTCTCGATCTCCTGACCTCGTGATCCACCCACCTCGGCCTCCCAAAGTGCTGGGATTACAGGCATAAGCCACCGCGCCTGGCCTGTTGCATATTTTAAAAGAAAAATATACTTAAAACTAATGGGAAAATAATAGATGGATTCCACAACGTGGCTCATTAAGAAAGGAATATGTTAAAAATAATAACTTTTCAAGATATAAAAAACTTAGAAATGAAAGAAAGGTTCCCATTTAAAATAGACATATGAAATATAAAACAAAAATATTCAGTACTTATGTGAAGAAATCTTTAAGATACTATGAAAAGTTTTCAGAAAAATCTGGGTATACAGTATAAAATATCTTAAAATTGGACAATAAAATACTATATTATAGACACAGATTCTAAAGTTCACATTAACAAAATAAACCTTTAAGACCGCCAGCCAAATTCTGGAAGACAATGAGGAAGCACCAGCCCTATCAAAATTTAAAATACTACAAAGATACAATTATTAAAACTAGTAGGAATTGGTACGGTATTAGAATGACAGAACAAATGAACAGGATAGATCCAAAAAGAGATCCAACTGAAAGTGTCAATTATTACATATTAAATATAATATTTTAAATTTGTGGGGTTTATTCATTAAATGGTGTTGAGACAATTGGCTAGTCACCTATATATAAAGCTGTGTCCCTATCTTGTTACAACAAAATTGCAGATGAATCAGTTGTTTAGAAATAAAATTCAAAACCATAATGTACCAGGAAAAGTGTGAGAATTTTTCAAATAATGTTAGCATAGTTCTTTTAAGCAAAACCAATACTAGAGAAGCCGTGAAAAAAATACAAATTTAACTATATAAAACTTTATTCGCTTGCAAAGCAGAACAATTCACTTGCATACCAAAATGTTATTAAGAAAAACATCACTTGACAAACAGAGAAATATTTACAGCAGATTTGTCAAAGGATTTGTTTAAATAACATTCAGCTCTTCAGCCTATTTTTAAATTGGGCTATTAGTATTTGTTTTTTGTTGTTGTTGTTTTATTTTGTTTTTCTTTTATCGTTGTTGCTATTGAGTTGTAGGAGTTTCTTATGTATTTTGGTAATTAATCTCATATCTGTTATTTCCTCTCATTCTGTAGATTGCTTTTTTGTTCTATTGATTGCTTTCTTTGCTGTGCAAAAGCTTGTTTGTTGGATGTAGTTCCACTGGTCTGTTTTTGCTTTTGTTACCTATCCTTTTGATGCTATATTCAGGAAATCACTGACGTGATGAATATTTTCTCCAAAGTGTTTTTCTAAGAGATTCACAGACAAGATGTGGAAACAAACTAAACGCCCATCAATAGGTGGATGGATAAACAAAATGTGGTATCTGCACTTGATGTTAACATTATTCAGCTTTTCAAAGGAGGTAAATCTGCAAAATGTGACAACATGGATGCACCTAGAGGACATTATGTTGAGCAAAATCAAGACAGTCACAGAAAGACAAATACTGCAGGATTCCACTTACATGACGTATCTAAAATTGTCAAACTCATAAAATCAGAAAGCAGAATAGTGGCTACCAAGGACCGCAGGAGAGGGGCAAGTGGGGATTTTTTAAAATCAACTGGCACAATATTTCAATTATGCAAAACCAATAAGTGGTAGAGATCTGCTGTCCGACACTACACCTATAGTTAACAATACCATATTTTACAGGATAATTTTTTAAGACAGTAGATCTCATGTTAACTGCTCTTACTACAATAAAACAATTTTTAAAAAACATAAAATTTTTCCAAATAAATAAGAAAAGCATGAAAAAATAGGAAAAGAATGTGAACACATGGTTCATACAAATAAACAAAAATAGCTATAATCTTATTAAAATAACTTTAATGGATCTAGAACTAGAAATATCATTTGACCCAGCAATCCCATTACTGGGTATATACCCTAAGGATTATAAATCATGCTACCATAAACACACATGCACACATATGTTTATTGTGGCTCTGTTCACAATGGCAAAGACTTGGAACCAACTCGAATGACCATCAATAATAAACGGGATAAAGAAAATGTGGCACATGTAAACCATGGAATACTATGCGGCCATAAAAAGGATGGGTTCACGTCCTTTGCAGGGACATGGATGAAGCTGGAAACCATCATTCTCAGGAAACTAACACAAGAACAGAAAACCAAACACTGCATGTTCTCACTCCTAAGTGGGAGTTGAACAATGAGAACACATGGACACAGGGAGGGGAACATCGCACACCGGGGCCGGTTGGGGGGTGGGGGACTAGGGGAAGGAGAGCATTAGGAGGAATATCTAACGTAGATGATGGGTTGATGGGTGCAGCAAACCACCACGGCACGTGTATACCTATATAACAAACCTGCACGTTCTGCACGTGTACCCCAGAATTAAAGTATAATAAAAAAATACCATTCTTACCTGTTAGACTGGCAAATGTCAAAAAGGAAACATTGTTCGCAATACTGCACACTTTCCCAATGACTACTGAACATTTCATTCGAAATCTTAGCCAATGCAATTAGAAAAATATATGTGTCAAGGTGTATATAAATTATAAGGGAAGCAAAGAAGAGGTCCTGCTTTGTTCATATGATAAACCGCCTGCAAAGATGGGAAGAATCAATGAATAAAATTAGATTTATAAGAGTTCTGAAAGATAAACACAACATGTGGTAAACAGGCATTGGAGCTCTAAAATTTGTTTTTTGGAGGGAGTTAAATTAGTTGACCTCTATCAAGGAAAATTTTCCTATCTTCCCTCATTTATATATTTTATATATTATTATATGTATGTATACATGTTTTTATAAGATATGCATTGAAGTTCTGTCTACTGTAGCAACAAATTAGAAAAAAACTTTAATACACATTGTTAAGGAAGTAGTGAAATCTGTTTTGTTATTTTACTATATCTTGTGGTAGACTGAATAACTTTCCCATGATATCCACTTTCTAATCCCAAAACCTTATAAATATTTTACCTTATATAGAAAAAGGGGATTTGAAAATGATATTAAATAAAATAATTTGCGATTGGGAGATTATCCTGGATTTTTCACATAGGTCCAATGTAATCACGAGTGTCCTTTTATGAAGGAAAGCAGTGAGAGACATTACTACAGAGGAGAAGACAGTGTAATGGTAGAAACAGAGATTGGAGTGACGAGAGGAAGAGGCCACAAACAAAGGGATAAAACCAGTCAGTCACTAGAAGTTGAAAAAAAGAAAAAAAAGAAAACAGGAAAACAGATACTCCCTTAGACTTTCCAGAAAAAACCAGCCCTGCCAAAACTTTGAATTTATTTGAGCCCATACTTCCGATCCTCCAGTACTATAAGAAATTAAATGTTTGGTGGTGCAAAACACAAAGTTTGTGATAATTTTAAAAACAACAATAGAAAACAAATACATCCTGGAATACTATCTAGCAATTTCCAAGTTGTGGTAGATATACATGTGTCAACAGGATTTCGCTCCAAAATATACTCAGTAAAAAGTTAAAAGAAAGAAAGTAAAGCATAGTGTGAATGTTATGCTAACAATCCCGTAGAAATGGGTGTATTTTTATATACATAAACAAACACATACATATGTATAGATTATCTCTGGAAGAAATGCACGAAAATATGAATAGCTATTGCCTCTGGGGAGGTCAGCTGGGGGAAATGAGGTCAGTAGTTTGAAACTTACTTTTCCTCTTGTCCGCTTTTGTATGGTTTCGTTTGCTTTTTCCACACTCATATGTTAATTTTCACAAATAAGTAGGCTTATAATCTTAAAAAAAAGCTTACAAAAATGCTGTCAAGTTTTTCATCATGTCGTTACTGAATTTATAGATTGATATGTATAAGATTTGACCTCTTTAAAACATTGCCTTTTTCTCAAGAAATACGTTAGGTCTCTCCAATTATTTGGGTCATCTTTTTAGTACTTCAGCAAAAATTTCATTTTTTTATCTATAAATATTACACACTTCCTGTTAGTTGTATAATTAGTTATTTAAAATTTTATTAATATTATCAATGGAATCTAATATTGATACAAAACTGTATTTGTTTCTACTTCCTTTATTCTTATTTATTTTGTTTCAGGTGTTCTTATCTAGTAATTTTAGTATGATAGGAAAAATAAGCAGTGAGAATGAGAGTTTTTGTCTTCTTCTGACATAAAAGATAAAGTCAGTCACTTTATGTATGCCTGTTGTACATATTAGGCAAATATATTTTATAAATTTCCCAAATATCTAGATTGCTAAGAGTTCTTATTAGAAATATCTGTTTCTTTTACTGAATGCTCTTTTGTGCTTTCGTTTATATGATCCTGTAATTTTTCTTTAATCTCTTAAAGGTGATGTAATAGATTTGTTTTGTTACAACATCTCTTCATCTCAAAAGAAATCTATTGTTATGATATATTTTATATACTACTAGATTCAGTTTGCTAATATTTTATTTAAGATATTTGCATCTCTGTTCATAAATCTGTAATGTTTCCTTCTCATGCTAACACTTCTCAGATTTCAAACCATTCCAGATTAATAAAATTGTATATATATATATATATATACACACACACACACACACACACACACATATATACATATATATATGAATGAAATAAGAATTTCTTTTTAAAAATTTTTAACCGAAACAGTTTCAATAAAAGATTCTGGGCCTGGCGCGGTGGTTCATGCCTATAATCCCAGCACTTTTGGAGGCCGAGGGGGGTGGATCACCTGAGGTCAGGAGTTTGAGACCCGCCTGGCCAACATGGTGAAACTTCGTCTCTACTAAAAATACAAAAATTAGCTGGGCGTGGTGGTGTGAGCCTATAGTCCCAGCTACACTGGAGGCTGAGGCAGGAGAATCACTTGAACCTGGGAGGCGGAGGCTGCAGTGAGAGGAGATTATGCCACTGCACTCCAACCTGGTGACATTCAGCTTGGTGACAGAGCGAGACTCCATCTCAAAAAAAAAAAAAAATCTCTTTTTCTGACCATTTAGCATTACTGATGTACAAAGTCTTCTGGGCCTGGAATCTTACAGGAGAACATTGTTAACAATAACTTATAGATTTGATTTCTGTAATCGTTATATTCATATTTTCTAATTTCTCTTGAGTCATTTTTGATAGTTCGCGTGGTCCATTTCAAATTTTCCCAAACTTCCCCAAACTATTTGAGACACTCTTTAAGGTTTAGTTATGTCTGTTTTCATTTTTAGAATTATTTTCTCCTGTATACTCTTGCAAGCAGTTTGCCAATTTTATGTGTTTTCAAAGAACTAATGCTAGCGTGTGTTGAATCTACTTCTTATTTACCATTCATTAATTTTTGTTGTTCTCTTCTATCTCTATGAGTTTCTTCTGTTTTTCTAATGTATAGAGTGGAAGAACTAGCTCATTAATTTTTGATCATTTTGTTTGTTTGTTCTATAATGCATGCATTTGTACCCATACTTTTCCCACTAAGTTCTCTTTTTCTAGCACAACACAAATGTTGCTATGTAATGTCTCCCTTGCCTTTCAGCTCTAAATGCTTTATCATTTCCATCATCGTTTTTTATTTGATTCATGTGCTTTTGTTTATTTCCAAAGTTTTAATTTTTTAGTTATACATAAAAGCACTCATTATTGATTTCTCATTTTATTATGCCATACTCAGAGACTGTGATAGGTATATTTTGGATTCTTAAGTATTAATTTAAAATACCTTTGGGACATAGTAGAAAATACCTTTTTGTTAATGTTTCATATGTTCTTGAAAAAATAGGTTCTGTATATGTTGCTTAAAGCAAACCTGTTGATTTTGTGGTTCAGGTAGTAAGTACCTCTAGTAATGTTTTAATCTTCCTGATTATCAGCTTTTGAGAAAAGTGAGTTAAATTCTCCCTCAGTCACTGGGTATTTGTTAGTTTCAATGGAATCACATGGGCAGTCCATTCATATTTCTTTGTGAATCAGTTTACTTTGCAGAAGGAAAATTGTATGAGGTATTATAATTGTACTAAATGTTTCATAAGTGCAGTGTTATGGGGTGAATTGTGCCTCCACCAATTCATATGTTGAAACCCTAATATCTCAGAATGTGATTGTATTTGAAGATAGTGCCTACAAAACGCTGATTACGTTAAATGAGGCTGTTAGGATATTAGTGAGAGGTGACAGCGTGCTGGCAGTCCTCACAGCCCTCGCTCGCTCTCGGCGCCTCCTCTGCCTGGGCTCCCACTTTGGCGGCACTTGAGGAGCCCTTCGGCCCGCTGCTGCGCTGTGGGAGCCCCTTTCTGGGCTGGCCAAGGCTGGAGCCCACTCCCTCAGCTTGCAGGGAGGTGTGGAGGGAGAGGCCCTAGCGGGAACCGGGGCTGCCTGCGGCACTTGCGGGCCAGCTGGAGTTCCGGGTGGGCATGGGCTTGGCGGGCCCCGCACTCAGAGCAGCCGGCCAGCCCTGCTGGCCCCAGGCAATGAGGGACTTAGCACCCGGGCCAGCGGCTGCAGAGGGTGTACTGGGTCCCCCAGCAGTGCCAGCCCACCGGCGCTGCGCTCGATTTCTCACCGGGCCTTAGCTGCCTTCCCGCGGGGCAGGGCTCGGGACCTGCAGCCCACCATGCCTGAGCCTCCCACCCACTCCATGGGCTCCTGTGCGGCCGGAGCCTCCCCAAAGAGCACCACCCCCTGCTCCACGGCGCCCAGTCCCATCAACCACCCAAGGGCTGAGGAATGCGAGCACACGGCAGGGGACTGGCAGGCAGCTCCACCTGCCACCCCGCTGCGGGATCCACTAGGTGAAGCCAGCTGGGCTCCTGAGTCTGGCGGGGACGTGGAGAGTCTTTATATCTAGCTCAGGGATTGTAAACACACCAGTCAGCACCCTGTGTCTAGCTCAAGGTTTGTGAATGCACCAATCGACACTCTGTATCTAGCTGCTCTGGTGGGGCCTTGGAGAACCTTTATGTCTAGCTCAGGGATTGTAAATACACCAATCAGCACCCTGTGTTTAGCTCAAGGTTTGTGAGTGCACCAATCGACACTCTGTATCTAGCTGCTCTGGTGGGGATGTGGAGAACCTTTATGTCTAGCTCAGGGATTGTAAATACACCAATCGGCACTCTGTATCTAGCTCAAGGTTTGTAAACACACCAATCAGCACCCTGTGTCTAGCTCAGGGTTTGTGAATGCACCAATCGACACCCTGTATCTAGCTGCTCGGGTGGGGCCTTGGAGAACCTGTGTGTCGAAACTCTGTATCTAACTTATCTGATGGGGACATGGAGAACCTTTGTATCTAGCTCAGGGATTGTAAACACACCAATCAGCGCCCTGTCAAAACAGGCCACTCGACTCTTACCAATCAGCAGGATGTGGGTGGGGCCAGATAAGAGAATAAAAGCAGGCTGCCAGAGGCAGCAGTGGCAACCCGCTCGGGTCCCCTTCCACACTGTGGAAGCTTTGTTCTTTCGCTCTTTGCAATAAATCTTGCTACTGCTCACTCTTTGGGTCCACGCTGCTTTTATGAGCTGTAACACTCACCACAAAGATTTGCAGCTTCACTCCTGAGCCCAGCGAGACCATGAGCCCACCGGGAGGAACGAACAACTCCAGGCGCGCTGCCTTAAGAGCTGTAACACTCACCGCGAAGGTCTGCAGCTTCACTCCTGAGCCAGCGAGACCATGAACCCACCAGAAGGAAGAAACTCCGAACACATCTGAACATCAGAAGGGACAGACTCCAGACGCGCCACCTTAAGAGCTGTAACACTCACCGCGAGGGTCCACGGCTTCATTCTTGAAGTCAGTGAGACCAAGAACCCACCAATTCCGGACACATTAGGATGTTAAATGAGGCTATTAATCAAATAAAGCTGATATTCTTTTGTTTTTGTTTTTGTTTTGAGATGGAATCTCACCTTCTCACCGAGGCTGGAGTGCAGTGGCACAATCTTGGCTCACTGCAACATCCACCTCCTGAGTTTAAGTGATTCTCCTGCCTCAGCCTCCTGAGTAGCTGGGATTACAGGTGCCCACCACCACACCTGGCTAATTTTTGTATTTTTAGTAGAGATGGGGTTTCGCCATGTTGGCCAGGCTGGTCTCAAATTCCCGACCTTAGGTGATCTACCCGCATTTGGCCTCCCAAAGTGCTGGGATTATAGGCATAAGCCACCACACCTGGCCTAGCTGATGGTCTTACAGCAAGAGGAGATTAGGGCACACAGAGAGATACAAAGAGTAAATGCACACAGAGAAGATTATGTGAGGACATACCAAGAAGGCAGCCATTTGCAAGCCGAGGAGAGAGGCCTCAGAACTCTAACCTGCTGAAACCTTGGTCATGGTCTTCTAGCCTCCAAAAATGTGAAAAAATAAATTTCTGTTGTTGAAGACACCCAGGCTGTGGGATTTTGTTATGGATGCCCTTAGCAAACTAATACATGCTGGAAAAGAAAGGATGGGTGTGAGTAGTAAATCTTAATTAAAATATATTCATATGTATAGAAAAATCTTGCCCTCTACAAAATGGGATCAATGCAATGTAATCCACTTATGACCTATGACCAGGTAGTCCATTAATCCCTATATCATATAACCTGCACCAGTTACTGTTGCTGGAATATTAGCTTATTGATGGTGGCACTTAATATGTCTGCTTAGTTGAAGGAAATCCCATGTTGTTGAGATTATACTTAACCTCTGAAGTAACCCGTGTTGTTACTTTTCATGTTAATCACTGGACTAGATGAGAAAAGCACATATGGAATATTAATGAATATTATTTGTCTGCTATGTCCCAATAAATTCTCAATATTTTTTATATGGTTTGGCTGTGTGTCTCCACCCAAATCTCATCTTGTAACTCCCATAATTCCCACGTGTCGTGGGAGGGACCCAGTGGGAGATGATTGAATCATGGGGGCGAGTCTTTCCCATGCTGTTATTGTGATAGTGAATGAGACTCACAAGATCTGATGGTTTTAAAAACAGGAGTTTCCCTGCACAAGCTCTCTTTTTGCCTGCCACCAACCACGTAAGATGTGACTTGCTCCTCCTTGCCTTCTGCCATGATTGTGAGGCCTCCCCAGCCATGTGGAACCGTTAAGTCCGATAAACCTCTTTCTTTTGTAAATTGCCCAGACTTGGGTATGTCTTTATCAGCAACATGGAAACGGACTAATACAGTTTTCTTGCTGTTTACTTTTCCTTCAAGGAGAGACAGTCTATGATTAGGATTCCACATCAACTGTAAAGTAGTGTGCATTGCTCTTGTTGGATGATCAGGCACGTGGGAGATAAAAATCTTGGTAGATTAAAGACAAGGAGGCTGGGAAAGAGATATGTAGATGAACATCAAGTAATAGTGCCAGAGCCTGAGAATATTCTTTTCTAATATGGATGATCTACTGATTAGATTGCTCTACTTTCTTTCCACTGGGATTTGCATTTTCTATTGTCCTTTAGGGTCATTTCAGAGTGGAGCTGTAACAGTGTAGAGTTTAATTTTGGATAATGAAGCATATTCTACATAAAATATCTGCAAACCAGATTCAAATGTTTATTTTTCATTCTCAGTCAACTGGTCATAATATTTCTCATAAGACCATCGGTGTCAATTGATGGGGAGACATAATTGTAGTATGAGTAAGATCATTTCCTGAATGTAAAAAAATAAATTCATAAAAGTTATTTGTGCCTTTAGGGTCTACAGTTTCCACGTGATGAAAAAATACTTTCTGACATGCTGAACTCTATGTTCAGCTGTAACAGATAAACACAATTCATCATGAGCACTTGGATCTCATATTTCCTTACTGTTTCATGCTGTTTTTTTAACATATACCAGCAGTCAGTAGGAACTCAGAAATTATTTCTCAAAAGTTGTTTTTAACAGGTGCTATGGCTTTACTCCAAAACTTTAATGGTTTTCAATATAAGTTGTCCTATCTGAGTTTACCACAGGCTTCATAAAGCATTCCAATATATTAGTGACACTTTAATCATTTTTGATCTGTCATATCACAAGGGCAAAAGATATGACAGAAGCAGCTGAAGAGATTTCTCTTCTCTGGCTCACATGAAAATGTGTCAGAATAAAAATGTTATGTTATCTTCATAGAATAAAGAGACTCCTGAATTTTTCTATTTATTAGTAGGGACATAAAGTCTTTCTCCTTCACCATGAAAGAGGTGCCCTGACAGGCCTTCAGATTAGTTGGTTCCTGGGAAATTTGCTCTACTTTCCTGAGATTTCTTTTCTACATGTTTGCATGTTATTCCAAGGCATCAAGGAAAACTGATAGTTTCTGTTTCGCTGGTCCTCTTAGCAATACCTTATCAATGGAACAGACCAACATGGATATCCTGTAAGATGGTGAGGCAGTTCAGTTCCCTTCTAACTATGCATGAACAAAGTTAACAAACACCTGAGGGAAAATGGTAAAGGTGTACTAATACACCTGGGTAAAATCTAATTGCTGCGGGTGTTCTCTGATTATCAGCGAGAAGAAAAGTACTTCCACCAGATGAAAAAATTCACACCAAGTACCATTAGCAGTTTTGATTTGCTACAGTAAGAAGACCTCACCTTGAACTGCAGCTATAGAGTTTCTATTTGATTAAGTTTACTAACATCCAGTAACATTCTCCAAGACCTATTGGACTATTTATCGGCCAAATAGGAGAATTAAATAGGTCTATTATAAGAATCAATAGGCTTAAATCTTTCAAGTCATTTATAGTGGCAAATTACAGTTCTCCTAGGGGAATAAACTGTTTGATAGGTACTGGGAGCCCTTACTTGGCTCAAGTTAGGGAGTCAAATGGAATTCTGCCATTGGTTGAGGGAATATATCCTAACTATATCTCAAACTGGAGGAAAAAAAATACAGTATAAGTTTTTCGTTATATGGTGTAATATGACCATATGCAATTGAGAATTTCACTTGTTATATCACCTGACCTCACTTGCCCCCAATTTGATTAATAAATTAAAATTGCATGGTATGACTCCAAGAAGTAATTTTAGCTCATTACCCATATATAAGCACCTGCAGATATTTATACAGAATATTTATGACATCATACAAATCAGATTGAATCAACAAGAAATGGCTAGTATGAGAAATCTTGATTTTATTATACTTTCTAGAGAGTGAGAGATTTATGAATTTTGAGGCACTAGACACATCAATAAAAATGTAGGTATCCAGTGTACAGGGCCATTTCAGTATGTACCATCTGCTGTGGGCTGAAATTTTATTCTTCCGAAATGTGTATGTTGAAGCCCTAACCTCTAGTACCTCAAAATGTGTCTGTATTTGGAGGTAGGGCCTGTAAGGAGGTGATTAATTTAAAATCAGGCCCTCGGGTGTGCCCTAATACAATCTGACGATTTTCCTTATGAGAAGAGAAAATGTGAACACACAGAGAGATACCAAGGATACACTTGCACAGAGGAAAGATCATGTGAGTATACAGTGGTTATATGCACACCAAGGAGAGAGGCCTCCAACAAACAAACTCATGCACTGACATCTTGATCTTGTCTACAAAATGTGAAAAAATAAACTACATCCTTTAAGCCACCCAGTCTGTGGTATTTTGTTATGGCAGCCACAGCAAATTTATCTACCATCCAAAATAAAAGACAGATTACTGCAACTTTCACATTCCACTAAGAAGGAAGTACAGTACCTGATAGATCTCTTCGGGTTCTTTCAGCGTTGTATTCTGCACCTGGAAAAACTGATTCATCCGTATACCAAGTGATCTTAAAGACAGCTCTTTTTGAGTAGGGCCCAGAGCAAGAAAGAGCCCTATATCAGGTTCAGGCTGTGATGTGAGGACACCTACTGTTAGGGGTAGAAGGGGCTTGAGTTATGGGGGCGAACCCATATGGGTCTACAGCAACCTCAATTCCTGCCTGCTCGGAAGAAAAAATTCGACTGAGCGGCATAAGGCCGAAAAAGACACCAAGGAAAGTTTCAGAGCAGGAGTGGAAGTTTATTTAAAAAGGCTTTTCAACAGGAAAGAAAAGTAAATACACGTGGAAGAGACCCAGGTGGGCAACTTGAACGATAAGTGTGGCATTTAACTTTGATTCTGGGACTTTATAGGCTGGCCCACTCCCAGTGTCTTGTTCCTTTTTCCCATGATTCTTCCCATAGGGAGGGCTGGCCACATATGCAGTATGCAGCATGCTCAGTGTGTTTAGAAAGTTGTACACATGCCCATCTGAGGCTTTCTTCCCTTTTCTGGTGGAATGCCCCCAGAAGGTCATACTCTGCCATTTTGTCTCTTAATTTGCATGCCTGCGCTCACTCACCCAATTCCTGAGATTTTATTGGAAGCTGCTTACCAATCTCAAGTGTTTTTATCTGTTTAAGAAGTTGCCTCCCCTTGGCACCTGCATTCAATTAACACTTTAGTGTGACAGCTGTGGACCATCAGGAGATTGTCTCTCCCTGGTGCCAGCTGCCAAATTACCATTTTTTGAGAGGCAATATAACTGCCAAACCATCACCTGATGATTGCCTGACATTTCTGGTGGTGCAGGGAGAACCTTCTCCTGGCTAGCTCATACCTGTCTACCTGAAACATTACCACCTGGGGACATATGATCTGGCAGGCCATATGGTATTGGAGATATTAGTGTTGGCAAAAGGATGCCAAGTGGAGTTTGTTTAAAAAAAAACCAGAGGAAGAGTCATAACTCAGGCCCCAGGAATTCTGCAACAAGGTCATTCCATAAGCCCTCACAATTTGAAATATTATGAATGTTTGACCCAGCAGTATGGGATTCCATACAACATTGTGTCGTCTCAGAGGATTTACATTATAACAAGGAGCAGGACTGGTCACTCCTCAGAAGCTGCCGGTCTCTGGGAGCATTGAAACAACTTCTTAAAGACACAACGTAAATACCAATTCAGAGGTGATACTTACTAGATTAGCGTGTCATTCTCCAAGACCATTTATACCTTGAATTAAAAGACATTTATATAATGCTGCATTTCTATAGCAAGAAGAGATGAATCTGGGAACCAAGAAGTTCTTCTCATCAACTCGGACACTCACTTATAAAATATTCTTATCCCTAAAACTGTGGAATTTGCAGGTTCAGAGGTCTTCAGTTCCAAATGGAGAACATTTATGCCAGAGGACTCAGCAAGATTAACATTTAATTATAAACTGTGACTGCTGCCTTGGCATTCCTGGCTCCTTGTGTGAAAGAACCAGAAGGTAATAAAAGGAGTCACCACTCTGTCAGGGATAATCGATGCTGATCATCAAGAGGACATATGGTGACTTATATCCCATGGGGACAAAAAGGACTATGTGTGGTCCCCAGTTAAGCCTCTAGGATGTTTCTTTGGTACTCAATTTCCATTGTCATAATACATGCAGCAATCCAGGCCTGAACAGGGTGTAGTAGCAAGGGGCTCAGACCCTTCATGAATGATCATCTGTATCACACCACCAGGCAAGTCATCAATGTCAGCAGAGTTTCTATGTCGATGTGAGAGAAACCTAGAATGGAGAGTGAAGAATGAAAACGGTATCAGCAATGACCCAGAGACCAGCTAGAGCAGTGGGAGTTGTGGTTCATCCCACCAACCTTCCTCTTCTAAGCTTCCTTCCGGAAGAGAGGTCCATAAAAATCCTGAAGAAGCTTTTGCTGGAATGTATATAAAGTGAATCCAAGTAGCACACGGGGTGGACTATGATGGAAACATAGATGTACTTTCCAGATCTCCATTTGAGGAAGGACTTGTTGACACAGCTACTGGGAGTCTCAGCAAACCCCTTCACCTGTCCAAAGCAACTCCTTGAAGGTTTCTTTTGCTGCAGAGACCTGCATTGCCTAAGGTCGCGTGCCCCTCCACAGGTTAGCACACATTCAATGACTGATGCAGAAGTATAATGGTTTGGTCATCTTGGCACAACTTGGGAGAATCTCAATGGCTATTCTAGCTTCAGAACTCCTCATGGGGTTTGGTTTCTTGAGGTTGGGCCTGCATCACAGCTTGACTTCTCTCTCTACACAATCCTGCTTCCTTCCTCTCTCTTCCATCGGTATTTATTGAAAAGTCCATCTCTAACGCTAACAAACATCCTGAACGCTAAGCTCCATATCAAAGTCAGTTTCCTGAAGAATCCAGCTTTCAATACTTGCCCAACAATAGCCAGATGTAAGACTTTCAGGGACATTAGATTTTGTTTGCAAGAAACAGAACCACTTCCTTAGGCAAGTTAGGTATGCTTGTGAGAATTTCTGAGCCCTTTGATGTTATTCCCATTTTCTGTATCCAACAAAGTATCACCACTGGAATTATTAATATCTTATTTTTTCCAAATCACAGTGATAATTTTGTCACTTACGTGTCCCAGGAATAATAATAATAATTCAAACTCTGAATCAATCTTTGAATTTGGTTTTCAGCAATCTCAGCTCTAATATCAAAAAAAGAAGTCTGTCAAAGGGGTCAGATAGTAGTTTTATTACTTTCCTTTAGGGAAGAATTTGAGATTTGATCTTTATCTGATTCTGTCAGGAAAAATCATCTTGGGCCATCTCATTTAAATTAGCTTTTAGCAGCAATTACCTGGCTTTCCAGAGCTTCATATTCTGTGGGTTCATTGCCCCAGGATACCTCAATCATACTTTAGTAGGTTCTTCCTCATTCCTGACATAGTCTGCCAGTTTACCATTCTGGAATTTAAAAGGGTATCTTCCTGACTTTCATCTTAACATAGCTCAATTAACTATTTCAGACACATTTTCTTGAGGGTCTGTTTCCTGCAGGTATGATATTACACTGTAGACATTAATCCTGGCTAATTTAAAGAGAACAAAAGGAATTAACTGGAAATCAGGAATAGCTCAAATACTTGGAAGAAGACTAGAACAAACAAGCCTTAGAAAAGACAATGTCTAGAGCAGCTCTGGAGATATGAGTAACAGGAATTCATTATCTTATGATATTTCCTAAAAATCTCTCCTGTGGATTCTGAATCAATGAGTCTTAGATATGATTTAAGGATACATATTTTTTACAAGGACCTGCTTAAAGTTTTACCCACAGAAACCTTGCTTCCACCACCTCTGTCCCTTTGTGTCTACATTCAACTTAGAAAATTCTAGAAAGTTTGATGGGTCATGGGATTTCTGAGGATCATAGGGGACCCTATTAAGCAGCCCACCAGAGGAAAGCTGGCTGTGAAGAAAAATGTAAGAACTCTTCACTACCGGTGTTCTTACAAATGACCAAAGCCATGGATGTTTTTTTTTCAATCTCATTTTGCTATAATGTCTATTACGTTGTTCTTAATAAGTAGTGTCCTGCATTGTTTCTGTATTACAGGATTTAATGAGAACTACCTTATGTCCTAGTACAAAATTCATATCTGTAATTCCTTTTCTTTTTTTTGTTTTTTTTTTTTTTTTTTTTTGGAGAAAGAGTCGTCTCACTTTGTCACCCAGACTGGAGTGCAGTGGCACGATCTCGGCTCACTGCAACCCCCGCCTCCTGAGTTCAAGCGATTCTCCTGCCTCAGCCTCCAGAGTAGCTGGGACTACAGGCGCCCACCACCACGCCCGACTAAGTTTTGTATTTTTGGTAGAGAAGGGGTTTCACCATGTTGCCCAGGCTGGTTTCGAACTCCTGACCTCAGGTGATCCGCCTGCCTTGGCCTCCCAAAGTGCTGGGATTGCAGGCATGAGCCACCGTGCCTGGCTCATATTTGTAATTCTTTCACAACTATTTAAAATATGAGTAAATTTTGGGGGAAGGTTATGTAAAACCAAATATTTTCATCATGTTACATGAATTATTAATATCTTTCCTTTTTGTATATTATGAGAGGTAATTTATTCTCTTCCTCTCATTATAGATTGGCATATTCTCTGTAAACTTCTAACATATTTGACTTTACTCATTTTAAATTTATTTTATATGTATAAAGGTTCACAATTGTTATTGCTTCATTGGATTTTAAATTCTACAAATGTAAATACCCTTTTTGTCCTCAGTTAATGTATTTTCCCTTAAGCTATGGTCTTACATTATTGCCACACTTGCTTTCTTTTGGTTGTATTTTAGTTTTTGCTAAGTATGTCTTTTTTTCTTTTATTCAATGATTTATGATGTGCTATTTGAAATACACAGAATAATATTAATATAAGTAAAGTATGTATGTTTTATGGTGCATAAAAATTAAATGAGCACCTTTGACCACTCTATCACACTGACTCCCACTACTAGAGTAAATCAGTTTCATCATTCACTCAACATCATTTTTGAAGTTTTATCACATTGGTATCTATGAACAATAATTAGTTTTCCTTGTATGAAAATGTCATTTTATACATGCACTCTGAGTCTTCCTTTTGTTTCTACTAAACATTATCTTTTAAGATCCATTCATATTCTTGCGTATAGCTGCAGGTAAGTCATTTTTACTGCTGAATTTATATTTCATTGTACAAATCCACAATTTATCAATAGATTCTCCTGTTGGAAAGTTGAGCTTCCAGATTTTTTTCTATTGCAAAACAAAGCTGTTTTGAACATTATTTTGCACCTCTCCTAAGTCACATGTGTAAGAGTTCCCTCGGGGCAGTGATTCTCAAAGTGTGGTCTGTGGAACAACAGCATGAGCATCACTTGGGGACTTGTTAAAATGCAAATAATTAGGCCCCACCCCAGACTTGCTGAATCAGACTCAAGGGATGTTGGTAATCTGTGTGTAATTTTGATGCATGCTAAAGTTTGAGAACCACTGATTTAAGATGGAGATCGATCCATTTATCTATCTGTCTCATCTCCCTAGGGAAGATACTGCTGAATTGCTGTCAGAGGTATGTAACACATTCATCTTCACATGGTAAGATGAAAGGCAAGATTAAGCTATTTCCTTGAGTGTATCTGTGTGGACTGTTATGAGCACTAGCTATGTACTCATATTCTCTATAAACTTCTAACATATTTGACTTTACTCATTTTAAATTTCCTCAGCAATACTTGGTGTTGTCAGATATTGTTTACCTTTTGCCCATTTAGTAGATGATCAAATAATATATAAATGTTGCCATTATTTCCTTTCCCCTGATGATTAATAAGAGTTGTTTCCGTACAGTCATTGATCTTTTCAATAAAATATCTTTCATGTTTTTGGTCAGTTCTCCTTTTGGCTTATCTTTTTCTTACTGTTTTATGTAAGTTCATATATATATATATATATATATATATGTATCTTTAGAATACTAACACTTTGTCACATATATTTGGTAAGAATTTTTTTTAAAGTTTGTGGCTAGCATTTTCACTCTTTTTATGAGATTTATGTGATGACTAGAACTTCTCTATTTTAGTGGAATCACATTTATAATACTCTACTTTGTGTTTGGTGGCTGTATCTTAAGAACTACTTTTATAGGACTAGGTCAAAAAGATGTTTCCTTACCTTTTGTAATGAAATATAGAAAATACTTATTGTGACTTTGCAGTAGTTAAACATAGAAATAAAACATATTTTGTACATAGATCAGTGGTTGGATAGACTATTTATACATGATATGAAATATTGATGACTTATAAAAGAGAACGTATCAGTGCTATATGTATTGAGACATGGAGTGAGAAGCTTTATTAAATTTAAAAATGTTTGAAGAATAGTGTGTAGAGTGTACTTATAAAACCAAAACAAAACAGGAGACAAACAGAAAAAGCATACCTATGTGTTCATATATTTGAAAATTCTTCCATGACTGTAAAGAAAACTGTTAACATTGGTTGCAATATGTGTGTGGGATTAGAATGGTTAGTGATACAATTACCTACTTTATACATCCTTGTATTTTTAAACTTGCTCTAATAATCATGAAAGCTTATGTTTTCCACCAATGAGAATATATTTTCTTTTATGGCTATATTAGTAATACACACTAATTATTGAAAAAGCCAACATTACCAAAAATACAATTAAGAATAAAAATTTACCTGAAAAAATTTACCATCAAAAAACAAGCATCAGCATCATGATGGTGACCATCCTGCTAGGCACATAAACATGAACATCGTTTTACCTAAATAGAAAAATTGTGTTTTTTATCTAAAGTAGGCACTCAATAAAAGAGTCCTTTAGGTGGGTGGGTAGTGCTTGGCAAATAATCCTATCACTATTGAAAAAGAAATTCCCCTCTCATTTGTCAATATTTATAACAATCCTTGCTTACTTGAACTTATTACTGCATTCACTTTATAATCCCAAAAATAATGTCAAATTGTAATCATCTCATCATCTCAACAGGGATTCCTGTCATGCTTTCAATATTCACGTAACTGAAATTTTTATTTCATCTTTTATGATAAGAGCACTTTGTTTTTTATTATTAGTCTTTACTGCTTCAAGAGGTTTATGTATATTTACATTTTATGAGAAGATAATGCTGAATCGTATCTCATATTTTAGTAATGACTTATGTTGTCAATCTAATGAATTATGTTACTTTCTGATTGTATCACTCAGGTTCTCCAGAGAAACACACACACACACAAAATATATATATATTTTATATACACACACACACACACACACACACACACACACACATATATAAATGAGGAATTGGCTCACATGATTATTGAGACTGAGAAGTCCTAAGATCCGTAGTTGGCCCACTGGAGAGCCAGGAGAACCGATAGAGTAATCCAGTTCAAGTCCAAAGCCCTGAGTACCAGGATTGCTAATAGTTCAAGTTCCAGTCCAAAAGCCAGCAGGCTCAAGAGCCAAGAACAAATTATTCAGTTCAAGCCTGAAGACAAGAAAACAAAAAAACAAAAAAAACAAAAAATGCCAGTGTCCCAGCTCAAGGCAGTTAGATAGAAAACGTTCCCACAATCTTACTTGTGTGAAGTTAGCCTTTTTGTTCTATTCAGGCATTCAAATTGTTGAATGAGGGCCACCCACATTATTTAGAGCAATCTGCTTTACTGAGTCTACTGATTCAAATGCTAATCTAATGAACGAACATGCTCACAGAGACACCCAGAATTATATTTGACCAAATATCTGTGGACCCTGTGGCTTAATTAAATTGGCACATAAAATTAACCATCATAAGTCCAGTCCTTGTCAACTTGGCATCCAGATACATCTCCTTAAACCATAATTAATCTCCAAATAAAGGTAATAACCAGGCCATAATTCCTCCTAATATGATACCACTATCCTTCATACAACAAAAAATGCGCTAACCTTTTCCCAACAAGAAGAGGTAAAGTCCTTGAGGAATGTTTACTCTTCTTGATGTCTGATAATTTAAATATTATGATGTAAAATTTACAATACTTTGATACTATGATAGAAAGTCAACCGATCATATGTTATATAAGGGAATAAAAAAGGAAGAAAGCAAAGATTGCCCACACCCATATTCATAACAAAATAAGGAAGAAATACTCATGATAATTAACAGTCCTCCTTTCTGTAACTGGTAATATGGTCATAGCTGGCATTTATAACTGCCTTCTACTGCTCGTTCTCTGTATTCACTTTGTCTTCAGCAACCACCTCAGCTAATTGTGCTTGTTTACCAGATGGGGTAACCTAAACCATTCTTGAAGGGTCTGGGCCATTAGTAGTTCTACCTCAATTGAGTCTTGCAGTTTTCCATTGAATTTGAGCAAAGATTAAGAGATGCCCTAGGGGATTTGCTGTATTCCAGACATATTCTTCCTTACTGCTATTGTAGAGTACTAGTCCAATTTACCTTGGTAGTTAGGATCTGTCATTCCAGGCAGCAGAGTACCTCTCTTCTCTGCCTGTTGATTCAGAGATATGAGGAGCCTAAAATGGCTGGATGGCAGTCTTAACTTCTAGTTCAACGAAATTATTGTTGTGTCTCCTGGTAGAAACTTCCTTTCCTTTGGAACTAAGATATCCAGGCCAGCAGAGCAAATGGTCATGGGAACAAGAAGCAAATATTTGCTAGTGGGTCACTAGAGATAATAGTGAATAATACCACTCTCATTTTTACCATTTGATTCCTATACCCATGAATCCAGGCTATCAGATAAACAGCACCATATATTTGATGCTGATTCAGAGCATATACAGCCTTCTGGAGAAACTTTATCCAGCCCTGCAAAGTAATGCCACCTAAATGGCATTGTAACAGAGTTTTAAAAAAATCATTCCACCATGCTATCAAGCTAGCTGTTTCAAGGTAGTGGAGAATATGGTAAGATCATTGAATTCCATGAGCATAAGCCCCTTGCACACTCTATTTGTTGTGAAATGGGTTCCTTGATCAGAAGCAATGCTGTGTAGATTATCATGAAGGTGGATAAGGCATTCTGTGACTCCACAGATAATAGTTTTTGCAGAAGTATGGCATGTAGGGAAGGCAAATCCATATGCAGAGTAAGAGTCTATTCCAGCAGGAACAAAATGCTGCCCCTTTCATGATGGAAGTGGTTCAGTGTAAGCAACCTGCCACCACGTAGCTAGCTGATCACCCTAAGGGATGGTGCCATTCTGGGGACTCAGCGTTGGTCCCCGTTGCTAACAGATTAGGTGCTCAGCATGGCTGTAGCAAAGTTAATCTTAGTAGAAGTCCATGTTGCTGAGCCCACGTATTACCTCTATCCATGCCACTATGGCCACTTTATTCATTAGGTCATTGGACAATAACAGGGGTGGCTGGGGAAGAAGGCTGAGTGGTATCCACAGAATAGGTTATGTTATCCACTTGATAATTAAAATCCTCCTCTGCTGATTTTACTCTTTGGTGAGCATTTACATAGAACCCACATATCTGCAAATTTTTGCCCATTCGGAGAGGTCTATTAACATACCCCTTCTTCAAATTTATTTGTAACTGACTTTTCAATCATGTCCCTTCCAATTTCCTGACCATACAGTCAAATCGTTGGCCACAGACTATCAGCTGACATATAATCAAACATCTGGCCATTTCGCCTTCCAAGCAGAGGGAAACTTCAGGTGCATAGCTTGAAGTTCTGCATACCGGAAGGACTTTCCTTCACCACTGTGCTTCGGTAATGTCTCTGAAAGGGGCTATGGTGCTGTAGCTGTCACCTTTATGGTGGTGCCTACATATCTTGCAGAACCATCCATAAAACAGGCCCAAGTCTTCTGCTCCTCTGTTAACTAACCGTAGAAAACTCCCCATAATGCCATAGGTTCAGGCAAGGAGAGAATAGTCAATATGGCAGGGTGAGGAACCATGGACTTTTGAGCCACTTCTTCATATAACCTGCTTGTGCTTTCAGGACCTGTTCAGTATATATATAATAAACATTTTCTAGATTGAGAACTGTGTGTGTGTGTGTGTGTGTGTGTGTGTGTGTGTGTATGTGTGTGTGTGTATCTTGCATGTAATGATGGAATGATATTCCAAACATCCAGTTTTATGACTTGATGGCTCAGGTAACACCCAGTTCATGATGGGAAGCTCAACTAGCATGGTTACTTGGGGCCCATGGTTAAGCATTCAGTTTCTACTAAGGCCCAGTGGCAGGCAAAAAGATGTTTCTCAAAAGGAGAGTAGTTATCTCCAGAGGATGGCAGGACTTTACCCACAAATACTAAATGCCTGCACTGAGATTCACCTATAGGGGTCTGCCAAAGGCTCCAAACAGTATCTCTAACTGCCACTTTCACTTCAATCATCATCGGATCTGCTGGATCATATGGGCCAAGTGGCAGAGAAGCTCACACAACAGACTGGATATGTTGCAGAGCCTTCTATTGTTTTGAATTCCACCCAACAGTAGAAGCTTTTTGGGCCACTCCATAAATAGGCCATAGTGATGCACCCAAACGAGGAATATTTTGCCTCTAAAATCCAAAGAGGATCTTTCGGTGTTGTGCCTCTTTTTTGGTTGTACAAGGGCCAGATTCAACAATTATCCTTCACCTTAGAACAGATATCTTACCGTTGCCACACTGCTGGAATCCTAAAAATGTTACTGAGGTAGAAGGCCCTAGAACATTTTTTTCCTAGTTTATTTTCTACCCTTTGACACACAAATGTCTTATCAATGAGTCTGAAGTAGTTGCTACTTCTTGCTCATTAGGTCCAATCAGCATATCCTCAATGTAATGGTTTAGTGTGATATCTTGTGAAAGGGAAAAGTGATCAGGATTCCTGCAAAACAAATTATGACATGGCTGGATAATTGATACACTCCTGTAGTGTAATAGTGGAGGTGTATTAATGGCCTTAGCACCTGAAAGTAAACTGCTTCTGAAGGATATTATGAGCAAGTATGGAGAACGAAAACATTGGCTAGATCAAAACTGTATACCAGGTATAAGGAGATGTGTCAGTTTTGCCAAAATGGTGAAACCACATCCGAGACAGCAGCTGAAATTAGAGTCACCACCTGGTTAAGCGCACCGTAACTCATTGTCATTTTCCAACACCCATATGTCTTCTGCATAAACCAAATAGGCCAGTTAAAAAATGATTTGGTGGAATCACGATCCCTACATGTTTCAAGCCTTAAAGATGGTACTCATTTCTGAAATCTTTCCAGAAATGAGGTACTGCTTCTGGTTTACTATTTTCCTAGGGAGAGGCAGTTGTAATGAATTACAGTTGGGCTTTCCCACCATAATAGTCCTCACTCCATATATCAGAAAACCAATGTAGGTATTCTGCCAGCTGCTGAGTATATCTATGCCATTTATGCCCTCTGGAACTGGGTAAATAGCCACAGGATGTTTTGGGTCTCCTGAAATTAGTGTTAGTTCAGAGCCAGTGTTCACTATTCCCTGAAAGTTCTGATTATTTTCTTTTTCCCAATGTATAGTGACCCTGGAAAAAGGCTGTAGGTCCCATTGGGAAAAGTTGGAAGAAAGATTAAGAGTATAAATTTTTGGAAGTGTACTGAGGTCCTTCCTCAAGGATGTCTAGCTTCCCCTTCATTCAAGGAGTTATGGGTCTGTCTGTATGGGTCTGTAAACTGGCTCATGTCCAGGAATTGATTGAGGTACTGTGAGTCTTTTTATGATTCAGGTTAGATTTTTGTTCATGTAGTCTAAAACTTTTCCACTTACACAGATCAAGTAAGACTTCAGTAGGCTTCCTATCTATTTCATTTCTAGGAACATCATGATCAACTAGCAAATGCAATAGGTCTACATGTTGGGAGCAAGCCCCCCAAAATCTGGCCATAAACTGGCCCCAAGACTGGCCATAAACAAAATCTCTGCAGCACTATAACATGTTCATAATGGCCCTAACGCCTGCGCTGGAAGGTTGTGGGTTTATGGGAACGAGGGCAAGGAACATCTGGCCCGCCCAGGGCAGAAAACCGCTTAAAGGCATTCTTCAGCCACAAACAATAGCATGAGAGATGTATGCCTTAAGGGCATGTTCCTGCTGCAGTTAACTAGCCCAACCTATTTCTTTAATTCGGCCCATCCCTTCGTTTCCCATAAGGGATACTTTTAGCTAATTTAACATCTACAGAAACAATGCTAATGACTGGTTTGCTGTTAATAAATATGTGGGTAAATCTCTGTTCAGGGCTGTCAGCTCTGAAGGCTGTGAGACCCCTGATTTCGCATTTCACACCTCTATATTTCTGTGTGTGTGTCTTTAATTCCTCTAGCGCCGCTGGGTTAGGGTCTCCCCGACCGAGCTGGTCTCGGCATCTACACAGTTAAGACTATCCTGACTGTTGATTTGTCTGTGCTGTTCATTACATTAACCATGCCCACCTTGCCTTTGGTGGTTGAGTGCCACCACTTGACCTCTGCCACTCCTAAGTCCAATTGCTCCCGTTGCATTTAGGTTTCCAAACAGAATGGTTGTATTTCCTACTTTAAGGTCTGGTTCACAGAGAAGAGCAATCACATAGCTCTTCAAAAATACCAAGGATCTCCTCAAAAATTTATTTCTCAAAATTGTGGTGGAAAATACGTATTCTCAACTATCACAGTGACAATTTTAATATACTTAGCAACACATTTGCAAAATTGCGAGGCCCATATTAATAAATTTATAAAACAACTATATAAATATGTAAATAATTGAAAATACATATAATTATAAAATTAATGTAATCAAACTGATAATGATTCAAAAACTCAATTCATAATTTTAATATCGCTTCAATCAGAATCACTTTTTTAAGTACTTGAATATAATGACCATAAAATTCATTTAGAAATGCCTAAGGCTAGCTAAAAAAAATATGAGAAAGTATACTAACTGAGGACTTGTGTTTTTGTAAATTAAAAATACCCTACAGCCAATTAACAAAACATGATAGTCCTTTCACACTAATAGGCTAGGACTTCAGGCATTAGAGATTATAAAGCACAGAAATATCCCAGTGCCAGTTGGGAACTTAACATGTAATTAAAATGGTATGTCCGTTCTATTTAGTAAGTCATATGGGTTCAAAAGGCTATTTAGATAAAATAAAATGAGCTAGAATGTCTACCGCAAACCCTACAAAAATAAATTTACAACTGTATATAAAAATTGAAAATTAAGAGAAATATAACAATGTTAAAGAGGGATTTGGGTTTTGGAATGTGATTTTTAAACATGCCAACACAGAAGATTTAAAAAGATAAGAAATATTTAGACTTTCTGCTATTTTGTGGTCTCCTTAATCTGGTCTTTCCTCTTTAATAATAAAGACAATACTTTTTTCTCTTAATATAATTTTAGCTGAATCACATATAAAAACATTTTACAACTCATTACCTTCAAGATATTTTATAAATTTAGTGGAGATTTTCTCTTATATCAAAGAGAAAAAGCCTTTTCCAACATAGTAGCCCTCACTCCACAGATCATGAAAGCAATATGGAGATTCTGACAGCTGCTGAGTGTATCTATTCCAACTATGCATTCTAGAACTGAGGAGAGAGTCACAGGATGTTTTGTGTCTCCTGGAATTAGTGTCAGTTGAGAGCCAGCGTCCAGTCGTCCATGAAACGTCTAATTACTTCCTTTTACCCAATATTCTAATAACATTAAAAGTACAAAATTAAGTGCTTAGATAAAATTTTAATTTGGGATACCTAAAGAGACACCTGAAGTTATTGAGCCAAATGTACTTCTGTGAAATGACACTTAAACCAAATGTCCCCATCCATCCCACTAATTTCATCAAGATTAATAAGAAGTGTTTCTTCTTTTGGGGAGATTATTTGAATGATACCACATTGAGTTCAGTGCTATGTTTGTGCATGATACCATTTCCCTTATTATACTTCATAACATCTTTTTCTATATATGTACTAGTCGCTCCCCACTATCTAGTATGTTCTTAACCTTAGCTGCATATTGGAATCACATGGGGAGCCATTTTAAAAAATGATACCTAAGTCCCACCACAAAATATTATAATTTAATTTGTCTGAGGTGTGGCCTAGACTTCAGAAATTTGAATATTTTCTGAGGTGATACAAATTTGCAGTCAGAGCTTGAGAACTTTTGTTTCTGATAAAGTGCTTGTTGTCATACCTGGAGCATATTAGAATCACCTGGGGAACTTCTTTGAAAAAATACTGATGTTTGGATTCTGCCTCAGTCCAATCAAAGCAGAATCTCTGTGAGTAGGATACAGGCATTGGTGTATTTTGTCATTGTTGTTGTTTTTCTTGCTTTTTTATTTTCTTTTCTTTTGCATCTGAGGTAATTCTAATGGTAATTTATGATTGAAAATTACCGATCGATCACTTAGGAAACTGATAAAAATACAAATTTCTGAGGCCCACCAAAATCTACTGAATCAGAAACTCCAGAGTATTATCCAGTAATATAAGGCTGAACAAGACCTACAGGTGATACAGACATACCTTTAATATATGAGAACAACTGAGCTACTCAGTGGTACTTAACCTTGGCAGTAAATTGGAGGCAGCTGTGATGCTTTAAAAATACTGATGCCTGGGTCCCTCTTCCTCAAATAGTCTAATTTAATTGTTCTGGAGTGTGTTATTGACATTGCAATTTTGTTTAAGTACGCCATATAACTAATATGCAGCCAAGATCAAAAACTACTTTCCTAGTCCATGAGCAAACTGAGACTAGAGATTATTACATAATCTGCTTTTGTATTCTGAATTTGACCCAGCATTTGACACTTAAAAGTATTGGGCCTAGAAAGATTAGTTTTAAGTAACACCTACTGTGCTCCTCTATAAATAATCGGAATAGAAAATATATTCAAATGCTCAACTACCTTTTAAGTTTAAAAATATATAAGACTTACTGGAACTGGAAGCTATTCGACAGCAAATGAATCTGTTAGAGAAAAAGGAATTTAAAAAATATTCTCTCCAGGAAGAGAGCGGTCATAATGATAGTTAATTTTTTAATGAAAACAGCTGCATTTCTTTTTTTAAATCTCTTTTGCAGCAAGATCCTCAAATTTCAAGTTGTTTTAAACCAAAATCAAGAAAGAAATATTTCATTATCCTCAAGAGAACAAAAAGCCTATTAATCAAGCAAATTTAGAACTTACTGAATATTTTCATTTTAATTATTTTTCCATAAGTTATTAGGGTACAGGTGGTATTTGGTTACATAAGTTCTTTAGTGGCGATTTGTGAGATTTTGGTGCACTCATCACCCAAGCAGTATACACTGCACTTTATTTGTAGTCTTTTATCCCTCGCCCTCCTCCCACTCTTCCCCCCAAGTCCCCAAAGTCAATTGTATCATTCTTATGCCTTTGTGTCCTTATACCTTAGCTCCCACATATCAGTGAGAACATATAATATTTGGTTTTCCATTCTTGAGTTACTTCACTTAGAATAATAGTCACCGATCTCATCCAGGTTCCTGCAAATGCTGTTAATTCATTCTTTTTATGGCTGAGTAGTATTCCATCATCTATCTATCTATCTATCTATCTATCTATCTATCTATCTATATACATACATACCACAGTTTCTTTATTCATTCATTCATTGATGGGCATTTGGGTTGGTTTCATGATTTCACAATTGTGAATTGTGCTGCTATAAACATGCATGTGCAAGTATCTTTTTTGTATAATGAATTCTTTTCCTCTGGATAGATTCCCAGTAGTGGGATTGCTGGATCAAATTGTAGTTCTACTTTTAGTTCTTTAAGAAATCTCCACGCTGTTTTCCATAGTAGCTGTACTAGTGTACATTCCCACCAGCAGTGTAGAAGTGTTCCCTGATCACCGCATCTATGCCAACATCTACTTTTTTTCAATTTTTTGATTATGGCCATTCTTGCAGGAATAAATTTCCATTTCCCTGATCATTAGTGATTTTGAGCATTTTTTCATATGTTCAGTGGCCATTTGAATATCTTCATTTGAGAATTGTCTACTCATGTCCTTAGCCAACTTTTTGATGGGATTGTTTGTTTTTTTTCTTACTGATTCGAGTTTGTTGTAGATTCTGGATATTAGTCCATCAGATTTATAGATTGTGAGGATTTTTTCCCACTCTCTGGGTTGTCTGTTTACTCTGCTATCTGTTCCTTTTGCTGTGCAAAAGCTCTTTAGTTTAGGTCCTGGCTATTTACCTTTGTTTTTATTGCATTTGCTTTTGGGTTCTGGTCATGAAATCCTTGCCTAAGCCAATGTCTAGAAGAGTTTTTCCAATGTTATCTTCTAGAATTTTTATAGTTTCAGGTCTTAGATTTAAGTCCTTAATCCATCTTGAGTTGATTTTTGTATAAGGTGAGAGATGAGGATCCAGCTTCATTCTCCTACATGTGGCTAGCCAATTATCCCAGCACCATTTGTTGAAAAGGGTGTCCTTTCCCCAGTTTATGTTTTTGTTTGCTTTCTCGAAGATAACTTGGCTCTCTCTGTTTGGGTTTATTTCTGGGTTCTCTATTCTGTTCCATTGGTCTATGTGCCTATTTTTATACCAGCACCATGCTGTGTTGGTGACTATGGCCTTATAGTATAGTTTGAAATAAGGTAGTGTGATGCCTCCAGATTTGTTCTTTTTGCTTAGTCTTGCTTTGGTTATATGGGCTTTCTTGTTTCCGTATGAATTTTAGAATTTTTTTTCTAATTCTGTGAAGAATGATGGTGGTACTTTGATGGGGATTGCATTGAATTTGTAGATTGCTTTTGGCAGTGTGGTCATTTTCACGATATTGATTCTACCCATCCATGAGCATGGGCTGTGTTTCCATTTGTTTGTGTCATCTATGATTTCTTTTTTTTTTTTTTTTGAGGTGGAGTCTCACTCTGTCACCCAGGCTGGAGTGCAATGGCGCAATCTTGGCTCACTGCAAGCTCCGCCTCCTGGGTTCACACCATTCTCCTGCCTCAGCCTCCCGAGTAGCTGGGACTACAGGCGCCCGCCACCACACCTGGCTAATTTTTTGTATTTTTAGTAGAGACAGAGTTTCACCATGTTAGCCAGGATGGTCTCGATCTCCCGACCTCGTGATTCGCCCACCTTGGCCTCCCAAAGTGCTGGGATTACAGGCGTGAGCCACTGCACCCAGCCATCTATGATTTCTTACAGCAGTATTTTGTAGTTTTCCTTGTACAGGTCTTTCACATCCTTGGTTAGGTATATTCATAAGTATTTTACTTTTTTTTTTTTTTTTTGCAGCAATGGAAGTTGCATTCTCGATTTGATTCTCCACTTGGTCACTGTTGGTGTATAGAAGAGCTACTGATTTGTGTACATTAATCTCGCATCCAGAAACTTTGATGAATTCTTTTATCAGTTCTAGGAGCTTTCTGGAGGAGTCTTTAGGGTTTTCAAGGTAAGCAATCATATTGTCAGCTAACAGTGATAGTTTGACTTCCTCTTTACACATTTGGATACCTTTTATTTCTTTCTCTTGTCTGATTGCTCTGGCTAGGACTTCCAGTACTAAGATGAAGAGGAATGGTGAGAGTGGACATCTTTGTCTTCTTACAGATTTGAGAGGGAATGCTTTCAACTTTTCCTCATTCAGTATTATATTGGCTGTGGGTTTCTCATAGATGGCTTTTTAACACTGAGTTATGTCCCTTGTATGCTGATTTTGCTGTGAGCTTTATTCAAAAAGGGATGCTGGATTTTGTAGAATGCTTTTTATACATCTATTGAGATGATCATCTGATTTTTGTTTTTAATTCTCTTTATGTGGTGTATCACATTTATTGACTTGCATATGGTAAATCATCCCTGCATCCCTGGTATAAAACCCACTTGATCATGGTGGATTACCTTTTTGATATGTTGTTGGATTTGTTAAGCTAGTATTTTGTTAAGGATTTTAACATCTATTTTCTGGTTTTTTGTTTGTTTGTTTCTACTTTAAATTCTGGGATACATGTGCAGAACGTGCAGGTTTGTTACATAGGTATACACGTACCATGGTGGTTTGCTGCACCCATCAACCCGTCAACTACATTAGGTATTTCTCCTAATGCTATTCCTCCCCTAGCCCCCCACCCCATGACAGTCCATAGTGTGTGATATTCCCCTCCTTGTGTCCATGTGTTCTCATTATTCAACTCCTACTTATGAGTGAGAACATGGGGTGTTTGGTTTTCTGTTCCTGTGTTAGTTTGCTGAGAATGATGGTTTCCAGCTTCATCCATGTCCCTGCAAAGGACATGAACTCATTCTTTTTTATAGCTGCATAGTGTTCCATGGTATATATGTGCCACATTTCTTTAATCCAGTCTATCATTGATGGGCATTTGGGTCGGTTCCAAGTCTTTGCTATTGTGAATAATGCTGCACTAAACATATGTGTGCATGTGTCTTTATAGTAGAAAGTTTTAAAATCCTTTAGGTATATACCCAATAATGGGATTGCTGGGTCAAATAGTATTTCTGGTTGTAGATCCTTGAGGAATTGCCACACTGTCTTCCACAATGGTTGAACTAATTTACACTCCCAACACCAGTGTAAAAGTGTTCCTATTTCCCTATATCCCATCCAGCATTCATTGTTTTCTGACTTTTTAATGATCCCCATTCTCACTGGCATGAGATGGTATCTCATAGTGGTTTTGATTTGCATTTCTCCAATGTCCAGTGATGAGCTTTTTTCATATGTTTATTGGCTGCATAAATGTCTTCTATTCAAAAGGGTCTGTTCATATCCTTTGCCTGCTTTTACATGGGTTTTTTGTTGTTGTTGTTGTTTGGTTTTCGTTTGTTTGTTTTTGTTTTGTAAATTGGCTTAAGTTCCTTGTAGATTCTGGATATTAGCTCTTTGTCAGATGGGTAGATTGCAAAAATTGTCCTCCATTTTTTAGGTTGCCTGTTCACTCTGATGATAGTTTCTTTTGCTGTGCAGAAGCTCTTTAGTTTAATTAGATCCCATTTGTCAATTTTGGCTTTTGTTGCCATTGCTTTTGGGGTTTTAGTCATTAAGTCTTTGCCCATGTCTATGTCCTGAATGTATTGCCTAGGTCTTCATCTTGGGTTTTTATGGTTTTAGGCCTTACATTTAAGTCTTTAATTCATCTTGAGTCAATTTTTGTATAAGGTGTAAGAAAGGGGTCCAGTTTCAGTTTTCTGCAAATGGCTAGCCAGTTTTCCCAATACCACTTATTAAATAGCGAATCATTTACCCATTGCTTGTTTTGGTCAGGTTTGTCAATGATCACATGGTTATAGATGGGTGGCATTATTTCTGAGAACTCGATTCTGTCCCATTGGTCTATACATCTGTTTTGGTACCAGTACCATGCTGTTTCTCTTACTGTCGTTTTGTAGTATATTTTGAAGTCAGGTAGCACGATGCCTCCAGCTTTGTTCTTTTTGCTTAAGATTGTCTTGGCTATACAGGCTCTTTTGTGGTTCCATATGAAATTTAAAGTAGTTTTTTCTAATTATGTGAAGAAAGTCAATGGTAGCTTGATGGGGATAGCACTGAAACTATAAATTACTTTGGGCAGTATGGCCATTTTCATGGTATTGATTCTTCCTATTTGTGAGCATGGAATGTTTTTCCAGTTGTTTGTGTCCTCTCTTATTTCCTTGAACAGTGGTTTGTAGTTCTCCTTGAAGAGGTCCTTCACATCCCTTGTAAGTTGTATTCCTAGATATTTTATCCTCTTGTAGCAATTGTGAATGGGAGTTGACTCACGATTTGGCTCTCTGATGGTCTATAATTGGTGTATAGGAATGCTTGTGATTTTTGCACATTGATTTTGTATCCTGAGACTTTGCTGAAGTTGCTTATCAGCTTAAAGAGATTTGGGGCTGAGATGAGGGGGTTTTCAAAATATACAGTCATGTCATCTGCAAACACAGACAATTTGAATTCCTTTCTTCCTATTTGAATACCATTTATTTCTTTCTCTTGCCTGATTGCCCTGGCCAGAACTTCCAACACTATGTTGAATAGGAGTGGAGACAGAGGGCATCCTTATCTTGTGCCAGTTTTCAAAGGGAATGCTTCCAGCTTTTGCTCATTCAGTATGATATTGGCTGTGGGTTTGCCATAAATAGCTCTTATTATTTTGAGATACGTTCCATCAAGACAATGTTGTGTCTCTGCCAGGTTTTGGTATCAGGATGCTGCTGGCCTCATAAAATGAGTTAGGGAGGAGTGAGTCTCTCTTTATCTATTGTTTGGAATAGTGTCAGAAGGAATGGTACCAGCTCCTCTTTGTACCTGTGTGGTAGAAATCAGCTGTGAATCTGGCTGGTCCTAGGCTTTTTTTGGTTCGTAGGCTATTAATTACTGCCTCAATTTCAGAACTTGTTATTGGTCTATTCAAGGATTCGACATCTTCTTGGTTTAGTATTGGGAGGGTGTATGTTTCCAGGAATTTATCAATTTTTTCTAGATTTTCTTGTTTATTTACCTAGAGGTATTTATAATATTCTCTGATGGTAGTTTCTATTTCTGTGGGATCAGGTGTGATCTCCCATTTATCATTTTTTAGTGTGTCTATTTGATTCTTTTGTCTTTTCTTCTTTCTTAGTCTAGCTAGTGGTCTATCTATTTTGTTAATCTTTTCAGAAAACCAGCTCCTGGATTCATTGATTTTTTGAAGGGTTTTTCATATCTCTATCTCATTCGGTTCTGCTCTGATCTTAGTTATTTCTTGTCTTCTGCTAGCTTTTGAATTTATTTGCTCTTGCTTCTCTAGTTCTTTTAATTGTTATGATACGGTGTTGATTTTAGATCTTTCCTGCTTTCTCCTGTGGGCACTTAGTGCTATAAATTTCCCTCTAAACACTGATTTAGCTGTGTCCCAGAGATTATGGTACATTGTGTCTTTTTTCTCATTGGTTTCTAAGAACTTATTTATTTCTGCCTTAATTTTGTTATTTACCCAGTAGTCATTCAGGAGCAGGTTGTCCAGTTTCCATGTAGTTGTGTGGTTTTGAGTGAGTTTCTTAATCCTGAGTTCTAATTTGTTTGCACTGTGGTCTGAGAGTTATGAGGTCTGTTTGTTATGATTTTCATTCTTTTGCATTTGCCGAGGCATGTTTTACTTCCAATTATGTGGACAATTTTAGAATAAGTGTGATGTGGTGCTGAGAAGAATGTATATTCTGTTGATTTGGGATGGAGAGTTCTGTAGATATCTATTAGGTCTGCTGGGTCCAGAGCTGAGTTCAAGTCCTGAACATTCTTGTTATTTTTCTGTCTCATTCATATGTCTAATATTGACAGTGGGGTGTTAATGTCTCCCACTATTATTGTTGGAGTCTAAGTCTCTTTGAAGGTCTCTAAGAACTTGCTTTATGAATATGGGTGCTCCTGTATTGGGTGCATATCTATTTAGGATAGTTAGCTCTTCTTGTTGCGTCGATGTTTTTACCATGATGTAATGCCCTTCTTTGTCTTTTTTGATGTTTGCTGTTTTAAAGTCTGTTTTATCAGAGACTAGGATTACAACTCTCCTGCTTTGTTTTTTTTTTTTTTGTTTTTTTTTTTTTTTTTTTTTTTTTTTGCTTTCATTTGCTTGGTAAATATTCCTCCATCCCTTTATTTTGAGCCTATGTGTGTCTTTTCACGTGAGATGGGTCTCCTCAATACAGCACACCAATGGGTCTTGACTCTTTATCCAATTTGCCAGTCTGAGTCTTTAATTGGGACATTTAGCCCATTTACATTTAAGTTTAATATTGGTATGTGTGAATTTGATCTTGTCATTATGATGCTAGCTAGTTATTTTGCCTATTAGTTTAGCATCTATTTTCATCAAGGATATTGGTCAGTAGTTTTCTTCTTTCATTATGTTCTTTTGATTTTGGTATTAGGGTGATGCTGGCTTCATATAATTAATTAGGTTGGGTTCCTTCATTCTCTATCTTATGATATAGTGTCAAAAGGATTGGTACCAATTCTTCTTTGAATGTTTTGCAGAATTCTGCTGTGAATCCATCTGGTCCTGAACTTTTTGTTTGTTGGTAATTTTTAAATTACCATTTCAATCTCACTGATTGTTACTGGTCTGTTCAGGGTATCTAATTCTTTCTGATTTAAGCTAGGAGGGTTATATTTTTCCAGAAATTTATCCATCTCTTCTAGGTTTTCTAGTTTATATGTGTGAAGGTGTTCATAGCAGCCTTGAATGATCTTTTGTATTTCGGTGGTGTCAGTTGTAATATCTACTGTTTTGTTTCTTAGTGAGGTTATTTGGATTTTCTCTCTTCTTGGTTAATATTGCTAATGGTCTATCAATATTCTTCATCTTTTCAAAGAACCAGCAAAAAGCTGGTTCATTTATCTTTTTTTTTTCAATTTCATTTACTTCTGCTCTGATCTTGGTTATTTCCTTTCTTCTGCTGGGTTTAGATTTGGTTTGTTCTTGTTTCTCTAGTTCCTTGAGATGTGACCTTAGAATGTCATTTTGTGCTCTTTTAGTCTTTTTGATGTAGGTGTTTAGGGCTATGAACTTTCATCTTAGCACCACCTTACCTGTATTCCAGATGTTTTGGTAGGTTGTGTCATTATTTTCCTTCAGTTTGAAGAATTTTTAAATTTCCATTGTTGCAGGAGGTCAGGGACCCCGAATGGAGGGACCAGATGGAGCCATGGCAGAGGAACATAAATCTTGAAGATTTCATGGACATATATCAGTTCCCAAAATTAATACTTTTATAATTTCTTACACCTGTCTTTACTTTGACAAGCAGGTTAAAAATACAGGGCCCAAAGGAGAGTAACAGCAAGATGGCTGCCACAGGACACAGAAAGGGGAGAAGCCATGTTGCCCAACTCCAGAGGTTGGTATAAGAGTTTGAAAGGCGTTGTCTTATTTCAGAAGCCTTTTCCTGTAAACACTGGGTGGCATCTCGTACTATCCCTGACTAGTTAGTGTAAAAACAATACTCTTGCCCTAAAAAGGTGCAGAGTCCTCCTTTCTCAGCAGTGAGGAGGTCTAGGCCTCGGCGGTTTTGGAGAGTCACTGCTGCCAAAGAGTCTGTTTGGGAATGTAAAGTAAGGATAGATTTTGTTATTTCTTGCAAACTGTCTGAGAGGCAGATATTGGTTGAAGTTCCACATAAGAAGAATATGCCTTGGCTGGGTAGACAGAAATTTACCCTGGCTTTTAAAGGAATAGGGTACGCTGTTTTTTCTTCATGGCTACCACTAATTAATTGACCCTTTACCTTTATGGACTTGCCTATTCTGGCCATTTTAAATAAGTGAAAAGACAAAATAAATGGCCTATTAAATCTAGCTTCTGTTACTTTGCATATTACTTTCAAGGTTCGCTAGTGTGGTAGCATATTTTAGTACTTTATTCTTTTTTATGCCTGAATAATTTCCATTGTATAGATAGATGACTATTTGTTTATCCATTCATGACTTGTATACAGTTTTTGTAGATTATGTATAGTGCTATTATGAGCATTTCTGTACAAGTTTTTATGTGAACACTTGTTCTCATTTCTCTGGGGTATATGCTTAGGAGTGTAATTTATGATTCTTATGATAAATCTAGCTAAACATTTTGAGAAATTGCCAAACTACTTTCCACAGAACCTGTACCATTTTCTTTCCCATGTATGAGAGTTCTCATTTCTCTACATCCTCACCAACACTTGTGCTTTTTCATTATTGTTATTTATTTTTAAACATAGCCAGCCTAACGGGAGTGAGGTGGTATCTTATTGCCATTGTGATTTGCATTTCCCTAATTATAATGATATTGAGTATCTTTTAATGTGCTTATTAGCTATTTGTATGTCTTATTGAGTGAAATACCTATTCTCATTTAAAAAATTGTTTTTTTCTTTTTACTGCTGATTTGTGAGAATTATTTTAAATTCTAGATAATAAACTCTTAGCAGATAAAAATTGAATACATTTTCCACCCTTCTATGGGTTGTCTTTTCACTTTTCTAATTTCTTTTAAAGCACGTAAGTTTTTAATTTTGATGAAATCAAATGTATCAGTTTATTTCTTATGTGGTTGATGCCACATCTAAGAAACCACTGCCTAATTCATGGTCAAAATGATTTATGCTTATGCTGAATTCTAAAAGTTTCATAGTTTTAGCTCTTACATTTGTGTCTTTGATCCACTTTGAGATAATTTTTAAATATGGTATAAAGTAGAAGTCCAAAATAATTATTTTGGATGCAGATATCCATTTATTTCTGTGTCGTGTGTTGAAAAAACATTTCCTTCCCTATTGAAGTGTCTAAGAATCTTTGTAAAAATCAGGTGTAAAAAGTGAGGGTTTATGTTTGGATTCAAAATTCTACTTAAGTGACCCAAATATCCAAACTTATGCCAATACCACAATGTTTTGATTTACTATAGCTGGATTGTAAATTTTGAAATAGAAAAGTATGAGTTTTTCAACTTTGTTCTTCAAGCTTCTTTTGGCTACATGAGATCCTTTGAATTTTCACATGCATTTTAATTTAATTCAGTTTATTTATTTCTGAAAATAGGTCAAATTTTTATTTTTAATTTAAAAAATTTTTTTATTATTAAAAAATCTTAAATACATGAAAGTAGATAGATTACTATAATGAACTCCCATGTACTCATCACTCAGCCTGCATAATGCCTAACTGATGGCCAGTCATTTTCTCACTATATTGCCATGTTGCTTTGAAGCAAACCCCAGGCATTATAGCATTTAGTACATCACTATTTGAGATCCATCAGGACATTTTTACATGTTAATGTTAAAAAAATCAGATAAATAGTTCTAATCATTGTATATAGTATTATTTTTCGTCGTGGTATCCTGACATCATATTTTCTAACATGTAACAATTGATTATAAAGTCTCATCAGTGAGTTTCATAATATTTGTAGACACGTCTGTAAGCTAAAGGGTGATTTGGTGGACTACAGAAATATTTCACAGATTTGGATAGGTTTCTTGGGGGAACTATTTTTCTTCTGAAATTTTTTATACTTGACTCAAATTTAGAATGACAATTTGCATGCCAGATCTATGAAGCATTAATTATACTCATTGCTGGATATATGCATGTGTTGTATACAATTCTTTATTTTTAAAAAACTTTTATGGGTACATAGTAGATGTATATACATATGAGGTGAATGAGATATTTTGATACAGGCATGCAATGTGTACCAATCACATCATAGAAAATGGGGTATTCATCCCCTCAAGCATTTATCGTTTGTGATAGTAATAATCCAATTATACTCTTTTAGTTATTTTAAAATGTACAATTAGGGCAGTTGGAATTTCAGTAGTGATTGTATTGAATCCGCAGATACCTTTTGGGAGCATCGCCATTCAACAATATTGAGTCTTTGAATTACACACACGGAGTATCTTTCCATATATTTGGGCCCTTAATTATTTCAAGAATGTTTTCTTGTTTTCAATGCAAGGATCTTTACTTAGGTCATTTATTTCTCCCTCTCTCTCTCTCTCTCTCTCTGATTAGTTGCAGGTGCTTTGTAATTTTTTTAAAATTTCAATAGCTTTAGGGGTACAAGTGATTTTTGGCTACGTAGATGAGTTGTATAGTGGTGAAGTATGGGCTTTTATTGCATCCATCACCCCAATAGTGTACATTATATTTTTATATATTTTTCTTATGTTATTGTGATTGGACTTGTTTTCCTAATTTCATTTGAGAATTGTTCATAGCTAGTGTCTAGATAAGCAACTCATTTTTGTATGCTGATCTTGTGTTCCGCAACAATCCTGAACTTTTAAAAACAGTTTGAATTAATTTATTTAATTTTTAGATTGGCATTTTACCTCTACTATGCAATATTTTAGTAGTAGCTCCAGATATTATAATGTGCATTATACATTTTTCAAAATTAAACTTAATGTTATATAACTTCACATAAAATGCTAAAACCTCACAGATATAAAGGTCCTATTATCATCCTATAAGCCCCTTATGCTACGCTTATTGTGTTAATTATATCTACCTATATTATAAGCCCACATGGTAGCATTACAGATTTTGTCTTTAAAAGTCACATGCATTATAAAGAGAATAATAAGAGGTAAAATATTTAAATAAAATTATCTGTTATATATTACCTAGATATTTATCACTACTGATGCTCCCCATTATTTTTGAAAACATAAACTTCTATCTGGTATCATATCCTCTAGCCCGAAGAACTGCCTTTAGCATTTCTTTTGTAGCAGGTCTACTGACAACAGATCCTCTCTGTTGTTTGTTTGCTTACTAGGCCATTTTTGCTGGAGGTTTTTTTATTGTTCTTGTTAATGCAATCATCCCTATATTTCACCATTATCGTTGAAGGATATTTTAACTGGACACAGAATTCTAGGGTAACAGTTTTACTTTTTTTCTAATACTTAAAAAAAATGATTCCCATTTCTCTAGCCTCCACAGTTTCTGATGTCAGCCATTTTTTTAAACATTGTTCCTTGTATTAAATATATTATTTTTATCTTCTTATTTTTAATGTCTTTGGCTTTTCATATGTTTAGGTATGAACTTTTTTTTTTTTTTTTCGAGACAGAGTCTCGCACTGTCACCCAGGCTGGAGTGCAGTGGTGTGATCCCAGCTCACTGCAACCTCTGACTCCCGGCTTCAAGCGATTCTCCTGCCTCAGCCTCTCAAGTAGCTGGGATTACAAGTGCCCACGACCATGCCCAGCCAATTTTTTGTATTTTTAGTAGAGATCGGGTTTCACTATGTTGGCCGGGCTGGTCTCAAACTCCTGACATTGTGATCCACCCGCCTTGGCCTCCCAAAGTGCTGGGATTACAGGCGTGAGCCACCACACCCAGCCAGGTATGAACATTTTTGTGTTTTGTAGCTTTGGGTTTATTTTAGCATCTTGAATCTGTAAATTTGTGTCTTACATGAAGAAATCTTTTTCATTCTTCAAACATTTTCCTACATTTATTCTATTTTATCTGAGACTGCAATTATACTTATTATAGATTCTCTAATATTGTCTAGTAGATCCCTGAGACACACTTTATTTTTAAAATCTATTTTTTGTTATTCAGATTGTACAATTTGTTTGTGTTGATCTATGTTTAAATTCACCATCTCCACTGTATTTTCTATGAAGTCCATCAGATTAATATATTTGCTTTTATTTTTTATTTGGTTCCTTACAATTATTCTTATTTAATGGGTGATATTTTATACATTTTAATTAGTTGTGATCATTTTTTTCTCAAATTTATTTTTTTTTCTCAAATTTATTTCTTTTAAATTGACATGAATTATATGTACTTATTGTGTACAACATGATGTTTTGAAATACATATATGTACACACACATTGTGAAATGGTTAAATATAGCTAATTAACAAATGCACTACCTCACAAAATTATAATTTTGTGGTGGAAATATTTAACATTCACTCTCAGCATTTTTCAAGGATAGAATATATCATCATTTACTATATGCTGTACTGTAGATCTCCTGAACTTATTCCTGCTATCTAGGTATAAATATGTTTTATTTGACCAATATCTTCTCCAGCCTCCCCTTCCGGCAACCACCCCAGCCTCTGGTAACCACTATTCTTCTCTTTACTTCTATGAGATCAACTCCCTCATTGTTCTTCATTCTTGTAGCCATATGTAGATATCTGAACATTTGAAGAAGTATGCACTTCTTTCAGTCTTCACAGACTGGCTTTGAGAACATCCTTCAACAATCTTTCAAGGGACCTCTGTGGTCACTGCAGTTTGGAATCACTGAAGCTAGTGTGGTACCAGGCTTGAGTCCCATAGCCACTGAAGCTGCTGAAGCACAAAGGCATGTCTGAAGCCCATAATCGCTGAGTCCTGCCCATCACTGAGGTTTTTCATGAACCCAAGGCCACCGTAGCTGGTTAATGGTGAAGCCAACTGCCCCAGAAATGTTTTGTGTTTCTGTTTGTCAGATGTCTGAAAACAATGTTAGTCTAGGAACATCTTAGCAAGTGAATACATTGAGATTTCCTGAATCATCATCCTAACTCGGTATCCAAATATATGTGATGGTCAGCTCCATTTATCAACAAGAAAACCTTTTCCATACTTGCATGTAGTGCAAAAACAGTGGACATATTAAAAACCATTGAACTGTATACTTTAAATGGGTAACTTGCATGGCATATGAATTACATTTTCATAAATCTGCTATAAAGAATGTGGCTGTAGTACTCTGGGGTTCTGCTTCCACACTGGGCTCCAGGTTTACTCTGATGTTGTCCTAAAAGTTCTAATGTTTGCCAAATCTTTGATGGGTTAAAGAAAAAAATAAGCACATATGCACACACACTTTTTGGAATTATTGAAAATTTGTCATATTTGACTAGTATTTACAAAATATTTACAAAAAATATTTACCAAAAGTGTATATGTGTTTTACATGATACCACATATGACGTTGCTTTTTAAATTCTTATTTTTCTATTGCTTTTTAAATTCTTGCTTTAGTTTTTCTTATTTGAAGACTATTTTTTGAATAGCTGTGATTCTCTTGAATTTCTATTTATTTTTTTGATATCTAAATACCTTAATTTTTCTTCTTTAGGATTAATATACTTCCCTGTTAGGTTATGTTATTACCCTTCTCTCCAACTTAAAAATTAAAGAAAATAAGAACAAAACAAGAATACCCTGTAAAAGTTATGTTGTAATTTGAGTACAAGTAGAAGGACAGATGGGCAAATGATGGGTACTGTGAAATGAACCTAAAGCTATAAATGCAGCTTTGTTTGCAAGACAAATAGCTTCCTAATGCAACTAATTTAAATATGAAGGCTAGGTTATTGCAATAAGCTAAAAACTATTTAAAATCATTTTAAGGAAAATAGAATCTCTGCCTGGGTAAATGCAGGCTATATTCTTAGACTTTGAAGATCAGGCTTAGTAGTTAATATTATTTAGTGGTGATCAAAGTGATCATCACTTTAGTGATCACTCTCTTTCTCTCTCTCTCTCTCTCTCTCACTCTCTCTTGCTCTCTCTCTTTCTCTCTCTCTCTCTGTGTGCGTGTGTGTGGATGTCTATGGTAATTCTGAGCAATGTTGGCATTCTTACTTTTGTTTACATAGCATTGTCAGTCCTCCACCTACTCCTTTACTCATGCCCCACGTATCTTTCAAAATCATAACATAGCTTTGTTGTTTTTTTTTCTTTTAATTGTGTATTTTGTTAGCTCTCTTTTTAGTCCTTCAGGGTTAAAGCAGTAAGTGCCGTATAAATATCTATTAAACTGAAAGGTCTCAGTATTTTTTTTAAAGTCACTGGGATTTAGATAGAGCACTAGAGAAAATATTTCCTGGCATAGACAGGTGATTAATAATAATCATGTCTGATTTCCATGAAATTCCCACTGATATCTCTCAGTCAATAATTTATTTTTAGAAAGGTGTCTTGTGTTTAAGTGATTTTGTATTCGTAGACTTTATTTTCCAGAGTAGCGTTAAGTTTACAGAAAAATTGAAAGAGGTATTATAAGTAGTTTCTATATACCTCTTTTTTACTACAGAATTCCCCCTTTTATTAACATCCTATGTTAGGATAAAACATTTACCACAATTGATGAACTGATATGAATACCTTATTTTTAACTAAAGTCCATAGTTTGAATTAATGTTCACTCTTTGAGTTGTACAGCCCTATGAGTTTTGACAAATGTATTATGCCTTGTATTCATCATCATGGGATCATTGAGTATAGTTTCACCACCTTAAAACTGTCCCGTGATCCACCTATTTATCCCTTGCCCCTCCCCATAAACCCTTAGCAACCAATAATCTTTTTATCATTACTATGGTTTTACCTTGCCCAGTAGGTAATACAGTTGGAATCTTAAAGGATGTATCCTTTTGAGACTAGTTTCTTTTATTTAGCAATATGCATTTAAGGTTCATTATGTCTCTGTGTGCCTTAATAGCTCATATTTTTAGTGCTCAGCAATATTCAGTTATACAGATGTACTATACACCAGTTCTCTTATCTACAGCTTTGCTTTCTGTGGTTTTAGTTGCCTATGCTCAACCATGGTCTAAAAATATTGAGTTGCATGTCATTATGAGTAATGTGATGAAATCTCGTGGCCATCCTTGTTTTCCAGGGTAGCCACACTATATATATATACTACGTACCCTTCAGTCACTTAGTAGCCATCTTGGTTATCAGTGTGATATATCACAAGAAAAAGAAGGCAATTACACTACAATAAGATATTCTGAGAGAGAGAGAGAAACAGAGGAAGAACACATTCACATAATCCTTATTATAGTATATTGTTATAATTGTTCTATTTTAATTTATTTTTATTATAGATTTATGGGGTACATGTGCAGATTTCTTACATGGATATATTACACAACGATGAGGTTTGGGCTTCTAGTGTACCCATCACCCAAACAGTTAACATTGTACCCAATAGGTAATTTTTCAACTCTCACCCCCATCTTACCTCCCCACTTTTGGAGTCTCTAGTGTCTATTATTTCCATTTTTATGTCCATGTATATTCAATGTTTAGCTCCCACTTAGAAAACATGCAGTATTTGATTTTCTGTCTCTGAGTTATTTCACGTAGAATAATGGTCTCCAGCTGCGTCCATGTTGCTGCAAAAGACATGATTCCATTCTCTTTTATGGCTGAATAGTTTTCCATGGTGAGTATATACAACATTTTCTTTATTCAACCATCCATTGATGGGTGCTTAGTTCGATTCCATGACTGCTATTCTGAATAGTTCGGCAGTAAACATATGAGTGTGTGTGTGTCCTTTTGGTAGAATGACTTATTTTCCTTTGGGGAATGTATTAGTCTGTTCTCACACTGCTAATAAAGACATACCCAAGACTGCGTAATTTATTTAAAAAAAAAAAAAGAGGTTTAATGGACTGGACACACAGTTTCACATGGATGGGGAGTCCTCACAGTCATAGTTGAAGGTGAATGAGGAGGAAAGTTACATCTTACATGGTGGCAGGCAAGAGAGCTTGTGTAGGGGAACTCCCCTTTATAAAACCATCAGATCTCATGAGACTTATTCACTGCCACAAGAACAGCACAAGAAAGACCTGCCCCCATGATTCAATTACCTCCCACTGGGTCCCTTTCATGACACGTGGGAATTATGGGAGCTATAATTCAAGATGAGATTTGGGTGGGGACGCAGCCAAACCATATCAGGTAGATACTCAGTAGTTTGATAGTTAAATGATTAGATCAAATGATAGCTCTATTTTTAGTTATTTGAGAAATCTCCATACTATTTTTTTATAGATGTACTAATTTATATAATCAAAAACTGTATAAGAATTCCCTTTTCTCTATATTCTCACCAACAATTATTTTTTGACTGTTTAGTAATAGCCATTCTGATTGGTATTAGGTGGTATCTCATTGAAGTTTTACTTTTACGTTTCTCTGATGATTTGTGATGTTGAGCAATATTTCATATTCTTGTTGACTACTTGTATATCTTATTTTGAGAAAAGTCTGTTCATGTCTTTTGCCCAATTTTTAATGTGATTATTTGTTTATTACTTGCTTATTTGTTTGAATTTCTTATAGATTCTAGATATTTATCTTCTGTCAGATGCATAGTTTGCAAATATTTTTACTCATTCTGTAGATTGTCTGCTTACTCTGTTTATTATTTCTTTTGCTGTGCAGAAGCTTTTTAGTTTAATCAAGCCTCATTTGTCTGTTTTTGTTTTTGTTGCATTTGCTTTTGAGGTCTTAGTCATAAACTACGTGGCTAGACTAATGTCCAGAAGTGTTTTTTTCTAGATTTTCTCCTAGAATTTGTATAGTTTCAAGTCTTATATTTAAGTCTTTAATCCGTCTTGAGTTAATTTTTGTACATGGTGAGAGATAGGGGTCCAAGTTCATTCTTCTGCATATAGCTATTCAGTTTTACCAACACCATTTATTGAATAGGGCATCCTGTCTCCATTATTTATTTTGGTCAACTTTGTGGAAGATCCGTTGGTTGTAGGTATGTGTCTTTATTTCTGAGTACTCTATTCTGCTCCATTGATCTATGTGTTGTTAATCTCTTACTGTACCTAATTTATAAGTTAACTTTATGATATGTATGTTTGTGTGTTAGGCTGTTCCTGCATTACAATAAAGGAATACTTGACTGGATAATTTATAAGGAAAAGAGGTTTAATTGGCTCATAGTACTGTAGGGTGTACAGGATGCATGGTGCTGGCATCTGCTTCTGGTGAGGGCCTCAGAAAGCTTATAATCATGGTGAAAGATGGAGTGGGAGCAGACATGTTACATGGTGAGAGCAGGAGAAAGAGAGCAAAGATGTGGGGGAGGCCCTAGACTTTTAAAGGACCAGATCTTGTGTGAACTAACTAAGCGAGAACTCACTTATCACCAAGAGGGTGGTGCTAAGTCATTCATGAAGGACCCACCCCCATGATCCCATCACCACCCACCAGGCCCCACCTCCGACATTGGGAATCAAATTACAACAAGAGATTTGGAGGGACAAATGTGCAAACAATATCAGTGTGTATAGGAAAAAAGCACAGTATATATTGGGTTCAGTACTATTCATTGTTTCAGGTATCCACTGGGGGGGTCCTGGTACATATTCCCCACAAATAATAGGGGTCTACTGTATTTTGTTTATTCATTCACCTATTAAAGGACATTCTGTTTCATCCAATTCTTGGCAATTGTAAATCAAACAGCTATAAAAATTTATGTGCAAGTTTTTCTGTGGCCATATGTTTTCCACTTATTTGAGTAAATATCCAGGAATATGATTCCTTGATTATACAATAAGAAAATATTTAGCTTAGTAAGAAAATGCCAAAATGTCTTCCAATGTGTTCATATCACTTATCATTCCTACCAGCAACGGATGAGTAGTTCTGTTGCTTCACATACTCATGAGTATTTGGTGTTGTCAGTGTTTCGGGTTTTAGTTAATTTAATGGGTGTCATAGTATCTTAAGTTGTTTTAATTTGCAATTCCCTAATGACATAATATGGAGCATCTTTACATGTGTTTATTTGCTATTTGTATTTATTTTATGGTGAGGTATCTTTTCATTTATTTTGCTTATTTTCTAATTGGCTTGTTTGGTGTTTCTTATCGTTGAGTTTTAAGTGATTTTTGTATATTGTGGATAACAGTCCTTTGTGTGTTTTGAAAATATTTTCTCACACTCTGTAGCTTAACTTTAAATTTTCTTGTTAGTGTTTCTCACAGAACAGTTTTTTTTGTTTCGTTTTGTTTTTGAGACGGAGGCTCGCTCTGTCGCCCAGGCTGGAGTGCAGTGGCGCGATCTCGGCTCACTGCAAGCTCTGCCTCCGGGTTCAGGCCATTCTCCTGCCTCAGCCTCCCCAGTAGCTGGGACTACAGGCGCCTGCAACCAAGCCCGGCTAATTTTTTGTATTTTAGTAGAGACAGGGTTTCACCGTGTTAGCCCGGACGATCTCGATCTCCTGACCTCGTGATCCACCCGCCTCGGCCTCCCAAAGTGCTGGGATTACAGGCGTGAGCCACCACGCCCGGCCAGTTTTTCTATTTTAATATAGTAAAACTAAAATAATTTTTGATGGATTGCATCTAAAATGTCATCACCAATGCAAGGTTACCAATATATTATTTTATGTCTTCATCTTAGCTGTTTCTTTTTCATATTACATTTATCTTAATAATATATTTTGAGTTAATTTTTGTGAAAATGTGTAAGACCTATGTCCAAATTTATTTACTTTTTAGATCACCACTTGTTGAATAGACTATACTTTCTATATTGTATTGACATTTTTGGCAAAAATCAGTGGAATTTAATTTTATGTGTTTATTTCTAGGCTCTGTTTTATTTTACTGATCTACTTATATATTCTTTTGTTAGTAATACACTGTATATATTAATCTTAAAACTGGATAGTTCAATACATTGAATTTTATTTCAAAATATTTAAAGTATTTTTAAATTTCTCTTGAAATTTCATCTTGGACCCATGTGTTATTTGGAAGTGTGTTGTTTAATCTCCAACTATTTCATGATCTTCCACTTAGCATTTTGTTACTGATTTTTAGTTTAATTCAATTCTTGTCTGAAAACATGCTTTGTATGCCTTCTATACGTTTAAATTTCTTAAGGTGTGTTTTATAGTCTAAAATAAGTTCTATCAAGATGAATGTTCCACATATTCTTGAGAAGAATGTGTATTCTGTTATTGTTGAATAAAGAAATCCATAAATGTCAATTATATCTAGTTCAGCTCTGATCGGTTAAACTATATTCTTACTGATTCTCTGCCTGCTGGATCTGACAATTACTGGGAGAGCAGTGTTAAAGTCTTCAACTATCAGAGTGGATAGTGTATTTTTCCTTAAAGTTCTTTCAGTTTTTGCCTCAGCTATTTATTTTGGTACTCTATTTTGAGATGCATGCACGTTAAGGAGCATTATGTCTTCTTAGAGTTATGTCTTTATATTTTGTTAACACTTCTTAAAGAATTACACCTTTGTCATTATGTAATGCCCTTCTTTATCCAATGATACTTTTCTTTTGTTCTTAATTTTGCTTTGTCTAAAATGGATATAGCTATTTCATTTTTCTTTTGTTATGGTATAACTTTCTCTAGCCCTTTACTGTTAATGTAATTTTGTCTTTATATTTAAATTTGGTTTCATACACAACACGAACTTGGATTATTTTGTAAGAACTCTGACAATCTCTGTTTCTTACTTGGTGTATTTAGATCCTTCACATTCAAAGTGATTACTAAAATAATTGGATTAATATGTACTATATTTGTAACTGTTTTCTGTGTGTTGCTCTTGGGTCTTTGTTTCTATTTTGTCTTTTCCTATTTTTTGCCACCTCTGGTTTTAATTGAGTATTTTATATGATTCAATTTTCTTTCCTTTCAATCATATAAATTATTCTTCTTGTTTAATTCGTTTTGTGGCTGCTTAAGTTGACAATATACTTAAAACTATTTTTATTCCACTTTCAAATAATACTATACTCCTTCATGAGTAGTGCAAGTACCTTCTAACAGAATATTTCTAATACCTTCCTCCTGTCCCTTGTAACATTGTTGTCATTCATTTCACTTTCCCATAAGCTATAATTATCTATGACATTGTTGTTTTGTATTATTTTATACTTTTTGAGCAGTTTCAGGTTGATAGCAAAATTGAGAGAAGGTACAGAGATTTCCCATATAACTTCTAACCTCATATATGAATAAACTTCCCCTTTATTAATATCCCACACCAGCGAGGTAAATGTGTTACAATTTATGAGCCTAAATTAACACATCACTACCACTTAAAGTCAATATACTAATTAGGGTTCACCCTTGGTTTTGTACATTCTATTGGTTTCGTCACATGTATAATGATATGTATCCACCATTATAGTATCACACAGAGTACTTTGTCACCTTTAAAATCCTCTATGCATTATTTACTCATTCCTCCCTTCCCCCTAAACCCTAGCAACTACTAATATTTTTACTGTCTCCATTTTTTTGCCTATTCCAGAATGTCATATTATTGGAATCATGTAATACACATCCTATTCAGATTGACTTCTTTCACTTAGTAATGTGCATTTAACTTTCTTTCATCTCTTTTTACAGCTTGATATTTTCTTTTTGGCTCTGGATAATGTCCAATTGTATGGATATTTCACAGTTTATTTATTCATTCATCTACTGAAAGACATCTTTGTTGTTTCCAAGTTTCGACAATAGTGGATAATGCTGCTACAAATACCTGTGCACAGGTTTTTATTAAAAACATGTTTTTTATTCATTTGGGTAGAATACTAAAGAGCACAATTCCTGGATTTTATAAAAGTATATTTAGTATTGCAAGATATTGCCAAAATGTCTTCCAAAGTGGTTGTACCACTTTGCATTCCCACTAGTAAAGAATGAGAGTTTCTGCTGCTCCACATCATCACCTGCGTTTGTTGTGATCAGTGTCTTGTGTTTTTGCCATTCTCATAGGTGTGTAATGGCATCTCAATGCTTAGAGTCAAGCAGAATCAGTCTTCCAACTTATTTCTTAACCTTACATATTGCAATGACTACCTGAGGTATTTCTCTCTTTATATAAATTTTATTTCTTTTATTTCTTATGATCCTTGATTGGATTCTGGATTTTATTTTATTTTTGTTTTAATTTTTTAGTTTCTGTGGGTGCATAGTAGGTGTATATATCAATGGGATTTTTATCTTATATACATTTTAGAATCAGTTTGCTGCTGCACAGAAGACAACCTGCTGATATTTTCATTGGGATTATATTGAATCTATAGATCCACTTGTGAAGAGCTGACATCTTAACAATATTGAATCTTTTTATCCATGAACATGGGATATCTCTCCATTTGTTTAGTTATTTCTTTAAATTTCAACAAGGTATTGTAATTTTCCTCAAGTAAATCTTGTACATATTTTATAAGATTTATACTTATGTACTTCATTTGGGTGGTATTAATGTAAATGGTATTGTTTTTCATTTCAAGTTCCACTTGTTCATTTCTGATACATTAGGAAAGTAAATGACTCTTGCACATTATCCTTGTGTCCTGAAACATCATTGCTATTTCTTATTAATTTCAGGAGTTTTCTTGCCAATTATTTTACATTTTCTGCATAGACAAGCATGTCATCTGCTAAGATAGCTTTATTTCTTATTCCTTCCTAATCAGTACACCTTTTATTTCCTATTCCTTTCTATTTTCATTAGTTAGGACTTACAGCATAATGTTAAAAAGAAGTGGTGAAGGAGACATTCTTGCCTTTTTTTCAGTCTTAGTAGGGAAACTTCTGGTTTCTCACCATTAAGTATAATGTTGGCTGTATCTTTTGGTAGATATTCTTTATTAAGTTGAGGAAATGTCCCACTATTTCACGTTTAATAAAATTTTATGATAAATAGGTGTTGGATTGTAATTCTTATTTTGAAGAAATGTATAGGTGATTTTTAAGAATGCTTTCAAGAATGATAATTAATTCTTAGATAACACAATTATTGCCTTCAATGCAACACACCACTCAATATCACATTCACTATTAATGGGGATATAGTTTCACATTAAAAAGCTATGCATTTTATGGCTGGGCATGGTGGCTCACACCTGTAATCCCAGCACTTTGGGAGGCTGAGGTGGGCGGATCACGAGGTCAGGAGATCGAGACCATCCTGGCCAACATGGTGAAATCCTGTCTCTACTAAAACAAAAAAAAAAAAAAACAAAAAAAAACAAAAATTAGGTAGGCATGGTGGCGTGTGCCTGTAGTCCCAGCTACTCGGCAGGCTGAGGCGCAGGAGAATCACTTGAACCTGGGAAGTGGAGGTTGGAGTGAGCCGAGATTGCATCACTGCACTCCAGCCTGGTGACAGAGCAAGACTCCGTCTCAAACTAAAGAAAAATAATAATTATGCATTTTATATATTGACAAGTGGAAAATGAAGTTAGGATTAATTAAATCATAATTTAATGAGAACTTGTTATGCTCCAAGAGCTATTTCAAGTACCTTACATGTATTATCATATTTTCTTCTCGCAAAATCTTTTACATACTTCCCCATTTTATAGTGGAATAATCTAAAGCACAAAAAGTTTAAGTTTCCCAATATCACAAGAGTAGTATGTGCTGTTAATTGTGAAGGTGAGATATGATCTTATACATTGTGGCTCCAGAGCCTTTTTTAACATTATACTACTTCCAAATATAGAAAAGAAAATACAGAATATGACAAAAATTTTTAAAAAAGTTTGCTAAGTGATCACAATATGTCAGAAATTATGCTAATTACTTTATGTGTGCAGTTTCATTTATTTCTTACAACAACACTAAGTAGATTAGGTTTATCATCATTTTGCAGATGAGGAAACTGTAGTTCAGAAAGATTAAATAAGTTGACCAAGGGTACTTGCCAAAACCATTGGTTGCAGAACCAGTGTTATAACTTAGTTCTGTCTGACTCTGAATAATATTCTAAACTACATCTATTAGTGAAGTGTCACCTCGGATTTCTCATTTGGGAAATATCTTTATGACATCTGTCAGGTTATTTTACATTTGAAAAGTCTAAGGGCAATAAACACATATAACCCTGTCATAAAGATGAGTGATACAAGGCACACTGAATGAAGATAATAGAAAAGCACATCGTTATTCTTTCAAACACCACCATTATCATTATAAACATCACCTTTATCATTACCCTCCTCATAATCATAGCTGATTTCACCAATCTACAAAGCCTTGATTTCAGTGTTCTCTAAAATATATTTGTATGTAGCAATGGACTGTTATTCCATTAAAAATAAAATTTTTCTCCATTGTTTTAGTAAATACAGTTAAACACCTTATAAAATGTTGTGATCTTTTTCTTCCACAAATGTAAATGCTTTTAATGCCTTTCTTTTTTCATAGCTTTATAAATTTCATTCAATGATTGTTGAGTTTGTGGTTTAAATTGTAAGAAATATTGCCATGAAAATAATTGAGGATATTAATTCAGACTTTTAAAAGCCTAACTGTATAGTAGCCTCCACAAAACTGTCAATTACTAGTTGTTATTTTCACAGAAACAGTGATGAGTTTTAAGACAAACTACAATGATTTATCTCAGTTTTTCATAACCCAGCCTCAGCTATACACGTTTAAGGGTGAATTGTTGACTGTAAGATATCATCTAGAGCCCTCTGCCACTTTTCTCAAAGGCCAATGATTTGAGGGATACAGAGGCCTGTATAGTTTATGTTTATTTGTCAAAAAAAGATGTATAATGTAACATCGGTTTTTGTAAATCTTCTTTAAATACCAAAATCAAAAAGCAAAAAGAACTATTTCAGATTTCTAAATACCATGTAATAATTATAAATACTTTGGTAATTGTCACAAAGACTTTATAAGATATATATTAGTTGTAATTCCCATATTATGGATCAAGTTGTTGATACTCCAAGTTAGGTTATTTAACCTTATCTGGAGCCATATAGCCAGTTATTTGTGGAGCTAGACTTTAAATTCAGGTCCGTCATGTGCCAAAGCTTATGCTATAATTACTGGTTTTGTAGCCAAAATGAGCATGATTTCGGTTGCATAATGCCAATGTATCCTCCTAAAAGAATAATTTTTAGTTCTGTCTTATTACTTGTCTACTCAAAAATCTTACTTCATAACAGAACACAATAAACTGGTAAATAACTCTCTTGGTTGCAAAGTTATTTCTTACATTAATGTAAACTTTTCACATGTCACTTTCTTCTACTGCTTTTCTTGATATATAACGTGAGAATCAAGGAACCTTTAAAATCACAATAAACAAAGACCCTCAAGACAATAAGACTAGAAGAGACATTTTTAGAAACTTCATGGTTTCTGCTCAACTAATTCCTTTACTTTCATTAGGACTGTAGATATCACACATAGATTGAAGATGGAACTCAGAAAACAACATAAGCTCATAAAAAGTTAAAAAAAAAAGCAGCTCATTTCCTTTGATGGTTTAGAAAATGCCTGAAATGAGTGTAGTAAGTTGAAATATGTTCATGAAATGTAAGGTGAGCCTTCAAAAAAAGCCATCATAGAACGATGATGGAAGGCCATACTTTATGTTTCTACTGCAATGTTCAGTGACGACTAGGACCATCAGACTTAGTGTTTTTTGTTAACTCATATCTCAGTAGACACAGGCTTTTTTTTTCAATGTTAAACCACAGAGCAGATGTGATGTTCCATAAAATAACATTTTCCTATGATTAAACCTTTTAGTAAAAATAAAAAATCAGTGTGAAATAAAGTTTTGGCATTTTTTCATGGCCCAGATCATGAAGTATTATAAAATAATGAAAAATAATGGCAAATTTTATGTCTAATGAACAATATAACCAATCTGGGAAACAATATTAGAGACTATTGGCTTCAAACCTCCTATCTTATGGCTGAAGAAACACAGATCCAGAGAGGGCAAGGAACACGCCTAAGGCTTTTCTGGTAGTAAACATCAGAATTATGACTACAGCTGTGCCCTTTAATTTCAACTTCTGCATCCGAAATTAATCATAGATAACATATGACATCATATATGTGTATATATTTATGTTTATATTCTCCACCTTCATATACTCCTCAGAAAAACCCTATGAAGTAAGTGATCTTATTAACAACATGGACAGATGAAGACACTGAACCAAGAGGATGTGTGCCTTGTGCAAAGCCACATAACTAGAAAGTGGTAGGACTGATATTTGAACTGAGGTTGCCTAAAAATAGATTTTATGGCTTAAAACTACTTCACTTTCTCTCCTCTGTACTTCAATTTGGCCTTAAATATGAGAAAAAAATTAATCAAAAGTATCATTGAATGATCAATTATGGATGCACCTCACAATGTAATTAATTTATTTAGTCACTTGTTAAACAATGAATTAAATATATATTGACATACATAGGACTCATATAAAAACTAACTCTAACATTCTCAATTGCCTTTCATATGAAATGAAGGCCAAAAATTGTAAGTGCCTCATTCAAGTCACTTTTCTTTTAGTGTGAAAGAAAAATAATTTCAACACTAGGACACAGTCATGCTTACTAACCTGATGACCAACACTAGATACCCCGAAAGTGTCGTGTTTTGTCTTGCATAGGGTAGAACAGCAGAAGTGAAAGTGCCTCTAGCATGCTTAAAGGCCATGAACCTGAAGGTATCCAAAAAACAAAATTAAGAATAATTCCATTTATTATGGCATCACAAAGAATAAAATGTTTAGGAATAAATTTAAACAAAGGAGGTAAAATATCTATACACTAAAAACTATAAGGCACTGATGAAAGAAAGAAGACACAAATAAAGGGAAAGATATCTCTTGGCCATGGATTAGAAGAATTAATATTGCTAACATTTCCACATTACCCAAAGCAATCTATAGATTTCATCTAATCTCTATTGAAATTCCAATAATGTTTCTCACAGAAATAGAAAAATATCCAAAAATTTGAATGAAAACACAAAGGATCCCAAATAGCTAAAGCAATCTCGAGAAACAAGAACAAAGCCATAGAAACTACATTTCTTGATTTCAAACTATATTACAAAGTTATAGTAATTGAAATAGTATGATACAGGCATTAAAACAGATACATAAGCCAATGGAACAAAATAGAGAGCCCACACATATATGGTAAATGAATGTTCAAAAAGAGTGCCAAAAATACACAATGGGAAACAGTCTCTTCAATAAATGATGTTGGAAAAATGTGATATCCACATACAAAAAAAAAGAAATTAGATCCTTGGCTTCAACCATTTATAAAAATTGACTTGAAATAAATTAAAGAAAATATAGAGGGAATGCTCCATGACATTGATTTTGTCAATAATTTTTTTTGGATATGACACCAAATGTACAGGCAGCAAAAGCACAAATAAACACAGGGGCATGCATCAAACTAAAAATCTTCTGCACAGCAAAGAAAACAAGCCATAAAATAAAAAGGCAATTTATGGAATGGAAGAAGATAATTGGAAGCCATATATTTGATAAGGGGTTAATATTGAAAATATATATGGAATTCATACAACTCAATGGCAATAAGAATAAAAATAAAAATAAGCCAAAGACCTGAGCAGACATTTTTTTCCAAAGAAGACATACCAATGACCAAAAGGAATATGAAAATACGCTCAACATCGCTAATCATCAGAGCAATACAGATTGAAACTGCAATGAGATATTAACTCACACCTATTAGAACGGCTAATATATTTTAGGATCAATAAAAGTATTTTAATATAACTGATATTATACAGTAGGAAAGTAAACTACCACTACACAGCTACAGGAATGAAGAGTTAAAAATACAACATTGAGCAATACAGAAATAGCATAAGTTACCGATTACTATTTGACTCAATTAAGGTAATATTAAAATTAGACAAAACTATACTCTAACATTTAGAGATGCATACCTAGGTCATTAAATATGTTAGGTAAAAGGAAGCATTTGAAGAAAAAATATCCAGGCTAGTGGTTAATTATTGAGTAAACGTAAGCATCGTACTTAATTAAGAGGCAGGAGGGTACTTGGAAATAGTCTACGCTTTTAACTTAGGGTATTACAGAGGTGTGCTATTAATAATTCATAAAAATTTACACTTCATATTGTATTCACTGATTTGCATTATATATACATTATATATATTTATTTCAACATAAATATATATTTATTTCAACGTAAATATATATATTTATATTGCGATATAAATATATATATTTATTGCAATATAAATATATATATTTATTGCAATATAAATATATATACTTATTGCAATATAATATATATTTATTTCAATATAAATATATATGTTTATTTCAATATAAATATATATATTTATTTCAACAGCTTTTGGGGTACAAGTGGTTTCTGGTTATATGGATGAATTGTATAGTGCTGAAATCTGAGATTTTATTGCACCCATCACCTGAGTAGTGGACATTGCACCCCAAATTTAGTTTTTTATCCCTTACCCCCTTTCTTTCTCCCCAATTCTGAGTCCTCAAAGTCCATTACACTACTCTGTATGCCTTTGTGTACCCATAGCTTAGCTTCCACTTATAATTAAGAATATGTTGTATTTCATTTTCCATTCCTGAGTTATTTCATTTAGAATAATGGCCTCGAGCTCCATCCAGGTGGCTGCAAAATACATTATTTCATTATTTTTATGGCTGAGTAGTATTTTATGGTGTATATACATCACATTTTCTTTATCCACTCATTAGTCGGTGGCAGTTAGGTTGGTTCCACATCTTTGCAATTGTGCATTGTGCTGCAATAAACATACACAGGCAGGTACATACGGGCATGTATATATCAAAATTTGATATAATGACTTGTCTTTCCTTTGGGTAGATACCCAGTAATAAAATTGATGAATCATATTGTAGATCTACTTTTAGTTCTTTGAGAAATCTCCATACTGTTTTCCACAGAGGTTGTACTAATTTACTTAGAATGGCTATCATTGAAAAAAAAAAAGAAACAAGAGATAACAAGTGTTGGCAAGGGTATGGAGAAAAAGGAACCCTGTACACTGTTGGGAGAATGTAAATTGGTTCAATCGTTATGGAAATCATGGTTGTTTCTCAAAAAATTTAAAATAAAACTACTGTATGATCCACCAATCCCACTTCTGGGTATATATCCAGAGAAAAGGAAATCAGCATTTCAAAGAGCTTTCAGTTCAATGTTCACAGCATTATTCTCAATAGTCAAGTTATAGGAAAAACATAAGTGTCCATCAACAGATGACTAGATGAAGAAAAAGTGATATGCATGCACATATGCACACACATACAAAGTGGAATATAATTTACCCATAAAAAGGAAATCCTGCCATCTGTGATAACATTGATGAATCTGGAGGATATTATACTAAGTGAAATAACCCAGACACAGAAAGATGAATACCGCATGATTGTTCTTATACGTAGAATCTAAAAAAGAGAACTCATAAAAGCAGAGGATAAAATGATGGTTGCCTGGGGCTGGGGGTGGTGGGGGTAGAAGGATTGAGGAAATGTAGTTTAAAGGGTATAAGCTTTCAGCTATAAGGTGAATAAATTCTGAGTATCTAATGTACAACATGTTGGCTATAGTTAACGATACTGTATTGTTTACTTGAAATCTGATAAGAAAACAGATTTTAGGTGTTCTCACCACAGAGACACACACATACACACCCACAAATGGTAACTATGAGTGGTGATGGATATATTAATTTGACTACAGTTATCAGTAAAAAATGTATAGGTATATCAAATCAATCATCATGTTGTATACCTTCAATATACATAATTTATATTTGTAAATTAAATATTTTAAAATTAAAACTAAAGATGTAAGCTCCTAAATAAACTGTAAGCTACTCTCTCATTCATTGAGAAAAACTATTCAGGTGGTCTCTACTGGACAAAGCATGAGTTTTGTGAAGGCTTACTTGCCCTCTAGGGTCTGATTCTGTTATTGGCTAACATGTGAATTCAAGTCAAAGGGCATTACTTACATGAACCAATAATCAACCTTATATTTGAAGATTAATGAAACAAATGTTCAAGAATGTTCTAGTTGTTCCTTCAAATACACATTCTCAAGTACGTATAATGTGTGGCAACACTATGGAATTTTAAAAAGGTTGCTGTAATAAATATACCAAAATGTATATATATGAATACCATGTCATACTGAACATAGTCATTATAATAGACTTTAAATTTGCATAATATAGTATATGAGAGAGAAGTTTCTCTGTTATATCATGCCTATGAAACATTATATCTGTATTATATAGGCATCATGTATTCACAAGTGTCAGACAAAGAGAATAATAAAAAAGACAGATGATCCAGATAATAAGAATTGTGCATACATAAATGTTGCTCCAGGCTAAGGAGTGGAGATTCTCTCTCACCCAACCCTTCTCCACATGCAAACAAGAAAAACTAAACTTTTAAAGAAGAGATTTGCAAATGACCTAATCTAAAATTATAACCCTCCATTCTCTGAGAGAAAATAAACACACACACACACACACATCCATTTATAAAATTCCTTTCCATCCTGCCTTCTCAGCATCAATCTCCTAATCTTTTCCATTTCTACTGTTGAAATCTAACCATCCTCAAAGATAAAACCTTCTGTTTAAAAAATGCACCACTAAACATAACCTCTTGCATCTTATTTCCACTTGAATTTTATTTCCTCTGTGCTCCTGCACCACCTTCATTATAGTTATTATGACAGCACTTATACGTATTTAAATCAAAACACCATAGAAAAGTTCTCAATGAAAATCCATCTTAAACAATGTGAAACTGAGGCTGATCACTTTCAGTGAAAGCTGACAAAAAGAGGAGGAAGTTCATGGTTCTTTTAGCCACTGAATTCAACACATAGTTGTTTTCTCCTTTTCGAAGTATATGATTTCTCTTCTAGGTGTCAGGACTCTTGGATGATAGTTGGCTTGCTTTTATTACTTTGTGAGGTTAAAGTGCCAATTGCAGTTCTACGGTCTAGTCTGCTGATTTGAATAAAAGAAAAAAACGTGTAGTAAAAGGAAGAAATCCTATGTGTATCTGGTGACTGCTAAGTGGGGTGGAACAAATATTAAATCCTTCCTAACTTGGGCCCCAAATGGTAGCTTTCAAATGGTAAATATGGAAACTCTTCATTTCCTGAAGAGGAAATGAAGGTTGGGCAATTGGAATGGGGTCTTTATTTCCAACCAGCCTCCTCTCAAGGACACAGAAGACCCATAGATCAGAGTTTAACTATTTAGGCTGTCTTAACTTCAGTGATTATGACTTAGAAGGCCACAAAAATGAACAAATGGGATAAAATAGTCCAGATTCAGTCCAATGTTTCTTTGCTGATTTCTTTTTGTCTAGAAGATCTGTCCAATGCTGAATGTGGATATGCTATTCTAGGGTAAATTGGTAAATTTTTTTCTGCCTTTAGCACTTTAAATATGTAATGCCACTTTTTCCTGGCCTGTATTGTTTCCACTGAAAAGTCTGCTGCTAGACATGTTGGAGCTCCATTGTATGATCATTGTTTCTTCTTTCTTGCAGGTTTTAGAGCCCTTTCTATATCCTTCATCTTTGGAAATTTGATTATTAAATGCCTTTGGGTTAAATCTGCTTGGTGTTCTATCACCTTCTTTAATTTACACATTAATATCCTTCCCTGGGTTTGAGAAGTTCTCTGTTATTATCCTTTTTATAATTTTTTTTCCTTCTCTTTCTCTACTTCCTCTTAAATGCCAGTAACTTAGATTTACCCTTTTGAGGCTATTTTCAAGATCTGGTAGGCATGCTTTATTGTTTTTCTTTTCTTTTTTTTTGTCACCTTTGACTGTGTATTTTTAAATACCCTGCCTTAAAGATTAAAAGTTCTTCATTCTGTTAGATCAACTCTGCTATTGCAAGACTGATGTATTCTTCAGTATGTAAATTGCATGTTCAACTCCAGAATTTCTGCTTAATTTTTAAAAATTATTTCAATCCCTTTGTTAAATTTTTCTGATAGAATTCTGAATTAATTCTCTGTATTATCTTAAATTTCTTTGAGTTTCCTCAAAACAGCTACTTTTGAATTATTGGTCTGAAAAGTCACGTATTTTCATTTCTCCAGAGTTGGTCCCTGGTATCTTATTTAGTTTGTTTGGTGAGGTAGGGTTTTCCTGAATGGTCTTGATGTTTGTGGATGTTTGTCAGTGTCTGGGCGTTGAAAAATTAGGCATTTATTGTAGTCTCCACAGTGTGGGCTTGTTCGTACCCATCCTTCTTGGAAAGGCTTTCCAGGGATTTTAAAGGACTTGTGTTTTGTGATCTAAGCCATATCTGAATTAAGGGCCACCACAAGCCCGGTAATTCTGCGATTCTTGTAGACTTTTAGAGCTACCACCTTGGTGGTCTTGGATAAGATCTGGGAGAATTCTCTGGATTACCAGGAGGAGAGTCATCTGAGCCCCATGAGCTGGGGGTAGAGTAACACAAGCACCCCTGTGGCTACCACTGCTGGGACTGCACTGGGTCAGACCTGAATTTAGAACAGCACTGGGTCTCCCCAAAGGCCTGTTGTAATCACTACCTGAGTACCACCCCTACCCCCTTGGTCTCTCGAGACCCTAGGGCTCTTCAATCTTCAGTGGGCAAAGCCAGCCAGACTTGTATCTTTCCCTTTATGTGGTGAATTCACTCAGGCTCAGGTGGGTACAGAGATGCCATACGGGAGCCAGGGCTTGAAATCAAAAACCTTAGAAATCTACCTGGTTTCCTGTTGTACTGTGGCTAATCTGGCACTCTAACCAAAAGACATAGTCCTTCTCACTCTTCCCTCTCCTTTCCATAGGCAGAGCATTCTCACTTCATGGCCACCACCACCAGATCGCCACAGATAGTACTGCCAAGGCTACTGCCAATGTTCCCTTAAAGCCCAAGGCCTCTTCAGTCAGCTTGTGGTGAATAATGCCAGGAGGGCAGTGGGCTCCTCTGTGCCCCATGGCAAGTCCAAAAATGTTGTCCAAGAGCCATGGCCTGGAATCAGGGACCCCAAGAGCCCACCTCGGTCTCTAGCCCCTGTGGCTGGCTGGCACCTAAGGTGCAAAACAAAATCCCCTTTACTTTTTCTTCTGCTTTTCTCAAGCAGAATGAGTCCTTCACCACAGCTGCCACAGCTAGGAATGTGATGGGCTTCATCTGAAGCCAGCATGCCTCTGAGTCTCCCCCAGGATCCACCGCATACTACCTAGATATTGTTAATGGTTATTCAGGGTATAAACACCCTTTCGTCAACAGGTGATGGTTCCTGCCAGGACTTGGTCCTTTCCATCAAGGCAACAGGTTCCCTTCTTCTCCAGGGTGTGTCTAGAAATTTCATCCAGGAGATAGTGTCTCATGATTCTGACTGGTACTCTATCCTACTGTGGATGAGCTGGTATCTAATATGTAAGGCAAAGTTCTCCTTACTCTTTCCCCTCCTCTCCCCAAGAGGACTAAAAGGTCTGTTTTAGAGCTGTTACCTGTGCTGCCTGAAGTCGGGGTAGGGGTGGTCCAAGCACTCCCTTAGCCACTCTGGCTGGTGTTTCAGTAGGTCGCATATCCCCCAGTTACACTGGCTCTGAGCCCAACTCAACACTAGCTCTCAGCTAGGTTTGCAGCCCTTGTGCCTTAGACTGTTTTTCAAGTGTGTTTGGAACCTCAGAACACTTTAGCCCATGGTGGTGAGGCTGGCTGAATCTCAAGTCCCAACCACTGGGATGGGCCATTCTCCCCTGGCTAGGGCTCCTCTAAATGCTCCTTCCATGAATGGGTGTCAGCTGAGATCAGCCCAGTGTCAGCTGAGATCAGCCCAGTTTTGCTTTCTGCTGTGACAGGGCAGTGCTGAGTTCAATGCAAAATCTCACAATTGGGGCACTCTCCCTCTCCGAAGAGCACAAATTCTCTCTGTGCCACATGGCTGCTGCCGGCGGATTTGTGTGTTGGAGGGTGTTGGTGAATCATGACTGTCTTACCTATTCTCTTCAGTGCCTCTTCCGGTGATATGAGGTTAAAGTGAGGTACTGTGACTGCTCACCTGATTTTTGGTGAGGTCGTGATTTTTGGTTCTAATGAATGTACTCTTTTTGTAGATTGTTGCTAAATTTGGTATTCCCGCAGGGGGTAGGGGGAAATTGGTAGAGCCTTCTATTTCGCTATTTTGCTCTGTTACACCTACACTTTATTTTTTAAAGGTGAAGTAATTTTATCATATTTCTTCATGTTTTAAAAACATTAAGAGATGATGCTTTATCTTCAAACATTTACCGTCAACCTTCTGCTCCTCCCCATGGAATTACTGGGTTATAAAAATACCACTTTGCTTTTTTTACATATTTGTTTTCATGAAATTTCTTGAGTTTTTCTGTAGAAGCATTTTTATTGCCCTCATATTTTGTTAATGTAATGTTTTGTAAATTTTTATGACACTTGATTGCTTTCAGAGGTGTTATACATCACTGCTATAAACGTTACAAAGATCTTCACTGAGACTATACATTTTTACTTTTATTTTAAATTCAAGGTGTACATGTGTTGGTTTGATTCCTGGGTATATTGCATGATCCTGAAGTTTGGTTATGATTGATCCCATTGCCAAGGTACTAAGCATAGTACCTACTAGTCTTTCAACCCTTGTCCCCCTTCCTCCGTCCCTCTTTCAGTAGTCCCCAGTTCCCATTGTTACCATCTTTATGTCCATGTGTATCCAATGATTAGCTCCCACTTAGAAGCAAGAACGTGCAGTATTTGGTGTTCCGTTCCTGAGTTAATTAGCTTAGGATTATGGCCTTCAGCTGCATCTGAGTTGCTACAAAGGACATGATTTCATTCTTTTTATGGTTGTCTAGTATTCCGTGGTGTATATGTATCACGTTTTCTTTATCCAATCCACTATTGATGCACACCTAGGTTGATTCCATGTCTTTGCTATTGTGAATAGTGTTGCGATGAATATGTAAGTGCATGTGAGTTTTTGGTGGAAATATTTGTTTTCTTTTGGATATGTTCCCAGTAATGGAATTGCTGGGTTGCATGGTAGTTGTGTTTTAAGTTCTTTGAAAAATCTCCAAACTGCTTTCCACAGAGGCTGAACTACTTTACATTCCCACAAACAATGTATAAGCATTCCCTTTTCCCTGCAACCTTGCCAGCATCTGTTGTTTTTCACCTTTTTAATGATAGCCATTCTGACTGGTGTGAGATGGTATCTCAATGTAGTTTTGATTCGCATTTCTCTGATGATTACTGATGTTAAGCATTTTTCCATATGTTTGTTGGTCACTCATATGTCTTCTTTTGAGAAGTCTGTATTTATAACTTTTGCTTATTCTTTTTTTTTTTTTTTTTTTGAGACGGAGTCTTGCTCCGTCACCAGGCTGGAGTGCAGTGGCACGATCTTGGCTCACTGCAACCTCCGCTTCCCAGGTTCAAGCAATTCTCCTGCCTCAGCCTCCGGAGTAGCTGGGATTACAGGCATGTGCCACCATTCCCAGCTAATTTTTCTATTTTTAGTAGAGATGGAGTTTCACCATGTTGGTCAGGCTGGTCTCGATCTCCTGACCTCATGATCCACCTGCCTCGGCCTCCCAAAGTGCTGGGATTACAGGCATGAGCCACCGTGCCCGCCCTGCTCATTTTTAATGGGCTTGTTAGTTTTTTGCTCGTTCGATTGTTTAAGTTCCTTATAGATTCTTGGTATTAGACCTTTGCCAGATGCATAGTTTGCAAATATTTTCTCCCATTCTGCAGGTTGTCTGTTTACCCTGTTGATAGTTTCTCTTGCTGTTCAGATGCTCTTTAGTTTAATTAGGTCTCACTTGTCAATTTTTGGGTTTGATGCAATTGCTTTTGAGGACTTGAGACTATACATTTCTAATACTCTTCCACTTAGATTTTTTAAGACCTATAAAAATTAGCATTTTAGCACCATTTTAGTATCAGTTTCCTATGAACTACTTGAATATAGTTTCACCATTTCTGCCATCTAGTATGTTTTGTAGTTACATTTGTCCAACCTTCCCTGTGAATGCAGCTTGAGTTTAGTGTAGTTGCTACATGAATTTATCTCTTTTAAACATTCAACCTTTTCATCACATATTACTTGCAACTACTATAAAAGTTATAAAATTATAAAAGCTCTTAATAATAGAGAGTAAAAAATCATATATTTTAATATGATACAGGAGTCTTCACGAACTAGAAACTTAATATACTCAGCAAGCATTTTCATTTTTGGCCAGATGTGTAATTTTTTAAAATTTTATTGACTAAATTGATAAATTAAGACAAAATCTTACATCTTTATACTCTTTGTTCAAGCAAACCTATATATAAAGCACTGGTTTAGAAGTTGTGAGTGGCCATCACTGATATTTAGTTCATTATATAAAAAAAAATATATTTTATATATATATATATATCAGGCAATATATGCTATATTATGCTATAAGAACAATAATCACAAATTTTCAGTGGCTTAAAACAACCAAAGGTTTACTTTTGCTTATGCTGCATATTCATTTCTAATTGGAAGGGGCTTCTGATCATTACGTTTATTCGGGGACCCACACTGAGAGAGCAATCAGCATCCCAAGTGTTCTTGGTGTCTTTTCCTTTGGGCATAGTCTCATTGAGAGATTCGCTTTGGAAATTTAATTCCCCAGCTGGAAAAAAAAATAGCAATGAATGGGGCTGGAGAAAGTTTTGGGAGGTGATGAATATGTCTATGGCCTAGGCATACTCATTCTCAAATTCATTGACTTGTATACATTAAATGTATACAGCTTTTTACATGTAAGCCACAGGTCAGTAAGGAGGTTAAAAAAAATCCTCCAGTTAGGAGTGATTATACATGAATTCTACTTATAATTTGTTGATCAAGCTTCATAAAGCCCAACTCGTCAGGCACAAATGTAATCCTACCACATGCCTAGCAGATAGAGACCTGGACATATTTGGTGAAGAACATTAATTGTTATATTATATATATATTTACACTATATGATCAATTACAGAAATCTGCTACTCAACCACAAGTTTATTCGTCTCATGTACCCAGAAGACAGGGATCTGGGCATATTTGGTAAAGAGGATTAATGGTTATTCCACACTATATAGTTTTCACACTATGTGATCAACTAAAAAAAAAATCTTGATTAAATGCATAGGCCCAAATTTTAAAAATAAAAACCTGTGTAACTGATTAACATGTTTTATCTTCAAGTTGGATGACTCATATTCAAATTAAATGCCTCATGTTCAAGTTAGATGTTCTGTTAAAAACAGGAATTTCCTGGTCAAGTTAAGCTATCTTAAAACACAACCCAAACCAAAAATTATAGTAGAGCGTTTACATAGTATATGAGATAGCTGCAGAAATTGTGACATTCGTATTTTAGATCAAAATTCCTCTACTTTAAAAATAATGTTTGTATTCATAATTGAAAAAGGTCAATGTGAATTTTTATATTGGCTACACAGAACCTAATTACATGATGCGAATTGAATTTTCCCTCGAAATTACCTTTGGTCATAGTTATGAATATAAAGATCTTGTCCTTGTGTTTATTAATTTCTTAACTGAAAAATATCAAAGGAACATTACTCTTTTTCCATTTTGGACTACAATATGGGACTCTTTAAAAATAAATTGACACATTTCCCACATATCAGTTTATTTTTAAAGAGTCCCGTATCGTAGTCCAAAATGGAAATAAGAGTTGCTTTTGGTCATTTTTAGCAGAGGTTAGGATAAACCATATTAAATAGGGAAGAAGGAAGACTTTGCTGTCTTACTCTTAGCTCCTGTTTATTCTCTGCCACTCTTTTCCTGCAGCCTCTCTGAAAGGCCTTCCTAGTTTGCTGGAAAGAGTACTAAAACAAGGAATCATCTTTTAGGTTATACACACACACACACATATATATATACATATGTATATATAAGTATACCTATGTGTATTCTGAAACATATATGTAATATATATTCTAAAACAAAAGTATTATGAAATAATAGTTATTCTTAGTATGTGACATGTTTTCTAATATAGTGTGCTATTGTATTTTATTAAATTGCATTAAAAATAAGTGTTTCTTATGACCCAGTAAATTGAACTAAAGTTTGAAATAAGTTTTAGAGAACTTAATAATTTGATTATAAATGCCCTCCATGAATATGTAGAGTGCAATATATAAACACCGGAAATGAAATTTTAATATTAAAATTTATATTAATAATTGATCAAGGAGGACAGAGAACAGGTCTGATGTATCAGTATATCCCTTGTGCCTAGTACAGGATCTGAATAGCGTAAATGCTCACTCACTGTGGAAGGAAGAAAGAAAGGGAGGGAGGAGGAAGGGCTGGGGAGGGGAGGGGGAAGGGAAGAGAAGGGTAAGGAAAGGAAGGAAAGGAAAGCGGGGAGGGAGAGAGAGAAAGGAATATTTCTTCATCATAGAATCTTATTTTTTGCATAATTCTGGGGAGATAAAAATAGAAATCATGGGTGGTTCTTCAAAATATCAAACATAGAATTATTATATGGTCCAGAAATTTTACTTCTATAAAGTGAAATATGATATATATAGTGGTATATACCTAACAAAATTAAATCAGGGACTTGAACAGTTATTTGTATACCCATTTTCTTTTCTTTCCTTTTTTTTTTTTTTTTTTTTAGATGGAGCCTCCTTCTGTCACCCAGGCTGGAGTGCAATGGCACCATCTCGGCTCACTGCAACCTCCATCTCCCGGGTTCAAGGGATTCTCCCGCCTCACCCTCCCAAGTAGCTGGGATTACAGGTGCACGCCACCACGCCCAGCTAATTTTTGTATTTTTAGTAGACACAGGGTTTCAGCATGTTGGCCAGGCTGATCTCAAACTCCTGACCTCTGAGGATCTGCCCGCCTCAGCCCTACAAAGTGCTGGGATTACAGGAGTGAGCCACCGCGCCCAGCCTGTATATCCATTTCCTTAGTGGCATTATTCACAATAGCCAAAAGCTTGAAATAATCAAAATGTCCATCAATAGAGGAATGGTTTAAAAATTTGGTAAATGCATACTGTGGAGCAGCATTCTGCTTTAAAAAGAAATGAAATTCGGAGGCATGCTACAACATGGATAAACTTTGAAAACATGATGCTGAGTTAAGTATTCCAGACACACAAAAAAACAAATATTGTAAGATGGCACTTTTATTAGGTAGCCAGAGTAGTCATATTTATAAAGACAGAAAGTAGAACAGAGGTTACTAGGCAGAAGGTAAGGAAGAATGGGGAGTTTTTGCTTAATGAGTACAGAGTTTAAGTTAGAAATGATGAAAAAGTTCTGGAGATGGGTAGTATAGATGGTTCTAAATCAAGTGAATGGACTTAATGGCACTGAATTATACACTCAAAAAGTTTAAAGTGATATGTTTTATGTTATGCATATTTTACTACAATACAATAGAATATAAATTATGATTTTATACATATTTTACAATGTCTTATAATACCTCATATTTGTTGTACTTCTTTAGAGATTCTAAAGTGATTTAGTATATTATCTTATTTGACACTCAAAAAACAGCCATGTAACAAACACAGGGTAGGTGTGATTGCTCCATGTTGAAAATGAGATAACTGGAGTTCAAGCAGTTTAAGTGACTTGTCTAAGGATACACAGTTAAATAAGTAGAGATATAGAACCTTAAATTCATTCCAGGTCTTCTGACTTAGGTTTAAAGCTCTTCTCTAAGTGTTACTCTTTTCAAGAAACTAATAGTAATCTCAAATCTCTGTAGTGATCTAGTCCTTAGTTATAGATTAAACCCTTATCATAATGCATTCAACTAACCTGACCTTTACAGTTTAAACCCCAGATCAGATAAAAATACTTGGAAGAGCATAATGACTCAATCCTATCACAACATAGAGCTGGATTAGATAACACCAAGGCAACTTTATGACTAATAAATATATGATTTAACACAGAGACTAATCCAATAAAGTCCCCAAGTAAACCTATGTAGAAACAGCCAATGTCTTTTAGTGCCAACACTCCGTTCCTTATCTGGACACAGATGCTTGTTTTTTGGCTAATAGTACTTGCTTCAGGTGGTTTGTTTGTTTTTCCCACGATGCAGTTGGAAATGAGAGAAATTCAATGCATTCAAACTGCCTGTGGGTGTCAGGAAGCTCATTTACATGTGCAAGTAAAACTCACAGCAAGAAAACAAGTACTAAGGAACGAGACAGGAATATGATCATACTGTCTCCTTTATTCATATTCAACATATATTAAGCCTCTCTCTCTCTCATTCTCTCTCTCGTTCTCTCTCCCTCTCTGTCTTGCTCCCAAATGCAACCCTTTCAGAAATACAAAGTCAGCTTTTCCAAACTTGTTGAAATGCTACAAATACATTTGAGAGATCCTTTTGAGTTAATTCTGAAACATATAATTCACTGCTCACCTATCAGTTCCTCGGGAACATAGTGCAGTAGTAACATGGATGATCAGCAGAATGGCTGCTGAAATCTGTCAGAATGATATCATCTTGCTTTTACTCTCTGACAGATTTGACAGGTACAATTTCTTGGAGCTTCTTTCATTATTTTAGAACAGAGATGGGGTGGAATGAAATCTTCCACCTGCCTGGCTGCCTGTGGCACATTCCAAAAATATCTAACCCACCTCTGGGTTCACAGGGAATTGAAAAGAAGAGTGAAAGCTCCATTGGACTTTCATAAAGATAGATGTCTTCTTATAGATATTGCCTTACAAACTGCACCTGTCGATTGGCATGACCCCTCGGTGGGAATCAAGATGTCAGTAAGCCTCTCTTTGAAGGATTCCTTCAGTGAACAACCCTGTCCATTGTTCTCAGACCTTCCTAGAGGAGATCAGAAAGCCACATCTTGCCACTGACCTTATTTTTTTTTGTTATATAGGACCCGTGAATAATAAAGCAACTGAGATGACAGACCCTATACGTTTACCCACAAACCGTTCTTCAATTTGCGACATGACAATTTCCACTGGTTCACACTCCTAAATTCATCTCTTGGGGCATTCATAACACACTATGCTCCTAATTACATTTACCAATATCTGACCAGTAGTATAATTTTCTTTGTAGTATTATGTAGCCTACAAGAATATAAGTTCATCTTTATATTCCTGGAGCTTGGCCCATAGTAGGTGCTTAGAAAATGTTGGTTGAGTCAGGTTAAATGAAGTAAAATATAGGGTCCTAATACATTAAGTAAAACATGTTAATAATATTCTCACACATTACTTATCAGTGGTTAACTAATACATGCTTTTTAAGTAAAATAGATAAGTTTAAATTAAATAAAGGTTGAGGCATCCCAAGGTATTGTTGACCATGGAAAAATATGACATCCCATCATTACTAAAAAATCAGTTGCAGCTGCTTCATTTCTTATTGTTGCTCTTCCCCAAGCCCAAGACACTTGAATCAGAATTTACTGAAGGTTCACAAGCAATTATGCTTGTTGCACTTCCTGGGGTGACCACAGGGTCAAACAAGGAGGAAGCAGTGGGATGATCTAAAAGATGAGAAAGATAAAAAAAAAATTGAAGTGGGTGAAAACTTTATGGCCCAGCTAATCCCAGCAGATGATGATTGAGATACCTAAGGCATACCTCAGCCTCACATGACTTGAGGTGAGGCACAAGAGACATCTAATACCTGCCCACTAAGCTTAAATAAATATAAGAAATAAGTCTTTTTAGTACAAAACTAAATACCAACTGTTTATCATCTCAGAGTTTCATTCAAATTGAATCAATATACTTGGAGTCAAGTGTGCTACATAAAATAACTAAAATCTGATTATATTCCTTATTCTTGAGTACAATCTGCTTTGAAAGGTATGAGGGTATATATGATGGCATTGAATGCCTATAACTATCAGATTGTCAGTTTACCTTTCTAGATCATTTTTTTACCAAATACAAGTGAAATATCAGTTTGTTCCTCTTAAACAAACAAACAAGCATGCTTTAATTTCAAATGTGATTACTTCTTGTGTCCTCTTCAAACACACACACACACAATAATATATTATTTGGTGTAGTCTGGACACATCAATACTTTCTCAGCTCTCCAACCATGCTAATTCTGTATCTTTCATTAAAATGCTTTTACATCTCCCAAATTTTCTGCCTTCTCTTCTAAGTTTCACATCAAATACTAATTCCTCTCTGAACACCTCTCTAAATGCCCTCAGTAGCTTAGAGTACTCCCCTACTCTGCACCCTCAAACACGTTTTGTGTTTATCATATGAATTACAGCATTTTGGCCTCTAATAATATTTATATTTTAGTATATGTATATACCCAACCCCACTTTAAGTTCCACTGAAGTAGGTGCACAGTTAAATTACTTTTGCATTTCAATGGCAACTAGGACTGTATGGCACAAATAGTCATTATTTCATACATATAGTTTGAATAGCATTCCATAACCATTGTTTGAATAATTCTAAGTTCGCATTTCCCAATCCTATCAACTGTGACAAACAGGTTTCTTTTTCATCACATCCTTATCTCCTCCTCTACATCCTTTATACCCAAAGAGAACTAACTAGTTCAGAAAACTCAGAGACCCTGTTATATGGATACTATCCTCAATTCCCAACATCTGTGATATAAGCAACTACCCTGGGAATGACGCAGAGACCATTTATAAGAGATGCATCTGATCTTTGACAAACCTGACAAAAACAAGAAATGGGGAAAGGACTCCCTATTGAATAAATGGTGCTGAGAAAACTGGCTAGCCATATGTACAAAGCTGAATCTGGATCCCTTCCTTACACCTTATACAAAAATTAATTCAAGATGGATTAAAGACTTAAATGTTAGACCTAAAACCATAAAAACCCCAGAAGAAAACCTAGGCAATACCATTCAGGACATAGGCATGGGCAAGGACTTCATGTCTAAAACACCAAAAGCAATGGCAACAAAAGCCAAAATTGACAAATGAGATCTAATTAAACTAAAGGGCTTCTGCACAGCAAAAGAAACTACCATCAGAGTGAACAGGCAGCCTACAGAATGGGAGAAAATTTTTGCAATCTACCCATCTGACAAAAGGCTAATATCCAGAATCTACAAAGAACTCAAACAAATTTACAAGACAAAAACAAACAACCCCATCAAAAGTGGGCTAAGGATATGAACAGACACTTCTCAAAAGAAGACATTTATGCAGCCAAAAGACACATGAAAAAATGCTCATCATCACTGGCCATCAGAGAATTGCAAATCAAAACCACAATGAGATACCATCGCACACCAGTTAGAATGGCAATCATTAAAAAGTCAGGCAACAACAGATGCTGGAGAGGATGTGGAGAAATAGGAACACTTTTACATTGTTGGTGGGACTGTAAACTAGTTCAACCATTGTGGAAGACAGTGTGGCGATTCCTCAGGGATCTAGAACTAGAAATACCATTTGACCCAGCTATCTGGTTACTGGGTATATACCCAAAGGATTAGAAAGCATGCTGCTATAAAGACACATGCACACATACGTTTATTGCGGCACTATTCACAATAGCAAAGACTTGGAACCAACCCAAATGTCCATCAATGATAGACTGGATTAGGAAAATGTGGCACATATACACCGTGGAATACTATACAGCCATAAAAAAGGATGAGTTCATGTCCTTTGTAGGGACATGGATGAAGCTGGAAACCATCATTCTCAGCAAACTATCGCAAGGACAAAAAACCAAACACCGCATGTTCTCACTCATAGGTGGGAATTGAACAATGAGAACACACGGACACAGGAAGGGGAACATCACACACCGGAGCCTGTTGTGGGGTGGGGCGTGGGGGGAGGGATAGCATTAGGAGATATACTTAATGTAAACGACGAGTTAATGGGTGCAGCACACCAACATGGCACATGTATACATATGTAACAAACCTGCACGTTGTGAACATGTACCCTAGAATTTAAAGTATCATTAAAAAAATAATAATAATAAAGAGATGCACCTTAGTGGCCCTCTTGGTGCAGTGGACAGCAGTTCAATTTTATAATTTAAGACAGACATCTCCTACCAGAGTTGAGCCTCATATTTATATTGTGTAGAATTGAATGGATAGTATTTGCATACAAGGCTTGTGTAAACATTAAGGATTAAAATAATGTGATTGTCACAGAAAAATGTGCATTTCCTTACAAAGGAAAGCAAATGGATATTAAAAATGAAGGAGAACATTGCTGCTGTAATATTCTAATATCAAACTAATGGCAGCAGAAACTCACTAGAAGAGTCTATGCACTAGTGATGATTAGCAGATATTAGTTTTAGATATGTGTTATGTTATCATATTATCATCAGTGGCATCAACAAATTACATTCCCTTATGGATTCTAAGAAAAAATCTTGTAAAAGTCATGGTGGATGAGGTGAAAAAGTATTTTTTACAAGCAAATCATTGGGAGGCTCAGGTGGGTGGATCACCTGAGGTCAGGAGTTCGAGACCAGCCTGACCAACATGGAGAAACCCCGTCTCTGTTAAAAACACAAAATTAGCCAGCGTAGTGGTGGGTGCCTGTAATCCCAGCTACTCAGGAGGCTGAGGCAAGAGAATCACTTGAACCCGCAAGGCGGAGGTTGCGGTGAGCCAAGATCGCGCCATTGCATGCACTCTAGCCTGGGCAATAAGAGCAAAACTCCATCTCAAAAAAAAAAAAAAAAAAAAAAAAAGCAAATCACTGTGGAATAATTAATAAGCATTTCCAAGCCCAGGCACTGAAATGTCTCTTATCTCTGAAATTTCCTCTTTATTTCCAAATTATTCAAGAGTCAAGAACAGTTAATAATACAAATAGAAAAACTCCAACACTTATAAAAACAGTATACTAATATATTAAATAAAATAAGAATATTGAACTGGGCTGGTATTTTGTAAAGATAAAACATTCATTACTTGTACTAAATTATTACCTTTTATGTATTCAATTCAATTTAATTTTATTGTTGTGAAAGTTATATAAGTACATAATTTACAAGTTAAATTGTACTTCAAAGTACGTAACCAAAACAACAGTTCCAGTCCTTTGCCATATTCTTGCCCCCTCCCCCAATTTTCATTCTCCAAAGCTAACCATTTCACTTGTTTTTTGTTTGTTTCTACATATATTTTCCTCCTTATTTAAAATAATGTTCTTATATTTTATTATTAGATTGTATGTGCATATATATATATATATATATATATATATATATATATCCACCTGGCTTCCTACTATCCACTAAGAAATCTTAACAATCTTTATACCACTACACTGACCCATCACCCACTCAACGTTCTTTTAATCACTATCATGTGAATATAGGTATGCCACTATTTCTGGTTAAATAAGTATTCAGTTTTTAAATAATTTTTACCAATATATACATATTTTTACAGCTGTGTCACTTTGATTTACTTTTATTGTAACAGATTTATTTCTTTACTCAGTGAGCTGATTCTTATTTATATTTCCTGTTTGTTTCATTGGTTAGTTATTAAAGTATGAGGAATGTTGCCTAACACTCACACTGCAGCATACATCCCTTTTCCATATAAACATTGTAGGTAATTAATCAGTTTCGTTTATTGTTTTCTTTTTCTGTAATGCTTATTCTATGTACATTTTCTGCCCCAATACAACCACAAACACACTTTAATGATCTTCCTTAATAGAAGATATTTTTAGTTCTATTTTACATATTTGCTTGTTTATATTTAGGCAACCAGCATCATACCCTTATTATCTGTCTGCTGTTGCCAACGCAAAAGCTCATTAATAAGTAGGGTGACCAATTATCCAGGGTATACCAGGAGATGGGTCCTTCAGTGCTAAGTCCAGGAAAGTTTTGGGCAAACTAAATACCTAGTCACTCTATGACAAAATTTAGTCAATTTATGTTCAATAGCCAGCCTCCTTTTATGATTTCCATATGTTTTCTCTATTTTCTATTTATATTATTTTATACTTGGAAAAAAACTGTAATCTGTAATCTTTTCTAAACTCTATAGTGAATGGAGTTCAGAAAATTGAAATCAGATGAGTAGACTTCCATGAACTTCTCATTACACTATGAGCTCCATGAAGTCAGGGACCATGTCTGATTTGTTCACTGTCACATTCCAAGAATTCAGCAGAGATCTGGACACATATTATATTGCTGAATGAATTAATTCTAGAATTCTACCTTCCATCAAAACTTCACTGAGAGAAAGAGAAAATGATAAGCCCCAGTATCCCTTGCCCTAGAAACACCAATTCTATGCATGCCTACATATACACACCTGAATTTACTTTGGTATTTGACCTAGGTGTCTGTTAATTTTATGTGTCAACCTTATTTGGCCATGGAGTTCCGAGATTGCTGGTAAAACATTACTTCTTAGTGTGTCAGGAAAAGATTAACATTAAGAGTGTGTCAGGAAGAGATTAACATTTGAATTTGTAGACTGAGTAAAGAAGAACTTTCCTCACCAATGTGGGTGTGAACCATCCAATGTGTTGAGGCTCTAAGAAAACAAAAGACAGTGGAAGGGTGAATTATCTCTCTCTCACTGCCTGTCTCTATTTGAGATGGGACATCCATCTTCTCCTGCCCCTGGATGTCTGCATTCCTGGTTCTCTGGCCTTCCAAATCCAGGACTTTAACCAGTCCACCCCTGTGGTTCTCAGGCCTTTGGACTCAGACTGGGAATTACATCATCAACTACCCTAATTCTCAGGCATTTGGATTTGGACTGAGCTATCAGTTTTTCTGGTTCTCCAGTTTGCAGATGGCATATTGTGGGATGTCTTAGTCTCCATAATCATGTAAGCCAATTTCTACTATCTCTCAATCTCTCTCTTTCCTCCCTTCATACACACACATACATACTTACACAAACACCACACACACACACACACACACACACACACATATCCTATTCTGTGTTTTTGGAGAACTCTAACACAATGTCCTTGGATGTATTTATTGTCTATCTGCCCTTCAGCACTCTAAACTCCATGAGGTCATAATAAACTCTATTGTAATGTACTTTTAACCCTCAGCATCTATCTCTGATCCTAGCACACAGTACTTGTTCAATATATATTTATGGGAAGAAGAAAAGTGGAAGTAAGGAAAGAATATTTTTAAATATACATATGATACAGCTGGTATTGAGTTAACAGATGTAAGTCTAGGGAAGGTTTGTTATATTAAGAAAGATGGAGTTTGTGGTATATAAATGGGCCTGCAGCATCTGAGAACTTTTGCGTTTTTAAAGTGCCCAAGATACTGTTCCCAAGGGAATGGTGAAATGAGAAAATCTCAAAATTGACGCCTCCACAAAAGCAATAAGAACATGAGCAAAAATTGTCAAAATTAATTTTTTTAGAACTCTGAAAATGAGCCAAAGTCTTACAAGAATCTGAGGAACTTTTATTTAAAAAAATGGCTCCATTTTTATAGGAATAGAGAGTTTTGTGACAATTTATCTTGATCTATTTTCATCTCCCTCTCTTCAACTCTGTGATAGTCTGGAATTCTGGAATTAGATATCAGTGATGGTTGCACAATTTTTAGTAATGTACTAAAAAAATCAAACTGCACACTTTAAATGAGTCAGTATGTTTTATGCAAATTATATCCCAATAAATCTACTATAAAAATTAGGAAGCAAATCAGTGTTTCCTACGGTCTTGGGGAAGGGGAATGGGGAGTGACTGCTAATAGAGTATAAGATGTCATTTTAGAGTGATGAAAATATTAGAATCAGATGTGGTGATGGTTGTATGGCTCCCCGTATGTGCTAAATGTCATTGGACTGTACACTTTAAAAGGATTAATATTTAAATGGGATTTATATCTCAATAAAGCCATTATAAAAAAGAGAGAGGCTATTTAATTACAGATGTTAAGCAAAATCATGAGTAAAAATATGTATATTTGAAATGTTACACATTATTTTGGTGAGCCAAAGTTGGTCTTAACTAGAGAGATGAGCCTGATACCACAAGAACTAAATGAATTAATATCAATATAGCACTTCATGTAGTACCTAGAATTTAAAAGGGACTCAATCAATTCACATGATATGGTATTCATGTTTATGTCTCCTATACTACCTAAACTTTGTACTTCTACAGGGTGGTGACCTAACCTGATTCATTGTAGGAAAATAGTGAGCATCATGATGAATCCTGTGCACGCTAGACCTCATTTCTTGGTTTTAAGTTTTGACTGTTCCATTTCTCATCTATGAGATCATTTACAAATCAGTCTCTATACCTCATTATCTTCATGGGCAAGTAGAGATTATAATAGTCTATAATTTTCAGGTTGATTATTAAGATTTATGAGTTAATCCATGTAAAATAGCTAGTGCCTGGCACATGTCAGCAAGTAATATATGTTAGTTGTTATTCCCAATACCTAGCACAATGTCTGGCATATGGCAGACACTCAACTGAATTTTATGTGAGTGAGATGCATGCCTTGTTTATTTTAGGGACTTCAATGGGAGAAGTTGAATACGTTGCGTGATTTTTGGAAACTTGAGCACCGAGAGGCATCCGGAGTCAGCTCAAGCAACCTGAGTGGGGTGGGGGCAATGTGTCATTTGCTTCCATTGCATTTGATTCCTCTTCCTCCCTGATGGTCCTGCTGCTTGCAAGAACACCGTATCCTATTTACGAAGTTTTCTTAGTCCTCACGTCTAATCCCCCAAGTTGGTCAGCTGTGACAGTCAGTTTCTTCTGGGTAACAAGGCAAGAATAGTTGATATTATTGAAGCATGAAGAACTTAAGATGAAACTGACTGATCATTTTCTAAAGTAATTAAAGCCAAGCAAACAGAAACAACTCTTGTTAGGCAAAGAGGCTGTTTGTGCTAAGAGATATGTACAGCAGTATTATGTGTCACCTCCAATTCATCTTAAAATCTCATGGTACATTTCCTTTACGATAGGCTGCAAAGGGAACCTGGTAAAGTTTCCCAATGTTTGCTTTCAGAGACTGTGTATGTGGACACTATTCAAATGTGAAAATTTTAATTATTTTTTTTTTTAGTAAAGGAATCTAGGGCCTCTATTGGTACAGAAGATATTTCAAACCTAGAATTGAGTGCCTTCCAAGAAATGGCTCAATGCCATGTGCATTGACATTGACTCCCCAGCCACCATAATTTATGGAAATCAATTAGATAATGGGCTGTTTTGCCTGTTTTTATGAAAATGCCCATTTGAAACCTTGGCATTGATGGCAAAGACTTTCTCTGCTGTGTATGGAAGGCAGCCAGCCAAATGGTCTGCATGGAATTCCTTCATTAATTTGGAATGGCAGGATTAAATGATTTCCTTTGAAAACTATAGTCAACCGATAAGGGCCTCACCAGGGAGGTGTGTAGCTATTTGTTCACACCTTTTCAGCCAAGCAGAAAACCTGAAGATGAATCATTATGTCCAGACATGAAACCCAGAGGGTAAGAAACATCAGTTGACCCTAGCGGTCATTCTACATGCTGACCATACAATCACTGTCCCTACCAACAACCAAAACCTGATCAGTATATCACACTCACTATGACTATATCTTTCTTACACGAGATTTTATCTTAAGCAGCTTCTCAATCAGAACTTCCACCATCCCCCAAATAATTCTATTGAGCTCATTCCTCAATTTCTCCAAGCTTTCACAGACTGCATGAGTCCTAGCAGTGGATGTAACTTAGGTTCAGAATCTAAGCTTACTAACTAATAAACTCCTTAAGCTAGTAGGCACCTTCTGACCATCTCTTCAACTCTACTGAATTACTTGCAGTTCACACAGAATGTCACATTTTCTCATGAGGTTGCTCCTGTTTGGGATATTCTCACTGCTCCTCATGTTGTCTGTCTGAAAATCTACTCATTCTTCAACATTTCTCAAGAATCAATTATACTTCCAAATTCTCTTGACTACTTGCATTCCACAGTCACCTTATGCTCACTCCCAGGCACACATGTGTACACAGATGCAGATACATAGATTTCATGTTTTGTTCCCATGTGCTTCAAAAGACCCTATCAAGTGTTGCACACTGTTCTAAGTGCTTTATATCTGTCAACTCACGTAATCCTCACGACCACCCTAAGAAGAAGGTACTATTATAGACTTTGTTTTACAGATGAGTAAAATGGGGCACAGAGAGCTTAATTAACTTGAATATAGTCACTCACAGTTAGATGTTTTGGAGTCAGGATTAGCACCCTGGCAGGGAAGTCTATAGACTTAATCACCGCACTATATACAGAAACTCTATTAGGCTTGTATACTCATTTGGAACATGTGTCCTAGACTTGTGCAGCTCTTGTGGGCAAACGGGTCAGCCTTTCTATCAAGCTAACAAAAGAGAGATAATAAAATGGCACTGGAGTGGCCAATGTGACTATCCCACGGCAGAATGTGCCCTGTGGGTTTCAAGTTATTAACCTGGTTTGTTCCATTCCACAGACCTGGCTGCAGCAAAAACATCTCGCTTTTATAGTGACCTGTTATGAAACAGCAAATGTCAACCACCATAAAATTCACAAGACATAATTCTCATAAGAAGCACCATCTTTTGTGTACATTTTCTCACTGAAGTATGAGAAGGTCAAACTCTGCTTAATGACTTGAATTTAGAAGAAAACAAAACCAAACAAATACACACACGCACACACAACACAAAAACAGGGCTTCAGTACAAAGCAATATTGACATTCTTTTCTGCTGATCAATTGTGTTCTTATTGCTAGCATCTCTGTGTGAAAGGGGGTGGAATTTTAAAACTAACTGCCTTAACCCTTTGGGTTCCCTCTGCTGAATACTCTTGGGTAGGAAAAATATTTTAATGGGTTCTTCAAAGAATACGTTTTGGGAAAATGCTTTGTTCTTCTTTGCAAATTCTTATTATTGACCACACCCTTAAAGTAGGCCAGTTGGATATGTCGAAATCACCCGCCTTCTGCGTTGGTCTCGCTGGGAGCTGCAGACTGGAGCTGTTCCTATTCGACCATCTTGCCTGACTTACTTCAAGTTGTTTATTTTTTACTATAAATTATGAAATAGTGCAGATAACATGATAGTTTTATTTTATATTGAAATAATTTCAAACTTACAGAAAAGTTAAAGAAACAATATCAACAAATTCCAACTGAGGTACCCAGTTCATCTCACTGGGACTGATTAGACAGTGGGTGCAGCCCACTGACGGCTAGCAGAAGCAGGGTGGGGCATCGCCTAACCAGGGAAGCACAAGGGGTCAGGGAACTTCGTCCCCTAGCCAAGGGAAGCCCATAGGGACTGTGCCCTGAGGGACAGTGCTCTCTGGCCCAGATACTACACTTTTCCCATGGTTTTTGCAATCCGCAGACCAGGACATTCCCTCGGGTGCCTACACCAACAGGGCCCTGGGTTTCAAGCACAAAACTGGGTGGCCTTTGGGCAGACACTGAGCTAGCTGCAGGAGTTTTTATTTCCATACCCCAGTGGCACCTGGAATGCCAGCAAGAAAGAACCATTCACTCCCTTGAAAGGGGGCTGAAGCCAGGGAGCCAAGTGATCTTGCTCAGTGGATCCCACCCCCATTGAGCCCAGCAAGCTAAGATCCACTGGCTTGAAATTCTCACTTCCAGCACAGCAGTCTGAAGTCAACCTGGGATGCTCAAGCTTGGTGTGGGAATGGGCGTCCACCATTACTGAAACTTGAGTAGGTGGTTTTCTACTCACAATGTAAACAAAGCTGCCTGGAAGTTCAAACTGGGCGGATCCCACCACAGCATAGCTGTCGCCTGACTGCCTCTCTAGATTCCTCCTCTCTGGGCAGGGCATCTCTGAAAGAAAGGCAGCAGCCCCAGTCAGGGGCTTATAGATAAAACTGCCATCTCCCTGGGACAGAGCACCTGGGGGAAGGGGCAGCTGTAAGTGCAGCTTCAGCAGACTTAAAAGTTCCTGCCTCCCAGCTCTGAAGAGAGCAGTGGATCTCCCAGAATAGCACTCGAGCTCTGGTAAAGGACAGACTGCCTCCTCAAGTGGGTTCCTGACCCCCATGCCTCCTGACTGGGAGACACCTCCCAGCAGGGGTCGGCAGATACCTCATGCAGGAGAGCTCTGGCTAGCATCTGGTGGGTGCCCCTGTGGGATGAAGCTTCCATAGAAAGGACCAGGCAGAAGTCTTTGCTGTTCTGCAGCCTCCACTGGTGATACCCAGGCAAATCGTGTCTGGAGTAGACCTCCAGCAAACTCCAGCAGACCTGCAGAAGAGGGGCCTGATGGTTAGAACAGAAAACATTCCCTTTGAAAACCGGGACAAGTCAAGGATGCCTTCTCTCACCACTCCTAATCAACATAGTATTGGAAGTTCTGGCCAGGGCAATCAGACAAGTGAAAAAAATAAAGGGTATTCAAATAGGAAGAGAGGAAGTCAAATTGTCTCTGTTTGCAGGTGACATGATTGTATTTCTAGAAAACCCCATTGTCTCAGCCCGGCCTAGTGTGGTGGCTCATGCCTGTAATCCCAGCACTTTGGGAGGCTGAGGTGGGCAGATCACGAGGTCAGGAGAGCGAGACCATCCTGGCTAACAAGGTAAAACCCTGTCTCTACTAAAAATACAAAAAAAATTAGCCGAGCATGCTGGCGGGTGCCTGTAGTCCCAGCTACTCGGGAGGCTGAGGCAGGAGAATGGCGTGAACCCGGGAGGCGGAGCTTGCAGTGAACCAAGATCACTCTACTGAACTCCAGTCTGGGCGACAGTGAGAGACTCCGTCTCAAACAAACAAACAAACAAATAAAAAACCCATCATCTTAGCCCAAAAACTCCTTAAGCTGATAAGCAACTTCAGCAAAGTCTTGGGATACATAATGAATGTGCAAAAGTCACAAGCATTTTTATACACCAAAAGTAAACAGAGAACCAAATCATGAGAGAACTCCCATTCACAACTGCTACAAAGAGAATAAAATACCTAGGAATACAACTTACAAGGGATGTGAAGGACCTCTTCAAGGACAACTACAAACCACTGCTCAAGGAAATCAGAGAGGACACAGATAAATGCAAAAAGATTCCATGATCACAGCTAGGAAGAATGAATATCGTAAAAAATGTCATACTGCCCAAATTAATTTATAGATGTTATTCCCATCAAGCTACCATTGACTTTCTTCACAGAATTAGAAAAACTACTTTAAGTTTCATATGGAACCAAGAAAGAGCCACTATAGCCAAGACAATCCTAAGCAAAAAGAACAAAGCTGGGGGCATCACACTACCTGACTTCAAATTATACTACAAAGCTACAGTAATCAAAACAACATGGTACTTACACCAAAACAGATATATAGACCAATGGAAGAGAACAGAGGCCTCAGAAATAACACCACACATATACAACCAGCTGACCTTTGACAAACCTGAGAAGAACAAGCAATATGGAAAAAATTCTCTACTTAATAAGTGGTTTGGGGAACACTGGCTAGCCATATGCAGAAAAGTGAAACTGGACCCCTTTCTTACACCTTATACAAAAATTAACTCAAGATGGATTAAAGACTTAAATGTAAGACCTAAATCCATAAAACCCTTGAAGAAAACCTAGACAGGCCAGGTGCGGGGTGGCTCACTCCTGTAATCCCAGCACTTTGGAAGGCCAAGGCAGGGGGATCACCTGAGGTCAGGAATTCGTGACCAGCCTGGCCAATGTGGTAAAACCCCAATTATACTAAAAAACACAAAAACAAAAACCAAAAAACAGCCAGGCATGGTGGTGGGCACCTGTAATTCCAGCTACTCAGGAGGCTGAGGCAGGAGAATAGCTTGAGCCTGAGAGGTGGAGGTTGCAGTGAAACGAGATCATGCCATTGCACTCCAATCTGAATGACAAGAGCAGGACTCTGTCTTAAAAAAAAAAAAAAAAAAAAAAAAAGCAAAAGGAAACCTAGGCAATACCATTCAGGACATAGGCATGGGCAAGGACTTCATGACTAAAACACCAAAAGCAATGGTAACGAAAGCCAAAATTGACAAATGGGATCTAATTAAACCAAAGAGCTTCTGCACAGCAAAAGACACTATCATCTGAGTGAACAGACAACCCACAGAATGGGAGAAAATTTTGTCAATCTACCGATCTGAAAAAGGGCTAACATCCAGAATCTACAAGGAACACCAACACATTTACAAGAAAAAAACAAACAACCCCATCAAAAGTGGGCTAAGGATATGAACAGACACTTCTCAAAAGAAGACATTTATGTGGCCAACAAACATATGAAAGAAAGCTCATCATCACTGGTCATTAGAGAAATGCAAATCAAAACCACAATGGGATATCATCTCACGCCCATTAGAATGGTGATCATTAAAAAGTCAGGAAACAACAGATGCTGGAGAGGTTGTGGAGAAATAGGAACACTTTTACACTGTTGGTGGCAGTGTAAATTAGTTCAACCATTGTGGAAGACAGTGTGGTGATTCCTCAAGGATCTAGAACCAGAAATAGCATTTGACCCAGCAATCCCATTACTGGGTATATACCCGAAGGATTATAAACCATGCTACTATAAAGAAACACTCACAATAGCAAAGACTTGGAACCAACCCAAATGCCCATCAATGATAGACTGGATAAAGAAAATGTGGCAATATACACCATGGAATACTATGCAGCCATAAAAAAGAATGAGTTCATGTCCCTTGCAGGGACATGGATGAAGCTGGAAACCATCATTCTCAGCAAACTAACAAAGGAACAGAAAGCCAAACACCGCGTGTTCTCACTTATAATTGGGAGTTGAACGATGAGAACACATGGACACAGGGAGGGAAACATCACACACTGGGGCTTGTCAGGGGCTGGGGAGCAAGGGGAGGGATAGCATTAGGAGAAACACCTAATGTAGAGGATAGGTTGATGGGTGCAGCAAACCACCATGGCACATATGTACCTATGTAACAAACTTGCACATTCTGCACATGTATTCAAGAACTTAATGTATAATAAAAATAAAATAAAATAAACAACTTATCTAAAATATGTGTAAAATATCTACTATGTGCCAGACACTATGCTTGGCCCTGAGAGCAGCAACATAGTGAAGACACATAACTCATTTGAAGGACAGAGGTGGGTTTGAGAAGGAGATGAAGCTGGGGAATTATGAGGGAAGCTGTATGGTAGAGTGACGAAAAAACCTCGTCTCTAAATGCCAAAAACTATAGCTTTTAAACCTCCCCTTCTGAACACTATAATTGGCTCCCTGTCATCCAGGGTAATTACTTGATATTTTTCTATTTGTTTGTTCATCATATAATCGAGATGATGATAAAACCTTCCAAATTTGTTGCAAAGATCAGATACAATGCTTATGTAAAGTGACAAGTGGAAGTTCCAGATTTAAGAAGGCAGTCAATAAACAAGAGTTACTAATAATAAGATTAAGACATCAGTGGTGACAGGAGACATGAAACTTGAATATAATATAAAACACACTAAAAGGTAAAGATCAAAGTTTTAATAGGAACATAAAGGAAAGAGTTACTGATTCTGTTCTGAGGGAATTTAAAAGAATTAAACCAAATTCCACATGACTGCATACTTTGTACTCTTCCACATAATTTACTGTTCTCATTACAGATCTCAGGGGGAGCTCTGGGCATCCACCCAATCATGGATCTCTCCCTCTTCCTTGTGGTGTTGGCGTAGACTTTACAAGTAAGCTTTAGTCTGGATTCACAGACTAACACTATAGTCTTTGCACTGAGTCTGGTGCTTTCCCTAAACCCCACCCAGATTGACTAGAGCATTTATGTGATACTTGACTCTTGTTAGCCCTCTCCTCTTAAAGCACAGATTCTACTTCCTTTGGCCCCAGAGCTAGGAGCTAAGATGAACACACTGAGGGATACTTATGTCCATATACTTCCCCAAGAACTACGGAGTTATTGTCATTCCCTATTTTTTTCCTGCTTTCAGCACACATATATTTACCAGTTTCCCCTTTGACCTTGTACACATAACTCCAGACATAAAGTTGTCTATAAGCACATGTGTTCAGCTGGTTGGCTCGGTTAAGAAAATGGTGTGCTGTGGGTGCAGGGGAGGGCATGAATAGATAGAACTGCATAGGTGGTCCTGGATGAGGTCATCTCAATATTATTCCCTGAATAGGTAAGAAATTGGCATGGGCCTGAGCCTGTCTGGGTGCATCAGGGTGTTCTCCATGTAGTTCTGCCTGGATATGCAAAGCTGGTAGGACTTTCCAGGTATAAGTTTGAGTTAGACACGTTTAATGTGCTTGTCTGGGTGGTTGTGTTCAAATCTTGTACACCATATATATATATATATATATCTTGTATACATATATATAGTACATATATATCTTGTACATATATATCTTGTGTGTATATATATATATATATATAGTGTACAAGATTTGAACGTAGGCACATTTGAGCTTGTGTATAAATTAAAGCATGTTTAAAGGTGTGTGCTTTGACATTCCAAAGAGGTGAAAACATACACTCTCTTGGCAAGCCTGGGTGTTGTTATGGCCATTCCTTGCACGTGGTTATAGATGTAGGCACTGTTTGCTGAGCATGACTCTGAAGATGTGTATTAGTTTTCTCTGCAAAATAACAAATTACTACAAAGATAGTTGTTTTAAAATATATAAATGTATTATCTCATAGTTTCCATGGTTTTGGAGGCAAGGTATGGCTTAGCGGGTTCTCTGCTCTACTTTGTCCTCTGTTCAAGGTCTTACAAAGCTACAATCCGGGTATCAGAGGGGCTGTACTCCTTTCTGGAGCTCAAGGCCCTTTTCCAAACTCATGTGGTTGTAGCAGAATTCAGTTTTTTGAGGTTGAAGAAATGAGGTCCCATTTTCTTACTGGCTATTTGCTGGGGTTCATGATCATCTCCTAGAGGATGTCACAGGTCCTAGCCAAGTGGGACTTACGCAACAAGGCAACTTAATTATTCAAAACAAACAGAAAAATTTCTGATTCCAGTCTGCTAAGACAGATTCATACATAATAAAATGCAATCATGGGACTGGCTATCCCATCACATCTGACATATTTTGTTGGCTAGAAGTAAGTGACGATGTCTGCCTACAGTCAAGGCAAAAAGATTATACAAGGGTGTTTAACTCAATTGAGCATCATCTGAAGTTCTGCCTACCACAGTATGTACTATCATTGTACCAGAAAAAGTAATGAATTTGAGTATGGTTTTATATTTTGACCACAGGAGACGCTATAGAACATAGGCATGAAAATTAGTGAGGTTAGGAGAATAGATATGGGTTATGGGCCTAGATATGGTCATAATAATTTATGGTGCACAATTCTTAGCATGTCTTATCACATGGCAGTGGGTAAGAAGATAAGTTTCTTATTTTATGTATGAAAGTCAGCATGAAAGTGAGTATGTGTGACACATATTATGGGTTCAGGTATTTGCTAATGGCTATGGCAATGGCTGAAGGTAGACCCATTCTTGGTGAGCACACCGTAATAGTTATATGCTTGGGGGTTTGGACCTAAATGTATAGGTATTGCTGTAAGGTTTTGCTTTGGGAAATTTAAAAAGCTACTCATTGGCTTCTTTAACTATTTACCACAAAGAAACATCTAAGCATGACAAAAACTAAGAAGAAACTTAAAATAATAACTAGGAAAAGAATAATATGTGAAGAAAAAAATTTACATGATGAATTTAACCATGCTTGCTCCCTAAAGTACAGGGTTCTAAATGATGTAAGGTCTGAGTCTGCAAAAGGCAAAGGTGATTGCAACACAAGCTACTCACACTTGTATTGCTACATTTGGTCTCTATTGCAGACTCTAACATTGGCTATAAACCAATATGTGTTTTTTTCCCTAATCGAATATGCTATGGCCCAGCATGGTACCATGACTTCCTTTTACAAGCTAGTATCTGTTGCAAAATGCGATCTCTCCATAAACACTGGGTTGGAGGGTGATCATGCTGTCTGTGTCATTTTCAGAGGACTGACAATTGATTTTAAATTACCTTCTGTTAAACTTTCAAGTGTTACCAGAGATTGTTTACTTATGCACACATATTTTTAATGAATCAATATTTTAATAAAGGTTACTTGAGATCCAAAAAAGCTATAATTATTTTCAACAACTCTGCTATCTTTTACTGTCTACATAGACATGGTGAACCAACAAGAAAAGGATTCCTTCAAAACTGAATAAGTTTGGAATATTGACTTTTCCTAAATGTGAAAAACGCATTACTGTACATATAAATATGTCACTTATTTGCATATTTATGGAATTTTTTATCAAAAGGCTCCATTTAAAATGTAGATGCCTTGTAGTAAATTTTTATCCCCATGGAAAATTTATTCACATGGAAATACCGTCAAGATAAATTTATTGAAATGACAGTGGCATTTATTACAAAAAGTAAAACAGATGAAAAAGAGTAAAGAAACTCTACAGGACTCATGAGGCCCTTCAAGCAAAACAACATATCCAAAATAAGAACTCACAGATAGAAAAGTGAGAGACAAAGAGCAAGAAGACTACTTAAGGAAATAATGCATGAAAACTTTTCAAATCTAGGAAGAGAATTAAGCATGCAGGTTTATGAAGGCCCAAATAGGAGGAACTTAAAGAGATTTACAGAAGACACATAACTAAATTGTGAAAAGTCAAAGATAAAGAGAGAATACTGAAAGCAGCAAGAGAAGTGACTCATCACATACAAAAGATCCTCTGTGAGACTATCAGCAGATTTCTCAGCAGAAACCTTGCAGGCCAGGAGGAAGTAGATGATACATTCAAAATAGTGGAAGAATAAAACTGCCAACCAGGGGTACAATACCTGGCAAAGCTGTCTTTCAGAAATGAAGGAGCAATGAAAATTACCTCAAACAAATAAAAGCTGAAAGATTTCGTCACCAACTAGAACCACTTTATAAAAAATGGTAAAGGGATTTATTCATGCTGAAATGAAAGGATGCTAAGTAACAATACAAAAACAGACAAATGTATCAAACTCACTAATAAAGGTGAATAGGTAGTCAAATTTAGAATTCTCTAAAATTGTAATGGTGGTGTGTAAATCCCTTTCAAAAATAATGATAACTGTTAAAAGGCAAATGTATTAAAATAACTGTAGCTACAATAATTTGATAATGGATACTCAATATTTTCATAAAATATGTAAATAATAAAATCTATAACCTAAAAATGTGAGGGGAAAGTAATATTATAGGCTTTTTAATGATATTATTAGCTTAAATAAGATGTTATAAGATATTGTATGTGAGCCTCATGACAACCACAAAAGATAAATGTGTAGTGGAGTCAAACAACATTTTAAAAAATGAATCAGAACTTACTACCAAAACAGTTATAAAATCACAAAGAAAGACAGCAAGAGAGGAAGAAAAAAAGGACTAAAAAACAGTTAAGAAACAATTCACAAAATGATCATAGTAATTTTTTACCTATCAATAATTACTTTAAACATAAATGAAATTCTCCAATCAAAAAAGAGTGGTATCACAGATTTAAAAATAGCTCCAACTATGTGTTGCATATAAGTGACTAACGTTATTTTTAAGGACACACATAGGCTGAAAGAATAGGGATAAAAAATGTATTTTATACAATTGATTGTCAAAAGACAGCAGCTGTGGCTGTATTATATCAAACAAATAGACTTTAAGTCAAGAACTGTCACAAGAGACAAAATCGGCTGGGCGCGGTGGCTCACGCCTGTAATCCCAGCACTTTGGGAGGCCGAGGCGGGCGTATCACGAGGTCAGGAGATTGAGACCACGGTGAAACCCCGTCTCTACTAAAAATACAAAAAAAATTAGCTGGGTGCAGTGGCGGGCACCTGTAGTCCCAGCTACTCGGGAGGCTGAGGCAGGAGAATGGCGTGAATGTGGGAGGCGGAGCTTGCAGTGAGCCGAGATCGCGCCACTGCACTCCAGCCTGGGCGACAGAGCAAGACTCCATCGCAAAAAAAAAAAAAAAGAAAAAAGAGACAAAATCATAATAAAATAATAAATGTTCAATTCATCAAGAAGCTGTAGCAATTGTAAATATTTATGCACCCATGTCAGAGCACTTAAATATATAAAGCAAATAGCAGAAATGAAAGAAGAGGTAAACAGCAACATGAAAATAGTCAAATACATTAGTATCCCACTTTCAACAGTGAATAGATCATTTGGACAGAAACTCAATAAGAAAACAGCAGACTAGAACAACACCGTACACCAAATTGATCTAACAGACATATGCAGAACATTACATCTCACAGCAGCATAATGTATTCTTCTCAAGGGTACACAAAACATTCTCAAGAATAGATAATATGTTAGGCCATAAAACAAGTCTTAACACATTTAGAAAGAATTAAGTCATGCCAACGATCTTTCTGGTAAGGATGGTATGAAACTAGACTCAATAACAGGAAGAAAATTAGAAAACTCACAAATATGTGGAAATTTAGCAGCACCCTCCTGAAAAAACAATGGTTCAAAGAAGAATTTTTTTTAATCAAATAATATCTTGAGACAAATAAAAATGGAAACACAAAATACTAAAATGTATGGGATGCAGTTAAGGCAATTAAAGAGGAAAACTTACAGTAATATATGTTTACATTAAGAAAAGAGATCCCTAATAAACAAGCTAACTTTATGCCACAAGCAAAAAAAAATATGAAAAATATAACCCAAAATTTAGCAAAAGGAAGGACAGAATAAACAGTAGAGAAGAAAGGAAACATATAATAAACAGCAGAAGAGAAACAAATTAGAGGATAGATAAATAGAAAAGATAAACAAAACTAAGAATGAATTTTGAAAAGTTAAACAAAATTGACAAACCTTTAGCTAGACTAACCAGGAATAAAAAGATCTGACTCAATAAAGAAAATTATAAATTAAAACGAACACATTACAACCGACGCTGCACAAATACAAATGAACGTAAGAGACTACTATGAGCGATTATATGCAAACAAGTTTGATAACCTTGAAAACATGAATACAACCTAGCAAGACCAAATTATGAATAATAAAACATCTTTACAGGCTAATAAAGAGAATAGAGACCCCAGAAATAAATTAATTCACATACAGTCAACTAATCAACTAATCTTTGACAAGAATGCTGAGAATACACCATGGGGAAATAATATTTTCTACAATTAATGCTGTTGGGCAAATTGGATACCCACATTTAAAAGAATGAAATTGGAGCACTATCTTACATGAATCACAAAAAGTAACTAAAAATAGATTATAGATTTTGTCGTGAAACATGAAACCATAAAACTCTCGGTAGAAAAGAGGAAAAAAGATCAAAAAGATCTTTGTAATGATTTTTATGGATATGACACAAAAATTATAGGCAACAAAAGCAGAAGTAAACATGTTAGTCTACAGCAACATAAAAAGCATCTGCAATGCAAAGGAAAAAACCAACAAAATAAAAAGGCAACTTATGGGACAAGACAATATATTCGTAAATATATTTTTGATAATGAGTTAATATCAAAATATATTAAACTCAATATAAACTCAACCAATCCAACAACAAAACAATATGATCCTAAAATGGGCAAATAACTCAAATAGATATTTTTCAAAAGAAGATATACAAAAGGCCAGCAGGGATATGAGAAGGTGCTCAACATCAGTAATTATCAGGGAAATGCAGGTCAAAACCACAATGAGATATCACCTCATACAGTTTAGGGTGTCTATTATCAAAAAGAAAAGAGATAAGTTGGCCACGATGAGGAGAAAAGGGAACCCTTGTTCACTCTTGGTGAGAATGTAAATTAGTACAGCCATTATGTAAAACAAAGTATAGGTTCCTCAAAAAATTAAAAATAGAGGTCTAGCAATCCCACTTTTGGGCATATATTTGAAGATAACGAAATCAGTATTTTGCAGAGCTATCCACACTCTCATATTCATTACAGCATTATTCACAATAGCCAAGACATAGACACAACCTAAGTGTCCATTGTTGGATGAATGGATAAAGAAAATGTGAGATATATATATATGTGTGTGTGTGTGTGAGTGTGTGTGTGTGTGTGTGTGTATTCACACACACACATACATTGAAATATTATTCAGACTTAAAAAATCAGAGAATCTTGTCATTTCTGACAAGATGGATGAATCTGTAGGACATTATGCTAAGTGAAATAAGGGAGACAGAGAAAGACAAATACTGTATGATCTCACTTACATGTGAAAATTCAGAAAAAAAATGAACTCACAGATACAGAGAGTAGAATGGGGTTGCCATTCTACATTCAATAGTAACTATATTAATTTTCTTGATTGTAATAATCATTTCACAATAAACATATGTTAACTAATCACATTGTACAGGTTTAATATATAGAACACAATGTTTTTTGTCAATAATCCATAAATTAAGCTGAAATAAGAAAGTATGAAAGGAAAAAATATAAGTGTTTTGGAACTAGTATATAGTTATATATGTAAGGATGACAATAATTAACTCAATGAATCTAATGACTATTTCTTGTCTTACTTTGCTTGTAAATGACATGCAGTAAAATACGTACACATATATGTAGTCATTTTTACACTATTGATTTCCATTTTTCTTGAAAAAACAAGGTGTTGATTTGCCTTTGTGTTGTTTCATAGGTTTGTTTTTGAAATTGTTTTGATGCTCCTATTTTTAAAATAATAACATTATTAAAAGGAAAGCCATGACCAGCAAATATAGACATAACATTTGGAAAAAGAGGAGTGGCAATACTGTGAAGTATAAAAATATATTGCATTAGTCTGTCCTCATGCTGCTAATAAAAACACACCCAAGACTGGGTAATTCATAAAGGAAAGGACGTTTAATGGACTCACGTTTCCCCCTGGCTGGGAGGGCCTCACAATTACAGCAGAAGGCTAAGGAGGAACAAAGTCATGTCTGCCATGGCAGCAGGCCAAAGAGCCTGTGCAGGGGAACTCCCCTTATACAGAACAATCAGATCTCATGAGACTTATTCACTATCAAGAGAACAGCATGAGAAAGACCTGCCCTCATGATTCAATTACCTCCCACTGGGTCCCTCACATGACACATGGGAATTATGGGAGCTATATTTCAAATGAAATTTGGGTGGGGACACTGATAACCCATATCTTTCCACCCCTGGCCACTCCCAAATCTCATGTCCTCACATTTCAAAACCAATCATGCATTCGTAATAGTTCCCCAAAGTCTTAACACAATTCAGCATTAACTCAAAAGTCCACAGTCCAAAGTCTCATTTGAGACAAGGCAAGTCCCTTCCACCTATGAGCCTAAAATCAAAGCAAGTTAATTATTTCCTAGATGCAGTGGGGGTACAGACACTGGGTAAATACACCCATTCCAAATGGGAGAAATTGGCCAACACAAAAGGGCCTACAGGCCCCATGCAAGTCCAAAATCCAATAGGGCAGTAATTAAATCTTCAGCACTGAAATAATCTCCTTTGACTGTATGTATCACATCCAGGTCACATTGGTGCAAGATGTGGGTTCCCACCTTGGGCAGCTCAGCCCCTGTGGCTTTGCAGTGTACGGCCCCCCTCCTGGATGCTTTCACAGCTGCTGTTGAGTATCTGTGGCTTCTCCAGGTGTACAGTGCAAGCTGTCAGTGGATCTACCATTCTGGGGTCTGGAGGAGGATGATGATCTTTTTCTTAGAGCTCTACTAGGCAGTGTCCCAGTGGAGAGTGTGTGGGGGCTCCAACCCCTCATTTCCCTTCTGCACTGCCCTAGCAGAGGTTCTCCATGAGGGTGTGGCCCCTGTAGCAAACCTCTGCCTGGACATCAGGCATTTCCATGTATCCTCTGAAATCTAGGCAGAGGTTTTCAAACCTCAATTCTTGACTTTTGTACACTTACAGGAACAACAGCACACGAAAGCCACCAAGGCTTGGGGCTTGCACACACTCTGAAGCAACAGACTGAGCTGTACATTGGTCTCTTTTAGCCACAGCTGGAGCTGAAGCAGCTGGGATGCAGGGCACCATGTCCTGAAGGTGCACAGAGCAGGGGAGCCCTGGGCCCTACCCATGAAACTATTTTTTTCTCCTAGGCCTCCAGTCCTGTGATGGAAGGGGCTGCCCTGGAGACATTTTCTCCATTGTCCTGGCAATTAACATTTGGCTCCTCGTGACTTTTGCAAATTTCTGCGGCCAGCTTGAATTTCTCCTCAGAAAATGGATTTTTCCTTTTTATTGCATTGTCAGGCTGCAAATTTTTCAAGCTTTTATGCTCTGCTTCCCTTTTAAACGTAAGTTCAAATTCCAAACCATATATTTGTGAATGCATAAAACTGAATGATTTTATTAGCATCCGACTCACATCTTCAATACTTTGCTGCTTAGAAATTTTTTCTGCCAGGTGCCTTAAATCATCTCTGTCAAGTTCAAAGTTCCACAAATCTCTAGGGCAGGGGCAAAAATGCTGCCAGTCTCTTTGCTGAAGTATGACGAGAGTCACTTTTGTTCCAGTTCCCAACAAGTTCCTCATCTCCATCTGAGACCACCTGAGCATTTTAGTCAACGCCATTCAACAAGTCTCTAGAAAGTTCCAGACTTTCCTACATCTTCCTGTCTTCTGAGCCCTTCAAACTGTTCCATCCTCTGCCTGTTACCTAGTTCCAAAGTCGCTTCCACATTTTCAGGTGTCTTTACAACAGCGCCCCACTTCCTTTACCAGTTTACTCTATTATTCTGTTATCATGCTGATAGTGAAGATATACACGAGACAGGGTAATTTATAAAAGTAAGGAGGTTTAATGGACTCACAGTTCTACACAGCTAAAGAGACCTCACAATCATGGTGGAAGGTGAAGGAGGAGCTAAGTCACATGTTACAGCACAGCACGCGAGAGAGCGTGTGCAGGGGAAATGCCCTTTATAAAACCATCAGATCTTATAAGACTTACTCTATAATGATAACAGCATGGGAAAGACACACCGCCATGACTCAATAACCTCTCACCAGGTCCCTCCCACAACACATGGGTATTATAGGAGCTACAATTCAAGATGAGATTTGGGTAGGCACACAGCCAAACCATATCATGTATTATAAAACTATTATAAAATTTTGACAGTGTTATAAAAATCGACTTAAAGATTTCTCAAAAGGAGAAGGCTGATCTTCATAGGACTTTAATATAAAATAATATAAAAATGAAAGATATATATTAATCAATGAAGTTAAATTAATTAACTGAAAAAATAATAGACTTTTCTTCATATCATATATTAAAATAAGCTTTAGATGACAATACTCAGTGCTGATGAGGGTGTACTAACAGAAATGTATGTTTCCAAAACCATTCTGAAAAACTGGGGAAGAGAAAAAGAGAGAGAGTGAGAGTAAGAGCAAGAAAGAGAGAGAGAGAAACTGACCATAAGCTTTGACTCAGTAGTTCTACTTGTAAGAACAGCTTATAGTAAAATAATACACAGGAACAAGGATGACTTTTTTCAAAGACATTCATTATAAAATCAACAAGATCATGCTAATTTTAAGAGTGAAAGTTATGCAAACCAACTGGTGCCTAATTATTTGGTAACAAGTTAACATTGGTATACATTAATATTTTCCTCATTTAATAATATTTGCAGAGATTGTGATGCATTGCTGACAAGACAGTATTGACTGAAAATGTGGAAAAATACAAATTTGTATATAAAGTAGACTAAGAAGTATATTTAAGTTTTGTGAAGCCTGGAACTTTTACAGTATTTAGGAAAGAGATAAAAAAAATGGATACAAAATTAAGTAAACATATCTGTATTTATTTTGAATAAAAAGGGAAATCACAAATATTACAAAATTTACTGAGATGATAAATAATACAAAAATCATGGAATCTAGAAATGTAAAATTTACACAAATTAATTAACTTCTTAACCCACCTATGTATTTTTCTCTTACATATTTGGCTGTGTAGTATTTGATTGTTCTTCACATGACCATAATTTTGTAATATCTTTTTTTATAAATATGATAGAAAAATTCTTTAGCCTTTTCCCTAGCACACTGGTCAAATTCAAACATATTTATACTTTAGAAAAGTTTTTCTAAGCATCACAATTTGTTATTGATAATGCCTTATCATTTTCTAGAAGTGTTGTTCAATTTGGAACAATCTATGTTTCCTTTCTTTCCTATATGAGTTATTACAAACATACCCATTGTTTTTAGTGCTGCTATGGGTTCATGTCCTAAAAATACAGAAATTCTCATAAATTCTATTTTACTTGATTCTCCTTTTTAAAAAGGCATATTTTCTTAGAACGATCATACTACATTTATGCCTTTTAATATAGCGCATGTGTTCTACAATCAATATTTATGTGTTTTATAAAGTATAATGTACGTGACATAAGTATTAAAGTAAATCTGAAGATGGGTTATAAAATACCTGTCTATCAAGAAAAATAGGCTACTTAAAAGACTTTCAGTTTCTTCACTCTCTATAACCATCGTCTCCAAGAGGAAGGAAAACAAAGTGATTGAATCTCATGTTCATATGCAAGTAGGTGCCCACTCTTATGGATTATAAACAGGTATTTCCTAATAATTGCAAATACAAAAAAAAAAGACTGTTTAGTGGCACTTTGTATTGGTGTTTGGAAAATGTGATGCATGTATATGGTATGTCCAGATAATAAAAAGTGCTATATCACAGCTGGAATCACTGCTTGTTTTATAAAACTTAAATGAACATTTTCTCTGGTTTTCTTTGGAAAGCATTGGGATGGCTATTAGGAGGCTAAACCTAAATACATATTCACTGCTTGCCTTTATACATTGTGTCACCACAAGAATTACTGTATCAGTGACATATTATTTCAGCTTGCCATATGCCTGGCATAGAGGATGGCACTTTTAAGATCATTGGAAGCACTATAGATTGAACTTGGGAGTGTTGTTTGTTTGTTTGTTTGTTTGTTTGTTTGTTTTAGACAGGATCTCACTCTTTCACCCAGGCTGGAGTGCAGTGGCGAGTGCTCAGCTCACTGCAGCCTCTACCTCCTGGGCTTGGGTTATCCTCCCACCTCAGCTTCCCAAGTAGCTGGGACTACTGGCACACACCACCATGCCTGGCTAGTTTTTTTTTTTTTTTTTTTTAATTATAGAGACAGGGTCTCACTCACTATGTTGTCCAGGCAGGAACTAGAGAGCATGGATTCCAGCTTCCAAAATTTCTGTCTTCAAGGAGACATAGTTGAATCCATATGAAATGTAGACGAAGTGTATGAAATATTTAACTGGTCTCTATTATGACCAACTATGTTTCCAGGTAAAGTAAACCTGAAAATGTTTGCTGGGCCTGATCATATACCTGTCCATTGACTGACATTCTCTACTTTGCCTGATTTAGTTTAGAGTTTAGAATTTCTCTATACTATTATACTTATATCTGACCTGCCTCTAGCTCTGTTTTATCTTTTCAAGATTTTTGATAACCTCCCTGCCCTCTTAGCATCCACTCTCTTCCTCCACTCTTGCATTTGTCTATCTCTATTTGTATCTTAGGGTTCACCAATTAGGACAACCTTACACTTCCAGACAGACTGAAAATATATCCTTGCTGAGCTGACACATAATTTCCTTCTTACAGAAACATGCTTCGCTTTTCTAGACAAAATAATTAATTACATGAATAAGCAACTGTAATGTCAAGTAAGAAGTCACTGCCACATTTTCAGAGGTTTTTTTTTTTTCCGTAAATGGATAATTTTAGTATTCTGGGACTACCTAAAAAAGAATACTTCTTCAAATAAAATATTCTAACAAAAGTGATTAGAAGATTGTTCTAGTAATTATAGAACCAGACATATTAAGACCGTGTGCATGTTTCATTCAACTAATGAGAATTCAGCAGAAAGAGCTTATTATGGTACAATTTGCAATGGGGTTCTCTACTGCAAGGCACCTTCTAATAACTTGTATGTGATTATACTAAAATGTTAAATATTGGAGTAGAATAATAAAAAGCAGTTAAAATTTACTGAAGGATTATTGGGTCCCAAGAAAGCGTTCTATGTGCTTAACATTCATCAACTCAATCCTTGCAATAACCTTATAGCTATTATCATCACCATTTTACAGGTGAGGAAACACACACAGAGCAGTCAATCAACTTTCTCACAGTCACAGAAGTAATGAGTGGTAGAACCAAAATTCAAATCCCGGCAGGTGGGCTCCATAACCTATACTATTAACACTGACTATGCTATTCTTACTAATGTTTGTGAAGTGTGATTTTGAAAGTTCTCATTGATATGTGTCATGTTAATAGATACATAAGAGGAACGTTACTCCTTAGGAGACTACAGTAAAAGTCCATTCTATTTTGGTATTTTAATTCTGGCCAATGTTAAGAGTTTTCTAAGCACATGGCGTTACAGTGGTTAAAAATCAGGAATAAGGAGTCTACTGGGCTTTATAATTGCCTTAACTTCCTGAGTATACGAAATAATGTTTCAAGATGGTATTGTTTTATTCCCTTTCAGCATCATGAAAAATTGTCAGATGCTGTTGAAACCTAGCCCACTATCTTAACCTAAGTTCATAGGCAGAAAACTATTACTTAACTTTGTTGTCATATGCAAAGCAATGACCCTCATGAAAAAAACTCTGTGAGCTTCTTTTTTATATAAACCCATTTATTTCTCAAATTCAGATTTTTCTTTTTCGTATTCCAGATGGATAAATTAGCTTTACTGATGGATAGTAGCATTGCTTTTGGAATGTATCAGCAGAATGCTCTCATTCTGGCCTTCTTCAGGTTTGTATTAAAATTAAAGCTATTCATCACATTAATGCTCTACTGTCATTTACAGTTAAGAAATAAAATGTGTTTCATCTTATTGGAAGAGACAACAAGGTAAAATAAATACTAGTACTGAGATAAGGCATCAGCCAGTGTTACCAAATAGGGGTAATCCTAGTGATAGTGCAAATAATATACAGAAGAATCCCTGCTTAAAATTTTGCACTAAAATATGCTGTATTTCAGAATCAACATTACCCATTACCATCTCATTATATTATCATTGTGCAATATAGAAGTGAATTAGAAAGAACATTAAATTAGACATTTTCATAAATTCTCTATTTCGGTATCATTTAATGCCACCCCACCAATTTTTCCAATCACAATGGTGTTCTGAAAATTTCTGGAACATGCCAGCCTCTCTCTTGCTTTAATATATTTTTATTTATTTATTATTTATTTATTATTATTCTTATTTTTACTTTCAGTTCTGGGATACATGTGCAGAATGTGCAGGTTTGTTATATAGGTATACACGTGCCATGGTGGTTTGTTGCACCTATCAACCCATCACCTAGGTTTTAAGCCCCACATGCATTAGCTGTTTGTCCTGATGCACTCTTTCCCTTTTGCATCTCCCACAGGCCCGGTGTGTGTTTTTCCCCTCCTGGAGTCCACGTGTTCTCGTTGTTCAACTCCCACTTATGAGTGAGAATATGCAGTGTTTGGTTTTCTGTTCCTGCGTTAGTTTGCTGGTGATGATGGCTTCCAGCTTCATCCATGTCCCTGCAAAGGACATGATCTCATTCCTTTTTGTGGCTGCACAGTATTCCATGGTGTATATGTACCACATTTTCTTTATCCAGTATATCATTGGTGGGTATTTGGGTTGGTTCCATGTCTTTGCTGTTGTGAATAGTGCTGCAATAAACATACATGTGCATGTATCTTTATAACAGAAGAATTTATATCCCTTTGGATATATACCCAGTAATGGGATTACTGGGTCAAATGGTATTTCTGGTTCTAGATCCTTGAGGAATCGCCACACTGTCTTCTGCAGTGGTTGAACTAATTTCCCTTCCCACCAACAATGTAAAAGTGTTTCTATCTCTCCACAGCCTCACCAACATCTGTTGTTTCTTGACTTTTTAATAATCACCATTCTGATTGGTGTGAGATGGTATCTCATTGTGGTTTTGATTTGCATTTCTCTAATGATCAGTGATGTTGAGCTTTTTTTCTTATCTTTCTTGGCCGCATAAATCTTCTTTGAGAAGTGTTTGTTCATATCCTTTCCCCACTTTTTGATGGGGTTGTTGTAAATTTAAGTTCCTTGTAAATTCTGGATATTAGACCTTTGTCAGATGGGTAGATTGCAAAAACGTCCTCCCATTCTGTAGGTTCTGTTTGCTCTGATGATAGTTTCTTTTGCTGTACAGAAACTCTTTAGTTTAATTAGATCTCATTTGTCAATTATAGCTTTTGTTGCAATTGCTTTTGGAGATTTCATCAGAAAATCTTTGCCTATGCCTATGTCTTGAATGGTATTGCCCAGCTTTTCTTCTAGAGTTTTTATGGTTTTGGGTTTTACATTTAAGTCTTTAGTCCACCTTGAGTTAATTTTTGTATAAGGTGCAAGGAAGGGGTCCAGTTTCTGTTTTCTGCATATGGCTAGCCAGTTTTCCCAGCACCATTTATTAAATAGGGAATCCTTTACCCATTGCTCATTTTTATCAGGTTTGTCAAAGATCAGATGGTTGTAGATGGGTGGTCTTATTTCTGAGGTCTCTATTCTGTTCCATTGGTCTGTATGTCTGTGGAGTCAGTGGTGATATGCCCTTTATCAATTTTTTGTCTATTTGATTCTTCTCTCTTTTATTGTTTGTTTCAACAAACCAGCTTCTGCATTCAATGATTTTTTAAAGGGTTGTTCGTGTCTCTATCTTCGTCAGTTCCACTCTGATCTTAGTTATTTCTTGTCTTGTGCTAGCTTTTGGATTTGTTTGCTCTTTTGTTAAGTCTGGAATTTTCTTCCTTTTTCCTTTAACCAGGGTTGTTCTCATCTTCAACATCACCCCTCAGAGAGACCTTCTATGACCATCCTACAGAAAAGTAATTCCAATTTCATTTTCTTCTCTATAGCATAACCCTGTTTAATTTTTTCCTTTAAAATACTTATTGCAGGCTTTATTGTTTTTCCTGTACACTTTTTAGCTCTACTACTAGAATGTAATTTCCATAAGAAAGGAGACCTTTGAAATCTTGTTCACTGCACTGTTTCCAGTGCCTGCCATTCAGAAAATACTCTACTGAGTTTTCATTTACATTTACATTGATTTACATTCATTTACATAATAAATAAATACATTTCCACCAACATCCACTATCCAAATGACTAGGCACGTTGCTTAAACTCTCAGTACTGAAATGCTCAGTTCTAGCTGAATATCTGAGACAGCGCTCCTTTGTAATCATCAGAAAGAGGGAACTTACTGTCAAAGCACTGAAAAAACATGTAGATTTTACTGAAAAATTTGTAGAAGACAAAGAAGATGGTTTTGATATTTGACATTTTTTTCTTTATGATCTCTCCAATCACCCTGCCTAGCTGGGGAGCACGGTCTCCACCCTTTTCTTATGTAGCACTTGATCTCTTAGTCTCTCTACTCTCTTCCAAATGATTTCAGTCTTATGCCTGAATCTGTATGAAAACTAATAAAAGCCTTAAATATAACATGGCCCAACCACTGTACAAGGAAATTTGATGACTAGCTATTGTTAATCAACCATGCTTCTAGAAAACCCACCAAGTATCCCCCAAAAAGGTGTTCGAATAAATTTAGTTTTCTCCATTTGTTCCATCTCTAAGTGATTTTGTTTTCCGCTTTTTGATCTAGAAAATGCCAGACCTGACAGACGGGGCTGTGATGTGAATAAAACAAATTAATATATGTAAAACGTTAATTTAGTTATTTAAAATTTACTAGAATAATCTAACACCGTGCTAGGTATTAAGCGCAAAACAATGGTTCCTACCCATGAGAAACCTACAGTACACATTGGAAACTACAGAGCATGATGAAAAATTTAACTGTGTGTGTCAAATAGTAACACATTCGCATGATCACAATGATAGTGATTGTTAATGTTATTAGTAATTCCAAATTCTGAAAGCAGCAAACAAATAATAAACTCTTAATATATTTGATGCGTTATATCAGAAAGGTTATGACTAGGGAACATAATATTTTTGTTAAATAAAACTCACTCTTATTTTCCATTGGTCGGTTTGATTCAAATTTGGAGTGAACATTTTAAAGCAGGAATTGCATGAGTTCTTGTCTAATTGTTACTCATCTACTGTTACTCATACTTTTCAAGTACTGCAGATATAAGTCAAGCATAACCTGGCTTAGAATGGAAGTCGGGTCCACAGCATTTTTTATGCTGTGTGAGCAAGGCTGCTGCTCAAGTCCTCCCACTAGCTCTCATAGCAGTGCTCTAGCCATACATTCTCCAGTTCCCCAAGGAGCCATAAAGAACTGTGTCACCTGGTCCTGCTCATCTGAATACAGCCACAGCCCGATAGGAAATACAATACGACAATTGAACTGTAGTATGATTAATGTTATAAGAATTAGCATGAGGGGCTATTGCCCCATAGATAAAGGGACCCGCTGGTGAACTTGAGCATCAGGGAAGTCTTCTAGAAAGAGATGGTATATCCTCAGAGGCCTAAAGAATGAGTGGATGTGAATCAGACGGAAAGGAGGCTGGGGAAGGAGGTAACTGTCTATAAAGCCAGAGAGAACGTTATGTTAAACAGTCCAGGAATAAAAGAGCTATTGCAATTACTTTCACCATGAGGATGGAGTGGTAGTAAATGATAAAATATGGGAAGAATTGAATCAAATGAGGCTGGCAGGAGTCTTGGGTACCAAGCTAAGGAGTTATGGAGCCATGTCGGGGTTTCAAAGAGGTGAGTGACTAGTATTATTCAAGTTTTTATAATGACCAGGTTAGAGGGAAAGACTGGAAGCCGAGAGACAAACAGTTGGAGGCGTCTGCATAAATTCATGATGGTCTGGAAACAGCCTGAAGAAATGTTCAGTTGGTATAGCAGGGAGAAAGACAGATGTTGAGAATGACTTCCCAAGTAACAGCTTGAATCACTGCGTGGGTGGATTACTCCAAAGGCAACATGGACAGGGAATGGAGGCCCAGATACTAGTCTCAACTCTAGTACTTACAAGCTGTGTAACCTTGTCCTGTTACTCACTCTCTTCTGGCCTTAATTTATGCATCTGTCCAGTGGAAATGACCTATCCTATTCAACTTATTCAACTCACAGGGCAGTGCAAGGGCAAAATGTATATAAAACCTCCAGGTAGATAAATACAAGGAATTATTGATGAGGTCTCCAAACCATGGCATTTGTTGAATAGTCATATAATGCCTGATCACTCTTCACTGTCCCAACTATGTCAGTTGTTTCCCTTCATTCTAATGGAAGCCCTGACACTTTAAATCTTTGCTAGAGGTCGGGCACGGTGGCTCACGCCTGTAATCCCAGCACTTTGGGAGGCTGAGGTGGGCCGATCACGAGGTCAGGAGATCGAGACCATCCTGGCTAACACGGTGAAACCCCGTCTCTACTAAAAAATACAGAAATTAGCCTGGCATGGTGGCGGGCACCTGTATTCCCAGCTACTCAGGAGGCTGAGGCAGGAGTATCACTTGAACCCAGGAGGCAGAGGTTGCAATGAGCCGAGAACACGCCACTGCACTCCAGCATGAGCTGAGATCGCACCACTGCACTCCAGCCTGAGCGACAGAATGAGACTCTGTCTCAAAAAAAAAAAAAAATCTTTGCTAGAAAAAACAAAACAAAACAGAAACCTTAGACATCCATTCGATATTAGGTTCAGGATATTAATTTATTCAGTGGAATAGAAAGCTTACAGAAAAATAACTGCCAAAGGAATGCAATTCCTAAGTATTTATTGGGAAAATGTACAAACGCTTGGTATTTGATATTGGTAAAATATATTTAAATATAGACATCTCCTGAACACATATTTGACTTATTCAAATAATAAAGTATTTCAGGCCCCATGGTCAGCACTATAAAGAATAGAGAAATAAAAGGATCTGCCATTTACCCTCAAGGAGACAAAACTCAATGGAAAGAGAATACACAAACATATATCATTATTATAACATAAGGTGAAAATAAAATGTGCTCAATGAAAGAGATAAGCCAAGTGTTACTGGAATCCCAAGAAGAGCAATATCATGGGAGACTAAAAGACCTTAAGAAAGGAAACATCAGAAAGCCCTGGCTTAGACTCCCAGATTCACCCGTTGTTGACTGAGTGATCTTGGAAAAATCACTTAACTTCTCTCATCCTCAGTTTTCTTATCAGTAAAATGGGGATGATAATATCATCTGTATCTCTTAGAACTTTATGAGAATTAAATCACATGACATGACAAATTAGGGCTGAATAAGTTTGTGGTAAGCAGAAACTTCAGCAGATGGTTCTTCTAGGCAAAAATATTATCAAGAAAGTAAATATGTGTTCCCTTCCCCTTTTCGTGAGGGAGTAACGGATAATCATAATCCCTGTGTCATTAAAAAGAATCGTCTAGGCTGAATGAGAACTGACTGCAAAAGTCTTCCACAATCACTCCTAACTCATGAGGTGTATTCATTACAAAACTTTTGCCCTGGGCCTGCAACCAGCTTTGATGGCTAGCTGAGCTGACAGCATCTTGGAGATAATTTCATACACATGACGCTGGGGGTAACACAGTACAGTGCTAGCTCTTCAGTATATTCTCACAAACATTTTCAAAGGATCATAGGATTGCAACAGCCTAATCTGGGTAAAGAACTCTAAAAAGATTGCTTGGGCCAGCATCGCTTCAAATGTCATAACAAGCAATTGATAGGCAGTGAGTCATAACGACAAAAAAGTCAGAATGCTTCTTTTCTACAATATAATACTTGTTGTATTAAAATAAAAATCACTTATTTCCAGCTGTTAAAAATATGATATGATATTTCCCCTTTTCCAATAATGTATTAGTTGTGACGAAGTGTTATGAGGCTTTAGTAACTGCTGCTGGAAGTAGTACATGATTAAACCTCCTGCAACTTTTCATTTCTGTCACCATCTGAAAGCGTAATCAGTATTTTCAAGATAGTCAAAATGACAAGTTATTTAGAAATTCTTTTTTTAAAAAAAGTAACATACATGATTGTACAAATAAACCCAGGCAGCTAACTTTTAGTAATAAAATTAATGGAAGCTGCAAAATGGCAAGCAACATTTCTGTCTTCTAAGGAGCATCATCCAGATTAGCTATGAGATAAAAAAAAAATCACAATGCAAAATTTTTAAATGGCACATTTCTGCTATTATGGTAATATCAGGGAGTGATTAAATAGACTGAACCTGGTGCTGTATAGTCTTAGGATCCAGTCTGAGCTCTGTGACTTACTAGATTTATGACTTCGGGCAAACTAACCTCTACAAACCTCAGTTTTTCTTTCTTTAAAATGTGAATTTGAAATGGGCCAATATATGTAAAGCAGCTCGCATAATGCCTACAAATATGTAACTAAAGCACGCTAGTTGCTTTTGCCTTTAAAGGTCAGTATTATTATTTACATTACCATCAGCAGTATTATCAGTACTATTTATTGAGATCCTATTATGCTCCAGGAATTTGATAGTGGTTACCTCATTTCATGTCTCTATCTATCCTGAGAGTTGTGCATTCTTATCCTAGGGTAAATAAACCAAGGTTTACAAGCGATTGGATGTGTATTCTAACTGAGGTGGGACAGGAAAATTTGCATCGATCCCACTGCCAGACCTTCTCTTGAGGAAGGAGAGAGAAAGATCCCGTATTATTCAACTATGCTGTCAGCAGTCAGGCATTGGCAGAGCGTCAGGGTTAAACTCACGACTTGGTGTCCAGAGGAAGGATACTTATGAAGCCTGACAGACAATTCAAGCTTTTTCACTTATGGCAACAGAGGACATCAGGAGCTGTAGCAAATGTGTTTATTCTGCTGCTTTCTGAACAGTGTTCGTTTTGTCATGAAGAAGAAATGTGCATGAAATAACTGAACATTCCCTGGGTTTTATGTTCATCCTTCTTTCCCACCCTCTATTTCTGACTCCAAGTAACTGCCATCAAGGTCCCACAGGGGCCAATTATATCCAGCTCAGAGTGACAGAAACTCCACCTACCTCAGGCTTGCTCCAGGCACAGAGCACACCTGCAGATTCAAAACCCAGTAAGCACTCCCAGGATTGGGGGGTCAGAGGGGGTCCCGAGGTCTATAGCAATATGAGTTGTTGACTGATGAAGCAGAGGTAGATGGTAAGCAAATATGCAGCCAGCTACGCAATGTCCTTGTCTTCTAGAGCCATTCAATTTTTCACATTCCTACCAGAGTTATTACTCTCCAAACCCTGATCTGGCCATGTGAGTTTCTGCTTATGAATGTTGTGCGGCTCCCTACTGTTTGCAGGGTAAAGGAAATTCTGATCTAATGTGCCTTTCCATATGCATTTCCCATGATTCTTTCCACTCATCACATAATAGTATAGCCTCTATTATAGCAAATAATAAATCATGACTAAGACATGATTTCAGATTTCTTCTTCTTGCACATGATATTTCTTCTGCTTGCAGTGCCCTCCATCTCTTTGTGTCTAATGATTTCCTACACTTTCTTTTAGCTCATACTTACTACGCATCTCTTCTGAGGAGTCTTCCTCAGCCTATTTGTTACTCATCCTTTTATGAATTACAAAGTGGCACCTAGTATTGCATTTTAAAATTATTGCACTTTACTTGTTCTTCTCTTCAATTACCTTATAAGCTTCCTATTTATTTAAAATGTATATTTCGTACATTTGCTGATTTAAAAAGTAATATAAAATCATTGTTAAAATGTTGAAAAATACATAAAGAACACAGCAAGGAAGAGTTCCCTGCAACTCCATCCCTCAGAAATAGTCATTGTTAATGTTTGGATATGGGTATGCTCACACACGCACAAACACAAGCGGGATTAAATAACTCATATGCAAAGAGCCTGGCAGAAAGAGAATGTGTGGACATTTGAGGGACTAAATGAAGTTCAAAAAGCTGGGCAATGCAGGCAAGAAGAGCAGCATGGGATGATAGCATAGAGTAAGAGCTCTCAAAATCTATGCACTTCGACCTACAGCAAGAAATGCATTACATTTATAATTGAAACAAATATTTAATAAAAAACTCTTACTATGAGAAATGAACTGCAATATTATCTATTGTATTCTATTCTATTCTACTCTTTTTCCTTTAAAAGAAGATGCTGGTCACGACCAACTAAATTGACTTCCTGACCCTACTAATGAGGTTCAGGCATAGTTCGATAAAAGTCTGCTATAGAAATAGTCAAGGGACATATTGAAGAGAAGTTTGTATGTCATACTAATGAGTATGGACTTTATTCCGATGGTAAATGTAGGACACTAAATGGTTTTGACACAGTGACCTGACATGTATATGTCATGATCAGTCCTGGACTGTGGGAAGAACACCTGCTTTCTCAGAGGTAATTGTTTAGAAGGGGCTAAGAACTGATGCTAGGAGGAAAGTAGGTGACAGTAAAAGATTCTAGATTTGCTCCAGGTTGATGGTAGAGACAGAAGTAAAGGGATTCTAGAAATTTCAGAAGATCACATCTTATTACATGAGTGTATATATAATCACTCACAGAGGAGCAATAAAAAGTTCAAGCAAATCATAGCATTTATGGAGAGGGAGGAGTCAAGACTGATTTCCAGGTTTCTCGACTGAAAGGAGGGTGACATAATTTATGGAACCATGAAGGAAGAATGAGGTTTTTTTTTTTTCTTTTGAGACATAAATTGCCTATTCTTTTTTTTTTTTATTATACTTTAAGTTTCAGGGTACATGTGCACAATGTGCAGGTTTGTTACATATGTATACATGTGCCATGTTGGTGTGCTGCACCCATTAACTCGTCATTTAGCATTAGGTATATCTCCTAATGCTATCCCTCCCCCCTCCCCCAACCCCACGACAGGCCCCAGTGTGTGATGTTCCCTTTCCTGTGTCCATGTGTTCTCATTGTTCAATTCCCACCTATGAGTGAGAACATGCGGTGTTTGGTTTTTTGTCCTTGTGATAGTTTGCTGAGAATGATGGTTTCCAGTTTTATCCATGGCCCTACAAAGGACATGAACTCATCATCTTTTATGGCTGCGTAGTATTCCATGCTGTATATGTGCCACATTTTCTTAATCCAGTCTATCGTTGTTGGACATTTGGGTTGGTTCCAAGTCTTTGCTATTGTGAATAGTGCCGTAATAAACATACATGTGCATGTGGCTTTATAGCAGCATGATTTATAATCCTTCGGGTATATACCCAGTAATGGGATGGCTGGGTCAAATGGTATTTCTAGTTCTAGATCCCTGAGGAATCGCCACACTGACTTCCACAATGGTTGAACGAGTTTACAGTCCCACCAACAGTGTAAAAGTGTTCCTATTTCTCCACATCCTCTCCAGCACCTGTTGTTTCCTGACTTTTTAATGATCGCCATTCTAACTGGTGCGAGATGGTATCTCATTGTGGTTTTGATTTGCATTTCTCTGATGGCCAGTGATGATGAGCATTTTGTGATGGAGATTATGTTTAACTCAGTTGAAGTAAGGTGCTTGTGAAATATTTAAATGCTGACAGCCACTGCATGAATAGAAGCAGGCAGATATTGGGGTCAGGTACTAAAGGGAGATGACTCAATTAGATGATGTTATACATGGAAAATGGATTCAGCTTCTGTAACAGAAGTTCCAAATAACAGTGGCTTAAGCAAGAGATAAATCATTTCTCTTTCATGTTGAAGGACGGAGGTAAGCATTCAAAGGCTGAGGTAGGGGCCTTACAGTTATCTGGGATTTATAGAGCATTTAGCTTCCTCTTCCACCTACCCTTTGGTGTGGACCTCATTTTACATCTGAAATGGGTTCATTCAGCCATTTATTTTTTAATCAGCAGACGAACGGACAATGTTCTCTCCCTTTAAAGACATGCCTTGGGCAGCACACACATCACTACTCCTTATAGTTTATTGGCCAGATGGTGGAAATGCAAATTCGCATAGTCACTTTGGAAGACAGTTGACAATTTCTTACAAAACTAAACATACTGTCACCATCTAATAAAACATCTCAATAGGTGAAAGCCAGAACACCTACACCAAAGGCAACAACTACCACCACTATCGCAACCCTTACTATTCTTGAATAAATAATAAATTATTACGTTATACTACGTTTCACGCATATAATCTAAAATAATTTATATTAGCATGTTAATTTTCTATTGCTGTATAACAAATTATGACTAACTTAATGTTTTAAACAACACCAATTAACTATTTCACTATTCTCTAGATGACAAATCTAAGGGGGCTCTAATGGGTCCTCTGTTACAGATCTCATACTTAAGGTGTTGCCCTAGCCAGACTCTTATCAATAGATTTTGGGGATGAATCGTCTTCCAAGCTGATTCATGTTATTGAAAGAATCCAGTTATTTGTGGTTGTAGGACCAAGGTCCCCATTTCCTTGCTGGCTGTTGATCTGGACTTGTTTTCAGCATCTAGATGCTTCCTGCAGTTCCTTGCCATGTGCTCTCTCACACACCGAATCCCCTGACTTAAACTATTCAGTGTTTGAATAACTGGGATAAGATGTGTGTACAGCAGGGAGAAGGAAAAATTGGGGGCCAACTTGGAATTCTGCCAACCACATGATCTAAAGCAGTTTCTATCCAGCCCTGAAATGCAACTTGCCTCTTTGCTTTTCTGTAGTGCAGTTAGATATATATACACTTGAATCTTTTGCCCATAATATGTCCCATCATTTCTCAGGCTATCAGCACTCAACTTATATATCCTGAGGGGCACAGAGTGTAGGCCAAAGATAAGTCAAGACAATTATCTGTAGCTTTTAGTGTAGGCTTGCACAGTATGGGCTTCTAGAATGTTCAAATTTTCCACATGAATTTTTTTGTAAATGTCCCAGGTGTTGCTTAGTTTTAGATATATTGGAACACATACACCCTGAAATACATTGCCATCTTTTTTATGATCTTAGCTTAATGATGACATTTGACTAATCTTCCCCCTTTCCTCTTCAACTTAAAGTTGTCATCTAAAGTCTAATTAAGGTCAGGGGATGGGTAGGACTGACCCAAAAGCAAAGGAAGTCTAGGGCCAGGTCAGTGCTCAGAAACCAATTCTGATGAACTTAGAGTCATACAGTTCCTCATAGCTAGAAGGGAAGTTGGATGGTATCTATTCGCTAGAAGTGGATCTTAGAAGCAACCTTCCTTTCTCTACTGCTCAAAAGTTTAAAATATACCACTTCCTTCTGTATTTCTTCAAGCAGTTAAGACTTGATACAAATATTCTCATAATTAGGTCATATCCATTTTTAACATTTCAGTCGCTGAAAATTCATCACTACTTTGTTTTTCCAGATGTAAAACTTAACTCGTTGAACTGTGGTTTGCTTCTGCTCCAATTAAAACATAAAGAAATTACAGGGATACATTTTCACTAGATCAAGTATGTAAACTGATTTAAGAATGTTTTAATTGTAATAATAGTTTGTAAGGACAACATCATTTTAATTTAATGAACATGAAAAACATCTTCTCAAAGGATTCTGGAAGCATATGGTAAAAAGGCATTTTTAACAAAATGCAAAGGTTAGAAAAAATTCTTGTTAGGATGAATAGGCTACAAAGAAGTATTTCATGGGAACTATCATACATTTTGACACTTAGAGAAATGAAATTGATAATAAGGTCTACATTATGTCTATCATGCTATATTATCATGAATTATATCACTACAGCTGATATCTGTGTAACACTGGATTGGCAGTGACTGAGATGATTTGCAGATATGTTTGGGCACAGTAACAAAGATGAACTAATTAACAGTGTTCCTGAAACATACATGCTATCTCTACAAATTTCCTATATCTAAAAGTTTGTGGTGTCTTGCAAATGCATGAAGGCCAAGATGTATTATAGAGCAGTTGCCATGTAGTCTCTTATGTTAGAGAAGGTAACTGGCTTTTTTGAAGGGTATAAAGAAAAATGAACAAATTTTAATCATCTACTAGATATTAACACTTTTGCATTTATACCTTAAAGATGTCATTAGCATAATCCCTTAAAAAAATCTTTTCAAGCAGACTGCAAAAGTCAAAGAGAATTCCATACATGTCCATTTGAAGCTTAAAAAGTAGCAAATCCAACACATAAAACATTAAAAATGCACATAAGTAGGTTAATACATATATTAGGCAGCCGTCTTCATAAATTATGTTTTGTTGTTTCATTTTAACCACATTTGTCTTCAAAATACCACTGTATTTCACAGGTGTAAAAACTGAGGCAGAGACATTCTGCACAATGCCAAAAATTGTAGGCATAAAAGGCAATTATGCAGCTCAAATGTCTGCTTTCTGTTCTAATTCTATTTTTTCTATACTATTTAAACATCGTTCAAGGTGAGGATATTTATACAAATAGGAGACTTGGAGAAAATATTTGGTGGGTGGTTAGCAAAGGTAATTGAATTTAATTTTTGGATATGTTGAGAACCTGGGTTTGGATCAAATTTTTTATCTGATATTGCTTTCTTCTAAAGTACTAGACTTCAGGATTATTTTGACCCATATAAAAATATTAAATTTATTCAGAAAAAAAGGATGAGAAAAGCACACTGGAGCTAGAAAAATTCACAATAAAATGTATTAAGGATCTGGAAATTATTAGCTTTTTCAAAGATTAAATAAATGAGATTCTTAATCACAGAAGAGAAGAGGGGTTTCATAACAGTTCTCCCACACAGGCTGAATTGTAAGGAAGAAAAAAAGTATTTTATTCTGTTATATCAATAGTAAAATGAGAAGAAGTAAGACAGATTTAGGCTAATGAATTGATGAACTTTCTGAATGAAATAGATTTATCATGGGAGATTCCTTCACTAGAGATCCTTTATGTAAGTTGAAATGATTTCAAAATTTTTCTACTTATCTTCTAAGGAATTCCATTACAAAACTCCTCAAGGTAATAAATATGATTAAATCTAGTCATGCATAGACAGAATCCAGAAAAAAAAATAGATTCATATAACCTGGTCATATACTGTACAGGTATATGAACATTATAAAAATTATCAAGATGGTTTATGATGGAATTGCTCTAATGTTTGTAAATTTCACTTGGTTGAATTGATCAAGCCCTGATAAACAGATAGCCAAGGGATCAGTCAAAGTGGCAGATGATATTCAGTAGGTCAGAGGGTATAATAATGGAATCATTTATGTTCTGGTTACTACACTCAAGCTGTGGGAACCAGATATTGTGGCAGTAAGATATGCGTAATTGAATAAAAATAGAATGAACATTGAAGGGAAGTGTCTAAACTTTTTACCATTTTGTAATTAAAATCTCCAAACCAACAGAAATGTTATAAGACTAGTAGAGTAAACATTCATACGCCCATCACCTAGACAACTACTATCAGTTTGCTATATCTGCACTATAAGTGTTTGTGTGCATTATATGAATACATATATACTATGGATTTTGATCCATTTTAAAATAAATTGCATATTTATTTATGACACTTAGGCCCTGTATATTTCAGCACACATACCTAAAATTGAAGACATCTTCCTATATAACCAAACACCATGAAATCACCTGATAAAATTAATAATAATTCCCTAATATCATTTAATGCCTATGCTATATTCTGATCTATCCTTGGTTCTTTTTAATTGTGTTACTATTTTATAGGTCCTGTGTGATTGAAACAGTTATAGAAACAAAATTGCCAATACAAAAGTCCAGGAACAGAGGGATCCACAGCTTAATACTATCAGGCATTCATAGAAGAATTGATATTAATACTACTGAAACTATTCCAAAAGACAGAGGAAGTGAGAATCCTCCTTAAATCATTCTGTTAAGCCAATATCACCCTAATACCAAAACCAGGAAAGGACATCACAAAAAAAGAAAACTACAGACCAATATCCCTGATGAACATAGATGCAAAAATCTCAACCAAATACTAGCTAACTGAATCAAACAGCATATCAAAAAGATGATAAATCATGATCAAGTGGGTTTCATGCCAGGAATGCAGGGTTGGTTTAACTTATGCAAGTCAATAAATGTGATACACCACATAAGCAGAAGAAAAAGAAAAATCATATGATCATTTCAATAGACGCAGAAAAAACATCTGACAAAATCCAGCATCAACTTATGATTAAAACCCTCAGCAAAATCAACATAGAAGGGACATACCTTAAAGTAATAAAAGCTATCTATGGCAAACCCACAGCCAACATTATACTGAATGGGGAAATGTTGAAAGCATTTCCCCTGAAAACTGGAAAAAGACAAGGACGCCCACTTTCACCACTTCTGTTCAACTTAGTACTGGGAGTCCTAGGCAGAGCAATCGGACAAGAGAAAGAGATAAAGGGCATCCAAAGCAGTAAAGAATAAGTCAAACTGTTGTGGTTTACCAATGATATGATTGTATACCTAGAAAATCCTAAAGACTTCATCCAAAAAGTTCCTAGATGTGATAAATGAATTCAGTAAAGTTTCAGAATACAAAATCAATGTACACAAATCAGTAGCACTGCTATACACCAACAGCAATCAAGCTGAGAGTCAAATCAAGAACTCAACCCCTTTGAGGACAACTGCAAAAAAAAAAAAATACTTAGGAATATACCTAACCAAAGAGGTGAAATATCTTTACAAGGAAAACTACAAAACAATGCTGAAAGAAATCATAGATGACACAAACAAATGGAAACACATCCCAGGCTCATGGATGGATAGAATCAATATTGTGGAAATGAGCATACTGCCAAAATCAATCTATAAATTCTATACAAATCCCATCAAAATACCATCATCATTCTTCACAGAACTAGAAAAAGCAAACCTAAAATTCATACGGAACAAAAAAAGAGCCTGCATAGCCAAAGGAAGATTAAGCAAAAGGAACAAACATATCTGGAGGCATCGCATTACCCGACTTCAAACTACACTATAAGGCTATAGTTACCAAAACAACATGGTACTGGTATAAAAACAGGTATGTATACCAATAGAAAAGAATAGAGAACCATGAAATAAAACTAAATACTTACAGCCCACTGATCTTTGACAAAGTAAACAAAAACAAAGTCAGGAAAGAACATATTCAACAAATGGTGCTGGGATAATTAGCAAGCCACATGTAGAAGAATGAAAGTGGATCCTCATCTCTCACCTTATATAAAAATCAACTCAAGATCCATCAGAGACTTCTAAGACCTGAAAATATAAAAGTTCTAGAAGATAATATTTGGTTGTAACCAAACACCACCTGTTTCCCAAAAACTATTGTAGTAATAATAATAATTAATAAACATATAAATTTAAAAAGGAAAACCAGAAAATTAACATTGATAGGATATTCTACTGACCTTATTCAAACTTAATCAGCAATGAGGAAACTTAATGTAATCGCTACAGCAACATTATAAGTATCATTCTCATTTCACAGATAATGGAACTGAAAAAAATGAAGCCTAAATTTATATCACAAGTTCATAAAGGCAGTGAATCACCATGATTCTTATAAGATTTTTGTTTGTATCGTAAATTCATACACTTCTCCCTACATTGCTGTTTCTTCATTATTGCCTACTATCTAACGGTGTCATTTATATTAAAAAGAAAAAATTGCAATTACAATAACTAAAATAGTTTATTGTAGCTTATTATAATTTAGAAGTTCTAGATGGTTTTAAATATCATTTGTAAAATTTGCTAAGACTTTAGTATTTGAAGAGCTTATATATTATGAAAGTTTACACTTTTAAAAAATTAGTAAAACTTGGTCTGTTGTTTCTTCTTTTCTTTCTTTTGTGTTGATGCAAAATTCCTTTCCGTTTGTACAGATATAAATGGCAGCAATTAACTCTGCTTGAAATACTCTAAATATATGCATATATATATATATATATATTTAAATCAGACAGCGAACATGGCACTGTCTTTTTTAAAAGCAAAAGCTTTTAAAGTGAAGAAACTGGGACACAGAAGAGAAATAATTTGTAAGTGTCACGTAGTCAGCAAGGAGTAAATATTTTTTGACTTTGGTAAAATACATTAACTATTTCATGATGCTTGGCAAATAACAAATAGTAAATAAATGAGTGTAAATGAATAAAATCCCAGTTGCAAGCTAATTTCCTGAAAATAAAAGATATATTACAATAACCTCTTGGCATTCTTAAGAGTATATCCTGAGATATTTTTGAATCTCAAAACATAAATTCCAGTATGATATAATATCCCCCACAAAACGCAGTAGCAAACAGATGAAAAATATAACTGATTCCTTCAGACTAAAATATTTAGTATATACAAAACTGAAGTCAGTTTCTGCACTGAACTGAACATTTGATGAAAAATTTTCACAACTGCTTTTTTCTTTATTCTGTATAGAATATACTGTAGACACTATGTGACAAATGTGAGCCAAAAACAAGTTTGATATTTCATTCCTTAACTTAAAAATCATTCCTTCTTCTTAAGATTTCTAAGGCTTAAATGTTTGCCCCCTCCCAACTCATCTTGAAACTCAGTTTCCATTGTAACAGTATTAAGAGATGAGCACTTTAAAAAGTAATTGGGTCATGAGAACTCTGCTCTTCCCTCTTGAATGGATTAATCTATTCATGGATTAATGAGTTATCACAAGAGTGAGCAAGTTATCACAAGAATGAGTGTGATATAGAAAGGCACTTTGTCTCTCTCTTTCAAACCCTCTTACCATATGATGCTATGTGCCAATTTGGAACTCTCCAGAGAGTCCTCACTAGCGAGCAGGCCTTCACCAGATGTGGGCCATTGACCTCAGACTTCACAGCCTCCAGAACTGTAAGAAATAAATGTATTTTCTTTGTAAACTACCCAGTCTCAAATATTCAGTTACAGCAGCAAACAATTAAATAGGAAACAGATTAAGAAACATAATTATTCAAAGTCTTTTTGCCTTTCTTCTCTAGCACTGGCATTTTGACTTTCTCCCAGAAATTTCTGTCATCCCTCATCCCCACTGTAAATGTGAAGGAAGAAAAAAACATAACTACTTAAAATTACTGCTACCTAATAGGGAGGATAGATCCTGTTAAAGTAATGACTCTCAACTAAAGATATATTTTTTGTGTTCAGCTAAGAGTGTTGACACATTTTATACATATTCAGGTAGGCCAAGAACTCAGTTTGGTTTTTGGATTATCAGAAAGCTGAATTTCACAGCTGCTATGGCCTGAATGTGTGTGCTCCCCTAAAATCCGTATGTTGAAACTTAATCAACAGTGAGATTGAATTAGGAGGTAAGGTCTTTGGGAGGTAATTAGGTTAGGAGGGTGGACCCCTCATGAATGGGATCTGTGCCCTTATAAAGAGGCCTAGAGTGTTGCCTTGCCTCTTCTGCCATATGAGAAAACAGCAAAAAGACACTATCTATGAACCAGCAAGTGAACCCTCACCAGACACTGAATCTCCATTGCTGTTGGACTTCCCAGCCTCCAGAATTGTGAGGCATAAATTTCTGTTTTTCATAAGCTACAAAGTTTATGGTTATTTTTTAATAATAGCCTAATAGACTTCTCCAACTTTGTGAGAAAAAGAATTAAGGCGTGAGAGGAAAACCAATAAATTGATGAGAGCTCTGAAGTAATGTGATCTGTCAGGAATACCCCATGGCTGAATGTCCAAAAAGTCTTTTAATAATCACAACATCTAATTTGAAATAGCAAGTTGTTTCTTGTTTGTTGAAACAATGTAACCCTTTCTTTGTTATATGCCAACAGTCATTAAATGTTCTGCATACAACAGTCCTGTGTCAGTGGTTAATTTGGAAGAGTATATCCGAGAGCTAATGTTTGAGTCAATTTCGATGGAGATAAAGGTTGAAAAATTCAGAATAGAAGACAAGTATTAAGTAGAAGCAGGAATCAGAGTCGAAAGACAATGAAATTATAACCTGTTACTGGAATTTGCAGAAAAACTTGTGGGTTTCGGCTTTTCCACAGGAATGGCAGCCATCCACTTTACACAAGGAAAGGATGTGTTTTTTCTTTTCTTTACTCACTGAAAGTGATTAATCATATGGATAATGGCATGAGAGCAGCAACACTAGCAACACTAGTTAGGAATATATATGTTAGCTGGCCCACTAGTCTTGCTCACTAAGAGACTGGCTATTGTGTATAATTCCTACAGTACATACAAATCAGATGCCTTCCAAAAAAGATTTACAAAGCACTAATATATAGTTAAAATAAGGCCGGGCACGGTGGCTCATGCCTATAATCCCAGCACTTTGGGAGGCTGAGGCAGGTGGATCACCTGAGGTCAGCAGTTCGAGACCAGCCTGGCCAACATGGCAAAACCCCGTCTTTACTAAAAAATACAAAAAAAATTAGACAGACATGGTGGCACGTGCCTGTAGTTCCACCTACTTGGGAGGCTGAGGCAAGAGAATTGCTTGAACCCGGGCAGCAGAGGTTGGCAGTGAGCCGAGATCACACCACTGCACTCCAGCCTGGGCGACAGAGCGAGACTCTGTTTCTCTCTATATATAAAAATATTAATAATAATAATAATATTAAATATGGAGTTCACAGGTTGAAGGTATCTACCACATAATTATTATTTTGATGTGTCATAACCAAACATATCAGTTTCATAAAATATTAAATCAATAAGTATTTATTATATGCCAATGTATTTATAACTGTGATAAGTATGATGGGTTTATAAAACAAGCTTATGCAAATTTTCCTTTAAAAACTCACAATCTAGTTAACCTAAGAAACGCTACAGAAAGAAAAAATTACTTAGGTTAGGTAATCTGTTTTGTGGTCTCAGAGAACTTCACAGTACTTTGAGGCATTGCACTTGTATATGTATTTGTGTGGTATTTGAGTATTGCGTATTTAAACCACTAGATTGTGAAGAGCCTGTGTCACTCTTGTCCAAGATTATATATGGGGCTGTGTTTGTCTTGCTCTTGTTTGTATTGCCAGTGCCAGCACAATATTTGGCACATACTAAGAGGCAAAAAAAGTCTTGTTGAATAAATTAATGAACAAGAGTCTCTTATGAAAAATAGTGCTATATCTTGATATAATCAAGCGTTAAATTATCTGCGGGAGGCAGAAAAATAAGACAAAGCAATGCATTCATGTAATGTTTAGCTACTAAGTACTAAAGGAGTTTGAAAAGGAAATGATTAATAATGAGGGCCATGTAACGCTTTTTCTGGGTATTTTTTTTAAAGATGAGAAGCACCAAATATGTTTGAGGGTGAAAGGGAAGGGATCATGGAGTATAGGAAATTGATTTTACATAAGAAGTCCTATTTCTGTTTTTAGTTCCAAACATACAGTAGCTGGTAATCATTATTAAATATCGATTACCAAACTATGCTAAAAAGCAAAAATATGTGTCTCCTAAGTTTAAAAATGAATAATGTAAAATTATTCAGATAATATGGAAATTGAATAATCACCATAATAAAACATTCATCATATATTTGAAAAATATTAACTGCATCCTCCCTTAACAATCTCATCTTTAAAATCACACATCTTTTAGCGTGTCTCATCAGACCTATTTTCTGTTTTTTTTTTTTAATTAATGTTATTCTGTTCTAGACCTTCTCTCTAGGGTTCTTATCTCCTTTGCAAAGGTCAATGACCCTAATCAATCTAATATGCTCATACTCTTCAGAATAAGGCAGGGCGTTTCTTCTTAGTCATTGTGTTTGCCTTTTGCTATTCTCAATGTCACATTGACTGTTGATTCAGACTAGAAATGTTTTTGATGAGCATTCAGTTCCAACCTGAATTTTTTTTTTTACTTCAGTTGCAGGCCACTTTGTACATACCCTAACCAAATTTTATTCTATTTAGACTCATTTTAAAAACTTTATCATGATCATTTAAAATTGCATTTATGCCTTCTACGGTGTTAAAATCTCTGAATAACTTGCTGCTATCTTAAAACCTGCTGAGCATAACCTCAAGTTCTTTATAGTGAGGGTCAATAAGGATGCTAATTGCTATGTAGGGCCACTCCTCATGGTTACTATTACTATATTGCATATCCACCAGAATTAACTCCAAAACCCCAATAACCTATTCCTTGTTTTAAATCAAACTAGTTTTGTTATTATCATATATTTTTATTAATGAGAAAATCCCGTGAAACATTATTGAAAGCCCTACTGAAATCAATATAGAGCACATCTTTCCAGGTGATAACATGAACCTAATCAGTCTGCTATTACTTGGTGGGGTTGGGGGGGGGGGGCGTTAATCTTTTCCTTTGGGATATATCAGCTTCAAATTTGCCCTTACTAATGCTTTGCGATGCCATGGTCTCCTAAAAATAATAGCTTGTGGTTTTCCTGGGACATATGCCAATTATATAAGCAGCCTAGAGTGACAGTGCTTTCTGACACAAATTACTCAACTTCATATTTAAATTTTTTCATTCAGACACAGCATGCTACTGATGAGTAGTTCTCTTTTATATTTATTTGAATAATATTTGATCCTTTCTGACCAAATTAGTATCATTAAAAACAGCTGTTCCCATTCAATATAATGTACTGCATGGTACAAGTAAAATTCAAGTAAATGGCATGTTCCTATTCCATTTTTGATTAAATAATCAGCCTCAGCCTGATGCCTTTCTAGGGCAATGTTATTGTGCAAATTTAATTAGCTCATTTTGGCTATAATTGCCTCAAATTGTGTTCAGAATTACCAAGCTTATGGATTTCATGTTGCAGATGTAAAGAAGTGACTGAAGGTCTAATTTGCAAAAACTGTATTTTAAGATGCACAATGGGGCAGAAAACCATGTCTGTCTCACCTCAATGTAGAGGCCTGTCCTCTTTTTGTTTCAAAAGGATAATTCTTTAACCATTTTTCTACTTCTGAATACACTCATCTACTGTTACAATGAGTAAAATCCCCACAAAGTCTTATACGTGTTATTTTTTCCTATTATATCCTTACTTCAAAGGGAAAATATGTCACTTCACAACAAACCACTTGTCAAGAAACACTTCGAGGGCACTTTAAAGGAATAATCCATAAGAAAAAAAAAATACCAGAGGGGTTTTCTACCCAATTCTGAAGTGTAAAAACAGTAAGATAAAGTGCTAAATGTTTATCTGTAGATTAAGCCTGTGATAGTCTTCTGAGGAAATAAGGGTGAGAATTGGACTGCAATGTCAGAAGTGACTTTTGGAAGGCTTCACTGCATAACCTATTCTACATTCGTGAGATAATATATCTTCTTTGGTATGGAAAGTAGAAATGTGACCTGACACATCCCTGTAAATTGTAGTTTAAGTTACGTGTGTAACATTCTGGAGCATTTTTTGTATGAGAAGCGATTTCTGATTAGATGCTGCATTATCCAGTCCTGTAATCATAATAATTTATGTGGTATGAAAATAATGCATATTTTTCCTTTCCCTAGCAAAGAGACCGTCAATACATAAAAAAGAGATGTGAGGCCCTGGCTGGGTTTTTGGACTCTGAATCCCTCCTCTTCTCACAAATGAGGATGACTGTTATTGTCATGCTGGTCCTCACTGGTTGCAAGTTCAGGCCACTGTACCCTCAAAGCCCCTCAAATCTGCTCACCTACCTAAGTCCCCAAAGTAGGATGATTCCTTTTCTTCTGGCCCTTCAGGGTGAGTCTCAGCTGGGCTTCTGAGACCAAAAGCCCCAACAGATGCTCAGGATCAGACATAGGTCTGAAACCAGAGCTCATCCAAGGAGGCAACAGCTTCTAATCCCAGAAACCATCAGAAAGCCCAAGTGCTGAGAATTAAAATTGGCATCTTAGTCCTTTGAACAGCCTGAGTGGTGACTGCTTAAACTAACTGTTCTTCATTCTGGGTACACATTGCAAACTTCTGGGGAGATTTTAAAAACACCAATACCTGTAACCTATACCATTTAAACTAAATTGGAATCTTTGGAGAGTGCTCCCCAGGCAGCTCTAATTTTAAAAGATTTGAATTTTAAATGATTTTCAGGTGTTTTTAATAAGCAGTCAGAGGCAAAAACCACTGGCCTAGAAGGACAAACACTGCCTGGCCTTCTGCCTTTTTTTTTTTTTTTTTTCAGGATCCCAAGGATACTGCTGTGTTTCCAAATATTTATTAGGAGCTTACTGTGTTACAACAGTAGGTGCTGTTTTAGAAAAGGGGATGCAGCTATAAACAACACCAAACTGTCCTACCCTTGTGGAGCTTGAATTCTGATAGGGAACTTTTGTTTTCTTCTAGGTCTGATGGAAGACAACAGGACAAGAGTCAGTTATCTCAGAGCTCCCTGAACTATCCAGGAGAAAATGATGGTTCTGTTCAGGACTCGACACTCATCAGCTGCTTATTTCTGAATCCTGACATGAGCTAGAACCCCTAAGGATGAAATATATTCCCACCTACTCTTCTACCAGATCTCTACGGTTTGAGAACTGATATTCAGAGTCAAGTCCACCTGCTATAATGATTGAACTTATCCTAATGATGTTAATCTTCACTTCAGTAGAGGCTTGTGATCAAACGATCTCTGTGTGATATTGCAAAACTGTCATATAGGGATTGAAATAAGTTCATATCAACCATATAGGGATTGAAATAAGTTCATATCAACCATAAGACCAAGCCGAGGTCACATTCTTACTTTTAACACTCTGAACTTGTTACAGAGAAGCATATATCCTTCACCCATTAAACTGTGCTGGAAATTTAGTGAGGTTACCTTAAAAGATGTCTGCGCCTCAAATGGCTCATTGTGAAAATAGGAAGAATAGTAACTACCTTGAATAACTGTTGTATTAAATGAGATCTTTCCTAAACTACTTAGCCTAGCATTTGAGATTCTGCATAATTTCCTCAGAACTACACCACTCCACATAGGCTATAGTCTCATCGCCCTGCATTCTTCTGGTTTTTGCCCTTTCAGTAATATGCAATAAACATTTACCCTGTCAATAAAACATGTCATTTTCTACACTTTAAATCATTGTGTTATATTCTATTAAGTGAATCTATGAGGATTTATTGCTGTTGGACTTTGCGATTGTTTCTTATTTTTCACTACTCTAAACATAGCAAGAAATAATGGAATTAAATGTTTGCATATACCTTGATTGGATCAAATGCACTTGTGAATATTCTATAACTACTCCTCATTCTTCTTAGCCATTCCTCCTTAGTTTGCTGATTTATTAACCATGAGGTTCAGTCCTCAAAACTTTCTCTTACCACTGTTGATGAAACCGTTGAATCACGTGGATTTAAATATCATATCTACACTGAGAACTCCCAAATTTATATACTCAGCTTGGACCTTCTGCTGTACTCCAGAATTACATATTTTATTGCCTCCAGTTACACCTCACTACTTGGATGTTTAATAACCAGTTCAAAATTCACATGTCCAAACCCAAACTCTTGCTTTTTCAATGAAATGTAACTACAGACATGTCTATATCTGCAAATGCCAACCTCATCCTTCTAGATGCTTAAGCCCAAAACTTAAATTCATTCTTGCCTCCTCGGTATCACAATATAACAAATGCTGTTGGCTCCATCTTCAAACCATATTACTTAGTCTACCTGAACTGCCAAGTGCTATCACTCGAATACAGGTCACTATCCTCTCCATCCTGGATTACTCCAATCGTCTCCTAACAGGCCTGCCTGTTATTTTTTTCTGTTATTTTTATTTTTTTTTTCCTGCATTCCCCAGGCTCAGAATATTGTCAACACAGCAGCCAGAGTGATCCTAAAATAAGTCATGGCTCTCTGCTGAAAACTATCCAATGATCCAATGGCTTCCCTTCTCATTCAGAGCAAAATTAAATTACTAGAGTAGTCTAGACACTCCACAATATCTGCCCCCCTTAAACTGTTAGCTGTCTGACCTCAAACTTTCATTATAATCTTACTGTAAGCTCCCTCCTTCAGCTACACTGGCTTCTGGGAGGTTTTCCTAATTGGTCAGGCATGCTGCCTTCTCAGGCTCTTTGGCACTAACCCTTTCTTCTGCTTGAATGCTGAAGCATAGACATCATGGCTAGCTGCTTCATGTTCTGTAGATCCTTGTTCCTCAGGAAAGCCTTCTCTAAGCATCCCATTTTAAATGAAGACCCGTATCCTTTAACCCCCCTCTGTTTCTTGAAATAAAAATATAAGCATCATACCTACTATATATGGTACTAATTCATTTTTTACATCTGTTTCCCTACTAGGTTGTAATCTCACAATGGCAGAGGTTTTTACCTATTTTGATCTATCCCCAGCATCTATAACAAGTGATCATGCTCTAATAGCATCATGCTTTATTATAGCTCCTACCATATTTATAATTTTGATTTTTTTACTTAGGCTAATGTTTGGCTCTCTGACTAACACATGGGCCCATGTAAGCCTTCAGAGTATATTTGTTGGTTGACTGAGTGAATTAATAAATACCTAATTATTTCCATGTTTTAAAATACTAGAAATGAGATGCTATCCAAATGTAAACGTTAAGTTTCATTCCAAATGTAGCCTTAGTCTAGTGGCTTTTTTTTTTCTTCCTGCCTTCAGATAGTTTTTAAAAAATTTCATATTATTTATCTTTCATAAAGCCTTTATTTAGTTGTAATTAATATAAAGTAAATTTTGCCCATTTACATTATTCACTTCAATTTTTCTTGTATACTTACATAGTTGTGCAACCCTCACCACAACCAATTTCAAAAGATTTTGATTAACCCAATAAAAAACCCCATACCCTTTAAGATTCATCTCTCTACATCCAATTTCCTCTTAACATGCACACCCCCCTCCCAAGTCCTAAAAAATTACTCATAAGAAATTTATTTCTGTCCATTCTCTTGGGAGCACTAGCTGGCACAGATCCTGTGAGGCCACCCCCCCCCCACCCCACCCCCGCCAGTGTCCTGCCCCTGCATCTACACTGCCTGCAGAGTGAAATTATTCATGGAGAATAGCAAAGCAACCCTCACCCTGAGTGGCCACCACTGCCTGTATGAATATGCATAGACAGCGCACACATGTCTGATGTTGTGCCTACCAGTGCCCTGCCCCCATGTTAATCCTCACCACTGGCAGGAAGGCATGCACAGTCATTGGCAAGGGGCCTTCCTGCACTCCTCCAACTGTGCTGCCACCACCACTGCTGCAAATGTCCGCACGGAGGTCGGTACCATGGCACCTGCTAGCACCATGCTGCAGCCAATGAATGTGCACCCCGTCGTGCTGCCACTGCCATTGCTGCTGGCAAATATAAATGAAGACGAATCTTGGTACCACTGCTTTATGAAGTGCCTTAGCTGACACTACCCATTGGAATGTTGTGACCAGTGGTTCAGGAGCACGTTGGCCCCTCCAGCATAGCAGGTTCCTAACCTTGAGAAGCCAGAGAACAAAGCTGGGGTTCAATACCAGTTCCCTAGAGTTACAGAACGCAGCCCAGGAGTTGTGAGCTGAGCCTTGGCCCATGAAAATCTTCCAGAGCTGAAGCCAGTCGGCTGAACCCAACTTATACTACAATCAAACTTCCCAAGTTCATCAAATAGGGTAAGAGCAAAAAACCTATTCAACTTCAAAGCAACTTCAAAGACTGAAAGAACATCAGCCCACAAAGATGTGAAAGCGCCTCTGCAAGAACTGTAACCAGAAAGCCAGAGTGTTGTTTTTCCTCTAGATGACTGCACTAGTGGAGTGTTGAAGTCTCCCAGTATTATTGTATGGGAGTCTATGTCTCTTTGTAGGGATCTAAGAGCTTGCTTTATGAGTCTGGCTGTTCCTGTGTTGGGAGAATATATATTTAGAATAGTGAGGTCTTCTTGTTGAATTGAACCGTTTACCATTATATAATACGCTTCTTTGTCTTTTTTAAATCTTTGTTGGTTCACTGTCTGCTTTGTCTGAAATTAGGATTGCAACCCTTGCTTTTTTTCTGTTTTCCAATTGCTTGGTAGATTTACCTCCATCCGTTTATTTTTAGCCTATGTGTGTCATTGCATCTTAGATGTGTCTGGGTCTGTTGAAGGCAGAATATCATTGTTTGTTTGTTTGTTTTCCCTCCTGCTTGGAAATCAGTGCCTCTCTCTCTCTCTCTCTCTCTCTCTATATATATATATATATATATACACATATGTGTATATACATACATGTATATATGTGTGTATATATATGTATATGTGTGTGTGTATCTATCTATCTATCTATCTATCTATCTATCTATATATATATACTTTAAGTTCAAGGGTGCATGTGCACAATGTGCAGGTTTGATACATAGGTATACGTGTGCCATGTTGGTTTGCTGCACCCATCAACTCGTTGTTTACATTAGGTATTTCTCCTAATGCTATCCCTCCCCCAGCCCCCCATCCCCTGACAGGCCCCAGTGTGTGATGTTCCCTGCCTTGTGTCCAAGTGATCTCATCGTTCAATTCCCACGTATGAGTGAGAACATGCGGTGTTTGGTTTTCTGTCCTTGTGATAGCTTGCTGAGAATGACGGTTTCCAGCTTCATCCATGTCCCTGCAAAGGAACTCATTTTCTTAATCCAGTCTATCATTGATGGAAATTTGGGTTGGTTCCAAGTCTTTGCTATTGTGAATAGTGCCACAATAAACATATGTGTGCATGTGTCTTTATAGTAGCATGATTTATAATCCTTTGGGTATATACCCAGTAATGGGATTGCCGGGTCAAATGGTAATTCTAGTTCTAGATCCTTGAGGAATCACCACACTGTCTTCCACAATGGTTGAACTAATTTACACTCCCACCAGCAGTGTAAAACTGTTCCTATTTCTCCACATCTTCTCCAGCATCTGTTGTTTCCTGACTTTTTAATGATTGCCATTCTAACTGGTGTGAGATGGTATCTCATTGTGGTTTTGATTTGCATTTCTCTAATGACCAGTGATGATGAGCATTTTTTCATGTGTCTGTTGTCTGCATAGATATCTTCTTTTGAGAAGTGTCTGTTCACATCCTTTGTCCGCTTTTTGATGGGGGTAGTTTGTTTATTTCTTGTAAAATTGTTTGGAAACTCGGTGCCTTTTAAGTGGGGAATTTAGCCCATTTACATTCAAGGTTAGTGTTGATATATGTGGATTTGATCCTATCATTGTGTTGTATCAAAGACTACTATGAATATCTCTATACAAAGAAACTAGAAAATCTAGTAGAAATGGGTAAATTTCTGGACACATACACCCTACAAAGACTTGATTAAGAAGAAATTGAATCTGAACAGACCAACAAAGAGCTTAAAATTTTAATCAGTAATAAATACCCTATGAACCATAAAAAGACCAAGACCAGACAGATTCAGACCCAAATTCTACCAGATGTACAAAGAAAAGCTAGTAGCATTCCAGCTTGAACTATTCTAAAAAACTGAGGAGAAGGGACTCCACTCCAACTCATTCTGTGATGCCAACATCATCCTGATGCCAAAATATGGCAGAAACACAACACAAAAAGAAAAGTTCGGGTCAATATCCTTGATGTACATTGATACAAAAATTCTCAACAAAATACTAGCAAACCAAATCCAGCAGCACATCAAAGAGCTAATCCACCATCACCAAGTAGGCTTTATCCTTGGGGTGCAAGGTTGGTTCAATATATACAAAGCAATAAACATGATTCAGCACATAAACAGAACTAAAGACAGAAAGCACTTGATTACCTTAATAGATGCAGAAAAGGCTTTTAATAAAATTCAACATTCCTTCGTGTTAAAAAAATCCCAACAAACTAGTTATTGGAGGCAGATATCTCAAAATAATAAGAGCCATCTATGACAAATTCACAGCCAACATTATGCTAAGTGGGCAAGAATTAGAAGCATTCCCCTCAAAAACCAGCACAAGACAAGAATGCCCTTTCTCAGCACTCCTATTCAACATAGTATTGGAAGTTCTGGCCAGAGCAATCAGCAAGAGAAAGAAATAACAGGCATCCATACAGTAAGAAAGACAGTCAAAATATCCCTACTTGCAGATGAAATTATTATGTATCTAGAAAACCCTATAGTCTTGGCCCAAAAGCTCTTTCAGCTTATAAGCAACTTCAGCAAAGTTTCCAGATACAAAATCAATGTACAAAAGTCACTAGCATTCCTGTAAACCAACAACAGCCAAGCTGAGAGACAAATCAGGAAGGCAATCACATTTACAATTGCCACAAAAAGAATAAAATACCTAGGAATACAGGTAACCAGGGAGGTGAAATATCTCTATAATGAGAATTACAAAACATTTCTCAAAGAAATCAGAGATGACACAAATAAATGAAAAACATTCCATCCACATGGACAGGAACAATCAATATTATTAAAATGTCTATACTGCCCAAAGCAATTTACATATTCAGTGCTATTCCTATCAAACTACCAATGATATTCTGCAAAGAAATAGAATAAACTATTTAAAAACTCACATGGAACCAAAAAGAGCTCAAATAGCCAAGGCAATTCTAAGCAAAATGAACAAAGCAGGAGCCATCATACTACCCAAATTCAAACCATACTACAGGGCTACAGTAACCAAACAGCATGGTACTGATACAAAAACAAACACACAGACCAATAAAACAAAACAGAAAACTCGGTCTATATGCTGCACAACTAAAACCATCTGCTCTTCAATAAGGCTGACAAAAAAAACAAAACAATGGGAAAAATGACTCCCCATTCAGTAAATGGTGCTGGGATAACTGGTTAGTTATATGCAGAAGATTGAAGCTGGACCCCTTCCTCACACCATACACAAAAACCAACCCAGGATGAATCAAAGACTTAGATGTAAAACCAAACAATGAAAACCATGGATGACAACTTAGGCAATACCATTCTGAACACAGGAACTGGCAAAGATTTCATCACGAAGATGCCGAAAGTAATTGCCACAAATGCCAAAATTGACAAATGAGATCTAATTAAACTAAAGAACTTCTGCACAGCAAAAGAAACTATCAACAGAGCAAACAGACAACCTACAGAATGGGAGAAAATTTTTGCAAACTATGCAACTGACAAAGGTCTAATATTCAGCCTTTATAAAGAACTTAAGCAAATTTACAAGAAAGAAACAACCAACCCCATTAAAAAGTGGGCAAAGGGCATGAACAGGCACTTTTCAAAAGAAGACATACATGTAGCCAATAAGCATATGAAAAAAAGCTCAACACCACTGATCATTAGAGAAATGTAAATCAAAGCCACAATGAAATAATACCATCTCACACTAGTCAGAATGGCTATTATTAAAAAGTCAAAAAATAACAGATGCTGGCAAGGTTGCGTAGAAAAGGGAACACTTACACAACGTTTGTGGGAAAATAAATTAGTCCAACCATTGTGGAAAGCAGTGGGGGAATTCCCCAAAGGGCTAAAAACAGAACTACAGTTCCACCCAGTGAGCCCAATACTGGGTATATTACCCAAAGAAATACAGAGGCCATTATCCTCAACAAACTAATGCAGGATCAGGAAACCAAACACCGCGTGTTCTCACTTGGTGAGAGCTAAATTATGAGAACACATGGACACAAAACGGGGAACAATGGATACTGGTGCCTACCTTAGGGTGGATAGCAGGAGGAGGGAGAGGAGCAGAAAAAGTAACTATTGGGTACTAGGCTTAATAACTAGGTGATGAAATAATCTGTCCAACAAACTCCCATAACATATGTTTACCATATATTGTTACCTATAGGTCATATATAGGTTATATATAAAAAACCTGTACATGAACCCATTAACTAAAATAAGTTTTTTTTAATAAAAAGAAATCTATTTCTGTCTCTACAGATTCTCCTATAAGGGATACTGAATATAAATAGGATCATACAATATGTGGTTTTTTGTGACTGGCTTCTTTCTTAACATAGTAATTTCAGGAATCATTTGTGTTGTAGTATGTATAATTACTTCGTTTGTTTTTATTGCCAAATAATAAATATTCCTTTGTATGGACACATTTTGTTTTATTTATCCATTCATTAGTTGATATAAACATTAGATTGTTTCTACTTTTTGGACATTATAAATAATAGCAAAATAATGAATATGTGATTACAGATTTTGGTGTGGGCATCTTTTTCCATTTCTTTCTGACAATTTCATATTCAAAAATATTACTTCATTTTTTAAGTCTGCATTCATTGAATTTCTAGTGAATTATACATGGTTTCATATTTAAGCCATTTATTTAGATATTTTGTGAAATTATTCCCACATTCCTTGTCTTTTTTCCTCTTGTGTTATTGCTAATTAATCTTTTAAGTGGTTTTGTATAATAGATTAATTAACTATTTGCCAATCACATATATTATAAGTATTTCCCTCTACTGGGGGAGATTATAAGTTTCTACTTTATAAATGATTTGAAATGTATACTACAATGATATTCTAGAATGTATTGAAGTAGTATGAACACTTAGAAAAATTGTTGTTAATTTTTGTATTTCTTTAGTTTTTCTTTTCTTAACTTTAACTTTTTATTTTATATAGAATCAATGTTGATTTATAGTCTGAGATAGGAATCTAATTTTTTTCTATCACATAACATTTCAAAAGTTGTAAAAGAGGTGAGACAAAAGTAATATTTAGTTTGATTCTTAAGAACAAAGAAAATTTAATGAGCTAGAGCATATGTTCAACACAATAATCTCAATTAAACCAAATAGGCACACAACGCTTTTAGAATATTGGTTCCAGCTTCACCAAAGTGACCAGAAATACCTAGTATTGATGACAGTGAAATTGGGCCAGTTCGAATAATGTTGCTGTGATCATGCTTATGTCAAAATACCATAGTCATATCATAAAAAGATTTTTTTCTAAATAAAAATATTTTAAATATTCCTAGACTTAAATAATGAGAATGATAAATTCTACTCAAAAATATAACAATTCTGAGAGCACATGGTAAAATAAGCACCCCCATACAATATGTTTAATTATATAATCTATTGTTTAATCAAACCAGCAACTGTGTGTCAAGAACCTCATATATATCCATACATTTTTGGTCTGATAATTCCATTAAATTTGAAAGTTTTATTTACTCAACAAAGATAGAATTAGTACCTATCATGTGTCAGTCTTTCTGATAAAGCCTGAGAACATAGTGGCCCTTGCCCTCATGGAGCTTACGATCTAATTGAGAAAGATGTGAAGGAAACAGACTTTAAATGATCACATATGTGATTTTATAACTTCATTTTTCATGTGACATAAAAGAAAATTACAAAGTGTTAGGATAGCTGATTAGAGATGTGCCTGACCTACACCTGAAGGCCTGGGAAGGCTGATTAGATTTAACATAGAATTTAAGACCTGAATGAATGATGACTATGAGCTGGGTGAACAGAGTGCAAATGAGGGGTGATGTCCATAAAAATCCAGAGGATGAGGCAAGCCAAGAAGCAAACAGGAACATGTCATTGTAAATTCTCTATAGGTGATAAGCAGAGCAAATCAAGCCTATGCATGAGTAGGTACTGTATCTGAAATTACTGAGTGACATTTTCTTTTTTATCACATTGAAAGCATCTTATATATTAGTATGATAATGTCTGTGGATTATAACTATCGATGATTTGAAGATGCTGAACCACAAGCCAGTTGGATCACTTAAGATATTATGGAATCTGTTTTGGAAACAACCAGGTAAAAATGCCTTGTCAAAGTGTGGGAACATATTAAGCATACTTCCTAATGATTCACATAGATGCCCGTTTGTCAATTGCTTTGGAGTTAAGTGTGCTCCATTCTCCACTTTACTGTGATATCCTTCAGGCTCCATGCCTTGTCTCTTCTCTCGCTGTCATTCTTCCATTAGTGAAGAGCACTACTGTCTTCTTAAAGCATGTGATATCCATTGGTTTTGGCTCCCAAATTACCTATTTTACCCTGACTTCCCCAGTGCTTATCAGCTTGAAATTCCTTATTATTTTTCTCTTCTCTCTTTCTTCCAACCTAGTTGAGGCTTAATGGGACAAAGGCTAAGTGTTGAATACTTGCTCCAAAGTCATCACACTCTATTCTTTCTCAATTATTGGTAAAAAGTCTACTCTTCTCCTAGGGTCTTAATACCGGGTTTCAAGTATATGGAGCGCTACTGAATGGGAGGTCAGCAGTGATTACAGTTAACAGATGAGATGAGAATTTTCATAGAAACAGAGTTTGAAAGAGACTTTCAGGATCATTTAGCCGATAACCTTAGAAAGTGCCATCTTGATCCCTACTTCTCGCTCCTCTATCCTCTCTGACCTTGCCATAAAACCGTTGCTTGTCTCTGTTTTTAGTATTCTTAGAATATTATAATAACTTAGTATTCACTGCATTATGCTTTGAATAAGACTATTTACATACATATCATTCCTGCTTATCCATGGAAGATGTTGAATGCGGGAACCATGTCTTGCTCATCAACATGTTCCCCCATGCCAAGCCAAGTGCCTGTTACGTAATAAAGACACAATAGCTATTTTGGAATGGTTAAATGGTGCTAGAATTAAGTGGCTGGCACTGAAAGCAAAAAAGCTGCACAAAATTTATGACAGGAACTACGCAGCCTTTGAGGTGGCTATGCACTAATCTGGTTCCAGGTCCATCAGCCCTTATGAGGTATATGGGAAAGATAATCAGATGAAAATCAAAGCCAAAGCATTTGTTCCCTCCAGATTATGCCAGTGGCTATTCTCTTACATGACAAATTCCTCAGTCCACAGTGTGGATATCCATGGTCCACATAAGCACAAGGGGTCCTTTGCATCTGATAGATCTTGGTGTATTTAATTATAGTTGATTGACAGCCAGGTCTTTTTTTTTTTAAGCTTTAATTTACCAGGAATCAGGAAAAAAAATCTGAATATATTTTCAGGGTTTTAAGTAGGCAGATGACTCAGTGTTAACAAGCTTGTTTGAAAAGTTGCAAACACTCGTACAGTGACACATGCCACCATCCCCGAAGGCCCGCACATGGTGAGAGATTTGATACGACATGAAAGACCGAACTATGACCATAATAGGATTCATAAACAGGGACAAGAGTCTCACTACAACAGTACATAGGACACATGAGCAAGGTTTACATACCCAGTTTGGTGCTGACTTGAAATTAGCAGACATCCCATCCTTTACTTAAAAAATAAATATTAGGGATTATAATTCTAGACTTGCTGAATCCTCACAATGTTGCTTTGTGTAGATATCATGTAAGAAAGAGAGAAAGAAAAATAATTACACAAATGACTGAAAATTAGTTATTCACAATATTAAGCAGAACTGTCTTCTTGCAGGATGAGGTGCATGGCGAGATGTTCAGATGTTCCGTGATTCCTGGCACTGACACCACGGCAAGAATGTCAGACATGGTGATATTGTGTGGATCTGTGTCCCCGCCCAAATTTCATGTTGAATTTTAATCCCCAGTGTTGGAGGTGGGGCCTGGTGGGAGTGGTTTCTAATGGTTTCACATCACCCCTTTGGCGTTGTCATGGCAACAGTGAGAGAGTTATCCTGAGATCTGGTTGTTTACAAGTGTGCAGCAGCTCCCCCACACACCCCCCTTCTTGTTGCTTCTGACATGTAGGACACCTGCTCCTGCTTTGCCTTCCGCCACGAGTAAGTTCCCTGAGGCCTCTCCAGAAGCAGAAGCTGCTATGCTTCCTGTACAGCCTACAGAACCATGAGCCAATTCATTAAACCTCTTTTCTTTATAAATTACCCGGTCTCGGGTATGTCTTTACAGTAGTGCAAGAATGGACTAATACACATAAAGATATGACGTCTGAGAGTTTCAGGAAGCATATGTTAGGTATAGTACTTCTCAACACTTAAAAAATTCTATGATCTTTGTGTTGTGTTTAGGATTGGAGTGGAAGAAAAAAGAAAACTGAGAGTCTGCTTTTAATTTAGAAAACACACCACATTGGAAATTGCCTAACCCGAGATATCTTGTCTTCTGTTTTTTTTTTTTTACATAAGTTATATGTATAATAATGAGAAGTGAATACACAAAGTTAGATTGACACATACAAATTATATGTATATTTTAAATACAATTATAATGACAGTTTTAGGTGTAAATTATTATAACGTAAAATGTTATAGAATGTGGTCAAATAAATTAAACGAAAATATAATACTAGTTAGTAATTAGTATATCCCTTAAGAAACTTTAACATACACAGCATACTTCTTTACATTAATAATTTACTTACCATACCCTTTATGGGGAATATAAAGGAAAACTTTTATTAAACTCATACATAATTATAGATTTGCAGTAATGTATTTTTAATCCATAACGTGTCAAATAAGTCTCCTGCAGCAAGCATTATAAAGACATTTTATAGTCTGCACCAACATTTATCTCAGGTTATTCATAATAAATAATTGTTTCATTTTATTGTTACTTAACACTTTTTTAATAGTTGCTGTGTGTCAGGTACTGTTCTTTGTGCTTTACAAATATAAACACATTTAATTATTACAACAACTCTCTGAAGTATTATCCATATTATCCATGCTTTACGGATGATGACATCAAAGCTCAGAGCAGTTTTCAATAACTTGTTCAGGACCACTGACCTGGAAAGCGGTAGAGCCAGGATCCAGATTCAGGCAGCCTTGTTTCAGAGTGATGATTCTTACCCATCAACAGAAATGTCTCATACTGTATTCTATTATCACCCTCTGTTCAAATCAGAATGAAAAGTGAAACTTCAGATCTCTGCTCCAGTGCGTCATGATTAGCAACTATCCCTGAATGTTTGACTTAATAAAATATTAATTCTTACAACTCAATCTCAATTTTTGTTTGGGATGACTGCTTGCCTTTTGGGGAAAATGCCCAAGTTTTATATATCCATTTTATCAGAGGATACATGTGGGTTTTTTAAAAAGTCAAATTAAATACACTGATATTGAGGAGGCCTGGGATTGCAGACTAAGAGATTAGCTCCAGGCCTTTGAGCATGTTCTTTCTTCTGCCTTCTCCTGTCTCTTTACAGAAATGCTTTCTGCTCATTTTTTTAGGTCTCAGTTCACCAGTCACTGCCTCAGAGAGGCCTTTTCTGACTCCCTATCAGAACTCAACCTCACCCCATGCACACACACACACACACACACACACACCCCATCGCTGCCCACCACAGCACCCTGTTCATCATACTACTACTTGCTGTATTCAATTATGTTGTAGATTCCCTTTCTCTTGTCATCTTATCCCAATATAAGTCCCATGATGACAGAGTCTTGTCTGTTTTACCCATCTCAATATGTATCCTTATTGTCTAGGCACATGAGCAATACTTGGTGAATATGTTTCTTAATATTGGAATGAAGAGGTTGGAAAGTAGAATTTCACAAAGCAATACTAGCACTTACTGCAAGAAATGAAAGAGACAGAAAAGTAAGAGATAGGAGTGATGTGGAACACAAATGCCTGTATTGAATCAAAAGTGCCTAAGCATTCATCCTCTTCACGAGTTAATCCTCAAGCACAGGAACATGGGAAAACTGTTCAAGTAACTTTTCAGGGCAAGAGATACACCCATCTGGACATTAAATCATAACATCTGAGGACTTACTGATCTCTAAAAGAAAGGACATCTTTCTTGCTAAATTTTCTACTTTGTCCTTAGCTTAAATCTGTTTCTTTTCAAACAAAAATAGGTAGATGTCATCTTTCTTTTAATAATTCTTAAAAGAGTAACTATCCATCGCAGAAATCTGGTCATCTTCTCTAGCCTGAATGAGTCCAGCCAATTCTGCTTCCTTACATTTTATTTTGACTAATCGTCTAGTAAATCTTGGTGGCATGTCCTCTATTGATTTTCATGTTAGGGCTTTGAGAAAGAAGAAGTGAGAATATCATGTAGTTACTGTCAGCTTGTGTAAACCAAAACCCTTCTCTTTTTTTGCCTTTAGCCTTGCCTTTGAGATTTTGTGGATTTGTAGTATTGCACCTCCAAGGCTCCTTTGAGATGAACAGTCCAAAGCGAGCAAACATTTTCACTGTTTGCTCTGAAAATTATTTCGATAAGTTCTTAACAATATGGTATTCCTGAATTTCCCAATCTGTGGAATTGGTATCTCTGGGATTAACAGACTATGACTCCCTTCATGTGCCCTCTTAGGGTTAGGAACCCCGAATGAACATTTGTTTTTCAGATTTACTTTCCTTCTTAGAGACAGCTAGAATTGATTTTTTTTGTTACTTTTCCTTCCAGCAACTATTGACTACCTTTCTTCAAATATAATCAGTCTTCTCTACAAGTTAGTGAAAATAAAGTGAGAGTTTGCATTCTATTATTTCCAGAGTTGCAACTCCCCTCCTTAACAGTTTATCTCCTGACTTAAGTCAGCCATTTTAAATGTTAACAAGGTATTATGAGGAAGGGCTGCTCTGGGCAAGAAAAGATAAGCGCATTTACGGGAGAGAATAGCCATGGTACGACAGAATCATGACTAAGTGTATCTGACCAGTGGAAGTGAAGAGAACGTTTTTTACATTTTTGTTCATAAGCATATTGGATATCATTAAAAACTAAATTTTAACCTTTCCTATTATCTGAAAAGACAACTAAAGTAGGAAATATATAATATCTATTACAAATGGCAATAGAAGAAAGATATGTAATACATATAGTAGTGTCTCAATCTCCAAGACAAACAAAAGTTCTTACAAGTCTCTTAAGTCTGAGCAGGTCGATTTTTTTAATACCAAAATGTCAGGTTCAGGATGAATATATATAGATTAGAAATAGTCTTGTATAATAAAGGGCTGTTCAATTATATTGTATGCCCTTTTATTATTAAAAAGCATTTAACATAGTTAATTAATGTAACTATTGATTATCTACTATGTGTTGAGCATGATTCCAGATGCCATAAATACAACAATAATTATCAAAATCCCACTCTCGCTTTTTAGGAGAAAGACATGGTAAACATAAATAAGTTATATGGTATGTAAAAATATGATAACTGCTGTACAATAATGAGTAAAGCAGGAAAAAGAGTATCAGAAATGTAAGTGTGGAAACAGAGAGGCAGGTTGCAATTTTAACTAAGGTGTTCAGGGTAGTTCTAACTATGAATGAGAACCAAAACATGAAGAAGATAAGGGAATAGTCAAGCTACTGTCTGCGGAGGAACAATTCCAGGCAGAGGGTACTGCTACAAAAGGCCCTAAGGCGGGAACATACCTGGCCTATACAGGGAAACAGAGCAGAATGATGTGGGGAGAATACAAGCATACCATTTTTACTGTCTTTTGCTTTAGTGTGCTTCACAGATATTGCATTTTATACAGTTTGTAGGTTTATGAAAACCCTGCAACTACCAAGTCTATAGGCTCCATATTTTCAAAAGCATTTGCTCACTTTGTGTCTCTATGTTGCATTTTGATAATTCTCACCATATTTCAAAACGTTTTCATTATTATATCTGTTACGATGATCTGTGATGAGTGATCATTGATGTTAACTATGGTAATTGTTTTGGGGCGCCATAAACCACACCCATATAAGACTTAATAATTGTTGTGTGTGTGTTCTGACCGCTCCACCAACTGGCCTTTCCCCTTCTCTCTCCCTTTCCTTGCGCTTCCCTATTCCTCCAGGCACGACAATAGCAAAATTGGGCCAATTAATAACCATACAATGACCTCTAAGTCTTCAGGTGAAAGGAAGAGTCTCACATCCCTCATTTTAAATCAAAAACTAGAAACGGATAAGCTTAGTAAGGAAGGCATTTTGGAAGCCAAGACAGGCCAAAAGCTAGGCCTCTTGTGACAATTATCCCAGTTGTGAATGCAAAATAAAAGTTAACAAAGGAAATTAAAATTGCTACTCCAGTGAACACATAAATGATAAGAAAGCAAAACAGCCTTATTGCTGACATCGAGAAAGTTTTAATGGTCTGAATAAAAGATCAAATCAGCCACAACATACCATTAAGCCAAAGCCTAATATAGATCAAAGCGCTAACACTCTTCAATTCTATAAAGGCTCAGAAAAGTGAGGATGCTGCAGAAGAAGAGTTTGAAGCTAGCAGAAGTTGGTTCATTAGATTTAAAGCAAGAAACCATCTCTATAACATAAAAGTGCAAGATGAAACAGCAAGTACTGATGTAAAAGTTGCAGCCAGTTATCCAGAAGTTCTAGCCAAGATCATTGATGAAGGTGACTACACAAAACAACAGATTTTAATGTACATGGAACAGCTTTTTATTGGAAGACAATGCCATCTAGGACTTTCACAGCTAGAGAGGAAGTGCATACCTGGCTTTGAAGTTTTAAAGGACAGACTGACTCCCTTGTTAGAGGCTACTGCATCTGTTGACTTTAAGCTGAAGCCAATGTTTATTTACCATTCTGAAAATCCTAGGACCCTTAAAATTTATGCTAAATCTACTGTGCTTATGCACTATAAAAGGAACAACAAAGCCTGGATGAAAACATCTGTTTATAGCATCATTTACTGAATATTTTATGCCCATTGTCGAGACCCCTTACCTAGAAAATATTATTTTTGAAATATTACTGCTCTTTGACAATGCCTGGTTACCCAATAACTCTAAAGAATATGTACAAGGAAATTAATGTTGTCTTTATGCCAGCTAACACAACATCCATTCTGCAGCCCATGGATCAAAGAGTAATTTTTATTTTCAAGTCTTATTATCTAATAAGCATATTTCCTAAGGCTAAAGCTGCCATAAATTGTTATTTCTCTGATGGATCTGGGCAAAGTAAATTGAAAATCTTCTGGAAATGATTCATTATTATAGATCTTATTAAGAACATTTTTAATTGATTGGAAAAAGTCAAAACATCAACATTAACAAGAGTTTGATTGAAGTTAATTTCAACCCTTATGGATGACTTTGAGGGCATCAAGACTTCAGTGGAGAAATTAACCGCAAATGTGGTGGAAATGAGAATATAACTAGAATTAGAAGTGGAGATCGAAGATGTGACTGAATTCCTGCCATCTCTTAGTAAAACTTGAATGGATGAGGAGTCGCCTCTCATGAATAAGCAAAGAAAGTGGTTCCTTGAGATGGAAACTACTCCTGGTGAAGACGATGTGAACATTGTTTAAATAAAAACAAAGGATTTAGAACATTCCATAAACTTCGTTGATAAAGTAGTGGCAGGATTTGAGACACTGAACTCCAACTTTGAAAGAAGTTCTACTTTGGGTAAAATGTTATCAAATAGCATCACATGCTACAGAGAAACCTTTTGCAAAAGGAGAGCCAATCAATGCAGCAAGTTTCATTGCTGTCTTATTTTAAGAAATTAACACAGCCACTCCAACCTTCAGCAACCAAAATTTTGGTCAGTCAGTAGTCCGTAGCCATCCACACGGAGGTAAGACCCTCCACCTGAAAATAAATTATGACTCACTAAAGGTTCAGGTAATTGTTAGCATATTTATCAATATGCTATTTTTAAATCAAAGTGTGTACATTGTCTTTTTAGACATAATGTAGTTGCACACTTAATACACCCAAGTATAGTGTAAACCTGACTTTTATATGCACTGGGCAACCAAAAATTTGTGTGACTCATTTTATTATGACATTGGCTTTATTATGGTAGTCTGGAACCTAACCTGCAGTATCTCTAAAGTATGCCTGTATTAGAAAATGAGGTCAGAGTGGTAACAGGAAGCTGTGGGAAGGTTGAAGGCAGGACTAGTCATGGCACAGGCTTCGGGAAAACCAGAAAATTCAAATACAGAGAGCTTGTTGGAATGTTTGTCCTTTGCTCACCCTGGCCTGATTCAGTAAAAAGTCCTTCAGCTGGCCACAAGGTCATAAAATTGCTATGACTTAAACTTTTTAATTTTTCAGAATGGGTACACATCAGCATAGAGATTCCCAGTATTTTGTGATGCACGAAAGTGGTCAGACCAGATAAAAATATCACAGAACCCTCTACTGTTGGTTAAGTAACATACAATTTCTGCTTCTTATGCTTTTCCTAGGAAGAAGGAAAACAACCAAGCAACAAACAAAATGACAACTACAACAAAAAATTACTTCCTTCAGGAGGCTCACATATTAAGCCCTGCCAGTCATTTTACATACATGTAAGTTACTGACTCTGTCAGCACATTCCCTAAAAGTCTGTTCTAGGCTGAGTCACTAAGGGCTAGTTTTGATAGATTCGATGTAAGTGCAGGAAGCAAATGGCCTTGTGAGGTATTTCTCAAAGAATATAAAAACAGTCCTGAGAGGTCAAATGCATTAAAGATCAACATTTCAGTTTTAGAATCCTGGCTGCAGTCTGAACATGTGACCCCCAAATGGTCTAAGTTAATAACTTCATCTTCCCAGCATGAACATTTGTTAAGCCTTACTGATCACTTAAGCATCTTTCCTCATGCTTGCTCAAACTTTCCTTAATATTAGTCCTCTGAAATAAAACATATATGAAAGCTACTCATCAATCTTCAGTTGGATTAAAAGACCTCTTCTAACTATTATGGTGATGGAAAGGTGAGATGGAAGATAAGCAAATATCTTGCTTTTGATAAAACAGGAAACCCAAATTCAGTGACCAACTGGGAAGATGACCTCTAAGGTTGAGTAATTTGATACAAGCGAGAATTGTGAAGCTGTGCTAGGATCAGATGGTTTGATATAGAAAAGGTGTTCATTATTCACAGGAGACATTCAAACTGGCAGATTATCTAACATACTGCCCGATATGTCATCTTTTCATTTACATTTGCCAATGTAGAACTTTTTCTGAGACCTCTGATTTTTAGAAAACAGTGAGATTAAGAACCTCTTTCCCACTTTTTTCTTCCAGAAAAGGGTTTACTGAAAAGAACCACACACCCTTCCCCACATGACTGAATTGAGACACAGAGGACCTTGTTTTACTTAAGACCAGACCAGACAACAGAACTGTCAAATTTCCGTTTGTTTTCTCATAAATGATTAACTGAACTGTTTGTAGCCACTGAACAATTTTATAAAAATATCTGCTAACTTGACTTGGTCAAACTTTAAATTTCTATCCTCCCCCCGCCCCAACCACCACTGAATTTTTATTTTTTATCCTCCCTCAGCCTGAGCCAGCATTGGAAGGCAAAACAAAGCCAATGTAATGGTTCCTTCCAAGAATAGGCTGACCTTGACCCCAAAGAGAAACACTTCCTTTCCAGCTCAAGTGTCTGATAGAACTACCCACTCATCCCCTCTACCATATTTTGTTCTCTCTAGCCTTGCTTATGTCTCCCTATAAAATAAAATTCTTTTCTTCATGAATCTTGGGATACTTGTAGACCTTATAGTTGAAGTGTTCTCCCTGTTGCAATAGTCTCTCTCATTTTATTGCTAGACTCTACCACGGCTTGTGGCAATAATCTTTTCAAACAAAGTATCTTCTCATCTATATACACATATGATGTTTATCTGTCACATGTAAATAAAATGTAACAGAATTCTGGGAACATAAAGTCAGAGAAGAAAATATTATTTTCTTGATTAATACCTAGTGTTTGTCCAATCCTATATTAGTAAATTCTCAAATTGCTATAAAGAAATAACCTGAGACTGACTAATTCATAAAGAAAAGATGTTTAATTGGCTAATGGCTCTGCAGGCCATACTGGAAGCGTGGCAGCATCTGCTTCTGGAGAGGCCTCAGAGAGCTTTTATTCATGGTAAAAGGCACAGCGGGGCAGGCATCTTACATGGCAGGAGTAAGAGCAAGAGAGAGTGAGCGGAGATGTGCTGTGCTATTTTTAAACAACAAGATCTCATGAGAACTCACTCACTATTGTGAGAACAGTACCAAGGAGATGGTACTAAACCATGCGTGAAGTATCCACCCCCATGATCTAATCACATCCTACCAACATTGGGGATTACAATTGAACATGAGATTTGGGTCGGGACACAAATCAAAACCATATAAAATTATTTGCTAATAAATAAACTGATTTTTGTCTGCTGGGTTTTCTGGGTTTTTGAGGGCAAAAGTATGTGTGTGTATGTGTGTGTGTGCGTGTGTGTGTGTGTGTTTTAGTGCATTCATGCCTCTGTCTTAGGGTAGGACTTTCTAGAAAAAGCTGGGTGAAAACAATGAAAAAAATAGACATACTCTTGGCTACAGGTGTTAATGATCCTTGTCCTGTCACCTCAGACCAAGGGAAACACAGGTCCTGAGGGGGCAAAGCTTAGGCTTTTTTCATGTTTATAGTAATGAACTCCAATTTTGAAAGAAGTTCTACTTCGCGTAAAATGATATCAAATAGCATCATATGCTACAAAGAAACCTTTTGCAAAAGGAGAGCCAATCAATGCAAGTGCAATTGCGGTGCGGTTATTTTGGGTTATTTTGGCTAGGTTTTAATATATATATATAAATTTCATTTGTATAACAATTAAGCACTTAAACATTACATAGCAATTTTAGTGATATTTTGAGCCATTTTCTTTCTAATTTTTTTTTTAAAAAACAATGTCTCAAGTTTACCCAATTAAGGATTACATGCAAAATATTTTATGGGGTGGCTCACATAATTTGTTATAAATTACTTTTCACAGGAAAGCATGACAATATTATGATTGCAGAAGGAATTCTAGCATGTGTATTTCATGAAAGATATTTTTTCCATGGGCTTGTATACTAAGTTCAATTCATTTCAAGGGTTTAAAAACATTCATTTTCAGAGCCCTGCAATTCAAGCACCATGTTGCCATTTTTCTCGTTTTGGTTACAGTATCAAACTCTCTAAACCCTCAAATCCTATTTCATTTCTTGTGACATTTGTTATATTCCTTAGTTAATCTTCTACTTAGCTTTTGTAATATTCTTTTGCAGACTTTTGACATTAATACAGCTGAGTTTAAGGATCCACTTCAGCTGCTGTCAGATATTTCAAATTTACTTTTACACATGGGAATGAAGATCCTCCAAATTTGCTTTAATTTGAGGAATTATTATTTAATTTTGTGAAAGTTTTCCCAGAAGTTAAGACAAAAAAGAATTTAAATCAATACTCAGAAATGTCAGAACCTAGAATTATATGTCAGTTAGGCATAAATGTGATTTCAAAAGGCCACTTAAACAAACTAATTATTGGCCACCAAATGGGAATGTATTAAAATAAGTGAAAACACATAAAATCGGTATTATCCTTACTCTCAAAAAGGTTGACAAGGGCAAAATCAAAGCAAAAAGTAATTAAATTACACCCAAAACAGTATATGAAGACTAACAAGAAGCATCCAAAGTAATCAATTTGCTTTGATGAGACTGGAGCCTTTTATTCTGCTATATATCTATAACACAGAAAACAAACCACTCTGGCAAAAGAAAAGGTTTGGCATCAAAACTGTCTTTCTCTTTGTTATTATTGTTAGTTGATAACTCTGTCCCTATAGTACTGGCAGTAGGGAAGAGTACTCCAGAACACAGGCTCTGAAGACAGACTATCTACATATAAATCTTGGTGCCTCACCTTACTTGCAGTGTGACCGTGGTTAAGTTATTCAATATCATTGCACTATATTTTTATCATCTGTAAAATGTACATCAAACCAGCCACTTGCTAGCATTGTTGTGTAGATTGATTGAGTGAAGAAATGTAACTCACTCAAAACAATGCCTAACTTGTACTGAGCCCTCAGTAAAAGTTGGCTAACCTCACTGGTGTATCCCCATTCTTTTATCCTAGACTGAGTGAGGCACATAATAGAAGGAAATTAATAAATATTTGGAATTGCAAACAAGTTTAGATTTTAGCAATTTCAACATTTACGTTGTTTTTCAAAGTGTGGAGACAAATACTTAAAAGTAATAGAAGTAATGTCAGCAAAAATAACAGATGAGGGAACTCTAAAACAACTTCACACAAAAGCAACAGAGTATATACATATATATACACACACACACATACACACATATATGTACATATGTATATATATGTGTGTATATATATGTATATGTGTGTGTGTATATATATCATATATAGATATATATACATATACATATATATGTGTGTATATATATATATATATATGAGATGGGATTCTGCATTATGGATGTTGGCTGAGTTCTGCCCAGTGTTTAGAGAACTGAGTTCCAATGCAAAGTCCAACAATTTGTGCACTCTGTCTCTCAAAAACACACAGATTCTTTCACCTTGCCATCCAGCTGCTGCCAGGGGAATGGAGAAAGAGTGGTGTCAGCAACTGAAAACTGTTTTTCTTAACTTCTTCAGTGCCTCTTTCAGCAATATGAAGTTAATATCAGATATTATGATTCCTTCACCTGATTTTTTGTTCTTTTGAAGGTGCTTTTTTGGTAGGTAGTTGTTATTTTGGTGGTCCTGCAGGGAGGACAGTTGGTAGAGGCTGCTATTTAGCCAGGTTCCTCCAGTTCCTGGTTCCAGATAAAATTTCCTGATCAAAATTCAATAATTATAGATTGTAACACTAACATATCTGAAAAATCCCATGTGTTTGGAATGTATTAAACAATTTTCCAAATATTTGCATGAAAAAAATAAACAATAAGAGAACTTCATTGAGTAGAGCTGAATGATAATGAATATTCAACATTTTTCATATATAAATTAATATAGAATACAATACAAAGATATATCAATATCATTATACTATGAAAAGATTCAAGCCATAACTGAATGAGTTAAATGTATTTCTGAAGGTATTATAAAAGTAACAAAACAATAAATATAAAAAAGTAAATAATAAAAATTACAGCAGATATTAATAAAATAGAAAACAAAGTAAAACAGGAAGAATCAATAAAGCCAATAATTTTAATGCATAAAAAAGAATAATAACAAACCTCTGCTAAGATTGAGCAAGAAAAAAATGAGAGGTAGAGTATTAATCTAAAGTTGGACACAAACACAAATACAGAAGAGTAAAAGTTATTAAAAGTGAAAAATAATACACTTAAAACTTACATGCAATAGACTAACATCTAGAAAACTATAACAAGGTATTAAAGAAATTAAGTGAGTTTAAAATATTCCTGAATATAAAAGACCAGGACTAGATTGTTTTACAGATTAGTCCTGCAAAATTTTCAGGAAACAGGTCATCCCAATATTACACATTTTCTTTTACAAAGAGGAGATAAAGAGTGAATACAGGCAATTATGTTAAAGTTTAGCAATAATTATTAACTTTCTTAGTAAGAGGAGCTATTATATACTGTGCATGTTGAGATAACAGCTTTGGAAAGAAAGTTTAATATGTGTATAACAGAAAACTCAGAAATTCCACTCATAGATATAGTAAGACCTAGAGTAGAGCTTCTCTATCTGTGCATTACTTACATTTGGGGGCACGTACGTCTTGGTTGTGGAGGCTTTCTTATGTATTGTGGAGTGTTTAACAGACTTCTTGATCTCTGCTCCATTGGTGCCAGGAGCATAGTAGCAACCTATCCCCAACCATAATTACCAAAATTGTCTCCAGACATTATGAAATGTCCCTTTTGGGGGCAAAATTGCATTACTAATACTCTTGCACATGGAGAATAGTGTTCACAGTAGCATCATTTGTAATAGTAATACATATGATTTTAATAAATGGTCAGTTGATTGATAGATATTGATAGATATTAATATATATTATGTATTGATATATACCTATATCTCTCATGAACATGAATAGATAAAAGTATGTCACAAAAATGTATGCAATATAATACTATTGATACACAGTTTAAAAGTACATCAGGTATGCATATCTGCACAGTAAAACTATACCAACATACACGTTCATAATAAACACAAAATACTGAATAATAGTTAATCTTGACAGAGGGATGAGGGGAGAAGGATGTGATTGTGGAGAGGTACAAAGTGAGGGTTCAACAGTTATAATTGAAAACTAAATTGAAAACAAACATAATTGAAAACTGGTGCTTATGACAGCCTTTGTTTTACAATTCGTTAAACCTTAACTTACATTTTGTATTTTCTTTTTTGTATGAAATATTATATAATTTTAAAAATACCTGAAGTCAAAAATGAAGAGTTGATATAGCAGAGAATTTAGTGTGTGTCTGATATACATTAGTCTAGAACAACTGTGTGCCAATAACCCCTTAGAATTTTTATTTTGATATATATAGAATATAATAGTTGTATATGAAACATTAAAATATTTTCAAAATAAAGACAAAAATGATGTCCTGTACCATCGTTTTAATTTATAATTTTTATTTTTTTCCATAGGTTTTTGGGGAACGGATGATGTTTGGTTACATTAATAAGTTTTCAGTGGTGATTTCTGAGATTTTGGCACATTCCTCATCTGAGCAGTATACGTCGCGCCCAATGCGTAGTCTTTTATCCCTCACCCCTTTCCCATCCTTTCTCCCAAGTCCTCAAAGTCCATTGTATCATTCTTATGTCTTTGCATCCTCATAGCTTAGTTCCTACTTGTGAGTGAGAACATACAATGTTCGGTTTTCCATTCCTGAGTTACTTCGCTTAAAATAATGATCTGCAATTCCATCCAGGTTGCTGCAAATGCCATTTTTTTTCCTTTTTTTGTGACCGAGTAGTACTCCATGGCTATATCATGATTTTTAATAAATCATGTAGGCGTACAAGAATCTCATCATAAGTTAGTAAATTAAAATATGCTCTGCTTTTATTCATTTATTTGGTAAATATTTATTTTTTTAACACCTACTATGTGCCTGGCATTGTTTTAGGTACTTAGGATGCATAGGCGAAAAGCAGATATAGGTCACTCTCCTAATGAACATTTATGTAAAAGAGACAGGCAACATACAATAGTTATCAAAAAATAACTGTTTTGTAGTTAAATATTACACGTTGTAATTTGGACAGCTTTAGGAATGTAGCAATTCATAGTAATTATACTATGCATATTTATAATATTTTATGGACTACAAATCACTGATACACAGGTTATTTTTAAAGCCCATGACTGGTGATGCATACAAGTGAAGTACTGATTATTATCCCCATATTTTATAGGCAAGGACACTGAGTCTTACAGTTTGTCACTTGCATTGATATTGTTAGGCTTTGAGTCCCCACCCAAATCTCATTTTGAATTGTAATCCCCATAATTCCTATGTGTCGAGGGAGAGACCTGGTGGGAGGTGATTGGATAATGGGGGCAGTGTCCCCCATGCTGTTATCATGATAGTGAGTGAGTTCTCGGGATATCTGATGGTCTGACAGTTCCTCCTTCACATACTCAGTCTCTCACCTGCCGCCATGTAAGACACGCCTCTTCCCCTTTCTTCACGATTGTAAGTTTCCTGAGGCCACCCCAGCCATGTGGAACTGTGAGTCAATTAAATCACTATTCTTTATAAATTACAGTCTTGGACAGTTCTTTATAGCAGTGTGAGAACGGACTAATAAATGCACAAAAATCAGTTAGTGGTATACAGCCCAACCTAGAATCATTTTTATATGAAAATGGTTACAGTTATTCTCTAATACAAAAAAAAGAGAGAAACAAACCAGAGTTTCTCTTTCTCAGACTTCCAGTTCATTATGCATAAAGACATCCTTGGACAATCTTAGGCCATTTTGATACACACAATTTATCAAAAGAGGACTTTTTTCATTTAAAAGTCATGGAATTTTATATTTTATTTTTTAGGATGTCATCTTTAGAAATCTTGACATAAAAGTCATCAGCAGTTTGAGGGAGACGGTTTTGCAACAGCAGTTTCCACTGACATATTTTTGGATCAATACAAATTAACTCAAAAAACAGATAACACATTCTGTCACTGTGTGCTTGTCAATTAATAGTACTCTTGAGAGTTAGATTAGTTCAGTATTCATGGGGAGAATTAATGACAGAATGGCCTTGTTACCCATTTGAAAGTAAAAGTTAGTTTTCCAGTCTCACTCTAATAAATCTGTGTTGGTATTTTCCATGGACATTCTCGTGAGCTCCAAATAGGATATTAAAGTGATGGAAAACGTTTTGAAACCATCGGTAGTAATTACACATATAAAGTTATAATATCATCATTGGTTATTCTAGAGAGAGTACATTTTACATGTGAAAATATAGACACCCATCACAAAAGGAATAGTACCTTCTGAGATCAATGTTCTCTAGTATCCAAAGCAAATTTTGAAGGTAACTTTTGTTTGGAAAAGATGATGATATTTCCTGTGTAATAATAAATAAGGCTCAAAACTCAAGTCTGTCATTCATTACTTATAAGTGAAGATATTAGATCTAGTTTTCAATCTTTGACCATTCAGAGTCATACAACTGACCCTAATTTACACTTCCAATTTCATTTTTAACTGTTCATTTGTTTGCAACTTTACCCCCAGCAAACTGATCAAATTACTGTCTTCTGACATGATTTGTACCTTTATACCTCCATGCCTTTTTGTCAGAACACTCCTGTCTGACATAACCTTATCACTTCCTCCCCAATTCATGCCCCTACTGTCACTCTGACTCTACCATTTCCACCTGATAAAAGCCTAAAGCTTCTCAAAGGTGTTAGTGCCATATCATTCCTGGACACAAGGTGTGGATTTTTCATTTGGCACAAGTCCAAACCATCTACTGTTAGTGTCTTTCCAATCTAAACTGGAAGAGAATTCTATACACCTCACTAAGCATCATAGGTCTGCGGTCATTTCTTCTTGGATAAGGCAATACTGTAACCTTCTAACTTGTACTTCCTTAACCAGTAATATTAAAACATTATCCCATAATCCACCCTACTTTTGTCTGTAATTCTTTTCACAATTTTTCGAGTTAATATGTAGGCTATCTCTAATTATGTAACCATTCAGTACATGGAGAAGAGATGCAAGTGCCAAGATGTCTAGAACAGCCCAGAAAACTAGAGTGCTGATTACTAGAAGATAGTCAGAGGTGAGGTGCTTATGGGCAGACAGCAAATATTTCTTAACTAAGGGCTTTAAAGTTGCAGTGGTACACAGATTTATCTCATCCTTCCCAATAATGGAAGGGATTATGGTAGTGTGTTATGTGGGGTCTGAAAGTGAGAAAAGATTGTGAAATGTAGAACAAATAATTTCTTGGAACTTCATAAACCTTGGTCAATAAGCTACATTATTGAATAATCCTAAGTTGTTGCCTGCTTTATCTTTCTTGTGGCAGCTTCATGAATGACAACTTTGCTCCAAAAACAGTATCATGAGAATAATAAAGTCTCCCAGGTTAAAGCAAACCTCAAGGGTATTTGACTGCTTTGAAGTTTTTTAAGGGCTCCAAAACACTGCTGCTGCTCAAAAAGATATCCTGACACTGGCAACCTATTGCTTTGTAGTTACTTGGTTACACATCTTGTTTCTCTTCTTACATTGTCAACTTTGGGTGAGCTTTGATGTAGAATGAAATTTCTGATTTCACCAACCTGATTCCTGAGACTTATTTCCATAATCATGGACTTAGTGTGTACAGAGACTAGATAGCATAAATTATGGGTTTTGTTGATCCAATTTTAGTAATAGATTTCTCTTACAGAAAAGGAGTATGTAAAAATCCTCTATCAAGTCTAGTGATGGTTATTTTCATTGTCAGCAAGGACTCTTGGAAGCATAGCAGTAGCCTGTCCTTGGCTCTGCTCTTCAAGGTAATATCTAGTTTCTGTGACCCTATTCTTGCCTCAGTTAAAGACCACTTTATAATTTGAAGACATATTAATTTGAAGTTTGAACATTTTAAATTAAATAATATTAGTAAAAAACCACACTGAGAAAACTGCCATTGCAGTTTTATACTTAATATTCTATCCTCCAGACATTTTGAATTTGACAAAGAGGGAATCCCTGTTTTCGGTGGGATCTGGATCAGGGCATTCCTCTCAAAGCTTCTCCTGACTTCATAGCAGAAGTCCAGCAGATGATTGCTAATCTAGTTACAATTGCCCTGTCTCAGAACTCCGCATAGTTAGAAGAACTGAAAGGATGCCCTAGAAATCTTTGCATATCTCGTGATAACCCCTCCCTTCACTGTCAACATTCATTTGATCATTTAGCTGATGATCATCAAAACAAATGACTTTATGCCCATTAGTTTGGTTTACAATAACTATCACAAGAGGACCAGGACTGCTCAGGATTCTAACCTACCTATGCCTCTGGGGCTGAGAGGAAGCCTCCAACCTGCATTTCTCTTCATTCCTTACTTTATTTTTCCCTACATGTCACAGAATGATACACTACTTTTTTTTTTTTTTTTAAGACGTTGTCTTGCTGTGTCGCTAGGCTGGAGTGCAGTGGCGCCATCTCGGTTCACTGTAACCTCCGCCTCCTGGGCTCAAGTGATTCTCCTGCCTCAGCCTCCCGAGTACCTGGGACTACAGGCGCACACCACCACGCCCAGCTAATTTTTGTATTTTTAGTAGAGACGGGGTTTCACCATGTTGGCCAGGAGAGTCTCAGTCTCTTGACCTCATGATCTGCCCGCCTTGGCCTCCCAAAGTGCTGGGATTACAGGTGTGAGCCACCACACCCGGCCACACACTACATATTTTGCCAAGCTATTTGCTTATCTTTTCCTGTGGGCGGCAAGCCACCCAGATGCCGAGGCAAGAGACCAAGGACACGAGCTGTTCCAGTATAATAAAATATAAAACAAGAATCGTTATGCCAGATATAGATCTTAGATATGATTATATATGAATATAATTAATCATTAGTTAGTAGTACTTATTCTTTATTCCAATATTATAATAATCCTTGCTCTATAATCATAACCCAGAAAAACCAGGACATACAGAGATAGGAGCTGAGGGGACATAGTGAGGAGTGACCAGAAGACAAGAGTGAGAGTCTTCTGTTATGCCCAGACAGGGCCACCAGAGGGCTCCTTGGTCTAGTGGTAATGCCAGCATCTGGGAAGACGCCTGTTGCCAGGCAGACCGTGGTCTAGCGGTAGCCTCAGCGTCAAGAAAAAACACTGGCTACTTAGCAGACCGGGAAAGGGAGTCTCCCGGTCCCTTTCCACGGGGGGAGTTTAGAGAAGACTCTACTCCTCCACCTCTTGTGGAGGGCCTGATGTCAGGTCCACCCGAAGTTGTCCGGAGGCCTAACCGTCTCCCTGTGATGCTGTGCTTCAGTGGTCACGCTCCTAGTCTGCCTTCATGTTCCATCCGGTACACCTGGCTCTGCCCTCTAGATAGCAGTAGCAAATTAGTGAAAGTACTAAAAGTCTCTAATAATGGTGTAAGTTGTTTCTCTCTTTGTCTCCTCTCTCTCTCGGCCTCGGCTGCCAGGCAGGGAAGGGCCCCCTGTCCAGTGGACACGTGACCCACGTGACCTTACCTATCATTGGAGATAACTCACACTCTTTACCCTGCCCCTTTTGCTTTGTATCCAATAAATAACAGCGCAGCCAGACATTCGGGGCCACTACCGGTCTCCGCGACTTGGTGGTAGTGGTCCCCCGGGCCCAGCTGCCTTTTCTTTTATCTCTTTGTCTTGTGTCTTTATTTCTACACTCTCTCATCTCTGCACACGGGGAGAGACCCACCGACCCTGTGGGGCTGGGCCCTACATTTTCCCACTAGAAGGAAGGCAAGGTTTTTGTCTACTTTGTTTACTACTGAATTCTCAGAGCCTAAAATAGTAAGTGTTCAATAAATTATTGTGAAATTAATGGATGACTGTCTCTTCATAATAAGGTAAGCATAAAGGCATGAGTTCTCTGGAGGAAGGGACTCTCCCAGTCTTCTCACAGCCTCAAGTCTATAGCATCTAGCATTGATTGGACTTGCACAAGTGGTAGCTTGGCAATTTGAGTTTAATTATTGTTGTCAACATTTTTGTCCTGTATTTCTCACATTACTTACCAATGCTTTGCTTATTTATAGTATATATTTAATGCTTTTTTGTTGAGTAATAGATAAACACTTGTTTCCTAAATTCATTTACCATGGCCTAGTTGGGGTTTATTCTAGTACATAGGTAATTCCAAGACTTTTAGGCAACACATCTGCTCTACAGTACTTTGCATGAAGTTGTTCAATGGATATATTTATAGTGCTTATCTCTACTCTTGGCACACATACTGTGAATGACATAAAATAGATGTGTTGTCAATATTTGATGCTGAACTGAAGGTCAGGATAAATAATGGCTCCTTTGTTCTTCAGACCCTTTCTGTGAAATCCAGATCAAGTCCTCTCTCTTTTCTCCATCCGGTAAACCCACTGTCAGGTTTAGAACATTGCTCACTATTCTTTGTGAGCATTGCCAGCTTTTATTTACATGCTGGGTAGCCTCCTGCACTCGAAGTTCTCCATGAAGTACTCCAGTTTAGGAGGCAGTCAACTGTGCATTCACAAATAGTACCAACAAAAGAGAGAAGCGTACAATAAGAACTTTAAAATATCACCTTTGAAACTTGTTCATTTGTTTTGGTGTTAGAATGCAGGCATCACAGAGACAGGAACTTATCTTTTGGGGACTTACAGCACAATTCACCAGTGGCTCTATTCACCAATATTTGAGGAAAAAAAATGCTGGTTTTCCTTTCTCTTCACAAAGAGTTAGTTTCTTCTTTAGAACCCCAACCTTATTATACCAAAGCATTTAAAGGAGTGAAGTGGATTTCCCTGTTACGTGTATGTGGTATTTAATAGAGAGAACATCATTTTGGAATATCCTGCCATAATAACATCAGAAAAATTGCATTGTGTGAAGAAAAATAAGCTTTGAGCTGAGTTCCAGTTGCCAGATGATCAGTTCTTGTTACTTCCTTAGTAATATGCAGCAATTATTTTCACTATTTTCCCAAACCATTATTCTTTAAATTCTTTTTTCTAAACATGAAAACATTTATGTTTTAGATAAATAGGGCTATTACAGTCTATTTTCTCTGGCTGTCATACTACATTTTTAATTTTTCTCAAAGGACTATATTTTGCCTTAACACACTCTAATATGACCTTTACCTCTTTTTCATCAGAGTTTTGCTTACACAGAACAAATTCAAACATTTTTCATTCTTTCTCTGTATGGGCATCATTTTATGCCAAATCATTGGATTCTATCAATATTTTCTCAGGGCATTTATTAATTCATCCAATAAAAATCTACTGAGTACCAACGATATTGTAGGTACAATGCTAGGAGAATTTTTTAAAGATACTGGGTGGGGGGACATTCCCATTAAGAAGCTTTTAGTTTAATAGAGAATATCAATGTTTCAGAAATAAATGTGTTAAATTAGTGTAGACAGAGAGTAGAGTTACAAAGGTCAAAAGATTACCTTTATTTGGAATGGGCATAAATTAATGATAAAGCTAACTAATAAATGCTAGGTAAGTTGTCCCAGAAATAGAGAGGTAGGTGGAGTCTGTGGTGCAAGAAACGGAATGGTGAGAGTTATGGCTGGAGATGTTATCATAAAGGACTTTGTGTAACACAACAAAAACTTTGAACTTTATTGCCCAGGAAAATGGATTGATGAGTCTGAAAATTTTACCAGTCTGAAAAATACATTTGAAAATAAGAAGGCATAAAATACCTAGGAATACAGCTAACCATATAGGTGAAAGGTCTCTACAATGAGAACTACAACACACTGTTCAAAGAAATCAGAGATGACACAAATAAATGGAAAAACATCCATGCTCATTGATAGGAAGAATCAATACTAAAATGAACATACTGCCCAAAGTAATTTATAGATTCAATTCTATTCCTATCAAACCACTGATGACATTCTTCACAGAACTAGAAAAAATATTTTAAAATTCTTATGGAACCAAAAAAGAGCCTGAATAGCCAAGGCAACCCTAAGCAAAAACAGAAACAAAGCTGGAGGCATCATGCTACCCACCTTCAAACTATACTACAGGGCTACAGTAACCAAAACAAGATGGTACTTGTACAAAGCCAGAAACATAGTTTAACTAAGGAAACAAAATAGAGAGCTTGAAAATAAGGCCACACACCTACAACCATCTGATCTTCGGAAAAGCTGACAAAAACGAGCAATAGGGAAAGAAACCGCTATCCAATAAATGGTGCTGGGACAATTGGCTAGCCATGGGAAGAAGATTGAAACTGAACCCCTTCCTTACACCATATACAAAAATCAACTCAAGAGAGATCAAAGATTTCAATGTAAAACCCCAAACTGTAAAAAACCCTGGAAGACAATCTAGGCAATACCATTCTGGGCACATGAATGGGCAAAGAGGTCATGACAAAGACACCAAAAGCAATCGCAACAAAAGAAAAAGTCGACAAATGGGATCTAATTAAAACTAAAGGGCTTCTGCACAGCAAAATAAAGTACCAATAGAATAAACAGACAACCTACAGAATGGGAGAAAATGTTTGCAAACTATACATCTGACAAAGGTCTACATGTGGCAAATAAGCATATGAAAAAAATCTATATCATTGATCATTAGAGAAATGCAAATAAAAACTACAGTGAGATACCATCTCACACCAATCAAAATGACTATCATTAAAAAGTAAAAAAATAAACAAATAAATAAATAAATAACAGATGCTGCGAGGTTGTGGAGAAAAGAGAGAGCTTATATGTTGTTGGTGAGAATATAAATTAGTTCAACCAGTATGGAAAGCAGTGTGGTAGTTCCTCAAGGAGCTAAACACAGAATTACCATCCTACCCAGCGATCCCATTACTAGGTGTATACCCAAAGGAATATAAATCATTCTATCCTAAATACGCATGCCACCCCTATGTTCATTGCAGCACTATTCACAATACAAAAGACTTGGAATCAACCTAAATGCCCATCAATGATAGACTGGATAAAGAAAAAGTTCATATACACTGTGGAATTCTATGCAGCCATAAAATAAAGGAATGAGATGATGTCCTTTGCAGAACATGGATGGAACTAGAGGCCCTTATCTATAGCAAAGTAATGCAGGAACAGAAAAATAAATACTACATATTCTCACTTATAGGTGGAAGCTAAATGATGAGAACACATGGGCACATAGAGGCGAACAACATACACTGCGGCCTGTCGGAGGGTGGAGGGTGGGAGGAGGGAGAAGATCAGGATAAATAACTATTGGGTACCAGGCTTCATACCTGCCTGAGGAAATAAACTGTCCAACAAACTCTTATGACATGCATTCACCCATATAACAAACCTGCATGTGTACCCTTGAACCTAAAATAAAAGTTGAAAAAAAGAAAATAAGCTCATTCTGATGGCAAGGAGATAAAGCAAGACTAGAGGAAGTGAGAGTGTTCCTCTTGTAATAGTTCATACAACAAATGATATCGATGTAAATAATTTTTATTTTGTTTTCTGTTTCTAACTCATCATCACAACTATTTCACGGTTTAGAAGCAATAGCTGAGATCTGCAGGAAGGAGCAGAGATGGTCAGTAATGGTGGGGGAGTCTTGATTTGCATACAACATCTCCAAATGGAGCAATTTAGCCCTCAATGCCATTGTTTCTCATGCCTCATATAGCCAATGTTGTGACTGAGGGTTTTCCTAAAGAGTTTCTTGAAGAAGTCCTGTGCATCTTACAGTTCTAGCTTAAAAGTCTAGGTGTTAGATCACCAGGTCAAGCCCACGTATATGACTGATTTCCGGCGTTACTAACATGGTTTTTTTTTTTTGTTTTTGCTTTTGCTTTTAACTTTCTAACTCCAAGAGGGAAATGCTTCAGTGATTTCAAGATTGAAGGGAACATTTTGGACTACATAACTGTGATACTGTGCTATCTCCACTGGCAGCTGTGGAATGTGAAGAGGAGAACCTGGCACAGATTTAAGTAATAACGCATGGACATGGTGTTGAAATACAGCAGGCAATAATATTACATGCTTTGCCTGATTGCAGCTTTTGCAGCAAACAGAGAGGTGGTTTGTTGAAATTTGCCAAAGTTTTACATAAAATATGACCACTCTTGGTAGAGAGTTGGTCCCAAGTATATCGTATCAAGCCAACAAAATGAAAGGAGAGTGAGTCCAGTAAATAGTAACTGCTTTCAGAAATATCTTCAAGAGGACAGTTTTCTCATTTCAGAACATTCTGCTTGGCAAAGGTGAAACAAATGTTTTTCAGCTCTTCTCCCATCGAGTCAATTAGTACAAGCTCTACCACACCTTTTACAAAACCTATTTTTTGTTCATCATTTTGTGATTACCCTACTAGACTGTGAGCACTTGGGATAAAAAACGATGTTTACTTGCTGTTGTGTTCTCCGGTATCTAGGATACTTTTTGGCACGCAATGACCATATCAGAATAGAAAAATGAATGTCATTCATTTGATCTCTATTCAATTTTCTATAATATATATTTTACTAAATGATAGGTTTGCCTTTTTATCACCAGACAAGTGTGCCTGATAGGGGCAGAGATCATGTCTCTATTCCTCTGTATCTGGCACAGAGCAGATGCTACATAAACACGAATTGACAAATGTATGAATTAAATGTTACAATGATCTCTTCGGCAACTAAATTATCAAAAGAGAGACAGTGATTTCACTATTATCATTATTATGACATTATTATATTCAGATTCTGGTAAACATTGGACAAATTGGAAACAGAGTCCAGTGTTGACTATGTAAAATCATACTCCAATTAACTATATTCACTTCTGCCACATCTTTTTTACAAGTCATAGAATAGAGCTGTTCTGTTCAATTTCAATTATTGAAATAATCTTACTGGAAATTATTAGCTACTGAATAAGAAAGTAAGCTTATGGCCGGGCGCGGTGGCTCACGCCTGTAATCCCAGCACTTTGAGAGGCCAAGGTGGGTGGATCACGTGGTCAGGAGATCGAGACCATCCTGGCTAACACAGTGAAACCCCGTATCTACTAAAAATACAAAAAATTAGCCGGGTGCGGTGGCAGGCACCTGCAGTCCCAGCTACTCGGGAGGCTGAGGAAGGAGAATCACTTGAACCCGGGAGGCGGAGGTTGCAGTGAGCTGAGATCATGCCACTGCACTCCAGCCTGGGCAACAGAGCAAGACTCCATCTCAAAAAAAAAAAAAAAATGTAAGCTTACTAGTTTCCATTACAATACTTGCAGTATGCACACACGTGCATGCACATGTACACACACTTCTTTCTAGTCCTAGAACATTCTTTGATTTTTATTGAGTTCCTAAATAGGATTTTAAGGACACAGTAATTAAGTTTAGCAAGTAAATTTATTTCAAAATATAACCTTAAAAATTATACAAACATATTTTTGAAGAAAATATATGTGCAAAAGTATGACATTAAAATCCCTTATAACCCCACTACCCAATTATATACCTATACTGATAGCCACAATAAAAAATAATATCATAACTATGTACTATTTGGCAACCTGCTCTTTCACTTTTTTCTAAGCTACCAGATATCTGTACTATCGTATAGTATTAAGAGCCTGGGTTCTTAACTAGACCCAGTTTTGAATCTGGAGGCAAATCATTTGTTCTTTTTGTTTATCCAGTTTCTCATTTACAATACGGAAAAATAATTAGCCTTTACTCCTGTTATAAAGAGTAAATGAAATAATGCAAATAAGACAAGTAGCAAATAATTAATAAATGTCAGCTACAAACTTTTTGTTATTATATGATATTTTTGGAACATAACACATCCCAATTTATTTAGCTAGTCCAAAGGCAATCAAACCAACATCTAAGTTGTTTTCGCTTTTTTTCAATATTAGAATAAAATTATATGATAAATACCCTTGCACATTTATAGGTGCCTACATGTCCACTTGTTTTTATACAATATATTGCTAGAAGTAAAATTGTTGAGACAAAGGGTATGAACATTTCTTAGATGTTTAGTTTTGCTATATTGCTCTGCAGCCTGATTGTCATAATTTACACAACAACCAGCAGGGTGTAAGAGTGCTCACTTCCCCATGATTTTGTCAGCATTGAATACTTGTCATTAAAAACCCTGCCAATTCCATAGAGGAGAAAATGTATCTCTTGTTTTAATTTGCATTTTTATTACTAGTGAGATTTATTGACCATTTGTGTTTCTATTTTGTATCTCCCTGTTATATCTTTTGCCCATTTTTTTCTCTCTATATGAGCTTTTTTTTTCTTACACAAATCTTTTATTAAGATTTTATACCTTGGATTTTATATACATGGCAAAATTGTTTAGGCTTGTTTTTATGATTTTAACTATTTGTGGTACTTTGATAGGCAGATATGTTAATACATTTGAGTGACTAAAAAGAAACACTCTTCAGCAAATTGTGTTGATATCAGACAGAAACAGCCTAAAAATTTCCATGTACTGTAATTTTCAATGTATTTTCCCAAAATTTTCCCTATATATTGGGAATATTTTAAGTCAAACAGAACCTACATAATTTACTTGTACTGTTTTCATCTATTTTATCAAAATGAATAATTTTGTTATAATATGGCTGCTAGCTCATCATACTCTTGGCATTAACACATCATCGGGCCAAGTTAAATACCAAGGAATAGTCTTCCAAAGAACAAGGCATTTATCACCAAGTTCATCATAATTGAATCTGGCCGTGCCAGCACTGACACTTTACATTTTGGTATAGCAAAACTAACTTCTCTACTCTGTCTATAACAGCAACATCTTGTAGTACACCTAAAATGAGTTTTCAACCATAATCCATTCATTCATTTGTTCAGCAAATATATACCGGGCTTTTGCCGCTCTCCCAAGCACTATGCTAGGCACCAAATTAAAGTCACAAACAAGACAGGCAATATCCCTAACTTCATAGAGCTTATAATGTTTTACAATTACATAAATTGCATAGAACAGACTTTGTTTAAAGATTAGAAGGACAGACAAAAGAAAATGTAAAACAGCTCTTGGGTTTCCAAGGGCTTAATTTAAATGTACATTCACTACATACCAAGTGATATTCTATTTGTTTCATACACATATATATTGAATAATTTCATCTTCCCAATAAGCCTAAGAGAAAAGTACTATTAAATTAAACCCATTTTACAGATATGGAATCTGAGACTTAGAGATGTGAAGTGACATTTTCAATGTCACATAGCTAGAAAGTAGAGAGGCCCAGTTTTAAATCTAGTGAGTCGGCTTCCTGAGTGCATGCTCTTAACCAAAGGTGCTGGACTACCTTTGGAATATGGTGCTACGTTTTCCTATTTTCACATGATACATATTCTATATTTATTTCATGACTTTTAAACGTTTTTAAATTTATGATTTAAAAACATTACTTTATAATGCTTCAGAGCTGATTTAATATGAAACACACATAAAATAGTCATTCTCTTTATTTCTTGTGCCTTCCTTGAAAGGATTCTCTGCTATAGCTTTTCTTAAAAGTATTTGTAACAATTCTACTTTTGAATACCTATAACAATTCCAGCTGCCACATCCCTAGCTTCCTTAGGTATTCAGAACACAAATGAAAATCGGATGTAAACAAACAGACAAACAAGCAAAAACCTTCAGTAGCCAAAAGAAATGTCAGGAAGTTTATTCATGAAGGAACATTCTAGGCTCTTATTCAGAGCCAGTTTAACATTAGACAGAATTATAATAAGCTTTAATAAGCTGCAGTAGATCGAACGTAGACGGGGGTTGTAAAGAGAGCATTCTGACAGCCTGACTAGTATGAATAATACAGGAAAATCATAAATATGTCATGGAAAAAAGTAAAGGATATTTTCTGAGGCTACTTAATATAAAGACAAACCATCATTGCATAATAACCAGGAAAAATGATTGAAGTTTATGATGATAGCTCACAATCATTAATAAAATGTTTGAGTTTAGTCATTTTTGTTCAAAATATCAGTGGACATGCATTAACAATGACATCTGGTTAAAACCAGTGTTGATGATGATATGTCAAAAAAATTGTTCTCACATCAAGTACATTTAGATAAGGGAATATGGCAATATTTGTCAAATACATTGGAATTCTCTAATTCGTTTGCTCTATAATGAAATTTAATATAAAGCAAAATTTAATTTTTCCTTAAAATTTTAGTGTTTTCTAGGCTTCTCTGATTTTAACTAATCCTGTTTTTTAACTTCACCTCATGACTCAAAGTGTCATCTTTTATGAACAAGAAATAGCTATAAGCCTCATCTGCTGTCCTGAAGTTATTTAATATGCCAAGTTCTGAAGCTGTAAAATCATATATAAGACTGTAGTTGGCAGTGGCTATTCAAATATAGCTTACCAGTAATCTTAGGTTCATGATGAAAAATATCTTGTTGCTAACTAATTTCCTGGAAGTGTCACTACAGACTTCTACCATGCATCATCCCCTGATGATGCCTTTCCTCCTGTGGTGTTCTCAGTCTGAAATGTTCTCTCTGGGCTTCCATCTGCATGTGGTCCCCATATATCAAAATCCTGCTCATTATTATTCAAAAACAAGCTCAAATGCCATCTTCCCCATGTAGCCTTTCCCACCTTATCCAGTGACAGGCAGAATTAATGAGTATGGGCTCTGCATTCAGACACACCTGATTTTGAATTCTGGCTCTTCCACCTACCAGTTGTGTGACACTAAATACTGCTCAGAGCTTCGATTTCTTCATTAGTAAAATGTGACTAATCAAAGGTCCAACATTATAGAATTGTTGTGATTATTAAATGAGATTTCTTGGGAAAGAGAAAAATAATGGGCAAAAGTACTATAAATTTATATTGCCTTCTCTATTCAAACTGACTAAAGGAAGCAATTTTGACATCCAACTTCTGATCCCATGACAAGGTAAAACAATCAAAGAAGTTGGGACTTGGATAACACTAGTAGGCACAGCTGGTGAATGTCCTAGAGTAAGTTTTAATTTAGAAATCTCTAGGGAAGAATTATATAGAAATTTTCCATTTGGATTGGAATCAAGAAGAAGACCTTTTCAATGCACTTTAGTCTATATCTTGATTGCAAAGGATGATGGGAACTATGCAAATCATGGAATAGAATGACAGAAGAAGAAAAAAAGCCTAGAAAGTGTGATCCTTTTCTACTAAACTTTGTGACCACCATTTATGTTAACTTCATGGGTTAAGTGAAGTGCCATTCAATTAAACTGACTGAAGAATCCAATCATGTACAGTATTTAAAACCAAAGTTGTGTCATTTACCGCTTTGGGGGTAAAGAAAATTGTGTGTGTAAAAGATGACTGCAGAATGCTGAGAACCATCATTGGCAAACATGCTTTGTTTGCCTTTTTAGTTCTATTGCTATTTCCCCTCTGCCACCCACCCGAACACACACTTCTCCAGGATTAAGGCTAGGACGGGCTAAGGAGGAGTCAAAAGTAGAACTAAATTGCTCTGACATAGAAATGAGGAGACTTTGGGAATGGGAATGGAAAACTTAATAGGTAAGAGAAGGAAGAACTTGAGGGGAAGACAGAAGAGAGGCTAACAATATGATCAGATGCTGTATCCAAAGAATAAATTTTAAAAATAACCTTTGAAAAAGGTCAGAGGACTTTACAAGTAGAGGGTAATTAATGTTGATTATTATGTATTTTATGGTTTTCCTCTGATATGTATCTTGTCTCTACTCTCTAGTATTTAGTAAAGTCTGCCACACACATAACCTTCAATTAGTGATACTTTAAGAAGTAAAATGATCTGAAAAGTGTCCAGCAGAATATTATTATAGAAGGATACATTCAAAGGACAAACAGCCTTGGGTACCTATGCTAAGGGAAGTGAGGTCTTCTCATATTTCGAAGCAATGGAGCCCTAACTTAATCCCAGATCTCTAGACTCAAGATTCTCATTCAATTTTACTACCACACATTGTCTTGTTAACGAATTCACTTTCCTGTGACCTCTAGCAGTGCTTCTCTCCTGAAATATCCATTTTGTTCTCAGCATTTATAGCCAATACTAATAATTAATTTTCCATGGGCATAAAGTAGATTTCTCCAACTACATTATAAATTTCATGAAGACCTCTATTCTTGGTATCCCACAGTGCATCCTCCACTAGTAAAGGCAAATTAAATATTAGTTGTATGCAAATAACTTTTCATACATTTATCTACTTTTGTGCCTGGGGGGTGAGCATCTTCATGAAAATATGTATATAGTTAGAAGACGCATTCTGTATAAAAAGTCTCACGTTGAATTCAAAGGTATTGTGAGCTTTACAAGGAAACAATTTTCTTGCATGTGAAAAATGGCAAAGCTCTAGGTTTTCCATATCATTGACAGCATGGTTCTTGGTTCACAAAAATATAAAATGTATATGATACACTAGGATGTCACTACAAAGATAATGTTATTCTTTCAATTTTATCCTAGCAACACTCAGGAATGCTATCAATGAATACAGATGTACACAGCTAAAGTAAGACACTGCCCATAAACCAACTCCTGAACAGATTTTTCAACAAATCCTTCAGACCTGTTTGCTCATGTCATTTGGGGCAAATCTGGATGAATTTGAAATGTACAGTTCCTAATGAGCTCAGTCCCACATTTTAATCAAAGCTTAATGATTATTGCTATGCCCCATTCAGCAGACATTGCCAGTTAGAAAGAAAAAAATAGATGACACAGAAAGGCCAAATTCACAATGAAGATGTCAAGATAAACCTGCTACGAGTGAATGAAATGAAAGAGTTTACTTTTAGCCCTTCCCTCTTTTGTTGGCTTTACAATATACACTTGAGTAATGACACTTCAATAAATGAAAGATCTTCTTGCTACAAAAATGATTGTATTTGATTTCACAAAATAACTGTTTTCTAATTTGTGTTCCCCTGGGTAAAACCATGTCAATAAAGAACATGCTGTATTTTACATCAAGGATGTAACATCTGAATTAGAATAGGGCCCATGCTTTACAGAAATGTGAAATTCTCCTTTCCTTACATTCTGTACCAGCACCATTCAATAGTAGTATGCATTCCACGAATACGAGCAACACAAAAATTTAAAATTTTCTAGTGGCCTCATTAAAACAAGAAAATAAAACTAGTGCGATTAATTTAGTAATAATTTATTTGATATCAAAATGTGATAATTTCAAACTTATCAATGTAAAAAGCATAAATACGATATTTTATCTTCTTATTCTTATACTGCCTTCAAAATCCACTGCATATTTTACACTTATGGTTCATTTCAATTTGGACTAGCCATATTTCAAGTGCTCAAGAGGAACGCATTGCTGGTGGTTACCATACTGGACATCCCAGTTCTATACTAAAGCATTTAGGAACTATTATTAGAAAGAAGATAACCCATACCATAGCTTCCCAATGAAAATAAACTTTTAACAGAAACAGAAGTTTGCAGGCCTATGAGTAGGATGCAGAGAAGGTAGCCGAGAATCAGCTACGAGTGACTATCCTGCAGAGAACAATTTGGCAGCGATACTGCATCCATATAACCACCAATTTCTTGTTCTCTACTATGTACCAAGCTAAAAGGTATTTCTACAAGTATAAATGGGGATGCTCCACCTATTTTAATGTTTTTCAGTCTCCCCCTTCTCTCAGTACAAAAGTCTGTGTATAATCTTTTGCCTTTTCAAGGCTTTGTTTCAATTTTCCTCTTCAACATTTATAAATGTATTCATTTGTTCTGTGTTTTTCTAATTGAGTTTCTCAAAAGGCCTTTTACATCACTGGCAATTTCGAATTTCCTCTCACTATTGTATCTCCTTTATTTCCTCAATTCTTTTTGCACTCCTGTCTTTTTGTATCCTTTCCTTCGGCAAACTTCATCCAGCAGTGGATTGTAGGTTTGTCACCCTCTCAATGTTTCCGTGTTTTCTGTTTGTCTTCCTTTGTGCCTTCACCAGGCCAGTGAAGAAGTATGACCCTTTGGAATTTCCACAAATGTTCCAAATTCCGAAAAGGACTGATTTCAGCTTTTGCTTTTATCAGTATGTGTTTGTGCTCAGTGACTGAACGGTGTGTCATAAAATTGCATTACATAACAAGGACAATTATAAAACAATAACAATCTTTTCCCCAAAAGTAGTATCAATCCAACTTCTTGGAGAATGTAGATGCTTCTTCCGCCACACATTCTGTCTTGTGATTCTGTTTGGCTTTGCACAGATGGGAAGCACCGCCCGTACAGCCTACCTCTCAAGCTGTGGCTGGCAAGAGCCATCTTGAGTCTATGCTTTCTGTTAAAAGACGGAAAATAAAGATGGAGCTGGTTGCTGACATTACAGCTGGTGTGCGTGAAGATTTTTGTGAAAGTCTATTTAAATTCTAAACTTGACAGCACAGTTGTTGGTTTGTCAAAGCACTGCAAAATTAAAAGAGTGAAGAGAATCTAAAGACCAGAATTATAGCAGCATTTTTTTTTTTGGTTTTGTTTTGTTTTAAAGTAGCTATGGATATAAAAGTATATACTTGGTTTAATCACTCGCCCAAGGGGAGAAACACATTAACAAAATGGTAATACCCAAAAAGACCTTGGGACAAATATATCTTTAAGCCTTCTAAGAATCAGAAAATTATAACTTGCCTTTGCCTAAAAAGTCATTTTGTAACTTCAGCAATCTACATTTGCAAAGTCATTTCCCTCATTACTAATTCAATAGCTGAGTTAGTAACATATTTTCTTACTTGCTATACATGCTGTTCTTTTAGCGTGGCTTCCAGTTGTTAGGAAGCCCAATCAGAATCTTCTGACTGGCCTAGTTACAGTACAATAGAGAAAGTTTATACAATTGTTTTTTTTCTAGAGTGAAGGTCTATAAACACATGACCTTCTTAATCCTGTGAATCAAGAAAAGCATCATGTCTTCTTCTTGACAGTATTTTAGATGTATTTCATAGTTGCTGGATATTCTTAGGGTTGCTCAGATAAGGGGAGCAATTTGTTTCTAAGGTAGTAAAGCTCACCCACATTTGGATGCGGTCATGTAAAAGAAATGGACAAGGCGCTTTGCTGGCATGTTGACTTTGGGTCCATGAATGTTTAATGAGCAGAATAAAAATTTATAAAAGAGATTACTCTTGCTTCATTTAGTCATTCTTTAGTTTTCTCAAATCACAACTCTTCAGGAAAATACTCCAGCTGACCAGCTGTTCCAGTGTGGCTGCTAAATTGAAAAGCCACTCTACTATGGTTATAGATTTAGAATAAAAATGCATTTAAGTAAACGCTTTTTAAAAGATTTTAACAACAGTTCAAAATGGATTTGTTTCTAGTTGCACAAATTCGTTCAACATATATTATAACATATATCAATATATTCATATTTCCATTTTTGGCATTTCTGAAAATCAAGGATTGTAAGAAAATAATTAACAACTGAAATTTAATTTATTTTACACTATCAATTAGTAATTTTTTATTGAGTATTATGAATTCCATGCCTAATCTCTTTTCTTGTTCAGAGAAGGCCCCTGAGACTTAGCTTACAGAATCTCAGGAGCCTAAACTAGAGATAAAGCACGTTGTCAGGCATGGACCTCAGGAAGAGATGCATCCTATTGAGTTACTAGGTCAATGTAAAGGTAAACAGTATAATACAGGAACACCAAATCTCTACATGGCGAAACAAGAAGAATGAAAGCTCAAAATTTGAAGTCAAACTGGTCAAGAACCTAAGGATGAGGAGAAAGAAACAGAAGGCTAAACCTTGGGTGTTTAGGGCAGTGGTCGGAGATAAAACTTGAAGCCATTCCCTGAATCTGTATTGAGGAGAAAAGCACTTTTACGTGGTGCCTGTGGTCATAGGCATGTCTGTAACTATTGCCAATGACTTGCCAGCTGACGTGTGGGTTAAAATAGCTGTAAATTAAATGTTCACAGAGATCACAGAACAGACACTGAATAAGTGCTTAGTGACATCGAGGAAATCTTTGGAGAACACGTAGCAATTGACTAGAACGCTGAAGGGTGAATAAGTTCTCAAAATGCAAAGAAATTTTAAAAATTAACTACATGTAGAATGAGCTGTGTGATCATAGGAATCTAAAGCATAATGTGCTAGAAGGATGAAAAATAGTCTGATGAGGCCCAAGTTGCAGGGGAAGGGAAAAACCTCTTGTCTGACTCTTAGCATATATTCAAGATCCACTTGACCTGCCATATACCTCATATTTTACCACTTTCTGAGTCTCAAGACCTCACATTCTAACTGGACCAGTCTTTTTATTTTCAATCCTCACCTCCTTTTTTGACTTGGGTCTTTTTTCTGCCTTCTCTTATCTTAAAAAGTGTTCTTTTAGTAGACTTCTTACTTTAATAAAGCTGATTTTCTTATTATTGATTCGATTCTTTTATAACAGGAAAATATGTAACCTTTTATAAAACCCAGCTCACAAGGCTGCGGTGAGGGTGAATTGTGTCTGTAATGTGCTTATCACAGAAAAGGTGTTTCATCAGTGTTGGTTCCTTTCTTGCTCTCACTTCTCCGATACTGAAAAAATCAAAGTCATTCACTAAGCACACCTCAAAGTTGGATGAGAAAGAATTTTAAGAGAGATGAAAATAAGCAAAAGATAAAATGCAGTAAGACCTGTCTTCTCAAAGATCTCATGGAAGACACATGACATGAATAGCGGGTATGTCGGCAAATGCAAAGCATCTAAATATATTTTGATATATGTGGCTTTATGTATTTTGTATCCAAAACAAACTCTGAATATTTTAAAAGTTATTTACACATTTACATGGTTTTGATAGAAATACCTGCATAGACGTATACATTTTCAAGAAACCTATACAATTACAAATAACTGCTCATGAATGGGGATGAAGCTAATTAGTCGAAGTGTTTCTCTGATAGCTTAGGCTCAAGTATACCTTTATATAAGAAAATTGGTGTAATAAGGTTTCCTTCATAGCCATTCATAACCATTCAACACTATTCATTAAGCACCTACTGCATGTGCTACCCATGTTCTAGGTGCTGTGGATCTAGTATTTCAGGATCCTGGTCACTTGTGACATTTATTTGTCAAGGCATGGGTGGTTTTGTATTTTGTGGCTCTGTATTTCAGGATCCTGGTCACTTGCGACATTTATTTGTTATTTGTCAAGTCATGGTGGTTTTCCTGTGCCAGTCATGTCCTTTCTATTAAGTTGCTACAATGTGGCTATCACTTTCCTTTGTGAGAATGCTATGACCTTCACTGCCACTCACTGGCCTCCCTAATTGGTGTTTCATGCACTATATGCACACACTTCATACACTTCAAAAGTATTATTTGAGGGGGCACTATCCTCATCAAAATTAAGGAAGCTTAAAGACACTCCATGATATGCACAAAGACATACAATTTGTAACTGTTAGAGCTTGTATTTGAACCTCAATCTATCGAATTCATTCTTTCAACTATAACCTGTTATTTATGGGAAAATCCCATTTTTATGGGGCCCAAATCTTAAATAATCTCTTAGATTTTATATACCCGAAGGATTATAAATCATGCTGCTATACAAGACACATGCACATGTATGTTTATTGCGGCACTATTCACAATAGCGAAGACTTGGAACCAACCCAAATGTCCAACAACGATAGACTGGATTAAGAAAATGTGGTACATATACACGATGGAATACTATGCAGCCATAAAAAAATGATGAGCTCATGTCCTTTGTAGGGACATGGATGAAGCTGGAAACCATCATTCTCAGCAAACTATCGCAAGGACAAAAAACCAAACACCGCATGTTCTCACTCATAGGTGGGAATTGAACAATGAGAACACACGGACACAGGAAGGGGAACATCACACACCGGAGCGTGTTGTGGGGTGGCGGGAGGGGGGAGGGATAGCATTTGGAGATATACCTAATGTTAAACGACGAGTTAATGGGTGCAGCACACCAACATGGCACATGTATACATATGTAACAAACCTGCACGTTGTGCACATGTACACTAAAACTTAAAGTATAATAAAGAAATTTAAAAAAAGAAATAAAGCACACCAGGAAAAAAAAAAAAAGAAAACAAGGGCACAAATAAGAAATAAGTATGAATGTGGTCATTTATTTAAAATAAAGAAATTACTGATGTTTGAAAATTCAAAAATCGCTTTAGGCTGTTTATCAGAAATGCTTGCTTGAAAGTGCTTCCTGATTGCCACTTGCATTCTCCTTTCAATGCAGAACACTCTGCAGCTCCCAACAACATCCAGAACTCACAGGGCCGGTCTAAGAGTCTGTGAAGCTTAAGCTGCATGCGCTTCACAGCTAACCTGCCTCTCTTCCCACTCAAGATGCTGATGAGTCAGAGATGAGATGGACTCCGCATCTAATCCAGCCTCAACATGCAAATACTGTAATTAGATAATGCAGATAGAATTCTATGGGTACTAGCTGTCACTCCTGAAGGCCCACAGCTCACTGAAACCATCATGATGCACACCAAGCATCTGGAAATCTCTACTTCACCATCCACGTAAAGATAAACACACTCCTTTCCCACTTTCTCACCATATGCATACATGTGCAAGCACACAAACACACACACACAGACACACACACACACACACCAAATCAAATAGTGACTGCATGCTGTAGCTTAACCCTATTATTAACCTGTATTTCTATTTTTGACTAAGGAAGCAACAATATTAACAACATGTATGGAGAATAAAACTTAAATGTAATATAAGGATATGATTAATTAAACACAAAACAAGTTTGCTCTGACAATTTTTTCACTGCTTTCTGATCTCTCTGATCTCAGATGTAATGAGCATGCCTTGCATTTTACCTGCTAACACACCTTTATTTTGGTCTAGATTCACAAGAAATTACCTAGTGGACTTCATGGGATTATTATAAAATTGGTAGGTCTGTAAATAATCCTCTAATATTATCACAAGAAAAACGAAATTTTAAATATCAGACTGATATCCCTAAAATATCAATTATATAAGCAGAGCCAGTTGTGTGGTCTGGAAGGGTATGGGCAAGGCAAAAATCAAGGCTGTCTCTTTCTTTGTCTTGGGGATAATTTATTCCCCACTGAAGCTCAGGTTTCTCTGAAAGTTGCACAGGGGATCTGCTATTGAAAAACAAAAATAGGGGAGGAAGGCTCTATAATAGTGTACTGGAAAACCATTTATGCAATGATAGTCCAATGTGTATATGACTTTCTAATTTAGATGCTGTTCTTAAACTTCAATATGCCTCAAAATGACCTAAGGTGTTAAAGATCCAGAAATCTTCCTTTTCAACATTCCTTCTCAGGCCATTACAATCCAGGTGGTCAAGGGATCACACTGCTAGAAGCACTGCTTGACTCAAAAATCTATTTTTAAAATTCCTACAGTCAATTCTTTCTTGATATAAGTCCTATTATACACCTCACTTCTTTCTACAAAATAAAGCTACTTCGATAGGTATATTCTGAGTAAGATGGTTTGCAGCTATATTTCTCTTGAACCAATTTTTCACATACCATTTCAGCTCCTGAGAAGACCATGCAGAAGTCTGAAGTAGATGATAAGTCTAACTTTATCTAGTTATAGGTCTCTGGGAATTGGGTCCATAAATCTAAAGTGATCCATTGTTGATGTTTCTTAAAAAACACTGCAACCTCTCTCCACCTCTCTTTTTCTGTCTCTTGGCCACTTTTGTTTTTATTAAAAAAAATAGACTGATAAAACCATTGTTCTAATAGCTTTGTTAGAGCACTATTTCTCAGATGCATTAACAGACAAGCAGATCTTGAAATATACTATTTTGAGATGAATAATGTATGTGTATTTATTTCTTAGACATCAAAATAAAGTCAGACTAATTTCACGAATTATTCTGGCTATCTTTTCAGAGAAAAATACATACAATAAGACAGAAATTCCACAGAAAATATGGGGCATGCTCTAAAAGCTTTTGGTCAAAACCGTTGCATAGGGAGGGAAAGTATGGTACACTATGTGTCATGTTTACATGCATCTAGTAATGACATTTGATCAACATTAGAGATGCATGTGGTTTGCCTACAGTGCAATAACCTACTTTGTCTCCACCAAAATGAGTAAATCAGAATTCTTGAAAGTAGTCTTCTTGAGTGACTCTGCCCTTGTTTTACTGTGCTAGACTTCTCGCAGTAGTTTTGTAATTCTGGTTTTCTGCAACAAATTACATGCTTTGAGTCAAAGCGGTCAGCCCCAGGAAGGCCAAAAGAGTAAGGTTTTCAAAAAGTGACTATAAAGACTCCTAGAGTAATAGTGCTGAAATTCTGGAAGCCCAGCAGCACACCATTGGCTCAACAGAGTAACATGTGCTCAATAACTTTACAGGCTTTGAATGTAGTAGATAAGCAGTTCCACCACTGGCTACAGGTGACTAGAGTTGACTCAAAAAAATCTGTAAAGGCCAGGCTCGGTGGCTCACGCCTGTAATCCCAGCACTTTGGGAGGCCAAGGAGGGCAGATCACGAGGTCAGGAGATCGAGACCATCCTGGCTACCACGGTGAAACCCCGTCTCTACTAAAAATACAAAGAATTAGCAGGGCGTGGTGGCGGGCACCTGTAGTCCCAGCTACTTGGGAGGCTGAGGCAGGAGAATGGCGTGAACCTGGGAGGCGGAGCTGGCAGTGAGCCAAGATCGCGCCACTGCACTCTAGCCTGGGCGACAGAGCAAGACTCTGTCTCAAAAAAAAAAAAAAAAATCTGTAAAATGGGAGATTAGTGTCAAATAGTGTCATTGTGAAGTTTAAAAGAGATAGTATGTTCAAGGCTCTCATCAAATGACCTGACACATAGTAAGCGTACTGCTGGTATTGACTGCCATGATCAACTTCATGTGAACAAAGCTTGCTGTTCTGTAAAATACTATTTAACTGTTGAAAAGCTTGTTTTAACTTCTGAAATACTTTTGCAATGTCTTGTGAGTTTTAGGTATGAACCGTATTGCATTTCTTCAGAAAACCATAATGTCATTTATAATATAAAGGCCATCTCACAAATTTCTGAGATGGGGAGCAACAAAGAGGAGAGGTTTTCTACACCATATATACAGAATTACCATCCAACTACAACAATTAAGACACTGTAGAACTGATACAAAGATAGTTACGTAAATAAATAGAGCAGAATAGAGAGCCCAGAATCACATCCAGACAAATTTGTGAATTTGGTGTTAAGACAATAGATTATCTACATGAGAAAAATAAAATTTTGTCACTTTACATGTGAACAATAAATTATAGAGTGATCCCAGAACTACATAAGACAAAAAGATTTTAAGCAATTAAATAAAAATATATAACACATATACTTGACCTTGGAAAACAAAATAAGTTCTTATAACAAGTCTACCCCCACCCCCCAAGAAATATACCATAAAAAAGTTAAACATTACCACAGGCTGGGAGAAAGTATTTGCAATAAATGTATAACAAAACAATCAGTATTTAAAATATCTAAAGGACAAACAAGATGAATTGATGACAGAAACAGTTAAACAGAGAGTAAATAAATATCATTAAATGTATAAAAGATCATCAATCTTATAACAATTAAGTAAATGTTAACTAAAAATTAAAATGAGAAATTTTACTCTCATTAGATTGGCCAATATTAAAGTTGGACCTAAACAACTTTTTTTATTATTATTATTATACTTCAAGTTTCAGGGTACATGTGTACAATGTGCAGGTTTGTTACATATGTATACATGTGCCATGTTGGTGTGCTGCACCCATTAACTCGTCATTTAGCATTAGGTATATCTCCTAATGCTATCCCTTCCCCCTCCCCCTTCCCCCCACCCCACAACAGTCCCCAGTGGGTGATGTTCCCCTTCCTGTGTCCATGTGTTCTCTTTGTTCAATTCCCACCTATGAGTGAGAAACATGCGGTGTTTGGTTTTTTGTCCTTGTGATAGTTTGCTGAGAATGATGGTTTCCAGCTTCACCCATGTCCCTACAAAGGACATGGACTCATCATTTTTTATGGCTGCATAGTATTCCATGGTGTATATGTGCCACATTTTCTTAATCCAGTCTATCATTGTTGGACATTTGGGTTGGTTCCAAGTCTTAGCCATTGTGAATAGTGCCACAATAAACATACGTGTGCATGTGTCTTTATAGCAGCATGATTTATAATCCTTTGGGTATATACCCAGTAATGGGATGGCTGGGTCAAATGGTATTTCTAGTTCTAGATCCCTGAGGAATCGCCACACTGACTTCCACAGTGGTTGAACTAGTTCACAGTCCCACCAACAGTGTAAGAGTGTTCCTATTTCTCCACATCCTCTCCAGCACCTGTTGTTTCCTGACTTTTTAATGATTGCCATTCTAACTGGTGTGAGGTGGTATCTCATTGTGGTTTTGATTTGCATTTCTCTGACGGCCAGTGATGATGAGCATTTTTTCATCTGTTTTTTGGCTGCATAAATGTCTTCTAAACGACTTTTTAAAGGTATTTAGAAAATGGTAACTGGTATGAATGTAAATAAATTGGCATAGAGTATTTAGAAAAAAATCCAATAGCAAGTAACATTTAAAATACATATACCTCATGACTCAAGAAACCTATTTCTAATTGTATTCCCCAGAAACCAAAGCCTTGCATATATATAAAAAGAAATGGCACAAAGACATTTAGGCTTAATTCTTGGGAGTGAAAAACGGGAAACCATGATAAAAAGTGGTTAGTTAAATTGTCATGTATTTGTACAATAAAAGTAAATAAACTATGTCTGTATGTGTTAACAAAAATAAATGGTGAAACCACCATGTGCAAAAAGGAAAGTTTCAGAACAATACATTTGAAACAATTTTTTTAAATTGGAAAAACTAGAAAATACAGTGCAATAAAAGAATACGTGGACAAATCATGATATTGGCTGTCTATGGGAAGTAAAGAAGGCAAATGAATGAGACCAAGGCAATAAATAAATGAGGCCTTTTTAAAAATCTTCATTTCTTTTAAAAATGAACTCCTGCTTTCCACTGAATATACTTTACATGTTGTAATTGTTTTAGGGTTCAGTTCTTGTCCTCTTAACTTGTATTCTACATATTCCCAAAATAATACCACACTTCCAATGACTTTGATTAACAAACACATTGTGACCTACTTCAAACATCCGTGCACAGTCCAGCTCCTGTACTAACCTCAAGACTCCTGAAAACTTAAGGCACAGCTCCATTTGAATATCCCATAAATACCTTAAAATGGCTAAGTTCAAGCCATAATCTCTTTCACATGAAACTGGCTCTCTTCCTGTGTTAAAAATTGGTGAATGACAAGACTATGTATCTGGTAATCCAAGTGAATAACCCGGATGTCATTATAGATACTCCCTCTTTCTTACTTTCCACACCCAGTAGGAATTTTTAAAAATCAATTATTTCAATTTAACGCCTCTTGCCCCTGTTCCATTATCTCTACTCTTAATGCATTTTTCTATTCACCTGTCATCATTTTTGAATTATGATATAGTTCAGAACAAATCACTTCCCTTCTGAAAATCACACAATGTTCCTCACTGCCTATATAAAAAGCCTAAACTCCTTCATGTACTATAAAGAATCATTCATGATTTGGGCCTTGACATTTTTCAGCTTGATTCCCCATCATTTTTCAATCACAGTATTCATGCCTCTTTTACAGAGTGACATTTGCATTTCCCCCAAACATATTTTGCTTCTCTACACTTCCAATACATTGAATATGCTACCTTCTTTGGCTGAAACATTTTCACTTTCTGTATGTAATATTATTTGATTTCTAACATCTCATGCTTCTGATCTCAGATCAGCGGTCCCCTTCTCTAGGAAGCCTTACCTGATTCCCCAAATTAGCATTGGTATTTTTCCCCTCTGTGCTCACTGGCTTCCAGAGCTTCTTATATTGAATCACTTATCAGGTTGACTTCTTTATTATTTATCCATCTGATTATCCCTACTACTCTCTGAACTAAATCCTGTGAAAGCAAGAATTGATTGTGATCTACATTCTATAACACCCCCAGTGTTTAGCATAGTAGGTGGCACCGAGTAAGAACTCGGTTCAAATACATTGGGTGAAACAATAATATGCATTGACTTCTATTAGGTATATAATTGTCTTTTAAGAAAAATCTTTAAAAAATGTAAAAATAATTAACTTTACAATTAGCACCTGCTTTTAAGGGAAACATTCCTTTACAAGCATAATTCCTGATAGGCTTATAGAATAACCAGGCTAATTTTTTTCCAGTCAAGCTTTGTATTTCTGATGAGAGCAAAATTACTGTGTGAATGGCGCAAAAAGCGTGAGTGCCTGCAGCTGCCAGACACTGCCTTTTGAAAAAGTAATCTCCACAACAAACGTGTGTTTTCTCATAATATGGATTTTTTAATATATGTATGCACAGTATGATTCAAATTGCATAAAAGATAAGAAAAATGCAAACTGGCAAAAGTTACAATTGAATTTTAATTAGGTCTTTGATGTTTACAGATGCCACAACCTCAAGAAGGTTTGTGGAAGTTGTTTCTTAAAGTGAAGCAAAAAGTAGCAAAAATTCAAAACTTGAGGGACAGTTTTAGACTTGGGAATAGAATTGTAGTCAATTGTTCATCAAAATAAAATAGAATTTGAATTATCAAAAATGATTTAAAATAATTTTAAAAGTCATTTTGCTAAATGTCTTCTAGAAATTTCAAAAATGCAGCACTGGCTACTTATTTCAAATTGAACATTATGTGAGATAGCTATATTAATCGTATATTAAAAATAGATAAATTTAAAAAGCAAAGGGTCAAAAGACCTCATATTTTCTAAGCTATTACTAAATTTTCTGGTGCATTTCAAATATGTATACATATATACATACAAATACACACACACATATATATGTATATATGTTAAAAAAGAGAAAAAACTTGCTATACACACTGCAGTAGAATAGCGATGCACTATTAACAATTATAAAATGGGATGAAATACATAAAGCCATTATTTTCAGGTATTGGATAAAATGTAGTAAAAATCTGTGATACATTAGGAAAGGAAAATGAACGTAAGCCCTCCTAACATCCCACGTTTTGGCCTGGAGGCATGTGCCAGGCCATGGAACTGGAAAGATTATCCCAAAAGGAGCCTGGCAGTTTCACTGACTTGAGGAGGCAGAAATGGAATAGCATGCAACAAATATGCTGCTGGATAACTCCACACTTCCTCTATTGTGCTGTTACTGTCACAGACTACATCTTTATATGTTTTATGTCCTATCACATAGATTTGTACTTATTTTTATGCATTTGTCTTTGAAATCATGCAGACAATAAAAAATGGGATAACCAACCAGAAATTTAATAATAATAGTTTTTATATTTACCTATGTAGTTACTTTTTTTTCAGATATCTTTATTTGTTTGTACAACATCAAGTTATTGCCTACTGCCCTTTTACTTCAACCTGAAGGATTATCTTTACCATTTCTTGTGTGGCAGGTCTACTTGGTACCAGATTCTCTCAGCTTTTGATTACCTGGCAATGTCATAACTTTATTATTTTTAAAGGAGGGTGTTGCCTGCTATAAAATGTTCATTTGAAAGGTATTTTTAATTGTTGTTATTATTGTTTTTATTTGTTAATTTTCTTCAGGTATTTTCAACAAGTTATCCTACTACCTTATGGCCACCATGGTTTCTGCTGAGACATTTGCTCTCAATCTTACTGATGATCCACATGACAAGGTTCCTCTCTCTGGCGACTTTCAAGATTTTATCTTTGTCCTTGGGTTTTGACACTTTTATTATAATGTATTTCTGTAAAAAACTTTTGTATTTTTATCATAATTATGGTTCATTGGGGATTTTGGATGTGTAGATGCAGGTAATCCACCAATTTAAGAAGTTGCCATTATGTTTTCAATATTTCTTTCTGCCTCCTTTTCTCTTCTTTCAGGACTACAATAATGGGTATTATGGTTTACTTGATAGTGTTACACAAGTTCTTTAGGTTTTGTTAATTTTTCTTCATTCTTTTATTTCTGCCTTTCAAATGTGGTAATTTCAAATGCTCAATCTTCTAGTGCACTGATTCTTTATTATACATGCTCAAATATGCTGTTGCACTTCTCTAGCGAATTTTTCATTTCAGTTATTATAGATTTTGGCACTAGAATGCCAATTTGGTTGCTTTTTTAAAAATAATATCTAATTATTGGTATTCTCATTTTGCTCATGCGTTGTTTTCCTGGTTTCCTTTAGCTACTTGAACATATTTAAGATAGTTGATTTAAAGTCCTTGCCTAGGAAAGAGGCAGAGCAAGGTGGCAGATTAGAAGGCACCACCAATCATCCTCCCAACAAGAACAGCAATTTAACAATTATCTACACACAAAAATAACCACCTTTATAAAAACTAAAAATAAGATGAGCTCTCATCGTACCTGGTGTTAATTTTGTGTCAGAGAAAGCAGCACTGAGAAGGTAGGAAAAACAGTCATGAATATCCAATGCCACTCCTCCCTACCCCCAGGAATGGCAGTGTAATGCAGAGCACATGTTGGGCACTGGGGCAGGGATAGCACAACAATTGTGAGGCATTGAGCTCAGCGCTGCCCTGTTAGAGTAGAAAGTAAAAGTGGACCAAAGTCAGCTAATACCTGCCCACTGAGAGAGCATTTAAACCAGCCCTAGCCAGAGGGGAAATGCTAATCCCAGCATTCTGAACTTGAGTTCCCATAAACCTTGCCACCGAAGGCTACAGTGCTCTGTGTGTCCAAGTAAACATGCAAGGCAGTCTAGGCAATAAGAACTGCAACTCTAGAGGAGTCTTAGCACTGAACCAGGCCCAGAGATAGTGGACTGGAGGAGCATGTGACCTACTGAGACACCAGCTGAGGCGGCTAAGGGAATGCTGGTACTACCCCTCATCAAACCCCAAACTGCACACCTCCTGGCTACAAAAAAAGGCTCATCCCTTCCACTTGAGGAGAGGAGAGGGAAGAGTGGGGAGGACTTTGTCTTCCATCTTGGATACCAGCTAAGCCACAGCAGGATAAGGCACTGGTCAGAGTCATGAAGACCCCATTCCAGGACCTAGCTCCTGGATGACATTTCTAGACACACTCTGGGCCAGAAGGAAACGCGCTGCCTTGGAGGGAAGAACCAGTCCTGTCAGCATTCATCACTTGCTAACTGGAGAGCCTTTAGGCCCCAAATAAAAGGTAGCAATACCCAGGTACTATGTCGAGGGACTTGGGTGAGCCTCTGAGACATGCTGGCTTCAGAAGAGACACAGCACATTACCAGCTCTGGTGGTTATGGGGTAAAAGAAAAGCAGACAGAAAAGTAAAGGGGACTTTGTCTTTCACCTTAAGTACCAGTATGACCAAAGGAGGTGTATTAGTCCATTTTTACACTGCTGATGAAGACATACCAGAGACTGGGCAATTTACAAAAAAAAAAAAAAAGAGATGTTTAATGGACTTACAGTTCCACATGGTTAGAGAGGCCTCACAATCATGACAGAAGGCAAGGAGGAGCATGTCATGTCTTACACGGATGGAGGCAGACAAAGAGAGAGAGAGAGCTTGTGCATGGGAACTCCTCTTTATAAAACCATCAAATCTCATGAGACTTATTCACCATCACCAGAAAAGCACAGGAAAAATTTGCCTCCATGATTCAATTACCTCCCACTGGGTCCCTCCCAGAACATGTGGGAATTCAAGATGAGATTTGGGTGGGGACACAGCCAAACCATGTCAGGAGGTTAGAGCACAAGTGGGCCCTTGGGTTCTGTAATTTGAGGACAGGACATTTGAATGATTTATTAGTCTGTTCTCAGGCTGCTAATAAAGATATACCCAAGACTGGGTAATTTATAAAGAAAAAGAGGTTAAATAGACTCAGTTCCATGTGACAGGAGAGGTTTCACAATCATGGTGGAAGACAAAAGGCACATCTTACATGACAGCAGACAGGAGAGAATGAGAGTCAAGTCAAAGGGGAAACCCTTTAGAAAATCATCAGATCTCATGAGATTTATTCACTACCATGAGACCAGTATGGAGGAGACCGCCCCCATTATTCAATTATCTCTCACCAAGTCCCTCCCACAACACCTGGGAATTATGGGAGCTACAATTCAAGATGAGATTTGGGTGGGGACACAGCCAGACTATCGGGGGAACCCACCCCCAATATTTCAATGTAGGTTCTTTCTATTTTCCATAAGTGTCAGCCGGCTGAGAAATAAAGAAAAAGAGTACAAAGAGAGGAATTTTACAGCTGGGCCACTGGGGGTGACATCACATATCAGTAGGACCGTGATGCCCACCTGAGCCTCAAACCAGCATGTTTTTTATTAAGGGTTTCAAAAGGGGAGGGGGTGTAAGAACAGGGAGTAGATCACATGCTTCAAAGGGCAAAAAGGAGAACTACTGATAAGGGTCCAACAAAGACCACAAGGCAAAGGGCAAAAGCAGAACTACCGATAAGGGTCTATGTTCAGCGGTGCACGTATTGTCTTGATAAACATCGTGACAACAGAAAACAGGGTTCGAGAGCAGAGAACCAGTCTGACCACAAATTTACCAGGGTGGAGTTTTTTCCCCACCCTAGCAAGCCTGAGGGTATTGCAGGAGACCAGGGCGTATCTCAGTCCTTATCTCACCTGCATAAGACAGACACCCCCAGAGCGGCCGTTTATAGACCTCCCCCCAGGAATGCATTCCTTTCCCAGGGTATTCATATTAATATTCCTTGCTAGGAAAAGAATTTAGCGATATCTCTCCTACTTGCACATCTGTTTATAGGCTCTCTGCAAGAAGAAAAATATGGCTCTTTTTGCCCAACCCTACAGGCAGTCAGACCTCTCATCTGAGACAAGGCAAGTCCCTTGCACCTATAAGCCTGTAAAATCAAAAGCAAGTTAATTTCTTCCTAGATACAATGGAGGTGCAGGCATTGAGTAAATACAGCCATTCCAAATGGGTGGAATTGGCCAAAAGTAAGGGAATACAGGCCCCATGCAAGTCTAAAATTCAGCAGGGCAGTCAAATCTTAAGGTTCCAAAATGATTTCCTTTGACACCATGTATCACCTCCAGGTCATGCTGATACAAGAGGTGGACACCCCTGGCATTGGGCAGCTCCACTTCTGTGGCTTTGCAGGGTAGAGCCCTCCTCTTAGCTGCTTTCATGGGCTGGCATTGAGTGTCTATGGCTTTTCCAGGTGGACAGTGCAAGCTGCCGTTGGATCTACCGTTATGGAGTATGGAGGATGGTGGCCCTTTTCTTACAGCTTCACTAGGCAGTGCCCCAGTGGGAACTCTGTGTTGGGGCTTCAACCCCACATTTCCCTTCTACACTGCCCTAGCAGAGGTTCTCCATGAAGGCTCCACCCCTGCAGCACACCTGTGGCCTGGACATCCAGGCATTTCCATACATACTCTGAAATCTAGGCAGAAGCCTCCAAACCTTATTTCTTGACTTCTGTACACCCATAGGCCCAACACTATGGGTAAGCCACCAAGGCTTGGAGCTTGCACCCTCTGAAGCAATGACCTGAGTTGTACATTGGCCCCTTTTAGCCATGGCTGGAACACAAAGGACCAAGCACAGAGACTGCACAAAGCAGCAAGGCCCTGGGCCTAGCACAGTAAACCATTTTTTTCCTATTAGGCCTCTGGGTCTGTGATGGGAGGGGCTGCCACAAAGGTCTCTGAAATGCCCTGGAGACATTTTCCCCATTGTCTTGGCAATAAACATTTGGCTCCTCATTACTTATGCAAACTTCTGCAGCTAGCTTGAATTTCTCCTCACAAGAATTTTTTTTTTCTATTACATGGTCAGGCTGCAAATTTTCTGAACTTTTATGTTCTGTTTCCCTTTTAAAATGGAATGTATTTAACAGCATGCAAGTCAACCCTTGAATGTTTTGCTGCTTAGAGATTTCTTCCACCAGATACCCTAAATTACCTCCCTCAAGTTCAAAGTTCCCCAAATCTCCAGGGCAGGGGTAAAATGCTGCCAGTCTCTTTGCTAAAACATAGCAAGAGTCATCTTTACTCCAGTTCCCAACAAGTTCCTCATCTTTATCTGAGATTACATCAGTCTGGATTTCATTGTCCATATAATTATCAGCATTTTGGTCAAAGCCATTCAACAAGCCTCTAGGAAGTTCCAAACTTTCTCACATTGTCCTGTCTTCTTCTGAGCCCTCCAAACTGTTCAAATCTTTGCCTGTTATCCACTTCCAAAGTCGATTCCACATTTTCAGGTATCTCTATGGCAGCACCCCACTACCTTGTACCAATTTACTATATTAGTCTGTTTCCACACTGCTAATGAAGACATACCTGAGGCTGGGTAATTTATAAAGAAAAATAGATGTAATGAACTCATAGTTCCACATGGTTGGGGGGTGCTTCACAATCATGGCAGAAGGTGAAAGGCACATCTTATATGGTGGCAGACAAAAGAGAATGAGAGCCAAGTGAAGGGGGAAACCCCTTATAAAATCATCAGATGTGATGAGACTTATTCACTACCACAAGAACAAAATGGGGAAAACTGTCCCTGTGATTCCATTATCTCCCACCAGGTCCCTCCCACCACATGTGGGAATTGTGGAAGCTACAATTCATGATGAAATTTGGGTGGGGACACAGCCAAACCATATCAGATGCCATTTCTGGACCTACCCTGGGCCAGAAGGTAGCTCATAGCTCTGAAGGGTGAGTTCCAGGTCAGGCCAGCATTCACCACACCCCAACTGAAGAGCCCTTGGGCCTTAAAAGAATATCCACAGTATTCTGGAAGTATTCCCTGTGATCTGTGGTGGCAGGGGTCATGAGATGAGGTTCCTCTGCCGTTGGAAAGGGGAGGAAAGACTGGGAAGGACTTGTGGTTTGAGTGCCAGCCCAGTCACAATACAAAAGAACACCAAGTAGACTTCTCAGGCAGACGTTTGACTCTAGTCCCTGGCTCTGGGACAGCATCTCTGTACCTGCCCAGAGAGGAAACTTTCCAACCAAAAAGGGAAGGGCACAGGCCTGGCTGGTTTTGGCATGTGCTTATCGTAGACCCCAGGACTTTGAGCAAACAAAGGTAGTAGCCAGGGATTGATTACACTAGGCCTTGGGCAAGACCCAGTGCTATGCTGGATTCAGGTCTGACCCAGCACAATCATAATGGTGGTAGCCACAGGGGTGCTTGGGCCACTCTACCCCAGCTTTAGTTGGCTCATTCATTTGGGAGAAAGGGGAAAGAATGAAAGTCTCTTGCTGCTAACTCAGAGAATTCTCCCAGATCTTATTAAAGACCAGAAAGAATAACAGTGCTTACTGGCACTGGGATGCCCCCTAAAGCAGAAACAGCTTAGGTCACAATGCCCAAGACTTTCCAAATATCTGAAAAGCCTTCTGAAGAACAGATGCAAAGAAGTCCAAACAGTGAATATTACAATAAATACCTCAGTACAAACAAGCCCAGACAGTGAAGACTACAGTAAATAACTAACTCTTCAATGCCCATACACTAAGGAATATCTACTAGCAAAAACGTCATTCCAGAAAACATGACCTCACCAAATAAACTAGATAAGGCACCAGGGAACAATCCTGGAGAAACAGATATATGTGACCTTTCAGATGAGAATTTCAAATAGCACATGGAAGAAATTCAAAGAAATTTAAGATGACATGCAGAAGGAATTTAGAATTCTATCAGATAGATTTAACAAAGAGATCAAAATAATTTAAAAGAATCAAGCAGAAATTCTTGAGCTGAAAAATGCAACTGGCATACTAAAGAATGCATTGGAGTCTTAATACCATAATTGATGAAGCAGAAAAGAGAATTAGTGATCTTGAAGACAGGCTATTTAAATCTACACAGAGAAAACAAACAAACAAAAACAATGAAGCACACCTACAGGATCTAGAAAATATCCCCAAAAGGACAAATCTAAAAGTTACTGGCCCTAATAAGGAGGTAGAGAAAGAAATAGGAATAGACATTTTATTCAAAGGGATAATAACAAAGAACTTCCCAGACCTAGAGAAAGGTGTCAATATCCAAGTACAAGAAAGTTATAGAACACCAAGCAGATTTAACCCAAAGAAGACTGTCTCAAGGCATTTAATAATCAAAATACCAAAATTTAAAGATAAAGAAAGGATTCTAAAAGCAGAAAGAGAAAAGAAACCAATATCATACAATAGAGCTCCAATACATCTGGCAACCGACTTTTCAGTAGAAACTTCATAGGCCAGGCGAGAGTGGCATGACATATTTGAAGTGCTGAAAGAAAAACATTTTTACCCTAGAATAGCATATCTGGTGAAATATCTTTCAAACAAAAAGGATAAAGACATTCTTAGAGAAATTTAAAAAAAAATGAGAGATTTCTTCAACACCAGACCTTTCCTACAAGAAATGCTAAAGGAAATACTTCAATCAGAAAGGAAAGGATGTTAATGAGCAATCAGTAAACACCTGAAGGTAGAAGACACACTGGTAACAGTATACACAGAAAAACAAAAAATATTATAAAAATGTAAATGGAAGGTGTAAACTACTCTTATCCTAAATAAAAAGACTAAGTGATAAACGAATCTAAAACAATACCTGCAAAAACTTTTCACGACATAGACAATAAAATATAAATATGAATGTAAATATAAATACGAATAGAAACAATGTAAATAGAAACTGAAATAGAAAAAGTTATTAAGTAGGTGGACAAAGTTAAGGCAGGAAGTTTTTATGTGTTTGTGCAGTTTTTTTTTTTTTTTGCAATTGTTTTTCTTTTCTTCTAATTATGATTATTTCAGTAGTTCTGGGGGGAAAAGGTGGTGTTTGGTTACATGGATAAGTTCTTTAGTGGTGATTTTGAGATTTTGTTGCATGCGAGCAGGGTACACTGAACCCAATGTGTAGGCTTTTATCACTCACTTCTCTCTCACCACTCCCCTAAAGTCCCCACAGTCCTTTATATCATTCTTAGGCCTTTGCATCCTACCTTAACTCCCACTTAGAAGTGATAATTCATGGTGTTTGTTTTTCCATTCCTGAGTTACTTCACTTAGAATAATGGTTTCCAACTCAATCCAAGTTGCTGTGAATGTCATTATTTCATTCTTTTTTTTATGGCTGAGTAGCATTTCATGGTACATGTACATACCACATTTTCTTTATCCACTCATTGGTTGATGGGAATTTAGGCTGGTTCCATATTTTTACTTTCATGAATTGTGCTGCTATAAACATGCATGTGCAAGTGTCTTTTTCATATAATGACTTCTTTTGCTCTGGGTAGATATCCAGTCGTAGGATTGTTGGATCAAATGGTAGCTCCACATTTAGTTCTTTAATGAATCTCCAAACTGTTTTCCATAGTGGTTGTACTACTGTACATTCCCACTAGCAGTGTAAAAGTGTTTCCTTTTCACCACATTCACACCAACATCCATTTTATTATTATTATTATTATTATTATTATTATTATTATTATTATGGCCACCCTTGTAGGAGTAAGGTGGTATTGCATTGTGGTTTTGATTTGCATTATTTCCCTGATAATTACGGAAATTGAGAATTTTTATGTTTGTTGGCCATTTGCATATTTTCTTTTGAGAATTGCCTATTCATTTGCTTAGCCCATTTCTTAATGAGATTATTTTTTTCTTGCTGATTTGTTTGAGTTTCTTGTAGATTCTAGATATTAGTCCTTTGTCAGTTGTATAGTTTGCAAAGATTTTCTCCCACTCTGTGGGTTGTACATTTACACCGTTGATTATTTCTGTTGCCGTGCAGAAGCTTTTTAGTTTAATTAAGTCCCATCTATTTATATTTATCTTTGTTTTTGTTGCATTTGTTTTGGGTTTCCTGGTCATAAACTCTGCATAATCCAATGTCTAGAAGAGTTTTTTTGGATGTTACCTTCTAGAATTTTTATGGTTTCAGTTCTTTAAGTATTTCATCCATCTTGATTTTTGTATAAGGTGAGAGATGAGGATTCAGTTTCAATCTGCTACATGTGGCTTGCCAGCAACATTTGTTGAATTGTGTATCCTTTTCGCACTTTATGTTTTTGTTTGCTTTGTCAAAGATCAGGTGGCTGTAAGTATTTGGCTTTATCTCTGGGTTCTCTATTCTGTTCCGTTGGTCTACATACCTATTTTTATACTAGTACTATGCTGTTTTGGTAACTATAGCTTTGTAAGTATAGATTGAAGTCTGGTAATGTGACGCCTCCATATTTGTTCTTTTTGCTTACTCTTGCTATGGCTATGCTGAGGCTTTTTTAATTCCATATGAATTGCTTTCTCTAGTTCCATGAAGAATGATGGTGATATTTTGATGGGAATTGAACTGGATTTATTTGATTGCTTTTGGCAATATGGCCATTTTTACAATATTGATTCTACCCTTCCATGAGCATGGGAGGTGTTTCCATTTGTTTGTGTCATCTATGATTACTTTTGGCAGTGTTTTGTAGTTTTACTTGTAGAGTTCTTTTGCATCCTTGGTTTGGTATATTCCTAAGTATTTTATTTTATTTCTGCAGCTGGTGTAAAAGGGGTTGGGTTTTTTATTTGATTCTCAGCTTGGTTGCTGTTGGTGTATAGCAGTGCTACTGATTTGTGTATATTGATTTTTGTATCCTGAAATTTTACTAAATTCATTTATCAGATCTAGGAGCTTTTTGGATGAGTCTTTAGGATTTTCTAGGTATACGATCATAGCATCAGCAAACAGCGACTATTTGACTTCCTCTTTACTGATTTGGATGCCTTTATTTCTTTTTCTTATCGGATTGCTCTGGCTAGGACTTCCAGTACTATGTTGAATAGAAGTGGTGGAAGTGGGCATCCTTGTCTTCAGTTCAGTTTTCAGAGGAAATGCTTTCAACTTACCCCCATTCAGTATAATGTTGGCTGTGCATATGGTATAGATGGCTTTTATTACCAGAGGGTATGTCCCTTCTATGCAGATGGTCCTGAAAGTTTCAATTATAAAGGGATGCTGGATTTTGTCAAATTCTTTTTCTGAATCTATAGAAATGATTATATGTTTTTTATTTTTACTTCTGTTTATGTGGTATATCACATTTATTGACTTGTATATGTTAAACCAACCCTGCACCTCTGATATGAAACTCACTTGATCATGCTTTATTATCTTTTTGATACACTGTTGGATTTGGTTAGCTAGTATTTTGTTGAGCATATGTGCATCTATATTCATCAGGGATATTGGTCTGCAGTTTTCTTTTTGTTATGTCTATTCCTGGTTTTGATTTTAGGGTAATACTAGCTTCACAGAATAATTTGGGTAGGATTCCCTCTTTTTATATCTTTTGGAATAGTTTCAATAGTATTGGTACCAATATTTGTGATTGCATTTTGAAATTCTTGTGTTATTCAGCTCTGTAAGATCCATTAGGTTCTTTTTTATACTGACTATCCCATTCTTCATCTTCTGTATCACTTTATTTTGCTTCTTATTTTCCTTGAATTGGGTTTTGCCATCCATCTGAATATCCATGTTCTTTGTTTCTATCCATATTCTGAATTCTATTTCTGTCATTTCAATTAGTTCAGCCTAGTTAAGAACTTTTGTTAGAGAACTGGTACGATCATTCTGAGGACATATGACACTCTGGCCATTTGAATTAACAGAGTTCTTGCATTTGTTCTTTCTTATCTCTGTGTGTGGTGTTTAACTGTAGTGTAGATTAAATACAATCAATAGGTTTCTTTTCTGGATGTTTTCAGCAGGTGGAGGCTTTGTTCAGGATCTTTATTTGAAGCTGACTTCTTGTCTGGTTTCAGAGGGGAGGTATGTTAGTGAGGTATTTTTGGTGTTGAAGCTTTGCAGTGTTATTTAGTAGGTGGTACTTAGGTATATTGGTACGTCGGTAGACTCTTGCTCATTTGTGTGGCTCCCCTATGTTTTCTCCCAGTTACAGCTGTGTTCCCTCTCAATGCTCTGAAAGTGTGTATTTCTCTCTCCCTTGAGTCCTGGGCCTAGACCATGGCTTTGCATGCCTGGATGGAGGCCCTGGTTGGGCAGTCCTGCCCAGTGAGGAGGAACAAGATCAAGGACCTGATTAAAAAAGCAGTCCAGTCTTGCTTTCACAGAGCAGCTGTACTGTTCTGGGCTACTGCTTCCATCCCTGGTCAGCTTGGACTCTCCAAAGCACAAAGGCTGTGATGGCTAAGTCATCCAAACAGCAAAGACTGTGGCTCACCCCTCCCCCGAGAGTTCCATCTAAGGGAGGTGCAATGCTGCCACTATTGGCTAGCTGGAATTCCAAGCCTGTGGGTCTTATCCTGTGAGGTGCCACGGAAGTGGGGCCTGCAGACTGTCACTGCTCAGCTCTCTGGATTTACCCTGTTTCCCGGGTGTATATATGGGAGTCTAACCACCCGTTCTGCTGGAGTTGCAGGTACTTTTGTCAGGAAGCCTAGAATGCTCAGGTATCTAAAGCTCCCGGGCGGGTCTCCTCGTGTGCCTGAGTCGCTGCTGCGCCAAAACTCCATGTAGTTCTGTGTGCCAGACAGAAGTCCCTGGTGGAGTGGGTTCATGAGGGTATCTCCTAACCCAAGGGTTGCAAAGATTTGTGGGAGAAGCATGGGTTCCCGGGGATGCACATTCACTCACCACTTCCCTGGGTGGGGAAAGTTCCTCTGGTTTCATGTCGCTCCTGGGTGGACCATCATCCTGCCTTGCCTTTCTCTGTTCTCTGTGGGTCAAGTTGTTTTTCTTGGTTAGTCTCAGGTGAGTTTCTGAAAGTTTCATTTGAAGATGATGTATTAACTTGCCACTTCCATTCATTATTATGAGAGTCATACACACTAGCTGCTTCTAGTCAACCATATCGGCCACCTCACCCCATTTATGTAAATCTTGAACAAAAAAATACTGTAAGTTGCTTATGAGCACATAAATATCTGGTAAATTGGAAAATCATCTGTGGAAGACATACACATCAACTTCTGAATAGTATTTACTTCTAACAAGAGACAATAGAGAGCTACATAGAGGAGATGTCAACTTCATTGGTAATATTTTGTTGTTTTATGAAAGTAAATCTGGAGCAGATATGGTTACATGTTAAATATACAAATACAGATGTCTTAAATATGTTATATATGTATTAAAATTGACTTTTATATTTGTACTTTTTAGACAGGAAATATAGCATATGTATTGGTTCCAATTGTAGAATGTGGAACTAGCCTTCAGGAGAATCAAAATCTCAGTTGCACCATTAATTATTATGTGTTCTTTGGCATTTTGTTCACTCTCTGATCCTCATTTTTCTCATTTGTAGTATCATGTACCTCATAAGGTTGTTCTGAGGGTCAGACAAGTTAATACATATAAAGAACTTTTAACAGTACTCAACACATAGTAAGTACTATGTAAGTGTTGGCTGTTATTACAATTTTTAATATATTTGAAATCTTTTCTACTACACAGAGAAGAAAAGGATGACAAAAACAGATCTGTAGTGAAATTTATCTACAGATGGTCAACTAGTTAAAATTTAAAAAATTAAGAAAAAAATAAACTACAATAATAAAACACGAAGTGTCATCATAGAGGCTAAACCTGGTGTGGGGCCAGAGGACCATGGAAGCATGAAGAAGGCATATAGGTTTTTCAGGACTCAAGGAAGCCTTTCTAAAAGAGTTGATCACATTGCTGAGACTTGAAAGCCACAAATGCAACCATCACCCTGATGAGATTTTGATCACTTCCTTAGTGGAGACTTATTTCTATACTTTTCATTTACTTTAAGCTCATTGATACAACATCAAAATACAGTTACCTACTATTTTCTAAACAACTTTATTTGTCCACCTTAAAGTCCAAAGTGACCTGTGTTTCACCCTTGTCTTAAAATGTTTCATAACTGGAAATGAAAGTTTGCCAATATTTCTTGGAAGAAAAAAAGAGATAAAATACAGACATCAACACAACAACTGACAGCTTGTCAGGGCAGAGGTAAAATATTGTGAAGATATTCAGTAAGGCCTCCAGCTTTTCAGGGAAAAGGGCTCAGCGGAAACACACAAAAAACCTTTAAAAAATCATCAAAGCAACTGTGTGAACAGAATGACATTTATTTAAACAAAGAATTACAAACAGAATCTTGAGCTGTTTGCAACATGTGAGGATCTTGATCAAAATGCTTAAAGCAATAAGCATTATAATGACTTCACTGGGATGAAGAACAGACAACAGCTCTGCAGAGACAAAAATCTATAGTTCAACTGCTAACCGTATTCAATATTCCTCTTGATTTCATGATTCATATTTCTTAAATTTAATTTATGTTTTGAAAATAAACTGAATGTAACTTAGGGATAACAGGCTACACATTGGGTGTAGTGTACACTGCTCAGGCCATGGGTGTACCCAGATTTCAGAAATCACCACTACACAACTTGTTCGTGTAACCAAACACCACCTCTTCCCCAAAAACATATAGAAAGAAAGAAAGAGAGAGAGGGAGGGAGGGAGGGAGGGAGGGAGGGAGGGAAGGAAGGAAGGAAGGAAGGAAGGAAGGAAGGAAGGAAGGAAGGAAGGAAGGAAGGAAAGAGAGAGAGAGGGAGGGAGGGAGGGAGGGAGGGAGGGAGGGATAGAAAGAGAGAGAGAAAGAAAGAAAGAAAGAAAGAAAGAAAGAAAGAAAGAAAGAAAGAAAGAAAGAAAGAAAGAAAGAAAAAGAAAATTTTTAAAAAAAAGTAATAATTTTCAAGAGTTCTGACTACCAACTTCAAAGCTGGAAGATCAAACCCTTTGAATGTTTGTGTGCATAAAGTGTGCATAAATATGTTTGTTTGAGAGAAATGCTTCTTCATCATACAAGCATCATTTTGTTGTTTTCTAAAAGTTTGTTTATGAATAGGTGTTTTGGAATGCCAAATATAAGTTACCATAGAAAGAATGTTTCAAATGAAGGGTGTGTTCCCCCGCCAGCCAACAAAGACCAAATAACCTCTCTAATGAATTTTAAAAGCTGATATGGTTTGGATCTATGTCTCCACCCAAATCTTATCTAAAATTGTAATCTCCATTGTTGGAGGTGGGGCCTGGTGGAAGGTGATTGGGGGTGGTTTCTCATAAATTGTTTAACACCATCTTCTTGGTGCTGTTCTTCTGATGTTAAGTAAGTTCTCCATGAGATCTGGCTGTTTAAAAATGTGTGGTGCCTCCACCCACCATGCTTCTGCTCACTCCATGTAACATGACTGCTCCCACTTTGCCTTCTTCCATGAGTAAAAGGCCCTGAGGCCTCCCCAGAAGCAGATGCTGCCATGCTTGAGAACCAGGAGGCAACTAAACCTCTTTTCTTATAAAATACCCAGTCTGAGGTATTTCTTTAGAGCAGTGAGAGAATTGACTAATACAGAAGCCTAACAGTTATTAAAAATAATTGCACTTAGAGTCCGAAAACTCCAATTTGAATCCTGAATCCTTATAATATTGATGACTGCTAACTCCTTTGCTTTATCCTTGAAATCCAGGAAATTGCACAATGCCAGTTTTTCTATTGACTGGTTCCTCTTGCCCTATTCCTTTCCCCGGACTATTTTTCTCCTCATATTATTTATTAATGTGGTCAAGACTTAAAATTAACTCACCACAGCATTAATAAAGGCTGTGACAATAATCTGTAGCTTTGCATGTGAGTAGGAAAGGTTGGCACTTGTGTATTACCGATTGCCATGCAGTAGAGGCATTTAAATCATGGCTCCAACACTAACCAGCTCAGTGAATTGGACTAGTTCCTGAACATTTCAAAGAATTTCTTCAGGTAAAATGAACAGTCTAATAGCATCTATCTCAAAAAGTTGGATTACATGAGAAAATCCATGTAAATTGCTTAGCATAGTGCCTGAAGTATGGTAATGATCAGTACACTATATATTGTTATCAAATAATTTATACTATTCTCCATTAATATTAATGGAAATATTTTAATAGGAATTTTATTATATTTGAAAGGAAACGGGTAGTAGGTAGAGCAAGATGGTGGAAGGTTTCCACTGACATCCGCCTGACAAAGACACCAATTTATAGACTACCTACACCTAAAAAGCACCTTCATAAAAAAACAAAAATCAGGTGAGCACTAACAGTATGTGGTTTTCACTTCATATCGCTGAAAGAGGTATAGAAGAGGTAGGAAAACTAGTCTTGAATCACCAATGCCACCCCTTCCCCATACCCAAGAAGCTGCAGTGAGGTGTGGAGAGCATTTCTGTGTGCTACGGAAGGGAGTGCACAGCAATTGTGAGGCACTCAACTCAGTTCTGCCCTGTTAGAGTACAAAGGAAGACTAGACCAAACTCAGCTGGCATCTACCCATGGAAGGTACATTTAAATGAGCCCTAGGTACAAGCAAATCACTGATCCCAGTAGTCCAAACATGAGTTCCCAAAGGCCTTGCCACCATGGGTTAAAATGCTATCGGGTCTTAAATAAACTTGAAAAGCATTCTAGGTCTCAAGAATTACAACTTGTAGGGGAGTAGTAAAGATAAACTGGGCCCAGAGCCAGTGTACTGGGTGGGGGGCACTTAATCTACTTAGGTACCAGGTAAGGCAGCTAAAGGAGTGCTGCCATTACCTCCTCCCCTAACTCCAGTCTGCATAACTCATGGCTCTGAAAGAGACCCCTTCCTTCCACCTGAGGAGAGAAGAGGGAAAAGTGGGGAGGATTTTTTCTTCCATCCTGGATACTAGCTCAGCCACAGCAGGATGGGGCAATGGTAAGAGCCATGAGGCCTCCTTTCTAGGCCCTAGCACCTGGACAACATTTCTAGACACATTCTGAGCCAGAAAGGAACCCTCTGCCTTGAAGGGAAGAACCCAGTCCTGGCAGCATTCATCACTGGGTAAGTAAAGAGCCTTCGGCCCCTGAATAACCAGCAGTGATATCCAGGTACTACATTGAGTGTTGGGTGAGATTCTGAGACTTGCTGGCTTCAAGTGAGAATTAACACATTCCCAGCTGTGGTGGCTATGAGGCAAGGCTTCTTCTGCTTGAGAAAAGTAAAGGGAAAAGTAAAAGGGACTTTGTCTTGTACCCTGGATACCAGCTTGGCAACAGGGGGTTAGAGCACCAAGTGGGCTCTTGGAGTCCTATATTCTAGGATTTGGACTTGGACGGCATTTCTGGACCTGCCATAGGCCAGAGGGGGAGGCTAGTTGCCCTGAAAGATGAGTCCCAAGCCACGCGGCATTCATCATAAGTTGACTTAAGAATCCTTCGGCCTAAAGAGAACATTGGTGGTAGTCTGGCAGTATTCCCCAAGGGCATGTGGTGGTGGTAGCCACAGGGTGAAGTTTCTTTGCTTTTGTTAACAGGATGAAAGAGTGGGAAGGACTGAAACTTGTGATTTGAGTGCCAGTTCAGCCATAGTACAATAAAACATCAGGTAGACTGCTAAGGTTTTTGGCTGTAGTCCCTGGCTCTGGGACAACATCTCTGGACCTGCCCAGGGCCTTGAGGAGCTGGCCACACTGAATGGAAGGAGACAGGCCTGGCTGGCGTTGCCACCTCCTAATTGTAGAGCCCCATGGTGTTGAGTGAACATAGGCTAGGAGGAAGCTGGGTTTATGTCTGATGCAGTACAGTCCCAGTGATGACAGCCACAGGGGTGCTTGTGTCACTCCACCCCTAGCTTCAGGCAGCCAGGAACAGGAATGCCTACCTACTAATCCATATAATTCTTCCAGATCTTATCCAAGCCCACCAAGGTAGTACCTTTATGATTCTACGAAAACCACCGCATTACTGGGTTTGTGCTGCCTCCTAACGAAGATATGGCTTAGATCACAACACTAAGTCCTTTTAAATACCTGGAAAATCTATGGGATATAGTAAAAGCAGTATTAAGAGGAAAATTTACAGCCATAAGTGACTACATTAAAAAAAACACGTAAAAAAAGTAACTAATGATGCATGTTAAAGAACTACAGAAGCAAAAGCAAATTGAACCCCAAATTAGTAGAAGAAAATAAAAAATAAAGATTTGAGCAGAAATAAATAAAATTGAGATGAAGAAAACAATACAAAGTATCAGTGAAACAAAAAGATTGTTTCTAGAAAAGTTAAACAAGATTGAGAAACCTTTAGCCATACTAAGAATAAAAAGAGAAGATCAAAATAAATAAAATCAGAAATTCAAAAGGAGACATTACAACTAATACCACAGAAATTCAAATGATTATTAGTGGCTAGTACGACCAACTATATGCCAATAAATTGTAAAATCCAGAAGAAAGTGAGGAATTCCTAGAGACATAAAACCTACCAAGATTTAATGAGAAAGCAATCCAAAACCTGAACAGACCAATAATAAGTAACAAGATGGAAGCCATAATGAAAGTTCTCCCAGTAAAGACAAGCCCAGGATCAAATGGCTTCACTGCTAAATTCCACCAAACATTTAAAAAGCTAGCACCAATTTTACTCAAACTATGCCATAAAATACAGGATAGGTGAATACTTGCAAACTCATTCTATGAGGCCAGTATTACCCTGATACCAAAACCAAATAAAGATACACCAAAAAAAAAAAAAAAAAAGAAAGAAAGAAAGAAAGCAAGCAAACTGCAGGTCAATATCTCCGATGAATGTTGATGCAAAAATCCTCAACACAATACTAGCAATCTGAATTCAACAACATATTAAAAAGATCATGCATCATGACCAAGTAGCATTTATCCCTGAGATGCAAGTGTGGTTCCACATATGCAAATCATTCAATGTGATACATCATATCAATAGAATAATGGATAAAAACCACGTGATCATTTCAATTGATGCTGAAAAAGCATTTGCTAAAATTCAATATTCTTTCATAATAAAAGCCCTCAAAAACTAGGTATAAAAGGAACATACTTGAACATAATAAAAACCATATATGACAGACCCACAGCTAGTATCATACTGAATGGGGAAAAACTGAAAGCCTTTTCTCTAAGATCTGGAACACAACAGGGATGCGCACATTCATCACTGTTATTCAACTTAGTACTGTACATCCTAGCTCGAGAAATCAGACAACAGAAAGAAATACAGGGCATCCAAATTGGAAAGAAATGAGTCAAATTATCCTTGTTTGCAGATGATATGATCTTATATTTGGAAAAACGTAAAGATTCCACCAAAACCTATTAGAACTGATAAATTCCATCAAGTTGCAGGATACAAAATCAACATAAAAAGCCAGTAGCACTTCTATATGCCAACAGTAACAATCTGAAAATAAAAAAGTTAATCTCAGTCATAATAGCCACAAATGAAATTAAATACCTAAGAATTAATAAAATAAGTGAAAGATCTCTATAAGGAAAACTATATACTGCTGACAAAAGAAATAGAAGAGGACACACACACAAAATGAGAAGATATTCCACGTTCGTGGATTGGGAGAATCAATGCTGCTAAAATGTTTATGCTACCCAAAGAAATCTACAGATTTAATACAATTTTTATCTAAATTCCAATGACATTCTTCACAGAAATTTCTTAAAAATCCTTAAATTTATGTGGATCACAAATGACTCAGAATACCCAAAGCTGTCCTCAGCATAAAGAACAAAACTGGAGGGATCACATAACCTGACTTAAAATTACACTACAGCGCTATAGTAACCAAAACAGCATGGTGCTGGCATAAAAACAGATATGGTACTTTTCATGGGTGTCTGTGTGAAGAGACTACTAAACAGGCTTTGTGTGAGCAACATGGCTGTTTATTTCACCTGGGTGCAGGCGGGCTGAGTCTGAAAAGAGAAGTCAGCGAAGGGAGATGGGGTGGGGCCGTTTTATAGGATTTGGGCAGGTAAAGGAAAATTACAGTCAAAGGGGGTTTGTTCTCTGGCGGGCAGGAGTGGGGGTCACGAGATGCTCAGTGGGGGAGCTTTTTGAGCCAGGATGAGCCAGGAAAAGGACTTCACAAGGTAATGTCATCACTTAAGGCAAGGACCAGCCAGTTACACTTCTTTTGTGGTGGAATGTCATCAGTTAAGGCGGGGCAGAGCATTTTCACTTCCTTTGTGATTCTTCAGTTACTTCAGGCCATCTGGGCATATACGTGCAAGTCACAGGGGATGCGATGGCTTGGCTTGGGCTCAGAGGCCTGACAGTACTGGCATTAAAAACATAGACCAATGTAACAGAATAGAGAGCTCAGAAACAAATCCACACACCTACAGTGAACTCATTTTTGATAAAGGTGACAATAACATACACTGAGAAAAAGAGCCTCTTCAATAAATGGTGCTGGGTAAACTAGATTTCCATATGCAGAAGAATAAAACTAGACCCCCATCTCTTACCACATATGAAAATGAAATAAAATGGGTTAAAGACTTAAATCTAAGACCTCAAATTATGAAACTACTACAAGAAAACACCAGCAAAACTCTCCAGGACATTGGCCTGTGCAAAAACTTCTTGAGTGATACCACACAAACATAGGCAACCAAAGTAAAATGGATAAATGAGTTCACATCAAGTTAAAAAACTTCTGCACAGCAAAGAAAACAATCAGCAAAATAAAGAGACAACCCACAGAATGGGAGAAAATATTTGCAGACTACCTATCTGACAAGGTATTAGTAACCAGAATATACAAGGAGCTCAAGCAACTCTATAAAAAATGTAATAATCCTATCAAAAGATGGACAAAAGATTGGAGTAGATGTCTCTCCAAAAAAGAGATACAAATGGCAAACAGGTATATAAAAAGACGCTTAACATCACTGATCATCAGAGAAATGCAAATCAAAACTACAAAGAGGTATCATCTCACCCCAGTTAAAATGGCTTCTATTTAAAAGACTGGCAGTAATAAATGCTGGAATAAAATAAATGTGGAAAAAAGGGAACACTCATGCACTGTTTGTGAGGATGTAAATTAGTACAACTACTATGGAGAACAGTTTAAAGGTTCCTCAGAAAAATAAAAATAGTGCTACCATATGATCCAGCAATCCTGCTTCTGGTTATATACCCAAAAGAAAGGAAATCAGTATATCAAAAAGATATCTGCCCTCCTGTGTTTGTCACAGCACTGTTCACAATAACTAAGATTTGGAAACAACCTAATTGTCCATCAAAAGATGAATTGATAAAGAAAATGTGGTATATATACAAAATAGAGTAGTATTCAGTCATAAAAAAGAATGAGATCTTGTAATTTGCAACAACATGGATGAAACTGGAGATCATTATGTTAAGTGAAATAAACCAGTCACAGAAAGACAAACATTGCATGTTCTCATTTGTTCATGGAATCTAAAAATCAAGACAACTGAAGTCATGGACATAGAGAGTAGCAGGATGGTTCCCAGAAGCCAAGAAAATCAGCTGGGGGATGAGGGAGGTGGGGATGGTTAATGGATACAAAAGAAATACAAAGAATAAATGAAACCTACTATTTGATAGCACTACAGGATGATTATAGTCAATAATAATTTAATTGTACATTTTACAATAGATTAAAGTATATAACTGGATTGCTTGTAAGACAAAGAACAGTTACCTGAGAAGACAGATACCCCATCCTCCATGGTGTGATTATAACACATTGCATGCCTGTATCTACACTTTTCATATACCCCATATATACACACCTACTATGTACCCACAAAAGTTAACAATTAAAAATTTAAAAAGGAAATGATTGTAGCGAAGCATCTCCTTTTTGGCAAGTCTTGTCTGCACAAATCCTTGTGTCCCTTGCACTAGTCCCTAAGGCAATCAATCATTTTGATATTTCCTGAGAAGGAGATACAGTGATTATCTAAATAACATAGCCCCTAAAATTTCATAAGCATTGTACCCTTGCATGTCTCTGGACCTTGGAAGTCTTCTGTGCTCCCAGCATTCATAGCTCTGGGATTAAAGGGTCAAAATGATGCTCATCTCTGTATAAAATGTCAGGGTCAACAAGAAATCCTACATCAATTTTGTTACTTAATTAGTCAGTTTATCTAGTGCAACCCTTCAGTTAGAGAGAGGTTTATATTTTTTATAATTTTTTTAAAAAGAAATATTAAAGGCTTCAAGTTTAACATTGTGACTGTTCAATAGCCCACAATGCAGTTTTTCTAACAGCTGTTGGAAAGACAGAAAAATGATGAAAACTCACGTCACTAAATATCGGGGGAAACCAGCCCCTGATATTTCAACACAGCTTCTTTTCTATTTTCCCTAAGTGTCGGCTGGTCTGAGAAATAAAGGGAAAGAGTACAAAAGAAAGAAATTTTAAAGCTGGGTGTCCGAGGGAGACATCACATGTTGGCAGGTTCCATGCATGATGCACCCTGAGTCGTAAAACCAGCAAGTTTTTCTTAGCAATTTTCAAAGGGGAGGAAGTGTACAAATAGGGTGTGGGTCACAGAGATCACATGCTTCAAGGGCAACAAAAGATCACAAGGCAGAAGGTCAGGGCGAGATCACAAGGTCAGGGTGAGATCACAAGGTCAGGGAGAAACTAGAATTACTAATTAAGTTTCATGTCCCGCTGTGCATGCATTGTCATTGAGAAACATTTTAACAGAGTTCAAGAGCAGAGAACCGGCCTGACTAGAATTCACCAGGCTGGAATGTCCTAATCCTAGCAAGCCTGGGGGCGCTGCAGGAGGCCAGGGTGTGTTTCATCCCTTATCTGCAACTGCATAAGGCAGACACCCCCCCAGAGTGGCCATTTTAGAGGCCCCCCTGGGAAATGCATTCTTTTCCCAGGGCTGTTAATTATTAATATTCCTTACTGGGGAAAGAATTCAGCAATATTTCTCTTATCCATTTTCGGTAATAAGAGAAATATGGCTCTGTCCTGCCTGTCTCCCAGGCAGTCAGACCTAATGGTTATCTCCCTTGTTCCCTGAACATCACTGTTATCCTGTTCTTTTTTTCAAGGTGCCCAGATTTCATATTGTTCAAACACCCATGCTTTACGAACAATTTGCACAGTTAATGCAATCATCACCTCCTGAAGCGACATACATCCTCAGCTTACGAAGATGACGGGATTAAGAGATTGAAGTAAAGACAGGTATAGGAAATTATAAGAGTATTGATTGGGGAAGTGATAAATGTCCATGAAATCTTCACAATTTATGTTGTTCTGTCATGGCTTCAGCAGGTCCCTCCGTTCAGGGTCCCTGACTTCCTGCAACAACTAAATACTAGGTATTGCACTTAAACTATTGAGGAAATCCAGAAAATGTTTCCAGTAACTCCTAAACTAAATTGAAGAAAGTAATATGAAGCCCAACAGATACACCTACAATCTCCCCATAAACTCTCATTACTTCCATTTTACCAATGAAGAAAAAGAAACTCAGGTGAAATAACTTGCCCAAAATCACACAGCCAGTAGGTGGCAGAACCAATGATTTTCAGCCCTGAGACATTTATTGAGTTCCAAACTATTTTATTGAGCTCTTTACTTGGATTTCTAAAGGTATCTTAAACTTAATATGAACAAATTAGAAATTCTGATCCTGCCACTCCCTGCTCATTCCTGAAACCTACTTCATACCTAGTGCTTAGTATCTCTGAAAATGATACTACCATCCAACAAGTGGATCAAGCCAAAAAAACAAAAAAGGCAAAAAAATGCTAAGACTCATTCTTGACTCATTTCTCTCTCCCAAACTGCACATCCAATTTGTTGGTAAGTATGTCATTTCTTCCTCCAAAATATTTTCTAAGTCCAACCATTTTTCTCCATCTCTGCTGCTACAACACTGGTCTGGGCCACCAGTCATCTCTCTTCTGTATTATTTCTAAGCTTCTCAAGCAGTCTCCCTGATTCCACTGTTGTCTTCACACACACCTTGAAAGATGTTTAAAAATTAAAATTAAATCGTTTTCTTCTCATACATAAAATCCTTGAGTGGCTTTCTGAATTTCTTACAATAAAATCAAAATTCATGAAGAGGCCAACAAGGCCCTCTTTGAACTGGTTCCTATGTACTTCTCTGTCCTTATCTCCAACTGCTCTCCTCATTCACCATGTTATGGAACATTGACCCACTTTTTGGTTCCTTAAACATGCCAACTTGTTCCTGTTTCGTGGCCTTTCAACTGGCTGGTACCTCTGCCAGGAAGTCTCTGAGACAGACTTTTAGAAAGCTCCTTCACTGCTGTTATGCAGATCAGCTTAAACCCCACCACAAGGAATCACTCCCTGACCACCTACTTTAAGTTATCCCCTATCCCCGCTCTATCACCTTCTGTGACATCATTTACATGCGTTTTCTTCAGTGCAGTTGTCATTATTGGAAATTATCTTGCTCATTTATTTGTTTTTTGGAAACAAAGACCAACTAAATGATAAAAGTAAAGGCTATTTATTCAAATCTTGCTGCAGCAATGATGTTAGCCACCATCACTTGTGTTTTGGCAGAGACTCAAAGGCAGGCAGAAGAGTGGGGAAGCTTCATAGCGGAAGAAGGGGGGATACTACAGGTATGCCTGATTGGAGGTTGTTGGCATGAGAAAGCTGGAGGCAGGTTAATTAGAATAGAAGAAGGAGGCCCTACGTGATTGTTTATGAGTGCCTATTTGGCTTTCTCTGATTGGTCCTAAGTTGGTGGCAAGAACAAAATAGGGAAACTGTCAGTTATTAGTCAAGTCCTGGCCTTTTGGGGCCAATTGTTCCAAAAGTTGTAGTTTTGCTTTCTGGATTATTACTAAAGACAGAAGTCTGACTTCCTACAAGTCTGACTTAGAACTAGCTGGCTTCCTGGGCTGCTTATTGGAGTTAAGGGGTTGGTTTTCTAAGCAAGATGCCTCAGGTTGTGAGTCACAGTTGTGTTTTCACATATGGTCTTGCCATTATTTGCTCGCATATTCAGTCCCTCAGTTTGCTGGTCATAGATGTCACCCAACTGGAATTTAAACTCCAGTTGAACACGTTCCTTGTTCATCTTGTTCAGTATGGGCTCCCTAGTGACTGAAACACTATCTGGTACATAATAGGTGCTCAATACATATTTTAAAAATTAATGATTAAAAGGTCAACTGAGTTACTAAGTTATTTAGATATATATATATATCTTTAAGAGACTATATATATAGTTCAAAGCTTTAAGAGACTATATATATATATATATATATATATATATATATATATATATATATAGTCTCTTAAAGCTTTGAAAATATTTGTTTTCATAAATATTTCCAGACATAAGTACAAAGATTTCTCGTTGGCCCGCATGATTGACTGATTTTGTTGATGCATTCATCTGATGTAGTTCAACCTCACTAATTCAATGCCAGTGAAAAGAATTTACTTACTTTTAAAGTGAACATTACATTCTATCATAAATTATTTATCAAGGTAGAATATGCATAGTATTAATGCAACTCTTAACAATAAATGGGTACTTTGACACTGGCTAGGGTGGGGCTCTTTTGCCTGTGTTGTCAGTGGTTTTAGGAAAGTACAAATTAGTCATGATTGCCTCCCTCACAATTTAATAGGCTTGAAAGAGAAAGACAACAAACCGGATTTTTAAAATACAGATAAGGAGCTGGTTATAGTAACATGTATGTTTTTTAAATTTTCCATGTAAAGGGAGTTTAGGCACAAAGGAAAAATGGGTATTAAATGCCAGTAATGAATCTCTCCAACTTTGTTTCTAGAACTCCCAGAGCATTTAGGTACAGGTTCATTTACTTACCTTGTATTATCTAAATCGGTTTCCATAACTACACTCTCCACTGGACAGTGAGTTATTTAAGGGGGACTATATGTAAGAACTGTGATCCATTCTTATGTCCCGTAACCTATCATGGAGTAGGTATTTAGTCAATATTTCTAAGATCAAAGAATGAATATTGCTCAAACTTTGTGTAATATAGCAATTTCTAGGATAGCTCTATGAGGCTCCCCATGGTAGCTGTCAGGCTAACCTGATAAAACAAGGAAAAGACTCCAGAGAACGTCTTTCCAACCTATACCTAACGTCCTACAGGACACAAAATACTTGCTGTACTTTTTTTTCAAATATACTAAACATAGTTTTGCAGGTTCAGTAACAGGACTGTACTTAGAAACCAGGGCTAAGATGATTACAACGATGATGTTCTTTGGGAATGTTTTCTGGATTAAACCAAATTGTGCACTACCTTAACCTTGTGTAGAAAGCTGTTTTTATTCTGAAACTTCTGGCTTTTTAAGACATTGTCTTGCTGGGTGGAACTAAAGAAGAGTACACACCTCCGAGACCTTGGTTTAGATGTAAACTGGTGAAATATTTATGAGAGGCAATTTGTCAAAGTATATTTAGAGCTCTAAATGCATGCATATATACACTTGGACATACTGCTTTTAGGACTGTGTCTTAAGAAAGTGGAAAAACAACAAATGGAATAGATATATGATGGAGTACTAGACAAGAGTTCAGATTCTTACTTTGGGTGAATATTTAAGAATATCTTCATGCGGTGATGCCAAATTTTAAAAAGCTAAAGGATGGCATGTATACTATAATTCCAACTTCCAAACGTACTAAGAATATTGATAGTTGAGACTTTAGAATGGAGTCAAGGAGAGAGGAAAGTAAAAAATATATATATATGAAATGGGTGAGAGGTAAAAGATAAAACATCGCCATGTCAGGAAATAGACAACTAAGGGTCAGCTGCAGATTATGTCATTTTTCCCCACTTTTCAATGAACAATTCCAATCAGCAGCCAAGTAGGGGACAAAGGTAAGGGATTCAGCCAAGGCATGCCCCTGAAAGCCTGTTACTAATATTGTGCTGTACCAGGAGAACAGCCATATATCAACCTGCTGTGTTCCATGGACACAAAGCCATGCTGGCATTACAGATTTGGACTTCAAATATCTATTGAGCTATTTTAAAGTGCTCATCTAGTTTATACTGCAGTGATTTATAAAATGTGTCATTTTACAATAGCTGTCTATTTATTTCCAGGATACCCATGCATTCATGGGCACTAATGAATTGCAGGATGCTAGGCAGTGTAGAATATGGTTACACATGGGCCTTCTCTTACAATCTTACATCCATCTAGTTATGAAATATACCCTAATTTCACCACTGAAACCAAGCTGATAAGATATGGTAATAAGCTGACATAAATAATGGACTTCCTAGTTTAAAAATTGTATCAAATAGATTCCTTATGATAAAATGGCATAATTATTGCACTGGAGGCCAATGCTCTCTCACTAAAACAAATTACTTTGGGGGGCATAATTCATTGACAATTAAATAACAATAAATGCAGAAATATGTAACTGTCTATAAAAGACATTTTATTGGCAATATATATGTTGCAAAGTCTATTGGCTTAGGACAGACGCTCTGTAATAATTGGACATTTTTAGCTTCTACAGTGAATATTTTCTAAGTTATCTATGAAATTAGATTTGAATTTTAAATACACATCATTTATAGTTGATTCAGCTCGACTTACTGAGGCTACTTTTCTGATTATAAAACAAACAAACAAACAAAAAATGTTCTTACATCTTAATGCCTCTTATACTCCAAAATTTAGCTTAATGACTTGCCTAATGGCTTAGCCTAATAGCTTGCAAAATCTACCACTTGCAAGCCATTGCTACAAGAGAGGGTTTTCAGATCCTAAGGATAGAAAACCATACTTCTGTAGAAGAGACAAAGCACTCAAGGGTTGGCAGAGTGGAGAGTCCATAAAGAAACTATGCACAAACCTTGCTAAGGAAAAATAAACTTGAGAGAAAGACAGCTTTCCTGGCAGAATGACCTCCTAGGCCAGGCAGTAAAGGCATTTTTCTACAGAAATTTGTAAGCCATATACTTTGAGAAAATAATGGATGCAGCGGCAGAATGCAGTGAGTTCAGAGGTAATTTAGGATTCATCCTGAAAATTGACTGCACAGCAATGGCTGTGTATTCATAAGGAAAGGACAATAATTTATTCTCTCCAAGACTGAATAAAGTGATATTAAGTAAGCACAATTAAAAAAACAGCATGCTAATTGGAAGGTGGACAGCCAAAAGGAAAAACAAAAACAATTATAGGGAAGAGACTTTACCATTTACTGAGAGACTACTGAATCCTAGGGACACTGCAAAGTCTCTTCACAGCCATATCAATCCAATTAAAAAGTATGATGCCCAGACTGGGAACACAGGGAAACCCCGTCTCTGCTAAAAATATGAAGAATTAGCCGGGCGTGGAGGTGTGCGTCTGTGGTCCCAGCTACTTGGGAGGCTAAGATGGAAAGATAGTTTAAGCCTGGGAAGTTGGGGATGTAGTGAGCTGAGATCATGCTACTGCACTCCAGCCTGGACGACAGCAGTGAGATTCTACCTTAAAATAATAATAATAGTAAATAAATAAAATATGATTCTAGAGTAACTTCCTGGTAAGCACAAAAATATTATGCTTTATCAAGAGCAAATCAATTTGGACCAAATAGTCCAACCAACTATGCATGAAAAAAGACATTGAGTAAGCAAGTATGCTAGAAGTTCCTATCTAAAAGCCAAAAGCAAAATTGTTTTTATTCTGTCTTAATATAAATAGCTTATACTTATTTATACACCCCCCCTACAACTTGAATAATCTGATCCCTACCAAAATAATCACATTTTAAAGCAAGCCAATGATAATAATAATAATAATATCACCTCATATTTTATTTTATTATATTCAGATTATAAAAGACATCCACATTGATTAATTTGCCCAGTCTCCACATATATACCCTTGTGCCCTGTGTAATTTCTTCCTGACCCAACCTTTCATTGCTAATGAGGCAGTTTGTACCCATACATACAGAATGCATTTCATCTTAGCTGTACCTGAAACTGAACTGTGTTCCTCTTGCTTTCTGCAGTGGTGTTTTTCTGATGCTATGGGACAAGATACGTGCACTCATGCATGCACAACCAAAAGTATGAGCATGTTAATATCTCATGTATAGACTTGCTAGAATTTACAAATAAAAATACACGATGCCCATTTAATTTAAATTTTATACATTTAGTATATGTATGTCCCATACAATATTTGTTGTTAAATTGTAAAAAATAGTTTTTCATCTGAAATTCAAATTCAACTGTGTATCCTATATTTTAAATGTCAATCTTACCAGCAGGGTAACACTTGTCCAATGTAGGGTTGAAACTGGTGGATAAATGTTTTCTTTTCTGCTTTTGGGTGAAAAATTCTGAATTGTATTCTATACAGCCATTCAGAGGTTCCTGGTGGGATGAAACCCCAGTTGCCCACAGCCGTAACCAACTTAATATCATATGCCTCTATTAGTTTCCCCTCCCTTCCATTGCACTGTCCTTGGACTCTCTTCCCATACACTAGGATCATCACATCCTAAAATAACCTACCTACACAAAAACCCTTCTCTCATGATCTTTTTTGGGGATCAATTTAGGCTAAATGAGCTACTGGCAAATTCTTTGAAGTTACAGTAATGTTAGAGCTAGAATAAACCACTTTATAAATGTGAAGACTAATTTCTATAGAGTTCAGATGTATTGCCTATGGTCACACAGCTCAGTAGAGGCAGATATCAAACTCATATTTGGACCTCCTGAGCTCAAGTTTGATATCTACACTTTTTTTATATCTAGACTACGAGAACACCATTCTCACATTTATTTCATGCTATATTTTTAAGAAAACAAATTCATTTAGTATTTCTGTGAAAATGATGTACTAACACCATTAGGATTAAAAAACACAAATTCTCACATTTCCTCACAAAAAAAAAGATCTCTCCAAATCCCACTACACAAATAACTAGCATTAGCATTTGCAAACGTATTATTCCACACATATTTCTGTGCATTATATGCAGACAGAAACGTAAATACAGAAACACATAAAATTATATACTATGTATATGTGTGTATACACATAAAATAAAATGTGTACACACAATTTAATAGCATTTTATTTTATAAGTAAAATCATAAGTACAATTTTACTTGAATTTATGAAAAGGTAAAGAAACTTTTGGAAATGTTTCACTTCAGATACATGCTTCTTTACCACAAGAGATAGTATTTTTTAAAATATCCCTCGAAAAGTAATAAAACAGATTATAACAACATGAAGAAATAGGAGTCATTAGTTTTAATTAAATATTTAATTTTTGTACAGTACTAATTGCTCACTGTGAAAGATTAGAGCATTAGCTTTTTAACACTTTTTTTTTTTTTTGAGACTGAGTCTCACTCTGTCACCCAGGCTAGAGTGCAGTGGTGCGATCTCGGCTCACTGTAGCCTCCGCCTCCCAGGTTCAAGCGATTCTCCTGCCTCAGCCTCCAGAGTAGCTGGGATTACAGGCGCATGCCAACATACCAGGCTAATTTTTGTATTTTTAGTAGAGATGGAGTTTCACAGTGTTGGTCAGACTGCTCTCGAACTCCTGACCTCGTGATCCGCCCACCTCAGCCTCCCAAAGTGCTGGGATTACAGGCGTGAGCCCCCACACCTGGCTAGCTTTTTCAAATTTTATCCTATCTCCCTGGCGCCCCACTTTCCAAATTTTGTGAATGATGTCATTAATTTTACATAGTGTCAAAACTTCTAATATGCACATCTTATTTCCTGATTATAACTTCCACATTTTTCTTTACTATTAGTTCTGTTTCAGTGGATCCAAATCTAACTGAACCCATACTCCAGCTTCTTCATTCCTAAGGTCTTTATTTTCATTAATCTCTTAATTAGCTATGGATTTCTTCATCAAACAGAGTTTGCTTGATTATTTTAAAGAAGGGCTTCTGAAGATGCTGTATTATCTTAGCTTTTTTCATTTTTGAGAATGTCTACCTGTTTGCCTGATATGTGAATGATACGTTTTCTGGTATAATATTCTTGATTCTCACATTCTCTCCCTCAAAAATTTAGGAATACACTTTCATGATCTTCTGGACTCGAGATTTGTGTTGAAAAACATAGGAAACAACCAGATGTTTTCTTCTTACACATGATTTGCTTTTCTAGCCTGGATGCCTAAAAAATTATATTTTTATCTTATAAATTAAATAACTGAACTAGATTAAATATTCAAACATCTTGTTTGAAAAGTTTCTGCAACACACTGTGTGTTTTAGTTTATATATGTAAAATTTTATTTTTTTTTTGTTTACTCGTTTACTGTACTTTTTCTTAGGAGAAGTTTAGCTTCATGAGCGCAGGGACTTCTAACCTCCTTGTCACTATTACAATTCCTCAGCCTCTACAACAGAGCCAGACCTACTGTAGATAAGTAATACGTATTTGATAAATGAATGTTGTTGAATACATGATTTTCTTCTTTCAGAAAAATTTGCCTTAAATATATTTCTGTGTAATTCCCGTATATTGTCTCTCCCTTTCATATCTTCTGGCTCCTTTCTTAGCACTCTAATCATTTTTCCTTTTTATCTGCATTCGCTGAGATTACCTCAAGGCTTTTCTATATAAAAGTTATGTTATTCTTCTTTTTTTTTTTTTGGTCAATGTTGAACAGGTTGGCCTCAAACACGTGGCCTCACCTCCCTGTGTGCCAGGACAACCAGCCTGAGCCACTGCGACTCCCAAAGTTATGTTATTCTTAACTATGTCTTTTCTGGTCTTCTAATATTTGAGCTTTCTTTTACTAGATACAGGTTCTTATTTTTTTTCTAAACTGTGAAGTGCTTATGAAAATTTTCCTTGTATTTCTTACTTTGTTTCATTTAAATTGAGATCTTTGTTTTTCACATTCTAGCTCCACTCTGTTTTGTAAATGTATAATTGGAAATTGTACATATTTATGGATTAAAACATAATATTTTGATACATGTATGTATTTTGTAATGATCAAAGCAGGGTAATTATTATATCCATCACCTTAAAAATTTATCATTTATTTGTGATGCAAGCATACAAGAATCTCTATTCTAGCTATTTTGAAATATAAAATACATTATTATTAACTTTAGTCATACTGCTATGCAATAGAACAAAGTAATGCATTCCTCCTATGTAACTGTAGCCTTGTACTCATTGATCAACCTTACCTCATCCACTCTCCTCCTTCTCTTCCTTATCCTCTGGTAACAACCATTCTACTCGCTACTCTTTTGAAAACAATGTTTAAAACTTACATATGAATGAGATAATGGAATAGTTCTCTTTCTGTGCTTGGCCTAATTCACTTAATGTAACATCCCCCATGTTCATTAATGTTGCTTCAAATAACATGATTTCATTTCTTTTTATGATTGAATAGAATACAACCCAACTTCAAAACATACTGCAGAACTATAATAACCAAAACAGAATGGTACTAGCATAAAAACAGACACATAGGCCAATGGAACATAATAGAAAGCCCCAAAATAAACCTATGCATCTATGGTCAACTGATTTTTGACAAAGGTGCAAAGTAGACACAACAGTGAATGTACAGCCTCTTCAATAAATTGTGTTAGAACAACTAGATATCCACATGCAGAGGAATGAAACTAGACCCTTATATCAACTGGACCCTTAACTCAAACTGGATTAAGGACCTAAATGTAAGACCTGAAACTACAAAACTATTAGAAAAAAATCGTAAGGAAAAAGTTCCATGACATCGGTCTAGGCAAAGAATTTTTGGATTAAACTACAAAAGTACAGAAAAGAAAACAAGAGCAGAAATAGACAAATGGGATTACATCAAATGAAAAACTTCTGCACAGCAGATATATACATATATATATATATATATATACATATATATATATATATACAGTTATACAGTACATATATATATATGTCTGCTGTGCAGAAGTTTTATATATATATATACATATATATATATATAGAGAGAGAGAGAGAGAGAGAGAGAGAGAGAGCAAACAACCTACGGAATGGGAGAATATATTTGCAAATGACACATCTGATAAGAAACTAATACCTGAAATATATAAGAACATTCAAATGATTCAATAACAAACAAACAAGAGCAAATATCCCAATTAGCTCAATTCTTTTTATTTATTTGTTTCTATTTTTGCAGTGGGAGTGGGGGTATTGTATCACCTAGTCTGTTGATATAGTTGTCCTGTGATTTCTTTTCACTTTTTTCATTCATATTGCTTCTGTCTAGAATTGTAGTTTGATATAATATTAGGGTTGAATATTTATTTCTTCTCTTCAGGTACTCCTTTCCTGGACTTTTGTTCCTTTCCTGGGCCTACATTGCTGTTCTTTTCAATCCCCAACTTGAGGGCTGAGTTTCTGTTTTTTTATTCATTTTTCTGTACCATGAGGACATGGAGAGAGTGAAGAACACAACTGAGAACAAATCGGTATGCTCCTGGATAGAATCTCAGGGCTTGTCATAACTTTTGAATTTTTTTAAATTTAATATGAAGTACAAGATTCACTCTAAATAGTTGTGAAGTATACTCTAGTCTCATACTGAGTATTTTTGATCTTCCAGTCATACCTCCAATTAAGTCAGTGCACAGTCTCAGAATCTTTGTTTCTACCACTCAACTCTGTTTTTCATTTTCCCTATTTTGTGTCTTCTTCCCCGGCAGCTGTTTCTACTATATCATAGTCAAAAAAAAAAAAAAAAAGAAAAAAGAAAGAAAGAAAAGAAAAAATAAGGACACCTTCCCACTATTTTTCTCTGAGAATTTTGGAATATTCAGGAGAAGTTTTAGAATTTTGCTGACTCAGCAAAGCTGGGGTGCAGAATGAGGGCTGAATTACAAGGCATGCCCTTGACACTGAATGTTGAATATTCGTTTCCTTATTTGGCAAGCAGTTTTATAAACATACGGATTAAAGTTGTAGCTACTGTTTGTTTAGTTGATACTGTTCTTCCTCTAGTATTTCCAATGGCTACTTTTATTAGTTATGTTTCTTGATTGGGGGGTAAGCTTCTATGATGCAGTATCATTTTGCCATTTTTACCTGGAAGTTCCTTACACTACATTTTCCAGAATAATTATAAAATTCCCTTAATAAGTGTATCTTCTGAAAGCAGAAGACAATGTCTGTTTATTTTCTAATTGAACTATTCAATTAAAAAGCTTTGGTAGACCTCACTGGACACTGTGCTACTTAAGCAGAAAAGTCTCTTTAAATCTTAGAAACTATATTAAACAAAATTTATTCCAGGAAATCTTTTCCTTGAATAGAAATCCACTGGCAGCATTATCAACAATCATAGACTTAAATCAACTCAGTCAGTAGGGAAAAAACAATTAATTGCTACTAACCAGGCATGAGTAGTTAAAATACTTTTCTCTCCCTACAGGAAGTGAGGGTGGAGATGTTAATTTTTCATTCTAAACTGCGCCTTTCTTACAGACCATATTTATCATACTGGAAATCAAATTAATAGAAAATGAAAAGGAATACTTAAGTTAGAATACTAAAAACAATCTAAATTTATTTAGAATAGTTTGATAAGCAAAAGTGGGTTTTACTGTTTTCATGTTTATTTAAGTTTGAACCATTTATTATCTTGTGATATTAGATATCACAAGTCACTATTACACCTCTCAATTGTACAATATATCAAATAAAAATCCACACCCATGTCCACTTTTTACTGCTTTCTGGAAAATGATATTGAATTACTTATACACAAAGAAAGTGAGGAAGTGGGTGAACTCCATCTTAAATTTTGTCATAATAAGATACTTTAGCTTTCTCAGAAAGTGTTCTCATAATATGCAAAAGCACATATTCGTGTTTTGGGTATCACTGGATTCTGGACTGCCCTGTTCTCTGTCTTATATCTACATTCAGAAACAATTCAATGTATTAGTCAATCGTGTTTAGCAAATGAACAATATAGCATCTAGACATTTCAGAGATGGCAGGGTCTTTGGCAATCAACCAACCCCATTCACATGATTAAATATGAGAAAAAGGAGACTGAGAATGGGAAAACTAATTGTTCAACAGTTACACTGTATAAGAACTAGTATCAGAATTAGAGACTTTTCATGCCCAAACTTTGCACACTTTTCCCCATGCTTGACTTTCTTCTGGATTTGACTAGTTTTTTGATTGCTTTTTAGTTTGTTTAAACTAAATTATAGCATATTTGCCAGAACTTAATTAACGAAATAATGATTTGACTTTGTGTGGACTAAGTATCATTGTTTAACAAATATTTAAAGTCTACAAGCTATGTTTATAGCATCCCCTTCACCCCCATTGGTTTTTTTGTTTGTTCGTTTGTTTGTTTGTTTGTTTGTTTGTTTTTTGCGAGGGAGTCTCGCCCTGTCACCCAGGCTGGAGTGCAATGGCACGATCTCGGCTCACTGTGCCTCCTGGGTTCAAGTGATTCTCCTTCCTCAGCCTCTGGAGTAGCTGGGATTACAGGCACGCGCCACCAGGCCCGGCTAATTTTTTTTTTATCTTTAGTAGAGGCGGGGTTTCACCATGTTGACCAGGCTGGTCTCAAATTCCTGACCTGATGATCGACCCGCCTTGGACCCTCATTATTCTTTTACTCTGTACTGCTCCCTCCTTACTGATCCTTATTCTTTTAGGGATAACAAAGGCTTACTTTGAGCAGGCTTTCTAACAGACCCAATAATTTCTTACTGGTCACAGCTCCCAGGGTTTTTGCTTTATAATACATTCTAGGCATTAGATTTCCTGTCTTAGACACCAAGACTATTTTCACACCAACCCTTAAAATATGCTGGGTATTATCTTCTCTTTCATTCGAAGGCACTAACCCAGTACTTACTCATTTGTTCATCCACCTGCCAACAGACATCACTTATGTGGCTCCTCTGTACCATGCACAGCTCACAACAGGGATTGGGCCTACTCTGTCTTTCTCTCTTACTAAAGATTACAGGCCCAATCCCTGTTCTGAAAGCAATAACCGTCTAGGTCTCCAACAACAAAAGAAATAATTTGTTTTGTAACAATAACAACAACAACAACAACAAATAAATGGAATCTGTTTCATTTCTGAAAGCTTTTCATATCTTAGTTTAGAAACAAACTGAACAATGGACACTTTATTTAGTGTCACAAAATAAATAGAAAGTGTCACTTGAAAATATAATTTTTCTTTGACTGAAGAGCAATATTTTATACCATCGCCTTATTAAAACTGCTGTGGTTTCTATAAATAAAAGACCTTGGATGGATCAGTATGAGAACCAATACTGGCATCATTTGTTTTTTTAAAAAACCTAATTGTTTCCACAATTGTGTCTACTACATTGACATATTGATTTGTTCATTTCCCCTTGGGGGAGAAACAAGATACACCAATTACACCATCCCAGTCATTTTTCAGAATGAATACCTATAATTTGGCAAATAATTTAAGGGGAACTGAAATGTCATCTAGATATTATTTTCCTCTTACGAAGATATTATCCAGTATATTATTTCTCACTGCCAGGAGGGTAAACATAAAGGATTACATTTGCAAATAGCTTGGCTAATTTTAAGACATCAATTTTCATGTGTGAAATGAGTGCAGTAATTGTCTGAGTGTATGACAAAATATGCATGAAAATGTAGACACACATTTGTGGTGTGGATTTAAGGAGGATGTTAGAATAATGAGCAAAACCTTGTACATTCCCATTAACCATTTGAGATATGTATGAACTTGTCCCCAGCAAAGGAACATAAGCACTAAGACAGAGCTGTGATTTTATATATCAACTCATAAACAAGTATCAGACATTCACTTTATTTCAGATTTCATTCCTCAACTGATGAAGAATATTAAGGCATAGACCTTTATACGCATAAGCAGGTACAAGCAGATGGCTGTGTCTAGGAGAGTGAAACGTGTAGAAATGCTGAGCTATGAGCAGCAATAGTGGATATGCAAACCCGAGACTTGTGGGGTACAGACAGCTGGCTTCTAAAATCTGAATGGATCAAGTCAACAATATGGTATCCTTCTTCTGCATAGATCTAAAGGGCAGAACAGGTCAAAAAGATTTTGTTGTAGAGATCAGAGCATAGTTTAATAGAAAAAAGGGTCAAAGAACTTTCTATCAATTACAACTGTTTATAAATGAAATAGGCTTCCTTGCAAATCAATCTCTCCTGTAACAGATGTGTTTAAGCAAAAAGACTTAGGTTGGTTAATCAAAAGGTATGCTGTATGATGTGATGATATTGCTTAATGTTTTGTGCTTTTTAAAATTATTAATATATTTTATAATTGCCTTCTACTCTGTAATTTTCGTTGTTGTTGTCGACTTAACTTTATTTGTAAGAAGCGTCGCATGAATTTTAGGTTGCAAATCACAAATCACAAAGCAGTTAAGCAAAAAATAAATGTGGGGGAAACACTTTATATAAGTTTGACATTAGTCACTTCTCACCTTTTCAGATCAGGACCCTCTGGTAGGCACAGTTCAAATCTTTCATCCCCAACTACAAATGTAAATGTTTATAATCACCTTTCTTGTACCCTGAAAGAGAAACAGAAAAGAGGAACAACTATATTTTGCTGTATAAGGATTCACAGGAGTTTCATGGAAAGTAACATCAGAACACAATGAAGCCTCAAGAAGCACTGGGGCTTGCTCTGCATGATAGAGATGATCATTACATGAGTCAAATTGTTTACAATCCTTGCATTTAATAGTCCATAGCAAATTAGAATTTCTTTATCCAAATTGGAAAATCAGAGGATAATCCAATTAGTCCAGTTTGTGTTAGATGGCTCTTCCCCGTCTAATCAACAATGGCTGAAGGTTGGACCCCCATGATGCAAGCTTGGTGGCAGAAGGCCCATCACCCTAGACCAAGTGGCAACTCTAAGAGGTGATGATGGCTTGTTGGCTAGGAAGACACCTTGAAACTAGTCTACCACACGTGTACTCAAGTGAACTCCATGTATTAGCAACAATTAAAAGGATTACATAAATACAAGAAAAACATGCACATTTTTATTTTCAAATACCTTAAAATATGACAAACATGCCAAATAATATTTATTTTATATCTGTTGTCAAACATTCAAAGTTATTTGAAAACTGTCAACAATGCTTAAGGAGGGTAATTGCTTAGCTGGGAAATAATTGAAATTTAAAGGTTGGAAGAACTTTGAAAGTATGTGAAGCAAAGTGACAAGGTTGATTCCTATCAAAAAAGACAGAGATCTTCCAGGTATGTTGCTGAGCTGTCGCTCATCTTACTACTACATATTGTATTTCTCCTGTAACATAAAAAGAAAGAAGACTGTAATATGCTAATATCATTTTATAAGCATTTAAAAATGCTTTTAGAAATGGCAAGTTAATAGTGATGAACTAATGGAGACAGAAGGTAGAGCAGAGCAAGTAACAAGACTTTGTTTTCAACATATATCAGGAGTTTGGCATTTAAGTAGAAAGCTACACTTCCCAGTTTAATATTTTTTCAATAATCAAACATTGCTTTATTGCCATTTTTTTGCTGTTGGCACTGGAGCAACAGTGCCATTTAAGTTTCTTACACATTTTATCCCCCACAGTGACTCTAAATAATCTTGTATTTCCTAAAGTAATACTAGCCCTCAAAACCTAACAATCTAGAAACTTGGAGGAGATTGCAAAGACCACTTGCAGAATGTCAGAAACGTTTGGGTAGATGCTATGCCTGAGCTCTAGTTTCCAGGAAGCAAAGCCTGAGGTGGGTGTTCTTATGTGAGTGACTTATCTATTGAGGCGAAAGCTGCTCTCAGGAGAAGGGAAGAGAGGAAAACTGGATGAGAAAGGGTGAAGGAAACTCAGAAAAATGCCATTTCCATTAGAGACTGGCTCCACCTCTGGTACCATGGAGAAGCTCTGGAGCACCAGATTCAACCGGAGTTGGTCCCACCTTGAGGAAAGGGAGGCAGCCTTTTGTACCTTGTGTCAGTTAGTCCCTGCTGAAATCTGTCGTCAGTCCTAGGGACAGATGCTATCTAATCACTGGGGCATGAAGACTCCAAGTTAGATGTGAGCAATAGCCTGGAGAAGGGTGCACCTGTGAGTTGTCATCAGACAGTACCCAAAGCAGATAAAAAATGGGTTCGCTGGCCAGAAAACACGATCTGGGTAAGATTCCAACAGTATTCACTACAGACAGTATCACTGGGATAGGTGACAAAAGCCACTAAACGGTAGAGGATTTTCAACAAAATGAGTCACTTTGAATCAATCTAGAAGTCCTTGTACATTTGTGGAAAACACAAATCATTTCACAGGGAAAATAGAAGGTGAATATATTGTATTAGTTTTCTGGAGACACCATAACCAAGTGCCACAAAAAAATAGTTTATTATGTCACAGTTCTGAAAGCTAGAAGTCCAAAACCAAAATGTTGACAGAGTTAATTTGTTCTGAGGACTGTGAGAAAAGAATCTATCTAATCCCTGTCTCATTGGCATGTGGATAATCTCTTTATGCTTACATGGTATTCTCACGTGTACATGACTATCTGTTAACTTCCCACTTTTTAAAAGGATGACAGTCATATTGGATGAGGGTGCACCATCCTGACTGCACTTTAACATGATTACCTCTGTAAAGACCCTATCTCCAAAGAAGATCACATTCAGAGGCACTTGGGGGTAAGTATTCAACATATGAATTTTGGAGGGGCACAATTCAACCCATGACACCTTTGAAAATTATGACAGGGTATTCTCTAGGCAGAAAGTAGATATTTCTTAAATAGAAAGTCACCCAATTTCAATTTCTGGAAGTATTTTAAATGAATCTAAAAATCTTTAAGCAAAGTGACACTGACTCCATCCCATTCACTTGACCCATTCAACATACAGACAATTTGAGGATAATGTAGATGATGTAAACAAACTTTGTTATTACTTAGACAACATATTAATGAGCTCCAGAGATTTTTTAAGTTAATTTCTTACCTATCAAGAGATACTTACATGCATCTGCAATCTACTTTCAGACATTAAATGTAAACAAACACTGCTTAATGAACACTCCAATACAATTGCTTTCACTATACTCTCAAATAAATGAACCTGCCTATAGAGAAAAATCTACCTAGTATGTTGCTGATAGATAAAATAAGAGCATAAAATGAGACAGATTTATTATTTAAAAAAAGGAAAACAAACTAGTATCTACTGAGCAGCAACAACTCTGTACGTTCAAGGCACTGGGTTAGAGACTTTGCATATCTCATCTCATTGAAACCTCACAGGAATTCTTTGAGGTAGATATCACCCTCAGATTTACTTTGCAAATATGTAAACTGAATCTCAGAAAGGATAGATAACTTGTAAAGACTTACAAGTAGCACAGCCTAAATTTGAATTCAGGTATGTCTCATTCCAAAACCTTTGCCTTTTCTACTAAATTCCTTTCCATTAATTGTAGAGGGGTCTTCAAACCAGCACATCCAAACAAGGGAGCTGAGGAGTTGGAAACTCAGGATACGGGGACCAAAAATTATTAATTATTCATTAAGAATGTATTGAGAGCCTATTTCATGTCAAACACTGTTGTAGGTGCTGAGTGCTGAGAGTACTGTCTTAAAGGAGTTAGGTGAGGTCCCTGCCCTCATGAAGCTTGCATTTGCAGCTACCTAGCTAAATGGATGGATGGATGGAGAGAGAGAGAGAGAGAGAGAGAGAGAGATAGATAGATAGATAGATAGATAGATAGATAGATAGATAGATAGATAGATAGATAAACTAACCTCTAAGTCAATGTAAAAAAGAAAATCTGGCTAGTGTTAAAGTTCAGAGTGCCCAGATCAATTTTGTTCAGTGTTACAACTGCACTTGGCACTGATATCAGATAAGAATTCATCTGAAGGGTCTTTCCACAGATCATACCTTGTAATGTAATGAGCATCCTTACAATAGATGAAACAAGGATTTTAAAAGAGCTGCTTTTTTTAATTCCCCACCTATAAGATGAAATCCCCAAGGAAAGCTTAGTAAAAACAGTTCTGTGCAGTTCTCAGACAAAATGAGCCAGGTAATTAATTATTTGATTGTTGAAGTTAGTCATGGCACCTTTTTAGAAGGTTTTGAGTAATAGATGGGATATATATCCTCAAAACAAGTCTACTCGAGGACTGTTTATCTCAGCTGATTTTTCTGGTGAATATTGAGCAGCGATAATTTTAAGATTATATTGTGTTTTGAATGTAGCTCTTTGATAATGCCAGTTAATTACCAGAGTTACTGCAACCAACAGTTGAGCACAGAATCGAATTGACATCCTTTTAAGTTTATAGCTTTCTTAATAAACACCCATGCCTACATAGATTTTCCTCCAGACTCAACTAAATATCTGCAGGAGAAAAAAGAGAGATACCTATGATAGTATTTGTTCATACAGTTCTCTTGAAAATTGTATCCTACATGAAAACACTCTCAGCGATTCCAGGATGAGCACCATCAGACACACCACCAAATGTGGGGTTCAAGTTCCCCAAAACATTTATCCCTTTCATGAGGCATGTGGAATAAATAAACATTCAAAATCTTAAAAAATTAAACCATATGTTTAAACATGCTACTTGTGCCTTAGCAAGGAAAATGTAAATGTTAAGATAATCAGCTCCAGCTTGAAAGTCTTCAAAATCAGAGTTGTTAAAAATGTAGAGCCAAGAGTTGAATCCTGTTCTTCTGGCTCAAGAGCTAATACACATTTTATTATGATACTACTGATTTGCCTTTAAAACAAAATTCCAAGAAAATGAACCTAAAAAACACCATGTTAAAGCTTAAATGCTCATTTTTCTTGGGCATTTGGGGAGAAAAGGTTAGTGACCTCTTACTATATATCAAACCCTATTTCAAGTAGTTCATACTATTGGTGTCATTTTAGTGTCACAACTCTGAACAATAGGTATTATTGTGTTTTTTCTTTCTATTTTGTACATAAGAAAATTGAAAGTCACGTAGGTGAAATGACTTGTCAAGGTCAAGTAGTAACAGGAAGAAACAAGATTCATATTCTGGTCTTTAAACCTATACTTTCAATCACTACCATAAAGAGCCTCCTCCAAGGGTGAAAATTTCATATAAAGCAGTCATCTAAACAATTCACAGATTAAAAATAATGACTAAAAGTCTGAGGTATGGGAGAACATACACATTGAACAATAATTATGAAACCATAAAATATAGGGGCATTTAACAAGAAACACTACTACACTTTTGTGCTCTAAACTAATTACTAACGCAGTATATTCCTTTTAGCTGGTCACTAGAAACACAATTCAAACTGTTTATAGGGAATGTGCACACAAAACATTTGGAAGAATTTGCATTTCCTGAGAAAGATATTTTATACTCTTGAGAGGCAGCCAATTTAACCTGAAACAAGATTATACAGCTTCTCTGGCACTTTTCCTCAAGGTTACTCACCCTTCCTAGTGAACGTGAATTCCATATTTTGCAGAACACATATTCACGCATATGCATTTTAAGCTATATCCATAATGTTCTTTTAAATGAATTACCCATATCATTTGCATTTTATTGATACAAAATATATCAAACAATCTCCAAATAACTACAGGACAATATAATAGTTAAGGGTGTAAGGTGTGACTTTCTATTGCCTAAGTCTGAATTCTAATTTTGTCACTTATTAGCTCTAAGATCTTGGAAAAGCTACTTAACATCTTTAAGCTTTAGTTTTCCTATATGTAAAAAGAGGATATAAATAGCACTTCATGAGGTTCTTTTGTAGATTAAAAGAGAAAATTTTTTAAGACATTTAGCACAGGGCATGCCCATTCATTTATTCAAAAATATGTGCTGACAATAATGATCTATCTAAAAACTGAATCAAGAAAACAATTCTATTTATGATAGCCCCTAAAAGAACACTTAGGAATAAATTTAAACAAGAAGGTGAAAAATGTGTACACTGAAAACTACAAAATATTAAGTAAAGAAATTGAAAAATGACACAAATAAATGAATAGATATTTTGTGTGCATGAATTGGAAGAATTAACATTGTTAAAACATTCATACTACCCAAAGCAATATACAGATTCAGCAATCTCTATCAACATTCCAATGTCATTCTTCACAAAAATTGAAAAAAATACTTCTAAAATTGTTATAGAACCATAAAAGACCCAAAATAATCAAAGCATATTTTTTTAAAAAGCTACGGTCATTATATTTCCTGATTTTAAATAATATTTCATAGCTATAGCAATCAAAAAAGTACAGTATTGGCATAAAAACAGACACACAGACCATGAGTGCTTAGAAATAAACTGGAATATATATGGTCAACTAATTTTTGACAAGTGCACTATGAAGACACGATAGAGAATAGTATCTTCAATAAATGATGCTGAAACAGCTAAATTTCCACATGCAAAAGAATGAATTTGGACACTTATAAAACAAACAAAAGTAAACTTAAAATGGATTTAAAAAAACCTAATGGAAAATATGAAACCATAAAATTCCTAGGGGAAAATCTCCTTGACAGTGGCATTGGCAATGATTGGATATCACACTAAAAACTCAAGCTAAGGAAGCAAAAGTTAAAAAAAATAGGATTATGTCAAACTTATTAGCATCTGCACAAGAAAGGAAACAATCAACAATATGCAAAGGCAGCCTACAGATTGGAGAAAAATGTGCCAACTCTATATTTGGTAAGGGATTAATGCCAAAATATATTTTACAAACTCAATAGCAAAAAAAAAAAATCCAATTAAAAACGTGTAAAAGGACCTCAATAGACATTTCTTAAAAAAAGATGTAAAAATGGCCAACAGACATATGTAAAGATGCTGAACATCACTAAACATCAGGGAAATGAAGGATTGCTATCAACCTCACAATGAGACATCACTTGACACCTGTTAGGATTGCTATTATCAAAAGACAAGAGATAATAAGTGTTGACCAAGATGTGAACAAAAGGAAATCATTGCCCACTGTTTTTAGGAATGTAGAGATTGTTGCAGCCATTGTGCAAAACTTTTTGGAGTGTCCGAAAGAAATTAAAAATATGACTACCATATGACTAAGCAAGCCCTTTTCCGAGCATATACCCAGAGGAATTGAAATTACCACCTCACAAAGATATATGCACTCCTCTGCTCACTGAGCATTTTTCACAATAGCTAAGCTATGAAGTCAATTGAAGTGTCTGTCGAAGGATGAAGGGGTAAAGACACTGTGCTATGTACAGTACCACAGTTTCTCTTTTTAAGATAAAGTTTCTTTTACACTTTCTTTATCTTTTTAGGACAATATTGTTCAGCTTTGAAAAGAAGAAAACCCTGCCATGTGCAACAACATAGATGAACCTGAAGGCATTATGATTAATGAAATAAGCCAGATAGGAAAAGACAAAAAGGTGATTACCAGGGATAGGGCTGGCAGATGGGGAGAAAGGGGAGATGTAGATTGAAGGATACAATGTGGCCGATATATAGGATGAATAAGTTTAGAGATCTAATATACAACATGAGAACTATAATAATATTGCTTCGGACTCTACTTTTGCTAAAAGAGTAGATTTTAAGTGCTTTTGTCATACACACAAAATCAGAATAACTATGTGAGATCATTTGTATGTTAATTTGCTTAACTATAGTAACCATTTCATTATTAATACATGAAGTCTTCATGTTATGCTCATTAAATATATAAAATATAAAATATACTTATTATTTAATATGTACTAGACACTACATTAGTCGTTTGGGGTGTATAACTGAACCAAGCATTCAAAAATCCTTGCTTTACTGGCACTTACATTTTAGTGAGGAATAAATGTTAATTATCAGCATTATTATTGTTGCCATCATTGTTATCACCATCATCATGAATATTATCAATGAATGTCCAAAAACTCTCTAGAGATCTTAGAGTCTCCGAAAATAATGATATTCCTCAAGGAAGTACTGTGGGTGGGTCACTAGGCTTAGTGGAAAAATTCAGGTTGTGGCCAATCAACTCTTTATTACACATCAGGCTCTTACTCCATCAAAGGGTATCATGCCAACTTGTTTAGCTCCAAGGATTATATAATGGATCAATTCATGTGCAGTGATAATGCTGGGAAAGAAAATAGTCAAAAGGTGGCAGATCTACAGAACCCTAAGTCACAGCTGCAATTCCTGGGGCAGAGTGTCCCTTTGATCCCATCTTTCACTGCAGGAAGAAAACTAGGAAATAAAACATGAAAAGATTCGTTTCAAATTTCGACATGGATCCTCTGGAAGCATAACTTTCAGAGAAGACAGAGGTCCCTCCAGAGGGCGGATAATCTTTTCTCTTTCCATTAAATGGAGAGAGGACCACCTCTGTCGATCACTTACAGTCCTATTGGCAATATGTAGAGTTTGCAGATGTAAACACAAGTGATAAACACAGAAATCAGAGATAAAATAATGCTATTAACAGCATCAAAATCAGTCATTTTTGTATTTGGGGAAAGTCCTTCTTTTCTCACATCTGGACAATGAATCAAAGACACCTCAAGAACAGGGACCCACATGAGACTTTGTAAGATAACCCAGGTCAGAAAGAAAGAGAACAATGCCCTTCACAAGAAAAGTGGACACAGGTATAGTAAGAAAAAAAAAAAATGAGGTTAACCCGGGCAGGAGAGCTATATGCAGTTCCTACTGAGAAAGACTGTGTATCTGAGCAAAATATTTTATCTGCATGACGCACATTCAAGAACTCTTTCGCTGTATGTATAACCCAAATTTTCCCAAAATGTGACATCTAGCAGCAAGGTGAAATATGACTAAAAATTTGTCAGTCGGAGGGGGCATGGAGACAGAGAAGTGAGAGTGTTCCATGAAGAGGGACAGTATATGAGAAAGACTCGAGGATGTGTACTAGAGGAGCCTGTTGTTCAGTCTGGCTGGAAAGCTAGGCAGAAGCTAGTTAGCACTGTTCTTTATAAACTGTGAGACCAAAGGCACCCACACCACAATGGAAATCACGGATATAAGATAAACTCTCATGCCCATTCACTTAGCATTAATTCTTAGTCAATGATACTCATTATAAATGTAACCCATAACATATCAAATGTATAATTATATGTGTAAAATATATAAAGTAACATTTCATATATATATATATATATATATATATATACATATATATATATATATATATTTTTTTTTTGAAATGGAGTCTCACTATGTCACCCAGGCTGCAGTAGAGTGGCATGATCTCGGCTCACTGCAACCTCCACCTCCCAGGTTCAAGTGATTTTCCTGCCTCAGCCTCCCAAGTAGCTGGGAATACAGGCATGCACCACCACACCCAGCTAATTTTTGTATTTTTAGTAGAGACGGGGTTTCACCATGTTGGCCAGGCTGGTCTCGAACTCCTGACCTCAGGTGATCCCCCCCCCCTCCTCAGCTTCCCAAAGTGTTGGGATTACAGGTTTGAGCCACCGCACCTGGCCTATATTTTATGTTATAACATACACCAACTAATCGTAAAACAATTAAGTGTTAACTATTAGTAATTATTCTTTAAGCATTTACTGAACTCCTCCTCTTTGCCAAACACTGTTCTAGGTGCCGGGTGGCCTTCTTGAACAGGCCAAGAATGGCCCTTGTCTTTCTGAAGTTTACATGTATGAAGAAGGGAGCAAACAATAGGCAGGCCAAAAATTTCTTTAAAATAATAAAAGCTTTGTGGAGAAAATTATGCCTAGAAATATAATAGAGATTAACTGTAGGATGAGGGACCAAGAAAGATGAGGCTTTAGATAGAGTGTTTAGTTTAGGCCTCTCCGTAGAGGTGGCATTAAAGATGAGACTTGAATGAGAAGGAGATGGCCAGAAGAGCATTTCCAGGCATATAAACTGAGAGTTCAAGAGCACGTGGTTTCAACAAGCTTAATGTGGTCAAGGAACATAAAGAAAGGCAAGTGGTATGAGATGAAGTTGGACAGGTAAGTACTGGCTAGATCATGCAAAGACTTGGAAGTCAGTGAATGAGTGTAGATTTCATTTTAAGTTAATTGCAAAGCCAATGTGATTTTTGCTCCTTCTCAAATTCCTTATAAAGAGGTCTAGGAAATTTCAAGGGATGTATGCGATGTGTGCTTGTCAATTAATTCTCTTGGTGTCCATGTAGCATCTGCCATTTTCTCTGTCCTTTCCTGCTCCCACGACTGCAGTTTCACCTGTAACTGAAGACTACCTTAAAGTTACAGCACTAATGACAGAGTACTTAGAAGTGATGTCTTATTTGCATTCCAGATGCAGACTGGCCTGGTTCTGACTCACACTGTTACATGTGCTTTGTGCTCCAGTATCTGCAATATGCTATATTTCAAAGTCACTTCATAGGTGCTTTACTCTAGTACTTGGATGTTACACTCCAAAACAGCACAGATTTTTGCTCTTCACATCCTACATAGACTTCAGTGGAATAGGTTGTTATTCTTTAATCAGTTTTATTTTTCTCACATATTACAATGAGCCTTACCTTCCAGGGCTCAGGTCTTTGGGAGCTAAGCTTGAAGACAATCTGAGTGATAGACATTATGATGTTCTTAGAATCATTCCCTCTTCTCTTCCTTTCCTCTCCCAAACTGACACTGGACAAAGTTTGAAAACCTCAGCTCTCCGTCTAGTGGAAAAGTTCTTTTTCAAGAGGTCATTCAGTTTCTCAAGTAAATAGAAGAGCCTTGGTTGGCCTGGCCCTATTGCTGCTCTAGACAGGCTAAAGCTAACAAGCTGAAACCTTGAAGTCGTTGATCAACTTGACAAGATACATCCCATTAAAATTATTTAGATAAAAATTTATTGGAGTGTGCTGAGAGACGCTAAAAGGTAAGGAAGAGAAGACAGAAACTCTAGTCAACTCTTTAAGAAGCTTTGCTTCAAAGAGGAGCAGAAAACGGAGTTAATGCTAAAGCAGGATAAATATTAATAATATCTTATATATGTAGAACTCAGGCTTGGGGGTGTCCTGCCAATTTAAGACAGTTAGTAAGCATATCTTATAATGCGGGATTCAAATCCAAGTATTTCTGGATCTCAAATCTCCTATTAGTTCCACTATACCATGATGCAATATGTATCTGAAAAATTCACCCTGAAATATTGACTTTAAACACACCAAACCTATTTTAACTCTACGTGGCTATTTCCTCTTACACAGTATTCCAGAAATTAACCCAAATTTTCAATTGACCTCATTGCTACTCAAAGCATGGTATATCTGTTTGAGTTCGTGCTTTCACTTCGGAGCAGGGGAATGAGGAATTAGTGTTTAATGGGCACAGAGCTTCAGTTTGGGAAGGTGAAAAATTTCTGATGATGGATGGTGGTGATGGTTGCACAATAATGCGAATGTACTTAATACTACTGTACTTAATACTACTGAATCCTATGCTTAAAAATGTTAAGATAGTAAATTGTTATTTTACCACAATTAAAAATAAAAAGTTTTTAAATATTTTAAAAAAGCATGGCATATCTATTAAACACAGAAGAAGTAACTAGTGAATTTGTTGAATTTGAAAGATCTGCATTGCATTCTGTTAATAACATTCCAGAAAAACCTTTTGGTTGATGTGAAAGATCTAGAAGACTGGAGTCTACATTTTTGCCTCTTGTATTTAATTCATACATCATACTAGGACCTTTGGATCTATTTGTATATTCTTAGTGGAAAACTACACTTGATAAATGACCCTTAACAGATTCTTTTTCTGAGTTCCAACCATGATAGCAAACACAACTTGCCACTTTCCAAACCCCTGGATTATTTTTGTAGTTTCTTGATTATGTGGTAAGTGCAGTCCACAACAGAAAATCAATACTGATGGGTAAACACAGCATGGTCTAAGTCCTTGAAGAGTTTATGTTCCTGGAATAAATGCCACACAGAAATAGACTGGAAGCATGGCTTAGACCCATGCATAATGAATGCCCTAACTTTCCCTTTCAAGAATTGATTTATAATGAAGAAATTTTGAAAAACAATGGTAGTGAGGCCTTAATATTTCTATTTGCTTCATTTTACCTGAAAAATGAGTATAACTTGGCTTCCAATTTAAAAAGCCAAATACATAGAAACAGAGAGTAGAAGCGTGTTTATCAGGGGAAGGGAGGTAGGGGAAATGGGGAGATATTGGTCAAAAGGCACAATGTTGCAGTTATGTAGGATACAGAGGACTAGAGATCTAATGGAGAGCATGATGGCTATAGTTAATAATATAGCATTAGAGTTGGGATTTTTGCTAAAAGAATAGGCTTTGGGAGCTCTCACTTCAAATAATAGTAATTATGTGAGGAGATACGTTAATTTACTTGACTATAGTACTGTTTTCACAATGCATATGTGTATTAAATCATCATGTTGCACATCTTAAATACATACAATTAAAAAAAGATAATGCTGCACACAAGAACTTGAATAAATCCCCAGATAATTATGATGAGTGAAAAAAAAAGCCAATTCCAAAAGGTTATGTACTGTGTCATTGCATTTATATAGCAATCTTGAGATGTCAAAATTGTAGAAATTAGAGAACAGATAACTGTACGCCCAGGGCTAAGGATGAAGGTTTTGGGAAAGGTAGGTGTGGCTATAAAAACAACACAAGAGGTCCTTATGATAATAGAATTCTTCTGTATCTTGACTGTATCAACATCGACATCCTAGTTGTGATATTGCACTATAGTGATTAAAAGATATTGAAAGATATTGCACTATAGTTTTGCAAGATGTAGTTTTCAAAACATTGGGGGAGGGAACTGTGATGAGTACACTGAATGTCTCTGTATTTTCTTAAAATTACAGGTGATTTTATTTTCTCTATTATCTTAAAATAAAAGTTAAGGCTTTCCTATATATGTACAGAGGTACATACTGGCAAAAATAAACAACTAACCATACCTAAAACTGTAATGAAAATTTTCACTTTCTTCAAACCCATACATAAATGGAGAAAATTATTTACAACTGTGGCCTAGAATTTTCATTTATCTTTTTCCTAAGAATAAACATAAGTAAATGTGAAATTCCCCTTCTTAGTACCATGAAACGAAATGCGAATTACCAGATTTAAAACAACGCTGCAAAGAGCAGATGGTCCAAGAGCTAAACGTATTAATGTTCTGTTTTCATATCAGTAAAGATATGATTTAATTTCCAATAAAAATAGAGAGATAATTAAGAAAGCTTTCTGAGACATGCTATATATAGGCAATAAAAATTAATGTACATTTCTATAAAAACATAAAAAAGTAAGAATTATCTATCTGGATATTTTTGTCATAACCAGACAGGTAAGTCATTATAGACTAAATGTCATGTGTTTGACTGCTTTTCAAGTAGTGTCAAAAGCCAACTCCCGCATTGTGAGTTAAAAAAAAAAAAAAAACACTCTAACACTGCTAACAACAAATCAGATTGCCTTCAAGGAAGGAGGAACTGCTCAAATCTTCTTGGCAGCTCTTAGAAGCCAACCCGTTCAAACCAGTTTCTGTCCAATCAATAGCTCACATACTAAAGAATATTAGTTACTGAGGAATAACTAAGTTCATTTCCCCTCCAGGAACTGGCTCCGCTAGTCGTGGCAACCAAATTGATAACAATTCATTTACATACAGTATCTCAGGTCAGCTTCAGTCGGGTCACCTAATCCCCTCTGCATTTGTCCTAAAAATGTGATAACGACTAAATCATTTGTAGGTGCCAATTTAAAATAACATAGGACCCTGGAGAGCTAACCGCAAACCTGTGTTTCTTCATCATTTTTTCATTCTGTTCAGCTACGACAAAGCTGCAGTCTCTCACACTTACACTTAATAAAAAGCTGCAAAGCGATCTCTTATGAAGATAAATCAAACAATAAATAACTAGGTTAAGTAGAAATCTGATTGGTGTCCTCTCTATAACCATACATTCATTCATCAAATATACAGTGGGCACCTATAATGTAAAGCAGGAAAATGTAGGTAAGGGGAGTAGACCCTAGATGTAGAGAGAATTAAAATAAAATACAAGCTTCTCAGACACAAAAGATCATGTCTTTTATGATTCCACTGATATAAAACTTCCAAAACAGGCAAATCCATAGAGACAGAAAGTAGATGAGTGGTTGACAGGGGCTGGAAGGAGGGGGAAGAGAATGACTTCTGAATGGGTACAGGGTTTCTTTTTGCAGTAATGAAAATGTTTTGAAAATAGGCAGAGGTTATGGTGACACAACATTGAAAATATGCTGAATGCTATTAAAGTGTTCATTTTAAAATGGTTAATCTTTGTTATGTCAATTCTACCTCAAAACATGTGATTTAATTGAAAACCCAGACTTTTCAATTATGTAGGTGCAAGATCTTAGGCAAATTTCATAACCTCTCTGTACCATCAGCTTTCTCAGAGTATAAATTGGGATAACATTGTCCGCCTCATAGATTAACCTCTTTAGAGTCCTTGACATAGTGTTTGGCACTCACTAAATGCGTGTTGGGAATGAGGAAGAGGCCAATGAGATGCTGGACACTGTTGGAGAAAGAGAGGTCAGAAATGGATCCTGATCTTAAGTTGCTTGTGGTCAAGATGGGAGAACAGAGAAGTTAGCAACGAATTGGAATGAACTGCAGCAAGTACTAAATTAAAGGACTGAATAAAACCTCGTGGGAATGAGATGGAGTGACAGATTCATTCTATTTGTAGGAATCAAAGAGAATTTCACTGAGGAAGTGAATTCAAAGACAAATCATGGGAGATATTTAGACATTACCAGATGGAAAGAAAAGACACTCCTGGAAGAAAGAAGAGCAGGTGCAAAAATCACAGACTCACAGAAGGTTTGTTTGCCTCCCATCGACAAGCTTTGCAGAAATAGTACACCTCAGACAAAGGCATTAGCACTGGGGATTCTTAGGATCAATAAGCAACCTTCAGACGAGGAACTCTAAACTATCAAGGGCAAGAAATTTACATTAATCATCTCTTTTGTTAGCCCATGTAAAAGGAAAACTACTAAAATAAGTAAATGTGTAATGAAATTGGACTTATGGAAAGTTTTTGTTTCTCAACAATTGAAGGGAATAAACAAGGTACTGTCTACTAGAATCTTAGAGAAACCTTCCCAAACAAGGGGAGATAGAAAAAAAAAAAAAAACTAGCAAACTGGAATTACTTGTTGCCTTCTACTGTGTGATTTGGTGGTCTCAACTTTCTTCTTTAGATGCCAAGTAAACATATCCCTTATTTGTTTAAACTGAAGGCGGCTGAATGATGAATGCTTGAATGATACTATTTTCAAATAGCAAAGAAGGGTTCTTCATTAGGTTGTCAAATCTAATTTTGTGTGAGCTTTATCTTCACTCTGCTGTTTTAAAGTAGTAGAGTCATATCATATAGCTGCCAAAGAAAGGTGATTTCCAGAAGAAAATAATTTTCCTTTTGAGTCTGGTGCATAATAGGCAGGTATATTTAGATTCAAATGGCAGTCTTGTTTAGTGGAAAAGTCAGTATTTGGAGAAAGGGCAAATGGAATGGAGCCCTTGAGTGACCTTGAGCAAGTCACATATTTCTGACTGGACTCTTATAAAACCAACTGAGATAAAGCAGGTGAAAGTATTTTCTACATTGAAGTATTAAGTCATTTAGCATAAGTCTACATTCTCAGTGGTGACTGGTGACTATATACTTCTAAATTAATGAGAATTCAGTAAGCAAACATCTCATCTTTGACATATGAACACATATCATGTCAGAAACACATTCATTGGAGATTAAAATGGTCCATACCACTCGCAATACAAAAGCTGAAAAGCCAAATATTTCTAATCCACTGAAACTGTTGGTGGAATTCATTATATAGAAGCTATTAGCTTGTAATGGATATGGAGGATAAGGAAAATGAGAGCTGCTGGCTCAGTGAGAAAATGAGAGCTGCTCATTCAGTCATCCTTCCTGGAAGGTATGGATGTTCTCTCTCACATCCCAGGTCTTTTGCAATTGTGTTACTCTCATGAATTTATGGGGTATCAGTGTGCTCAGAAGTATTGGTAGGTGCTGTGAGGGTGAGAGATTAAAGATGGCAGAGTTTTTCCTTCCCAAATAGGGAGCATATTGCTGACAACCTGAGACCATGTTCTGCATTTGTTCAACAATTATGTTTAAGTACCCACTCTGCTCATTTCACAGTGTCTGGATCGCAGTACACACATATGAAGACATTCTCTTTGCATGAACTACTGCTAAATTGAATGTGAGTGACAAATGATTGATAGAACTGGAAAAAAACGACTATATTAGCAGGAAGAGGACAGAAGAGTTCTGCATATAGCTACTGAGGATGACTTTATGAAGGAAGAAGTGTTTGAGGTGGGTCTTGATGGATTATAAGGTTTAAACAAGCAAAAGGGATGAGGAAGAGACAACTACATGGATATATGCTCCAGGGAGATTCATTCAGAATCACAGATCTGCATCTGCCTTGGCCAGGGAAGTTTCTTGGTGCTCTGGTTATCAATTATCTACATAAGCTAAAACCTTAATGTCAGATGAAAAGAGATTAAGTGAGCATATGAGATCAGCAAGCAACTAATCCGGATGAGGATGCAGTTAGTGAAGATTTACGCTGCCTCTGGGCGTGACTTTCTCTCTCCTAATGTTTCTGTTTCTCTACCTGCCCTCCATGAAATCAATATGAAAGCAGATCTGTCATACATATGGTGAAGATAGGTGGGACAAAAGGACAAAAGTAAAGTCGAAGTTCTTGGGTTATAATTCTTCTGCTTTTTTGTTCTGGTTTCCCATAACAAGATTAAGAAAGTGGGTAACTCCTTTGAGAATCTAAAGAAAGCTATTAGAGCCCCTATTCCAGAAAAAAAAAATGCAAATTTGTACCCAGACATTTTTCATACAGTTTTATGGGAATCAGGATCCCCTAAGGATCATGTATACCACCTCTTGGCATCCACTGAACCTTGTTATAGATGTCCAAAAGACAGCCAAAAGAAAATCCTCGCTAAAATCATTAACTTGCTTTATGTATTAGTCAATGGGTCCACCATGTTTGGAATTACCTCCACTTCTGCCAAATGAATTGGCAGAAATTCCAGCATACAGAATGTCTTTTCCCACTTACAGAGATTGTTTATTATTTCCTCAGACCTCAAACACCAATGTAATTAATAATATCTCAGATGAAAAATGAATTTGAAAAAATATATACCACGTCATATTAAACCACAGGTTTATATTAAAAATAATTAGCATGTCAGAAGTTACTTATCTGTTTCCAAAGTTATTAGATTCATGTTGGGAATGAACAAAAGCTGGTCAATATAGTTATTTCTAAAACACATCTAAAGTTATACTGTGGCCTCTTCAAGCCCACCATTTCTAAAATCACCACTCATTCCCAGCCCTTCCTGGAAGTGACCTCTTCCTTTTGTTTGAGGTCACAGGGCCACTTTAAAGGCAAATAATGGGTCTCGTACATTTTTGGATCATCTGTAGCACCATGTACTTACATAAAAGGTGTTCAGTAATCTTATTTTGAGTAAAAGAAAGATGATCTCAGGATAAGGCTGTTTCTGAAATCTCTGGATCAGAGGCATCAACATCACCTGGGAATTTGTTAGAAATGCACAATCTTGGGACCACACCTAGACATACAGCATCAAAAATTCTGGCAGTAGGACTCCACATTCTGTGCTTTAAAAGCCTTCTAGATGATTCTAAAAGCAAGCTAATGTGTGAAAACCATTAGTCTAGATAAATGATGTGACCAAGAGAAGATTTTTTTTTCTCCAAAATACTGAGACGTTGCTAAGCTACAATTTCAAATACATTAAATTCATCATGTTAAGAAAAAATATTGGGTAATGAAAGCAGCATTGTCAAGGGAATAAGGCAGTCAGGAGTTTAAATACTGGCTCTGCCGTTTTCTAGCTGTGCAACATTGAGCACACTTTGTAACATCTCTGAGCCATACCTTTCTCATTTGTAAAATAAAGTCATTGTACGAATTGATTTAAAGGTCCCTACCAGCCCCAAAATTCTGTATTTCTTTATAGGCAAGTATTTAGTATGAATTTACTGAATGCCTAGCAAAATTCCAATAAATCTGAAGGATGGTAAACAACAAAAGATAACATCTAATTTGAAGAAGTTCAAAATCCAACTAGGAAAACATGTCACTTATATATCAAGGCAAAAGATTAGAGAGTGACATAAAAATGTGAGCCTGACGGTGGCAAGGTCAACTCAGAATTTAGAAAGCCTGCCCTTTCAATAGGGATGATTTGAGAGACGTCCCGAAGATCAGTCTGACTAGAATACCTTCCTCCCCCTGAGCTATGTCACTGTCTCCAGATCAATTTCTCCAGCCATATTTGGGTAACAGAATTAGGTAGAAATTTAACAGCTTGGGAGTTGCTTGTATATTCCAGGTATCGCACATAATGCTTTTCATGCATATTTTTATTTTAAAAGCTCATAAATACCCAAAAGTCAACTAGTAATATCCTCTCTATTTCACAAATGAGGAAGCTGAGGCTCAGAGATTTTAAATAGCTTACCGAAATTAACACATTCAAGACATGGAGCTGAGGTTCAGTGAAAGTTGTGGACTTTGAAAGTCCGTTTTTTCTACTATATACAAGTGACTCTCTAGAGAGATAAGGTGATATGGTTTGGCTGACTCTCCACCCAAACTGCATCTTGAATTGTATTTCTCATAACTCCCACGTGTCATGGGAGGGACCCAGTGGGAGGTAATTGAATCATTGGGGTGATCTCCCCTATGCCGTTCTTGTGATAGTCAGTGAGTTCTCATGAGATCTAATGGTTTAATAGCACGTGGCATTCCCCCTGCTGGCACTTATTCTCTCTCCTGTCAATCTGTGAATAGGTGACTTCCACCATGATTGTAAGTTTCCTGAGGCTTCCCCAGCCATGCAGAACTGTGAGTCAATTAAACATCTTTCCTCTACAAATTACCCAGTCTCAGGTATGTCCTTATAGCCATGTGAGAATGGACTAATACATAAGATTTAGATAGATAAGACAAAGCCGGTTGTTCCATGAGTAGATGCTGCGTATAGACAAACAAGCCATTATTGCATGTGAGAGCAATACAGTAGGAATAAAAATAATGTCAGTGAAGTCCTCAGAATTCTAACAGAACTCACATTCAGAATGGATGATTACTGACATCTTTTTCATATGAAAACTGAGTGGCAGCTAGAGGAATTCTTTCATGTGAATCTAAGACGATGGGAGAAAGAAATATTTTCATTTTGTATTTATGATCTTATTTCCACACAAAAAACACTCCATTTTATAAAAGTTGAGATTAAGCACTAACGCTTCTATAGCGTTGAGATGTTCTGCAAAGCAAAGAACTATTAAATAGAGCCCACTTGGATCAAAAGCTCCTGGAAAATACATGCATCAGGTTAAACGAATTTAAAATGACTTGGAAATTATAAAGTGGTCCTCATAGGAATTAAGATTTTTTACATTCTAAAAGGAATGTATACCTTTTGCTTCTGAAAGATTCAAGGCTTTATTTGGCTGCTGCCTAACCTAATCAGCAACTGGTTCTTCAAATAAGTTGATTACTTATGAAGTAAGGTCCTGAAGCCTTACTTCATAAGCTTTTACACACCTTAGCTTTTACTCCAATAAACTCTTTGGACCAGAAACCATGGAATATCAGTTTTTTTAATAAAAGGCAGGAGGATCTTATTAAATCACTATTTAATTAACACGTACTGTTCAGGCTTTTACTGACATATTGGGTCATCTTGGGCCTGCCATAATTATTTAAAAACATTTATCTTAAACCTACTCTAATAAATTTACATAGTTATGCAACTCCCTGTTCCGCTTCTAATTGTCATTGTATCAGTGGGTGTATTCTATTTAATTTGGCTAGTGACATCTATTTTGGGGAAACTGAATTTCTGTTTAAGTGTGAGTATTGCCCCGCATTCTAGAATACATTCAGTTCTGTTCTACTTGCAAACCTGAAGCAGGAGTTTTTACCTCAACTGCATGCGGAAGTCATCTAGGTAACTTTTAAAATTTACTGAATTCCGGCCACGCGCGGTGGCTCACGCCTGTAATCCCAACACTTTGGGAGGCCGAGGCGGGCGAATCACGAGGTCAGGAGAGCGAGACCATCCTGGCTAACACGGTGAAACCCCGTCTCTACTAAAAATACAAAAAATTAGCCGGGTGTGGTGGCGGGCGCCTGTAGTCCCAGCTACTCAGGAGGCTGAGGCAGGAGAATGGCGTGAACCCGGGAGGCGGAGCTTGCAGTGAGCCGAGATTGCACCACTGCACTCCAGCCTGGGCGACAGAGCGAGACTCCATCACAAAAAAAAAAAAAAAAATTACTGAATTCCAAGATGCAACCCCTAGAGATTCTGATTCAATTGGTTTTCTGTGTATCCTAAGTGATGGTACTTTGAAAAAGCTGCCCAGGTGATTCAAATGTATTGTCATAGTTAAGTATTACTGTAGAGAATGCGTTCTCATATGGAAAGAAAACTCATCTCATGAATTTCACAAGAATTCCTTTAATTGGGAAGGGGCTGAGAAAAGAAATATATCTACAAGCCTTCATAAAAACTTAACCTCTCTTTGTGACAAGATATTGCTTTTTGTAGGGGAGTGTTGGAATCAGCTTAAGTGTCCAACAGAAAGTGAGCAAATAAATAATTTTATATACCTATAAATGTAAAAAAATTAAAACGTTTAGAAGAAAAAAGTTATATTATTTTTTAATACAAAGAATATGTAGGTATGTATATAGTATAGGTATATATTATATATATATATAAAATAATTTTTGGACATTATAGGAAAGCATGGAAAATTAAATGCTGTCATCCTCAGCAAACTAACTCAGGAACAGAAAACCAAACATCGCATGTTCTCACTCGTAAGTGGGAGCCGAACAATGACAACACATGGACACAGGGAGGGGAACAACACACACTGGGGCCTGTCAGGGGGGTGTAGGGGGAGGGAGGGTATCAGGAAAAATAGCTAATGCATGCTGGGCTTCATACTTCGGTGATAGCTTGATAGGTGCAGCAAACCACCATGACACACATTTACCTATGTAACAAATCTGCACATCCTGCACATGTACCCCGGAACTGAAAATCAAAATAAAAAAGAAAATTAAAAAGAGAAAGAAAAGGAAATAATCTAAAATAACACCTAGCAACAGTCTGTGTAAATGATCTGGTGACTTTCCATTCCCAATCTCCTTTTCACGTCCTCCACTGTTCCTTGTTGTTATTATTATTATTATTATTATCATACACGCACCCAAACATACATAGGTATATGTGTGTATACATATATATTAGGCATATACACATACACACACATATATAGTTTTTCAAAATAAATAATATTATTCCATAGCATCACAGATTCTATATATAGTTTTATAGCCATTTAAAATAAACTAAAATGTTACTTTATGGCATCGTTTTTATATTTTCCTCATCACTAAGAAGAAAGTTGAAAAACTTACAGTACCTACATTTTAGCGAAGCTCTTCAATTCCTTCCGTAAGGGTACTGCAAGTCCACTTATGTATTTGCCCTCCTGTATGTTTCTCTCCCTTTCCCTGCTCAGCTCTGCATGACACGTGGCACAGGGAAGGGGAATCAGGGGAATGGAGAGAAGTCTAATCCCTGAAAACTGCATTTTCCAGCTCCCTTGTCAATGGGCTTCCAGGTAGTTATAGTTAGTGGGAGATACTAGAGGAAGGTGGAGAGTAGAAAAGGGAGAGTAGGCAGAACATTTTTCCCTCTCTCTGTCCATTTCAGGGGGTCTCTGGCAGTTAGCGCTGCTCCTGTGTTGTTTCCAGCTCCTGCATAACCTCTACCTTTGTGACCTCAGTTCCCATCAATGGTCTAGGCTGTGCCAACAACATCTCTGCCCTGTGGCCCATTGTCTCACTGTCCTGTTTGTCTTTTCAGCTATTCTAATACTTTTATAACTAATTTCCTGGCTCTGCTTACTTGAATTTTTTTCCTGGCTGATATAAACACATTATTAGAGGAATATTTGCTAGGACAAAAGAGATGCTCATTTTAAAATAAAGTTTATATTGCACAATACAGAACAGTTCTGGAGCCAGCATGTAAAATTTTATGAGACAAGACGTCTTCCTGGACCCTGCATTTCTGGGATTCACCTTTCTCTTGTCATCTCTGTCAGTTTCAAAGGTACATCTTTCTTTATTTTGCATTTGTTTGATTGTCTTTTTCCCCATATGTTTATCCGTCATATATAGTTATTCTTTATGAAATGCTTGCTCCCCTTTTTCTTCCTGTGTTAATCTTTTCCTGGTTTCTAAGCCTGAATATACCAAAAATCCAGGGTCCCTGTTCATTGAATTCACAAATTCATACTCAGCACTCATCTCTGTGCCTGACAAATAATAAATATTCATTATTATTAATTAAGTGAAGAAATGCATACAGATGTTCTAGTCTGTTTAACGAGCCTGCTCTATAATGTATTTTATTATCTAGTAGGAAAAATTTTCCTCTCATTATTGTTTTATTTGCCCTCAATATTTTCTTGAATGATTTCATTCTTTAGCAATAAACTTCAGAAGAAATTTCATCAAGTTCTTTTCTTCCCTCTGAAAACATTTTTCCAATTGGTACTTTGAGAGTGTGTTACATTTCTAAATTAAATTGGTAGAGAGTTGACATCTTTAGAATAATTGATCTTTACACCTGTCTTGGTTAGTCCATGTTTGTGCTTACCCCATCCCTTATGGTCTACCCATTTCTACACTGCTTTCTGTCAGGAGACTCTATAGTTCAGGCTTCCTTTCCATCTGACTTCTGGTTAGGTTCAGCCAAGGTAAAGAACTGAAAAAACATGCGGGATGGTAAAAGATTTTTTCTCACGGCTCCTCTTGCTACAGTGCCATGTTTCTGGAAGTGGCTAAGTTTCCCCTGCTTCCTGACCACATCTCTTCTCCTCAACTCCATCTCTCTAACCAGGCTCTCATAAAGCTGCTCTTGTCCCTTTCCCTTTCAGATCTTGATGTGGTAATGGCTCCACACTTTTGTCAGTCTCTATGTTATCTCAACATTCTGTTAGTCTCTATGTATCCCAACATTCATTACTGCTTCCCTTAACCCTGTGCACAACTCTCAGTAGTCCTCTGATTAAAATATGTTTGAAGTCCCAGCTGAGTCCTTCTTTGATTTCTTACTGGCCCTCTGACTAACAGTAATCCAGCCCATTTATTTAGGCTTTGTAAAGTTCTGTGCTGTTTAAATGAAAGACGGCATAGTTTATCTTAAATTAAATTTTATGTATTTTTTATTTTTGTTTTCATTAGTGGAATACTTTTGTATTTTCTAACTGGTTGTATTTAATATGTAGTCATGAATAGATGTAATTTTCATGAGAAATGTTCAAATACAATACAAAGCCAGAATAAAAAAGAATTACAAACTTTGTAAACACATGTAATATAAAATTAAATCCCAAGAAAAAAGATACCTCCAACATTCTTAAAGGTAGGTTTTAATACTTGGGTTTTGTGTGATTTTAAAATAATAATATCCATTGTTTAAAAAATTGATAATTGGGCCAGGCATGGTGGCTCACGCCTGTAATCCCAGAGCTTTGGGAGGCTGAGGCGGCAGGATCACGAGGTCAGGAGTTTGACACCACCCTGGCCAACATGGTGAAACCCTGTCTTTACTGAAACTACAAAAATTAGCCAGACGTGGCAGCACACACCTATAGTCCTAGCTATTCGCGAGGCTGAGGCAGGAGAATCGCTTGATCCTGGGAGGCAGAGGTTGCAGACAGCCGAGATCGTGCCACTGCACTCCAGCCTGGCGACAGAGTGAGACTCTGTCTCAAAAAAAAAATGGATTATTGAAGACAGATGTAAGTAAAATTGAAAAATATGCAGGGCAGAGAATAACCTATATGTGGAAAATGTTTAAGTTGCAACTTCTACTTTCCTAGCCCCACCTAACCACTAAAATCTTGAATAGCAGAGAAAATAGTTACTGAAATAAACGAAATGGAGCTGACAAAATTATTCAGGATGGCAGGTGGAATTTTTTACGCTGAGATCTCAATTCACAGCAGGATATTCCCCACATTGCCAGTTGTCAACATTTTGATTCAAACTATTTTCAGTGGTTATTTTAGGGATATGATTACATGTTTCACTAATCAATGCCATGAAAGGGTCAATAATACTGTAGCTAAAGTGGTATACAGCTTTAACTAATTGTTTTTTAGGTCAATACATATGCAATTTGTTGAAATTTTTAATATTTTAAATATTTATAATGTGAGGTTTTCAACCACAACTTATAACTGATTCTGCTATAATTAATTCATAGAAGCAGAACAGAGTGGAAATAATGCAGGCCGTCGCATACCCCTTAGCCAACCCAATGACTCTGATAATACAATATCCACCATCCATCCCTCAGAGAAGAATTGTAAGAGTCCAAGAATGCAGCATGTGTACCATAGCTTTCTAAAATGCTGTGCAAATGTTAGTTGTGATGAATGCAAATGAATTTTGCAAACAAAATCCATTTGTGTGTTGTTAGTTGCTTACATTGTGAGTGCTTATATGACGAATCATAAGGAGATGATGTTCAGGTATCCACAGTGGAATCAAAAAATATTTTAATAGACTAAGGAAATGGCATGCCTGCCATATTATTAGTAGAAGTACATATTATGACAGAGTAACTTTGTAGCATGTTGCTAATGACTGTTCAAACTGTATCTAATACATAGAAAATTCAGCTACATTTTCTCATATATAATGACTGTCTTACTAACTTGCTTTTAAAATATCTGTATGATAAGAACAAGTGTAATGTCTTCTTGGTTGCATTAGCAAAATAAAGACAACACTCAAATACAATAGGCATGAATGCCTCAGGGACCCTAGATCCAGGTGAACACGGCAGAAACTAAATCTTAAATTGCCTAAATCAGCCACCATTTGAAATAATGTCAATTGTCGAGGGGAACTGATGACAGGGTATTTTCAGCCTCCTCAATGCCTATATTTTTCAGGCAAAAAGTTAAAAAGGAATGATATGGTGTGGCTGTGTCCCCACCCAAATCTCATCGTCAATTATAGTTCTCATCATCTCCACATTGCATAGCGGGGGGCCTGGTGGGAGGTAATTGAATCATGGGGACGATTTCCTCCATGCTATTCTTGTGAGAATACGTTCTCATGAAGTCTGATGGTTTTATAAGGGGCTTCCCCCTTTGCTACGTTCTCATTCTTCTTCTCCTTGCTGCTGCCGTGTGAAGAAGGATGAGTTTGCTTCCCCTTCCGAAACGATGGCAAATTTCCTGAGGCCTCCCTAGCCCTGCAGAACTGTGAGTAAATCAAGCTTCTTTCCTCCATAAATTACCCAGTCTTGGGTATTTCTTCATAGCAGCATGAGAACGGATTAATACAGTAAATTGGTACTGCAGAGAGTGTGGTGCTAATGAAAAGTTACCCGGAAATGTGGAAGTGACTTTGGAACTAGATTAACAGGCAGAGATTGAAACAATTTGGAGCACTCAGAAGAAGACAGGAAAATGTGGGAAAGTTTGGAACTTCCTAGAGACTTATTGAATGGCTTTTACCAAAATGATAATAGTGATATGGAAAATAAAGTCCAGGTCGAGGTGGTCTCAGATGGAGATGGGGAACTTATTGGGAACTAGTGACATTTTGCCTCTGCCCCAGAGATCTGTGGACCTTTGAACTTGAGAGAGATGATTTAGGGTATTTGGCAAAAAAAAAAAAAAAAAAAAAAAAAAAAAAAAAAAATTCTAAGTGGCAAAGCATTCAAGAGAAAGCAGAGCCCCAAAATTTGGAAAATTTGCAGCCTGACAATGCGATAGAAAAGAAAACCTCATTTTCTGGGGAAAAATTCAAGCCAGCTTCAGAAATTTGCATAAGTAACAAAGAGCCAAATGTTAATCACCAAAAATGGGGAAAATGTTTCAAGGACTTGTCAGAGACCTTCACAGCAGCCCCTCCCATCACAGACCCAGAGTCCTAGGAGGGACTTGCATGGGGCCTGTGGCCCCTTTGTTTTGGCCAAATTCTTCCATTTGGAGCTGGTGTATTTACCCAATGCCATACAATGGGGGTCCATTGTATGTAGGAAGTAACTAACTTGCTTTTGATTTTGCAGGCTCATAGGTGGAAGGGGCTTGCCTTCTCTCAGATAAGACCTTGGACTTGGACTTTTGGGTTAATGCTAGAACGAGTTGAGACTTTGGGAAATCGTTGGAAAGGCATGATTGTGTTTTGAAACGTTAGGACATGAGATGTGGGAGAGGCCAGGGTGGAATCATATGGTTTGTCTGTGTCCCTACTCAATTCTCATATTGAATTGTAGTTCCCATAATCCCCCCGTGTGGAGACAGGGACCCAGTGGGGGGTAATTGAATAGTGGGGGCAGTTCTCCCATGCTATTCTCGTGATAGTGAGTAATGTATCATGAGGTCTGATGGTTTTATAAGGGGCTTTCCCCTTTGCTCAGTTCTCATTCTTCTTCTAGCTGCCACCATGTAAAGAAGGAAGTGTTTGCTTCCCTTTCACCCTGATTGTAAGTTTCCTGGGGCCTCCCCAGCTCCGTGGAACTGCGAGTAAATTAAACCACTTTCCTTTGTAAATTACCCAGTCTCAGGTATTTCTTCATAGCAGTGTGAGAATGGACTAATACAGTTGTCAACCTTTCACCAAGCCTAAGCCAGCAACATCTATTTTGGTGAGACTCAGACCAAAGTGCCTGGCTTAAGTGCCCTTATTTCAAACTCAACTACTTGCTTTTGAAAATGCACAGTATTCATCATGTGACATGTTGACTGAGGTGAGTAATCAAATCTTGCCAGAGAATTGGGAAGATTCTCTCTATTTTCAGCAGTCCAGAGTGCAGATAAAGCTTTTAAGTCCATCGCTTCATTTTTGTGACTTACAATTTGAGATTTTCCACAGTATAACACAGATAGGTATATGCCTGCATGCAGGACACATATAATTCTGGGCAAAAGCGTCTTTTGATTTGTCATAGCATTGCAATCATTTTTTTGTGCAGCTGACAAACTCTTCTCAAACAAAAACATAGCATCTTTTAATTGAGTTCACAGTGGAAGGCCTCAAATTTATTTTGTCATCTAAATCACTCTGTTTAGTTGGAACTTTTATTGCCACTTCAGAACATCTGGTCCAATTAAAGGATAACTGTGTTGCCTTCATTTGAATGGCAGAGGAAGGTTAATTTTAACAGGACCCATAGGCAAATATCTGTTCTGTGCTGGATTGGAGATAGCTTCGTGCTCTAAAGATGGCCTTGATAACTGATAGGAATCTATATGGATTAAGATCCAACCTTACAGCTTATATAAGCATGTAACCACAAGTAGAATTACATATACCAACAGAATACGAGATCACAATCAAGCAAAACCATGATGCATGTTTATACAAGTTGAGATTAAATAGGGACCATGTTGGGTTGGAATGTTTCTTGGGATCATACACCCTCAAGGAAGGCCAGAAGCAACTACCATATCATCAAAAGAAAAGTCACAAAAGTGAAGAAGAAGACAGTAACATGCAGAGAACATAAGGGAAGCAGTGTTTCTCTTTTTCTCTCGCACAGAAGGTTATGAGATGTAAACAGCTTATATCATAATGTGCCAGACTGCACAGCACAAAGTTGAAGAAAGACCCTCAGAGACATATACTTTCTTGTAAATCCTGGAACGATGATGAGTAAATTTGACAGCTGAGGAACTTGGGTAAACGACTCAAGGCACTGACTGAGCTAGATTATTAAAAAGAATATTGACTGAGTATTGCCTGCCAATACTTGAAATATTAGGGTCACGGGGCAAGTATTTCAAGTTCTTTCTGAATAGTAAGATTTGTTATATTTACTTCCTGTTAAATAAGTATATATTCTGATAAGCTTGTGCAAAGCATGTCAGTAAAAACATCAGTGATTATTCCTGTATTATGGTTCAGGTATTTCAGTAGTGACGACTGAGGAAGAAATACCTGCTAGAAAAGATAATATTCCATGAAACACAATTGCAGGAGAAAATATGAAAGATTGCAATAACTTTGGTGTTATGTATATGTGTGTTGACAACTTGCCATGAAGTCCTGGCAAAGATGTTTTCAACACAATAAATGTAACCAGTGCAAACAGTATTATTTCTATTATTCTTGCATTAAATAAACAGTAATCCTTCATAATCATGCCTAATATTTATTTAGCAACTTCTAGCTTCAAAGTACCTCTAAATATAATCTCCCTTAGTTCTCCCCAAAACTCCTGATTTATGCTCTGGGGAAATTATTAGTCCTACTTTAGATATAAGAAAACTGAGACTCACAGAATTTAAGGAAATTATTTAAGGTCACCCAGTTAGGGACCTTATCAAGAACAAACACTTTGTCCTTGGCCAAGGACAATGGCCTTGATATATGCAGTGCTCTTGATATTTGCTTGTCAGCCACACACAAAAGTGGCACGGATAAGAGGCAACCGTTCCTGTTTCTACAAAACACCTCCCATTGATCTAATTAAACTAAAGAGCTTCTGCACAGCAAAAGAAACTATCATCAGACTGAACAGGCAACCTATAGAATGGGAGAAAATTTTTGCAATCTATCCATCTGACAAAGGGCTAATATCAAGAATCTACAAAGAATTTAAACAAATTTACAAGAAAAAAGCAAACCACCCCATCAAAAAATGGGCAAAGGATAGGAACAGACACTTCTCAAAAGGAGACATTTAGGCAGCCAACAGACATATGAAAAAATGCTCATCATCACTGTTCATTAGAGAAATGCAAATCAAAACCACAATGAGATACCATCTCATGCCAGTTAGAATGGAGATCATTAGAAAGTCAGGAAACAACAGATGGTGGAGAGGTAGTGGAAAAATAGGAATGCTTTTATACTGTTGGTGGGAGTGTAAATTAGTTCAACCATTGTGGAAGACTGTGTGGCGATTCCTCAAGGATCTAGAACTAGAAATACTATTTGACCCAGCAATCCCATTACTGGGCATATACCCAAAGGATTATAAATCATTCTATGATAAAGACACATGCACATGCATGTTTAGTGCAGCACTGTTCACAGTAGCAAAGACGTGGAACCAACCCAAATGTCCATCAACGATAGACTGGATTAAGAAAATGTGGCACATATAAAGCATGGAATACTATGCAGCCATAAAAAAGGATGAGTTCATGCCCTTTGCAGGGACATGGATGAAGCTAGAAACCATCATTCTCAGCAAAGTATCACAAGGTCAGAAAACCAAACACCACATGTTCTCACTCATAAGTGGGAGTTGAACAATGAGAACACATGGACACAGGGAGGGGAACACCACACACTAGGGCCTATGAGGGGTGGGGGACTAGGCGAGGGATAACATTAGGAGAAATACCTAATGTAGCTGACAGGTTGATGGGTGCCACCATGGCACATGTATACCTATGCAACAAACATGCACGTTCTGCACATGTGCCCCAGAACTTAAAGTATAATAATAATTAAAAAAACACCTCCCATAAATTGACAGGGGAAGATTATTGGATAGGAAGCTTCATGTTTATTGCAAACCATTAAGCATGTTGAGTACATTACTGACTTAACAAAAACAAGTGTTTTGGAAAAGAAATGAAGGGTGTTATTTTTTGTTGTACACTTACACATTAAAGCAAACAATAACAGAATCACTTTGGGATACTGCTTCTTATGTGTAAGACAATATTGACTGCTGGAAACCCAACATAAACTCTAAATTTTGTGTATACAGCCAGTCTCCAAAATTCCTCCAATATTTAAAATACTAATCTTAGTTATGGGTGTCTACTTATTACTTTGGGACTCTTTCATACATCTGAAATATAAAGTTCCTGCAAGATCTCTCTTTCATCTTACTTTTTGTGTCCCAGGAGACAGAATTATGAACATGGTTTTTTTGAAAACAAAATAAAATTTGGGAGCAATTGGCTGACTTCTACATAGCCACGTCTTTTATTATTGCTGTTGTTGGGTGCACATATATGTGTGTGTGCATGTGTGTGTGTGTGTGTGTGTGTGTGTGTGTGTGTGTGTGTGTGTTTGAGAGAGAGAAGTATCGGAATTACATCATCCACTTAACTCTAATAGTGGTGCTTTATTTTTCAGCTCTATAGGTGAAGCTAAAATAAACTCATCAGAAGCCTTTTGAGGACATTCTATGAGGAGAGGTCTAAGCAGACACTGAGGGAGTAACAGGGTGAGGAGACTGAAGGTGGATTACTTCAGTTTTGAGGCAAAATTGATCACACCCTCAAACAGCATATAGCCTCAGAGTTCATGTGACCACACAAGAAAGATTGGTGCTCTCAAAATTATTAACAGCTTTAATTGGTGTAAATCTATTTTAAACAGTGGGCCAGCAACCTCTTTAATCTTAAAGGACCTAAGCAATACTTAAGATGGCCTGTAATAGCCAGTGTGCAGCCTAGAAGAAACATAGAAAACCAACAGAAAAGAAAGGGTGAGAAAACCATTAAGGATGAGGAAGGAGAGAGAACCAAGAGAAAATGTTACTGAAAGAGAAAGTACAGAAGAAAGAGGGCTGATATGGTTTGGCTGTGTCCCAACCAAAATCTCATCTTCACTTGTAGCTCCCATAATTCCCATGTGCTGAGGGAGGGATGCAGTCAGAGATAATTGAATCATAGGGGTAGTTTCCACCATACTGTTCTTGTGGTAGATAAGGCTCATGAGATCTGATGGTTTAATACGGGGAAACCCCTTTTGCTTGGCTCTTATTCTCTCTTTGCCTATTGCCATTAACACTGGCTTTGCTCCTCCTTGCCTTCCTCCCCAGCCATGTGGAACTGCATGTCAATTAAACCTCTTTCCTTTATAAATTACCCAGTCTCGGGCATGTCTTTATTAGCAGTGTGAGAACAGACTAATATAGTAAATTGGTACCAGTAGAGTGGGGTGCTGTGTAAAGATACTCAAACATGTGGAAGCAACTTTGGAACTGGGGAACAGGCAGAGGTTGGAACAATTTGGAGGACTCAGAAGAAGACAGGAAAATGTGGGAAAGTTTGGAACTTCCTAGAGACTTGTTGAATGGCTTTCACCAAAATGCTGATAGTGATATGGACCAGGAAGTCCTGGCTTAAGTGGTCTCAAGTGGAGATGAGGAACTTGTTGGGAACTGGAGCAAAGGTCACTCTTGTTATGCTTTATCAAAGAGACTGGCGGCATTTTGCCCCTGACCTAGAGATTTGTGGAACTTTGAACTTGAAATAGATGATTTAGAGTATCTGGCGGAAGAAGTCTCTAAGCAGCAAAGCATTCAAGAGGAAGGAGAGCATAAAAGTTTGGAAAATTTGCAGCCTGATGTTGCAATAGAAAAGAAAACCCATTTTCTGGGGAGAAATTCAAGCCAGCTGCAGAAATTTGCAGAAGTAACGAGGAGACAAATGTTAATTGCCAAGACAATTGGGAAAATGCCTCCAGGGCATGTCAGAGAACTTCACAGCCGCCCCTACCATAACAGGGCTGGACGACTCCGAGGAGAAAATGATTTTCTGAGCTCACGGGGCCCAGGGCCCCACTTCTGTGTGCAGCCTAGGGACTTGGTGCCCTGCATCCCAGCCACTCTAGCCATGGCTAAAAGAGTCCAAGGTACAGCTTGGGTTGTGGCTTCAGAGGGTGCAAGTCCCAGGCCTTAGAAGCTTCCACATGGTATTGAGCCTGTAGGTGCACAGAAGTCAATAATTGAGATTTGGGAACCTCTGCCTAGATTTCAGAGGATGTACGGAAACATCTGGATATCCAGGGAGAAATTTGCTGCAGGGGTGGCGCCCTCACGGAGAACTTTTGCTAGGGCAGTATGGAAGGGAACTATGGGGTTGAAACTCCCACACAGAGTCTCCCACTGGGGCACTGCCTAGTAGATCTGTGAGAAGAGGGTCACCCTCCTGCAGAACCCAGAATGGTAGATCCACTGACAGCCTCCACTATCCACCTGGAAAAGCTGCAGACACAATACCAGTCTGTGAAGGCAGCCAGGAGGGAGGCTGTACCCTGCAAAGCCACAGGGGCAGAGCTGCTCAAGACCATGGGAACCCACCTCTTGCATCAACATGACCTGAATGTGAGACATGGAGTCAATGGAGATCATTTTGGAGCTGTAAGATTTGACTACCCTGCTGGATTTTGGACATGCATGTTGCCTGTAGCCTCTTTGTTTTGGCCAATTTCTCCCATTTGGAATGGCTGCATTTACCCAATGCCTGTACTACCCTTTTATATAGGAAGTAACTAACTTGCTTTTGATTTTACAGGCTCATAGATGGAAGGGACTTGCCTTGTCTCAGATGAGACTTTGGATTGTGGACTTTTGAGTTAATGCTGAAATGAATTAAGACTTTGGGGGATTGTTGGAAAGGCATGATTGGTTTTGAAATGTGAGGACATGAGATTTGGGAGGAGCCAGGTAAGGGATGATATGGTTTGGCTGTGTCCCCATCCTAATCTTATCTTGAATTGCAGCTCCCATAATTCCCATGTATTGTGGAAGGTACCTCGTGGGAAATAATTGAATCATGGGGGTGGTTTCCCCCATGCTGTTCTCATAGTAGTGAATAAGTCTCATGAGATCTGATGGTTTCATAAGGGAAAACCCCTTTTGCCTGCCTCTTATTCTCTCTTACCTGCTTTGATGTATCAGGTGGCTTTCTTACTCCTTGCCTTCCACCATGACTGTGAGGTCCCCCAGCCCTGTGGAAATGTGCGTCAATTAAACCTCTTTCCTTTACAAATTACTTGGTCTTGGGTATGTCTTTATTAGCAGTGTGAGAACAGACTAATACAAGGGCATATCCTAAGGACATGTTTATTCTAAACTATCCTCATGTCTCAACCTCCTTCAAGCCTTTCATGAATGTCACCTTCTCAATTAAGCCTTTCAAGACCCCTTTATTTTAAAGTGCAATATTTGCCCTCTTCCCATGTTTGGCGTTCCATGTTGCTCTTATCCTGCTTGCTTCTTTTCTTTTTTTTTTCCAACAGCACTTATTGCTTTTTAACATATTTAAGACACGAAAAACTATAGAGAAAATGTAAATGCATATTACTAAGTGAAAAAAGCAAATCTGAAAAAGGACACATACTGTATGATTCCAAATTTATGAGATTCTGGAAAAGGCAAAATTATGAGACAATAAAATGGTCAGTGATTGACAGGGGTGAGAAGGGAGCTAGTAATGAATAGGTAAGGAACAGAAGATTTTTAGGGCAGTAAAACTACTCTGATACTATAATGATGGATACATGTCATTATGCATTTGTCCAAACCCAGAGAATGTACAACACTAGGAGTGAACCATGATGTAAACGATGGACTTTGAGTGATAATGATGTATGTATGTCAATGTAGGTTCATCAGTTGTAACAAATGTACCACTTTCGTGGAGACGCTGATAATGGAGGAGGCTTTGCATGTTTGGGAGCAGGGACTATATGGGAAATCGCTATACTTTCCTCTCCATTTTGCTGTGAACCTAAAACTCATCTAAAAAATAGTCTTTAACAAAAGGGAATTATGAATTTCTAGTAGGATATTTTAAGTCAATACTTTCTTGTGGCTCCTGTCTAGTAAGACTAGTACTACCTCCAACACCATTGAAAAACAAAAATAATTCCTACATATGTCAAAGTATCCCCTTAGAGACACTATACCGTTCCATTGAGAACCATTAACCTAAACTGTTGCCAGCAGAGCTTGCTCACAGATCCCTCAAATAGTTCTTGGCACGTTAGCAGAGGATATACAGAGATGAGCACTGGACAGTCTGACCTACCTTCAAAGCAACATGGTATTGACCATGATGGCATAACAGTCACTGCTTAAAACAATGATATAATAAGTTAAGCAAACGTTTGATGAATTTAATCGGTGTATACAAGCAATCACAATAATTTTTATTTTTTTTTATACTTTCAAACTTTATTTTTACTGATCTGAATTAACTAGAAAATTACCTCAAGTTACAACCTCACTTTATAAATAATTTTGGCCACTGAAAATCTGAGCCATAATTATTAGTGCATGGAAAAGAGTAATTTTTCTTAGACAATGATTATTTAGCAAGCCTGATATATTACATTCTATTTAATTTAAGAAAAGAAAAAAAAGAATAAACATGTATGCATATACACATGATCATGGGTAGAAATTCACTAAATGCTTTCTTTTGCACACAGTTTAAGAGTTATGGGCTTTGAACATTAGTATTGCAAATATGTATACATAGTTTTCAATTTAGTTCTAAGGAGAGCTACTTTGTCTAATGGCTTTGACAAGCAAGCAATACATCATTGGAAACACAGGCACGTGCTGTTTTGGAATTCGTACCCACTCATGTCTACCCTTTCCTCCTGTCCCTGAAAAAAATTTCAAATTTGATGTACATTATCATCACCTAACGATGACCAGCTTCCTTCCTATTGCTGAGTTTTAAACTGCAGATTTCAGTGACACACAACATTGAGACATAATCCATAAATCTGCAGTTATGAACAGCTTGCTTTTATGGAAATATGTCAAACTGAATATTTTAAAATGATAACTTTCACATTAGCTTGTCACAGCTTACTTTTTTCATTTTCAGTGCTGACAAATATAAATTTAAATAAATAAAATATCCCAAGTGATATTTAATGTATTTCTAGAAGTATTGCTAACTTCTACAGACAAGTTAAACTAAGCATCCCAGTCATTTTAGACTCAAAGGAAGAGTGAGGCATTTTCTGTATTTTTTTTTTCTTTTTCTATTAGTTTTGGGCCATGGGCTCTGGACACTGAACTAAGATCAGATGACAGGGTCCCAGCTCCTCTAATGTGCCTCAGTTTCCTAATCTATAAAACAGAGTAGAAACTATATGATCTCCAAGTGTTCTATCTAATAGACTTTGAAATGCCTGTTAAGTGAGCAATTCCAGAAGTCAAAGGATTTCAGGAAGGCAGTCTTTTTCTCAGAGTACTATTATTTGCAAAGACAAAAATAATCCTTGTAGATATTAATGAATATTCCTTTGGACTAAAAAAAATGCATGAATTGTGATGAGTTTTTTTTTTTCTGAGATTAGAATATATTTAGATTCTGTGCGCCCATCTTCCTTATTCACCTACCTCTTTGTGAATTTATCTTTGCCTTACTCCCCAACAGCTGTTTCAACTTCAATACTAAAGCTCTTTTGCTTTTAGGTCACAATTGATTGATCTTACTTCTACTTCAACTTTTTTGTTGTTGTTTGTTTGCAGTTTTGAACCTCTATTTGCTTACCCAACTGTAGGGCAGAACACTTGGAGAGTCACGGTGCTTGCAGATTTCCCATACTGTACTTTAGTACTTAGCCAGGGCCTAAATCACACTCTAAACGGACCACCTTAGGGATCGGTTGATAGCAATATCTATGTGTTTTCTATAAATGGAGAGATAATGATCACAAGTTATAAAGACCACTTATAAGATGAAGGGCAGCGAACTTGAGCATATAGATGCCTTTATTCTCCTTTCCTTTTAAGCCATCTTCCTTGCAAGCTGGAGACAACGGCCTAACTAAAACCTTGTTTCTCAAAATATGGTCTTAGCAATATCAATCACCTGGAAGCTTGTTAAAAACACAGAATTGTAGGCTCCATCTTCGTTCCACTGAATCAAAATAAGCAAGTTAACAATCTCTCCAGTGATTTGCATGCACATTAACATTTCACAAGCTTTGGTCTAAAACAAGTGTCTGTTGTGTCACTGTCCTGCCTAAAGCTTTTCAATAACAAGCTGCTATTAAGGAAGTCCAAATTCTTAGGGCAACTACTTCCCCAATTCACTTCTTACAACTACGAGACAATTCATTAAGGGCAAAATTTTTTCATATCATAGACTAAGCACATGCCTGGCATGAGGAAAGCTCAGCAAAAACTTATTGGATTTAGCTAAAAAATCAATGGGACATCTGTAAAGTGTTTTCTCAAGTCTATTTTGATTATACCTCTTGACATAAACTTTCTACTGCTTATTCAGTTGGCACCCAGTGGGTCAGGCACATGGTTCTTTGTATTTATTTTCTTGTTTTGACAATCAACAAGTGGTATATTATATCTTTCCTAGAGGTTAAATTAATAGAATATTGTTGCAACAATTGTAATAAATTAATATTCCCATATTTATCGCGCAAATAACATTAAAACACAATGAAGTGTCATGGAGGGTATCAAGTTTTACTCACAAATAAGGAGAACAGAAGATTTCTTGGTTATTCAAATAAGAACTCAACATTTTATCAGCTTTTTGGATCAAACAATTTATCTGGTATATCGGAATACTTTTTTTGCATAAAACTTTATTGGCAAGTTTCAATACCAATTTTACTCAATCCAGGATAAACCTCATTAAATGGTGACAGATCATACTGAAAGCGCTTTCTACTATTGCAAGCCTTACCCTTTGCCACAAGACTTGCAGTTACCACTGTGTCAAGAGTGCATTCTCCTGTCCCACTGCCATCAAACTCAGTCATAAGACTCTTTTTGCCCGATGAAATATGTGCCATTTCAGAGCAGCTGCTTTAACAGCATCTTGAGTTTCTACCAACTCTCTTGCTTTGCCCTTTGGCTAGAGAATGGCATATCCCAGATGCTGTCTGCTTCTTGTAGCCTGGATCCAGGAATGAAGAGACATGGGAAATCATCAGTTAACTTGACCTGTAACCAAAGGGCAAAGAGAGGGAGAAATAATCCCTTGTTTTCTAAGTCTTTGAATTTCAGAATTATTGATTCCATATGAAAAATTAGAAAAAGCCGACTGCGCGCGGTGGCTCATGCCTGTAATCCCAGCACTTTGGGAGGCCGAGGCGTGTGGATCACGAGGTCAGGCGATCGAGACCATCCTGGCTAACACGGTGAAACCCCGTCTCTACTAAAAATACAAAAAATTAGCCGGGCGTGGTGGCGGGCGCCTGTAGTCCCAGCTACTCGGGAGGCTGAAGCAGGAGAATGGCGTGAACCCGGGAGGGGGAGCTTGCAGTGAGCCAAGATCCAGCCACTGCACTCCAGCCTGGGCGACAGCGAGACTCTGTCTCAAAAAAAAAAAAAAAGAGAAAAAAGAAAAAGCCAACTAATGCAACTTATTTTGTATTCACCATCCAATTTTATTAAGTTCTTGATATTTCTGATTGTGGCAGACATCATAACATAATTTGTCTAACTTTTGCATGTGGACAGGATCTGTCACTTGCTTCTAAGCAAGCAGATCCTTCCACATTTGAGTCCTCAGGTGCAGCCAACCTGACACCTTGATTGCGAGCTGTGAGACCCTGAGCAGGAGAGCTAGCTAAGCCAGATCTATACTTTTGACCCACAGAAAGTGTGATATCATAAATGAATGTTTTTAAATAACTAATTTTGCGGTAATCTTTAACACAGCCATTACATGAATGCACTGATGATAAAAGTAGCATTTGTTACAAATTAAGTAAAGCTTACATAACAAAATAGAAATGCATTTGTACTTCTATTATAAAGAAAATTTTCTTTAACATTTTGGTATATTTTCTCTGTATCTTTTCTACTCTTAACCTATATCTATATTAGTACCTCTTCCTATCTTAAAATATACATTTGTATGTTTACATTCTGTTTTTCTTCTCAATGATCATCACAGAATAAGCTTTCTACCCCTAGTAGGTGGGTTCCTTGAGAATGGGATGTTTCTTATGCTGACCTATCTCCAAAACTTTGAATAGTGCCTGATATATTAAGTAGCATCTAAATACATATTTGTTTTGTTAATTGATGAATGAATTGATGTTTTATACCCTTAATAATTCTTCATAAACTTTCTTTTATTTGTTATATAAAATTACAAAAATCGAGAGATTATAAACTACTCAACATTCTTCTGTCTTGGATTTTTAATTGATACTAACATATATATTTTTAATAATTCCATTATGTATACTTTATCCCAAACCAAACATGTCTTTCGCTCCTCTCCCTCTTGTCTGCCTAATATTGCATAACAGGAGAATGGGCCACATCTGGCCAGAAAGAGGCAATCACAGTGCTGAGACATCATCCCCCCACTGCTGAGATAAGAAAATTATAAACAGCACCAGTTAGGAAAGATTCTGAAAAGCAACGGCCACATAGCTAGTAAGCAGAGCAATGCAGGTTGTCATTTTTCATCTAGACTTATTTCAAAAGTCTCATAATGTACGTCTTACCTCTTCAATCCAGTCTTCAACTTATTGCTAGATTAATCTTCCTATTATACAAACAGAATTATGCCTATCCCCTTCCAAAGTCCAATAATGGCTTCCCATTTGCCTATAAAATAATTTCTAAATTCCTGGAATAACACAGAACCCTCCCCAGTCTCACATTATCTAAACTATCAACATTATTTTTTTCTAAACTCTTTCATACGTATTTATGACTCCCCAGTCACCACCTCTGAATGCACAATATGTTAATGAATTCTTGTACTCTTTCATATATAGTTGCATATATAATTGTTTCTTTTTTTCTGGACTGTTTTTATTATCATTCTTTAGCTATTACAATAACTAGTATCTTTCAAAGCTAAGCTGTAATGCCACCCAGTAAGTGACATTTTCTCTGAACTTCCTAATCAGAATGAAGAATTACTTCTTCCATAATTCCATCCTTTCTTGAGTTACACAATATATTACTAGTTTTCCCACCAGACAGATTGCTCCTTGAAGGCACACATTCAATTAAGCAAAAGAGAAAATCCCACCTTTCATGAAGCTTACATTTAAGGGACAGAAGAAGGACATGAAAAATTAAACACATAGCTATGTGATATATTCTCAGAAGATAAACTAAATGAAGATAAAGGGATAATGAATAATTGGTGTATGTGTGTGCATGCGTGTAAATACACATTCATGTGCAATTTTTATAGTGTCATCAAGGTAGGCATCACCAATAAGGTGATATTTGAGCAGAAACCAAGGGAAGAAATGGGGACAGCCATGTGGATGTCTAGAGAAAGAACATTCTTGCTTCTGAGGAGAGAGGGACTTTGTTTGATTTGTGTTTCTAAAGGATTATTCTAACTGCTTTGTCCAGAATAAACTGTAGAAGGTCGTGGGCAGAAGCAGGGAGATGAGTTCAAGAACCTTTACAGTAATCTGGGAAAGAGGTGATGGTGACTCAGACTAGGGTGGTAGTGGTGGAAATTATGAGCAGTAGTCATGTTCTGAATATATCTTAAAGGTACAGCTACTCAGATATAAGCATCCCAATAGAAATGGGAGCTCCAAATGATAGGGACATTTGTCTTTTTCAGTACCATTTTATTCCCAGTACGTATAACAGTGCCCAGCACTTAGTAAGTACTTAATAAATATATGTTAAATGAATAAATGTTGAATACAGAGCTGATGTGATATGCTAATGGACTAAATATGAATCGTATATGAACATAAGGAGTCAAATACAACTCCAATTTTTGATTAAAGCAAGCAGAAGGATAGAATTGACACTTGTGTAGGTAAGGAGACTGATGGCTTTGCATGCCTCGAGGTAGCAGGGTGGAAATTGGAATTTCTGCCTTATACATGTTAAATTTCTACTAGAAATTTAAAGGTGCTTATCAATTAGGCAGTTATGCATACGAATTGTGATTTCAGGGGAGAGGTCTGTACTGAAAATATGTAATGGGGAGTTTTCAGCAGTATATAGATGGCATTTAAAGTAATATGATTAGATCATGTAGCTAGCCATTGAGTGTAGATAAAGACGGAAAGAAACCCGAGAATGAACCCCGGACACTTCCATATGAAGAGGTTGGGGAGAAGAGGATTCAGCAAAGGAAACGACAGGAATAGCCAGTGAGGTAAGAAGTGGATTATTTGAATGGGTCCTGAGAGCCACATAAAGTGCAACAAGGAGAAAAAAAGAGATGAAGACTGACAATTGCCACTGGATTTTGTGACAAAGAGACCTTTGGTGTCTTGACCAGAGCAGATTTTCTAGGGTGGTGTTGATAAAATCCTAATTGAAAAGAAGCCGATAAAAAATTGGAGAAGTAGAAGTTGGTAAATATAGACAACTGAAGGAGTTTTGTAGTAAAAAGTAGGAGAAAATGGGGATAAATATACTACGACTTATTTTATAGGCTCACTGAGAGGCCCCAATGATAAAATATATTTGAAATGTTTTGTAAAATGTCAAGAATTAATTGACAGTGTCTCATTTTGTTTTTTAATTATATAAAGCAATGCTTTCTCAAAAATCCATGTACATGGATATTAAATGTTATAGTACTAATTGGACACCATACTTATTTCCAAGTTAGCTGAAGGTAGGGTCAGTTTGGTCCTCTACTTGTCAAACTATTATAGTTTGTGGTATAGATATCTGCCTCCTCATCCAGACTGAGTGCTCCTTAAGGGTGGCACTGTGCTGGATTCCCATTGCCTAGTACAAGACAAGGTACCAAGTAAATTTGCAACCACTGTTTATCAAAGATACGATTGAATGATGGAATGAGTATTAATATAAATATAAATACTTAAAAGAATGAAGACTAGGTAGGGACTTTAATATCTCACCAAAGGTATAAAGCAATTTTGTTTTCTGTGCTGGCATGAGACAGCTGTCAGCATCTTAGACAGCCTGCCAATACAACCAGGATATGCTTGCACAGTTTCTGTTTGTAATAATCTCAAATGCACATGTAGTCAATACTGCCACCCCAAATCAATGAATCCTGCCACAACAAAAATTATTCTGCCCTTTTCTTGTATAACACAACGTGAGTTCAAATAACCTTTAAGGAAATATGCTATTACATCAAGAAATAATGTCAAACCTCCCCAAAATATTTAAGAGTTGCTACTGCCATTACCACCGTCTTCTCTCTTTAAGGAGTAAATACTAGGAAGTATGGAGCAGTCAGAATATTGCCTGTGATTAGGATTATATTGCAACTGCAAATTCTGCTATTTCTCACAACTCTTACATAAAACTAATGAATTTATTCACTAGCGCTAAAATAAATGGAGTTCAATAAACAACAGAAACAGGCATTTCATGAGAAAGAAGGAACTTGGTGAGTAATAAAGAGGCATAATTTGAAACATTTTTATGGCTTTTATATTAAATGACTGATACTAACTAGAACATTTTTAGTGTTGCTCACAGTTGTATGGTGAATAGCTACTTCATCCACTCTAAATGTCCACAAATTAATTTAATCCTTATATTGTTGGCCAAATTTCATAGTCTCTATCTGCAAGTGCAAAGAAAGCAGATAGTTCCCTTTAATCCCCCAAAAAAATCCTGACCATTGTTATGTATGTCATTTTCAGGAAAACTCTAAACTCTAGCCACCTGTCCCTTGTTTTCTGATCGAGCCTCAGTTATCTGCCCTAAGGGATAAAAAAAAGCAGAAGAAAATCCATATTTTCTCTTAAGCTTTGGAAATGCTTTCTGTGATCATGGCAGCAGATATCACTTTACAATTCTATTTTGTTTATGCTCCTTTTGAAAAGCCTTTCTATCTCCTGAGTTTAACAGCTGGAGAAGGGCAGGGGAGCCCTACTGGAGAAAAGATTAAAAATGAATTCAATTTGCTTCAAGAAAGAGGGAAGGGGCAAGTTTAAAGGAGTATGCATAAAACAAAACTGACTGTGAGTCCATAGCTGGTGAAGCTGAGTGATAGATACAAGGGGGTTCTCTCTATCCTTTAATATGTTTCAAATCCCCTATAGTATAAAAGTTATTTCAAAATGCAAATGACCCATAGTCTGTAGTACATCGATATATGATATTTATTGAGCATTTAAAATGTTTCAGGCCTTGTTTTGGGCAAAGAGGTAAAAATACATAAGCCAGGATATTTGTCCTAATAACTTAGTGGATTTAATTAAAGCAACAATAAATTATAAAATACTACTGATCACATATTATGTGCCAGGACTATATTATCTCATTTAAACCTCACTATCCTCATAATGGAGGCTCAGAGAAGTTAACTGACTTGTCTAATGTCATACAGCCTGCAATTGGCTGAGCATAGATTCTAGCTTAGGTCTGATAAACTTCCAATTGCATGCCCTTAAACACCAGGAAATATACAGAATCCATAGTTACTGAAATACTAGGAGAAATCTTCGCCAGGGAAACATGCCTTTGGGTAACAAAAGGGCCATAATGGTTTTTCCACTACAAAGCCACAAAAAGTAAATGTGTCAACCAACGGAGAAAGCATTCCAATGATCTAATTGCCTTACAGATACTAAGCTGAAACATGCCATGTAAATAAGGCACTGTCTGGGATGCAACAAAAGAAAATGATCTCCAGTTCAGCATACAATTTATATGCGTCATCTGCCTCAAAGAAGTAAATCAAGCCTGTCCACTTGAAATAGAAAAGATGAAACCCATTAAATAACATCATTATCATTCATCATATTTTTTCTAATGCTTTTATTTTGATTAAGGATGAAAACACATCTTGGTCCATTTTAATATATACTTATTGTCTGAAAGCTTTTCATGTGAGGACAGTGGGTTTCCTGATTTTAATAGTCTGGTTTTGAACTTAAAGTGAACAGTAAAAGACAATTCACTTGCAGAGAATGTTCTGTTCCAACTAATTCCACGCGTAATTTTAGCAAAGCAATAAAATTGTATGAGCTTTTTCCAGGCTCAAGTACAATTACAGGCACTATTTTAAAAAGGCATTAATTCTTCTTTGAAAAATATGAATCATTTTTTCAAAAATCAATAAATAAAGGTATATGCAATTGTCAAGTGCTCAAATTGTAGTAATATAAATAGGAACACTACTTTGGTTAAATGGTTCCTAATCATCCCGCTTTGTACAATTAAAAATAAAACACACACATTCCTGCATATGGGCACACACACACACATACACACACACAAACAATGATGTGACACGTTGCGAAGAAGGTGTTTTCCTTATTAATTTAGAGATGGAACATCCATTTCTTTCAAATGCTTGAAATAAAAGAATAAACATAACTGAATAATAAAAAAGACTTTAGACAAGGCCTTTATCAACCGGAAAGAGTCAGAAAATCCAGTACACATGCAGCTGTATATACTGAGAACAAATAAATACCTTTAAAAATACAGCATCCCACTTTTTTTTCTTGAATAAAGCACAATCCTGGTTTGAATACAAACTTAATGTTTGCCCCACAATAAACTAGGTAAGAATGGGAAAGGGGACATCGCATATGTAGATCTATGGTGGAAAGAATTAGGGAGATAACTGAAAATACCACAGACCTTAAGTAAACAGTTCAATAAATAGTTTACAACTTTCTACAGTCCAGTGATATGCTAGTAAACCAGACTACTGAAAAATAAAACCATGCTATGTAGCATTTGTTGATTTCCATGCTGAAGATACCACTATTCCAGTAGGCTACTTCAAGCTACTGCTGTGAGGTATTGAAAGGAAGGTTGGAAAGAGATGCACATAATTGGCACGGTAGAACTTGGTAAGAGCTGACTCCACGACACCACTGTGTATACCCATGTAACCGAATACCAATTAACATAAAATACTTCTATCGCCCTAGAAAGTTCCCTAATGTCCCACTCTAGCCAACTCCTACTGCCAACAAGAAATTCCTCTTACAATTTTTAACACTGAAGATTAATTCTGCTTGTTCTTAAAGTCCGTAAAAAATATTAATACTATTATATTATTTATTATCAGCTTCTATACTCAACAAGATTTTTTCAAGATGTATCCTTGCAGTTGTACATATCAGTATTAACTGACATAATTGTTGTGTATTATTTCATTATATGAATATACAATTATTGATCAATTTTCCTGTTGGAAATCTGTGGGGTTTTTCCCCACTTTTAAAATAATATAATAAAACTGCTATGAATCATACCTGTAAAGTCTCTGTGTAAACAGAAATTTTATTTCTCTTGGAGAGGTAGTATGATGAGGAGTTCCAAAATCACGTTGAAAATGCCTGTTGAACTCTATAAGAAAATGCCTGTTGAACTCCGTGAGAAAATGCCAGAGTTTTTCCCAACTGACTAACATTCTGCATTCCCACCAGAAATGTATGAAAGATGTTGCTGCTTCATATCCTTGCCAATATTCAGAGTTGTCAGTCTTTTTAATTTTAGCCATTTGAGTGGGTGTGAAGTGGTATCTCATTATGTTTCAAATTTGCATTCTTTGATGACTAATGATATTGAGCAACTTTTCATAAGCTTATTGCCAATTTGCACATCTTTTTTGGTGAAGTGTTTGTTCAAGAACTCAATTTTCTTTTTTATCTTTGGTTGTATGACTTTTTGTATTTAATTGAAGAATACTTTATATATTACAGTTGTGAGATCTTTGATAGTTATATATGCTGAAAATATCTTCTATTCTATGGCTTATCTTTTCGTTTTATTTATAATGATTTGTGATAAAAACTTCTTAATTTAATGGGATTCACTTTATCATAATGTTTTCTTTTATACAAAGGATTTGTGTATCCTAAGAAGTCTTTGCTTAACTCATGAAGATGCTTTCCCACATATTCTTTCAAAAACTATAGTTTTGGCTTTTAGAATTACGTCCATGATTAATTTCAAATTAGTCTAGAGTGGTATGTATAGTTCAAGAGTGTTTGGATGCACCCCTCCACACACACGGTTATCTTGTTTTTCTAGTACTGGATGTTCAAAAGAAGTTACTTTTTAAATTCAATTGATGGGAAAATTTTAACAAAATCCATTGACCATGTGTATAAGAGTATATGTCCAGTCTCTATACTGATCCATTAATTTTCTTTAATATCTGTATGACAATGTCATACAGTCTTAATTCCTAGCATTTGGTACATCTTGAAATGAGAAAGTGTGAGTTTTCAAGTTGGTCTTCTTTTTAATATCATTCTCATTACTCTAGGTATATCACATTTTCATATAAATTTTAGAATCAGCTTTCAATATTGTAGAAGAAATCTTGCTGTGGTTTTAAGTAAGGAGAATACAGTTGTATAAATCAATATGAAAATAACATGCACATGTATGTTTATTGCGGCACTATTCACAATAGCAAAGACCTGGAAGCAACCCAAATGTCCAACAAGGATAGACTGGATTAAGAAAATGTGGCACATATACACCATGGAATACTATGCAGCCATAAAAAATGATGAGTTCATGTCCTTTGTAGGGACATGGATGAAATTGGAAATCATCATTCTCAGTAAACTATCGCAAGAACAGAAAACCAAACACCGCATATTCTCACTCATAGGTGGGAATTGAACAGTGAGAACACATGGACACAGGAAGGGGAACATCACACTCTGGGGACTGTTGTGGGGTGGGCGGGGGGGAGGGATAGCATTAGGAGATATACCTAATGTTAAATGACGAGTTAATGGGTGCAGCACACCAGCATGGCACATGTATACATATGTAACTAACCTGCACATTGTGCACATGTACCCTAAAACTTAAAGTATAATAATAATAAAATTTAAAAAAAGAAAAAAAAAAGAAAATAACTGGCATCTTCTCAATATTGAATCTTCCCAATCTCGAATTGGGTTAGTCTCTCCTTTTGATTCTTCATTCTCTCAGCAATGTTTACAGTTTTCAAGATAAAGGTTTTGTCCTTTACCTTTTTGATGTCATTGTAAGAGCTAGTTGTTGTCAGTTTATTTTGTCTTCCAATTGTTTTCTGCTAGAATAAAAATAAATGGATATTTTTATATTGACCTCATACCCAGCAAATGTAAATATTCACTTCAATACAATAAATAATTTTATCTATAAATTCAGGCATTTTCACTTCTTCCTTTTCAATCTGTGTGCCTAAAAATGTTGTTTCTTGCTGTACTGCTTTGGCTAGAATTTCCAATATGATGTTGAACAGAAGTGGTATGAGTAGAAATTTTTGCCTTCTTCTTGATTTCTGGAAAAAATATTAAGTATTAATCATTAAATAACAAGTTGGTTGTTGAATTTCCATGAGTGCCTTTAATCAGAAAAAAGAAATTTCATTCTACTCGTAGTTTGCTCAAGCTTTTCTCACAAATTGGTGTTGAATTTTTTCAAATACATTTTCTCCAACTTTTGAGATAAAAATGTGTTTTTTTCTCCTTTGTTCTGTTAATGCGGGAAATCACAATAATTATATTTACAATAGTAAACCAAAATGGTATTGCTGGAACAAATCGCACTTAGAGATGCAGTAACATCATTTAAAATATGTTGCTTATTGGATGGGCAGGCCTGTAATCCCAGCACTTTGGGAGGCCCACGCAGCGGAGTTCTAGACCAGCCTGGCCAACATGGCGAAACCCCGTCTCTACTAAAAATACAAAAATTAGCTGGGTGTGGTGGTGTGTACCTGTAATTCTAGTTACAAGGGAGGCTGAAGCAGAAGAATTGCTTGAACCTGAGAGGCGGAGGTTGCTGTGAGCTGAGATCATGCCACTGCACTCTAGCCTGGGCAACAGAGCACAAATCTGGCTCAGAATAAATAAATAAATAAATAAATAAATAAATAAATAAATAAATAAATAAATAAGTTGCTTATTTAATTTGATAGTATTTTATAAATGATTTTAGCGTCTATTTTCACGGGGGATTTGGTTTCTAATTCTATCTTCTTGTAATGTCTATCAGATTTGAGTATGAAGATTATGTTGTCTTCATAAAACAATTTGAGATATATTAAATATTATAACAAGAATTATTGTTTGTAAGATCGATATTATTTCTTCATTTGGTGTTTCATACTATTCACCATTAAAATCATCTGGGCCTCTTTTTTTTTTTTTTAGATTTTTCTGGGACTTTTCATAATGAATTAAATCTGTGCATTACATACAGTAGTATTTGGATTTTCTATTTCATCTTGAGTCAGTTATGGTAAGTTGTGTTTTTCAAGAACTTGGTCCACTTCATCAAAACTGTTCAATTTATTGAGGGCCACTTATGCGTAACATTATCTTATCATCATCTTATTAAGTGAAGGATTGGTAGTGATGTTCCCTCCTTCTTTCTTCGTATTGACAATTTATGTTTTCTTTCTACTGTTCTTGGTCAGTATTGCTAGGAGTTTATTTGTTAAAATCTTTAAAGAATCAATTGTGCATTAATTTTACCTACTTTTTGTTTTCTATTTCAATGACTTAGGCTTAATAATTTACTTCCTCTATATATTTACGTTTTAACTTGCATTCTTTCTCTAGGTTTTTAGGTAAAAATTTAGATCAATGTTTTAAAAACTTTTTCTATTCTAGTATGAGCATGCAATGCAGTGGTTTTCAATAGCGGGGTATCTTTGTCCCTAAGGGGACATTTGGTGATGTCCAGAGACATTTATGTGTGTTACAACTGGGGCATTACTCTTTCAAGTCAGCAAGGAGAAACTCTTGTTCCAGTCTACTAAGATGAAGTCTTCTATAACCCAATGTAATCATGAGAATGACATCCCATCAACTTTACCATGTTGTATTGGTTGAAAACAAGTCATGAGTCCTACCTGCAGTCAAATGGAGGAGATTACATAAGGGCATGGACACCAGGAGGTAGGAATCATGGGGGGCTACTTTGTGGTCTGAACAGTACAGTTGGTATTTTATTTACCAACTTGTTCCTTATTTTCTATTATCCTCTGTGCATGTGTGTTTGTGTGTGTGTTCCTGTGTTCCTGCTTACCTTCCTGCTATAGTTCAGATATTTGTCCCCATCCAAAACTCATGTTGAATTGTCATCCCCAATGCTGGAGTTGGGACCTAGTGAGATGTATTTGGTTAATGGGGACGTATCTCCTGGCTTGGTACTGTCTTTGTAATAGTGAGTGAGTTCTTGTGAAGTATGGTCATTTAAAAGTATATGGAGCTACCCCCTTCTCAACTCTCGCTCTCACTCCTACTTTCACCACGTGAGGTACCTCCTCCCCCTTGACCTTCTGCCATAATTGTAAGCTTCCTGAGGCTTCCCTAGAAGAAAAGAAGATGCCAGCACCATGCTTCCTGTAAAACATGCAGAATTGTGAGCCAATTACATCTCTTTTCTTTGTAAATTACCCAGGCTCAGGTATTTCTTGATAGCAATCCAAGAACAGTTTAATACTCTTCCTAAATGACTCCTTTGGATTAACTGAATAATTTTATTATTGCATTTTAATGACTGTATTATTTTAGCTATGTCTGTTTATTATTTTTCAATCATCATTCTAAAGATTCCAATATCCACCCTTATTCATTAGCATCTTAGAATAAATATTGTACTAGTTTATGTAAAAGGAAAGAATCATAAAACTGTATAATTCTATTTATTTCCCAGCCTTTGTGCTACATTTTACTTTTAAAAATATGGTGAAATCCCTGTAATACGGTATTACTTTTCTTTATCATGTCTTTTAAAGAATTAAGAAGTTAAAAAATTAATGATTTATATGTGCTCATATATTTAACTATATCCAAAGTGCTATTCCAATCTGATACCACTACCCTCTTGCCTGAAAATGATCCTCCAATATTTCTCGTAGTGCAGGACTCCTGGTGACAAATTTTTTCAAATTTCAGTTTTCTGAAAATATAGTTTTTGGCCCTCATTTTCCAAGGCTGTTTTCACTGAATATAGAAATGTGGGTTATTTTTTTTCCTCTGGGCACTTTAAACATATGCCATTGTTTTAGGGCCTCAATTATTTCTAATGAAAATTCAGCTGATATTAATTCACACCGTTGTTCCTCTTTGTGTAATTTGCCATTTTTCTCTGCATGTTTTGAAATTTTTCTATTTATAATTCATGTTATGCGGTTCAACAATGATGAGGCTATGTGTAGCTTTCTTTGTAATTACTTGTGTTCACTGAGTTTCTTAGATATGTAGTTTTATGTTTTTCAACCAATATAGGAAATATTTAGCCAATATTTCTTTAAATGCATATATTTTTTCTAACTCATTCTCTCTCTCCCCTCCAATAAGACTCAAGCTATTTGTGTGTGTATATTTGTTTAATTTTTCTCCTTGTTTAATTTTTCAATGTTTTACTCTGTTCTTCGGATTGTATTTCTAATGCTCTGATTTACTTTTCAGTGACCCTTCTGCAATCTTCATTCTGCTGCCACATTTATGTGATGATTTCATTTTTTAGCTTGATTTACCTTTTTTTTAACTGACACATAATAATTACACTTATTTATAGGGTAGAAGGTGATGTTTCAATACATGTATACAATATATAATAATCAAACTAGGTTAATCCATCTGACAAAGGGCTGATATCCAGAATCTACAAGGAATTTAAACCAATTTACAAGAAAAAAACAAACAACCCCATCAAAAAGTGGACGAAGTATATGAACAGACACTTTTCAAAAGAAGACATTTATGCGGCCAACAAACATATGAAAAAAAGCTCATCATCACCGGTCATTAGAGAAATGCAAATCAAAACCACAATGAGATACCATCTCACAGCAGTTAGAATGGTGATCATTAAAAAGTCAGGAAACAACAGATGCTGGAAAGGATGTGGAGAAACAGGAACGCTTTTACACTGTTGGTGGGAGTGCAAATTAGTTCAACCATTGTGGGAGACAGTGTGGTGATTCCTCAAGGATCCAGAACTAGAAATACCATTTGACCCAGCAATCCCATTACTGGGTATATGCCCAAAGGATTATATATCATTCTACTATAAAGAAACATGCACACGTATGTTTATTGCGGCACTATTCACAATAGCAAAGACTTGGAACCAACCCAAATGCCCATCAATGTTAGACTGGATAAAGAAAATGTTTCACATATACACCATGGAATACTATGCAGCCATAAAAAAGGATATGTTCATGTCCTTTGCAGGGACATAGGTGAAGCTGGAAACCATCATTCTTAGGAAACTAACATAAGAACAGAAAACCAAACACCACATGTTCTCACTCATAAGTGGGAGTTGAACAATGAGAACATATGGGCACAGGGAGGGGAACATCACACACAGGGGCCTGTCGGAGGTTGGAGGGCAAGGAGAGGGATAACATTAGGAGAAATACCTAATGTAGATGATGGGTTGATGGATGCAGCAAACCACCATGGCACATGTATACCTATGTAATAGACCTGTATGTTCTGCATATGTATCCCAGAACCTAAAGTATAATAAAAACATAACATAATACAATAATGGAAGTGATACCTCCTTACATTCACAGGTTACAGGACTAGGTGGGGCATCTTTGGAGGGCCATTTAGAAATCCTGCCACTGTACCATTTATTGACAATCTATGGTATGCTTGGCACCTTATGCATTAAAGTGTAATTCATGATGATCCTAAAGATTTGTAGTATAATTCACACTTATATTAGGAAAATGAGATGCAGTGATTTAAAATATGCACGCTTACATACCATGTAAGTGTTAGCACTGTTTTTCAAGTCTGGTCTGACTAGCCTGGCACATGTCATTAATTACCATGTTTCTCTAACATTTAGGTGCTGATGTATCAGAAGCCAATTACGATCATCATTTGGTGGCATTTAATAGAGAATGAAATCTGCAAATGTCACCAAAGTTAAAGGTTTATTAAGCAAAAAATTACTATGAAAATCTAAGCAACTTGATTAATGATTCCTTTTGCTAGTTTTTGAGCATCCTTGATATTACTTATCTTAAGTAATATTTCGGTAGATTTAGCATAGTGATAAATTCCTACGATTAGCATCATTTCTCTTCAAAAGTAATTTCTTAATTAAACTATGCTGGATAATAGACAATGACGAAGTAAAGGCTTTTGTAGGAAGAATTCTTTGCTCTTAGTTCTGAGAAAGGAGAATAACCTAGGATGCAAATTATCTGCACAACTGGTCACTTTCCACTGAGTTCGATGGATAGATGAATGTGATGATGTTCCTATATCAGTTGGTATATAATTTCAATATATATTTGCAAATTATTTATTCAAATGTGGACTAATTAGCATATACAGCAAGCAATTTTTATAACTGGCCAGTACAATTTATATTTCTAGCAACCAAGCATAGTAGAGGAAAATAAAGAGAAACTAAATGGATTATCCAGGGTTAAAATCAAATCACCCATGAAGATGACAACTGAGCATGTCTAAAAAGAACAATTTCTTTAAGAAAAGGTAGGCATTATTTGGAAAGACATTAGAAACAGCAACAGTGAATGTATCAAGGCTTCTATTTTCAGTTCTGATGTGCAAAGTGCATGGAAGTCTTCACTCTTGTTCTTACAGCAAAAACAAAACAAATAAATAAATTTTAAAAATCTGGACAAATAAAATCAGTGACTTTCAGAGAAAACCAGAGAACTGAGGTCTCAAGATGAGCTGTCACTGAAAAATCCAGAAATACAGGAACATCCACAGAGAGGACTCAAGATTTGCTTACCTAGAAAAATGCCACTCAAATCCATTAGCTGCAAGAACACGGCTACTTTGACAAACTGTGGGAGGCTGAATGTGTACTGGCACCCGATGGAGAAATTCCTGGGGCCAAAGTTTTAGGGGACGCCTCCACAACTATGTAAACTTTCACTACAAGAACACTAAATTCTTATGATAAGCATCTGAGAAAGATCTTCTCTTGGCCCTGGCTGGGGGACGTGAAGAGTAATCATTGGGAAATACATCCATATTCTTTTCCATAACAGAAAACAACTCTCCAGGAAATAAAAGACTTTCCCAGATCTTCATGCAGGAGGAGAAAAAAAAAATATTCCTTCCATTCTACCCCTTCCAATCTTCCTGTCTCACCTAAGGGAGATAAAAGCACAAATCTAGTCAAGAAGAGTCAGAGCTTCTAGGAAATTGATTAGAAATGCAGCAGCCAGGGAATGGAAATAAAGACAGAGAGAGAAAAAATCTATAACCCTGGAGCAATACTTGTAAAGGTCACGGTCCAGAAACACAGATCCACCAAAAATTCAATGGAGAAAGTTAAACTCACAGAAACCTCAAGCATGACTAGAAATTGGTATGGAACCAATTCTAGTTTCTGGGAATTTAGAACATAATTACAGCCTGGTAGTTATTTGGGTTTATGAGGGCCAGATATTCTGACCAACATCTACTTCATCGTAAGCCCAATGGGACCCTGAAGGCAGTGTGTGTGTGTATGTGTGCGTGTGAGTGTGTGCACATGCGCATATCTGTACTCCCTCTTTACTATATTCTAAGTTTACATCTATTTGGGGTTCTGTTTCTTGGCTCTCTATTATCCTATATTTGATCCAAATCTACATGAGTGCTATAATGCTTTATCTACTCTAATTTATGAGTAAATTTAATATCAGCTATGCTTGCCCCTTCTGCCCCCATACTCATTTTCAGTTTTGTTCCCTATCCCCACCCCAGCTGTATCCTCACATTTTTATTTTTCCAAAATCAGTTTGCAAAATTTTTAATAAACAATAACACTGTCATTTTAGTTAGGATAAAATTTAATTTTTAGATTAATTTGAGAACATTGACAGCTTTACCATATGGAGTCTTACTAAGCAAGAACAAGGCTTTTCTTGCCATTTACTTAAGTATGGTTTATCTCCCTAAGTGAAGTTTCAAAGTTTTCTCCTAAACTGTCCTGTACATTTACTGTAAAGTCAATTTCTGGTTATTCCGTCCCTGTGCTTGCTTTTATAAATTATATGTCATTAATATGTTATATATAATTTATGTTAATTTTATAATCAGTCACATGCTGGGTTTCTTTAATGGCTTTTTTGTTCATTGAGATTTTCAGCTGCGACATCATATGATATTCAAATAATCCTAATGCGGATATGTCTCATCATTTCTAAAACTCGTTATTTCTTTGCCTTATGTAATTGCATTGTTGACTTCTTTCAGAACAATGTTAAATGATACTCATGATAGAGACATTCATACTAATAAGAATAATGATGACTATTTTTCAGAATGTGCCATATGCAAGACACTATTCTAAGTGCTTTCCTAATAAGTTTATTTCATATTCAGAATGACCTTATAAGAATTCTAGCTAGAAAATGTGACCTCAGAAACTGTTCTCTTTTCTACAATACAATATTGCCTCTCTTAGAAATCCATGCCTCTAATGTAGATTCTCAAAGTGCAATTCATAGACCACTATATCAGTATTACATGGATTCTTAATAAAATGCAAATTCCCAAGTCTCTCCTATAAACATACACTCTCAGGTATTGGGGGCATTGCCTAAATTCCTCATTAAACCAAACTCCTCAGATGACTCTTCTGAACATTCAGCTTTGAAAACCATTACTCTGGTATTTCTCTTTGATCACAAAGGTGAGATCTGATTTGATTTATACAGTTTTTTTTAAAAAATTTTCTCTAACAAGATATCCATCTATTCCAATTTGATTATGAGCTTATATAATAAAAAATTTCCAAATTTCATTAAATGCTTGATTTGCCAGTTTTTTTCTCTGGCTTATATACTAAATTGTGTGAATAAATTTTCTCATGTTAGGACTTCGCTTGGAATTTTGGAGTTAATGTCACTTGAAAACAATAGTATGTTTTGCAAATGCTACTGGATTCTGTTGGCCAATATTTTCTTTCAATTTTTTTCTTTGTCTTTGGATCTTCTGCAGGTTACTATGTAACTAATTTGTAGTTTTTAAAATTTGTTTTTCTGATTGATGTTCTCTTATCTTCCTGATTCTGTAGTTTCATGTCTGTCACTAATTTTGCAAAGTTCTCATCCATTTTTACCTAAAATATTTCTTCTTCCCCATTCTTTTATCATTCTCTTTCTAATATTCTAATTATGCATACTTTAGGCCTTTTGAAATTATCCCACAATTATTGTTGTTTTACTTTTTTCTTTTTTTTCCTTTTGCATTTCATGTTGGGAAGTTTCTACTAATCTATCTTCACTCACTGATTCTTCCCTCAGCCATGTCAGGTCTACTGATTAGTTTATCAAAGGCATTCTTCATTATCGTGAAGAGTTTTTGATTTCTAACATATTATTGGGAATTCTAGCTTAGAATTTTCACTTTTGCTTGTTTTACCCATCTATTCTTGCATGTTGTCCTCTATTTTCATTAGATGCTTTAATATAGTAATCATAGTTATTTTAAATTTTCTGTCTGATATTAAGAGAATCTGTGCCATACTTGGCTCTGATGATTGCTTTGTGTATTCAGATGATTTTTTGACTGTTGTGTAGGGCCAGGTGTGTGTGTATGCATGTAAGTGTGTGTATGTGTGTAAGTGTGTGTGTGGGGGGGTGTATTTTCCCTTCTGTATGCATTATAATTTTTGGTTGAATGTCTAATGCAATTTATTGTGTAAGAGGGACTGAAGTAAATAGGCCATTTGTATGAGGTTTTATGTTTATTTGTCTAGAAGTTAGCTTGTATTTAATGTTTGCTGTAGCTACAGGTGCCAGAAGGTTCAACTCCCTCTAGTATAATTGATTTTATCCCCACTCTTGACTTCCAGCTTTCTTAAATACTCCTCTTCAGAGAGTGTCTATGTCTTGCAGTTCTTTCAGCTGTAATCCACTGTTATTATACTGAAACCTCAAGGATGTGATGGGAAGGTGTGGAGGAGAGGGGAATTCCCTAATATTCTGATTATATCTAAGCCTTCCCATGGACTTATGTTTCTAAGATGCGACTTTCACACATATTCCTTCAGGGCTATACATTTCCATCCCCCACACCCTGCTCATCTTCTTATCCATTCCCTGGCTGCACCATTTCCATCTATTTCTTACAATAATAGGCAATAATTTCTTGTTTGCCTTTCCTGCAGGGTCGCAGCTAGCACCACTATCAGAAGGCTTACAAAGTTTTTGATCCACTTGCATGAGATTATGTATAACATCATGTAAGACTGGAAGACTGGAAGACCAAATCCACATTATAAGAGGTATGAGAGCATTCCCATGACAAAAGGATCCAATGATTATATCACCCTCTGCATGACCCAGAGGCTACTAATCTTACATTGTATTAGAATGGCCAACTGAGGCCCTATCTTAATCACCTCTATAGAGGTGATGTTCTGTGAGATTGGGATAGTATCCTTTAGGCTATCTGATTTGTATAACTTTTCTATGGAAAATAAGACTTCATGAGTCTGGGAACCAAAAGGTGAAAGCAAGAGCCACCCCTCATACCATCTCTCTGAATGACTTACTGCAGGACTTTTCGCTTCCTTTCCTGTCAACTCTGGGATCTGCTGGGTAAGAGATCATGGTCCCAAGTGGAAACACTTCTGTCAGGGGATGGAAAACGTTTCATCGAACTACAGGCTATCATGGTTTCCTAGGTACTTTGAACACTTCGTATCCAGGGACCAGCAAAAAGAAAAGAAGAGACACTAGTCTGGCAATATGTAGAACCCAGGTGATCTACCTGGACATCCTCTAATACTCCATTGCTCAATTTTAACAATGAATGGCAGGGTACAGTGACTTTGGTCTGAGAAGGCATGGTGACAAGGGGCTTAGGCCTATCAGAAATGAGGTTCTGTGTCATTTACCTAAGTACCTGTGAGGTGGTAGCTGAGCATAAGAGGTTATGAATTAATAGTGGAAGAGAGAGAGAATAAGCATTTATTACCATACCAAGACTAACTGTGATAGCAGGGGCTCTAATTTGTTCTTTGAGCATCCCTATTGTAACCTTCCTTTCAGGAAAATGGTCTACCATAATCTTGGAAGAGATGCTCCCCTAAAATATTTGAAGAAGTAGATCTAAACAATCCAAGTAGATCTAAACAATCCTTTTCTCATCCCCCATGTCCAGGTTAGACAGTCCTTCTTTGGCCCCCATAACATTGTCTTGGATTGTTTAGATCTGCTTCTTCAGATCTAGAAATAGGGATGTGCTACCTTGATCTGCACTCAAGAAATGACTCACCGTCCAGCTTTTACAAGTGTGGTCAGCCGACAGCCTCTACTAGTTATCACCTTTAGAGATTGGCTCAAGTGCAGAAACCCGCTTCTCCCAAGGTCACAAACTTCCCAGGGCAGACTGCATCTGATAATTGAGTTAGGTGGGGAAATAGATTCCTAGCCATTCTAGTCCTATGCAGGGAATCTCTGATGAGCAATATTTAATCTGGAGCTTCCGTAAGGATTGACTAAGGCTTTGTTAGGCCTGAATCACAGTTTAACATTTATTTTTGCCCAATCCTGCTTCACCTTCATTCATTACACAAGTATTGATCCCTAATTAAACATCTTGTATCCCAGACTGTGTCTCAGCACCTGCTTTCAGAAAACCCAACCTGTGCATCCAGTAAACTTTTAAAACAACAGCTGGTTTCCCAAGCTAATACATTGATACAGAAGTCTCTGGTGGTGACCAAACATATAGGAAAAGTTAATTCCTAGAAGACAAGTTTGGTAAACTTGCTCTTCCTCTAGATCCTCAAAGGAAGAGTAGTTGGTTTTCAGGATTTTCCATAGGAGACTGGATAGAGCAATCTTTCCAAGTTGCTTCAAATTAGAAGCAGCAGCACAGTTTCACTGAAGGCAGAATTGACTTAGCAAATTCAGCAAATAAACAAGGAGAATTGCCACTCCAAGTACTGAGATGCCCCACTTTGGTCAGTTGACTGGGCCCATCAAGTACCATGGGATTTAAGGTCTTCATCCCAATCAGTAGAAAGCTTCTGGGTCTATGATCCTTTCTTGTTATAGTCTTGTCCTCCTGCTGCCCCACTTCTCCTTGAGTGCTCCAGGCCTTCATATTTGACACCCTCTTAAGGTTGTTAAAATAGGCTGAGCTTCAAAAGACACATGAAAAAATGCTCACCATCACTGGCCATCAGAGAAATGCAAATCAAAACCACAATGAGATACCATCTCACACCCGTTAGAATGGCGATCATTAAAAAGTCAGGAAACAACAGGTGCTGGAGAGGATGTGGAGAAATAGGAACACTTTTACACTGTTGGTGGGACTGTAAACTCGTTCAACCATTGTGGAAGACAGTGTGGCGATTCCTCAGGGATCTAGAACTAGAAATACCATTTGACCCAGCCATCCCATTACTGGGTATATACCCAAAGGATTATAAATCATGCTTATAAAGACACATGCACACGTATGTTTATTGCGGCACTATTCACAATAGCAAAGACTTGGAACCAACCCAAATGTCCAACAATGATAGACTGGATTAAGAAAATGTGGCACATATACACCATGGAATACTATGCAGCCATAAAAAAGGATGAGTTCATGTCCTTTGTAGGGACATGGATGAAGCTGGAAACCACCATTCTCAGCAAACTATCGCAAGGACTAAAAACAAAACACTGCATGTTCTCATTCATAGGTGGGAATTGAACAATGAGAACACATGGACACAGGAAGGGGAACATCACACACCAGGGCCTGTTGTGGGGAATTGAACCGGGGCCTGTAGGTGGGAATTGAACAATGAGAACACATAGACACAGGAAGGGGAACATCACACACCGGGGCCTGTTGTTGGTGCAGCACACCAACATGGCACATGTATACATATGTAACTAACCTGCACGTTGTGCACATGTACCCTAAAACTTAAAGTATAATAAAAAAAAAAGAAAAAAAAGAAGCTGAGCTTTTCTTATTGTTTGGGGTACCTAGAGAAGAGCTAAGAGAAAGAGGGAGTCATGAATATGAATTCAGGTTACCATCTTCTGAAACTCAGGTAAAAAGTCCCCAATTATGGAATAAATACCAGAAACACTGTGAATACATAGAAGCTCAAAGATTAACCCAGAAAGATATGTTTCATTCTATCATTTAAGACAGTTAAAACTACCACTTTGGAATAGATTAGTCTTCCTAAAACTGTAATGGCCCCAGAAGTACTTGTTCATTAAGAGGATGAAAACTAAATTTAAAATAAATATTGTCACAATAGTTAATGGCTAAATGACGACCTTCTGAAAATCACCTAATAAGCACATTTTAAATTATCTCCTTAGTGTGAGGTTATTATTAATAGAACTGTACATTTTTTTAAGAAAAAAGGAAAGAACATGGAAAGCTGGAGTCTTTAATTATATTTGATGATGATTATTATGACGATGTCAAGGGTAAAATCATAACAACAATGAAGATTACCACTTTAAAATAAATCCTTTACTGTTTTGGATTCAAAGCCATCCATTCACTGAACTACAAGTTTTTTATCAAAGCAGCATGACATACTTGTTAAAGCATGTACTTTGGAATAAATTTTAAAGAAGCAAGTTTGTAGATCTGTTTTTTTTAATGTATTAGTTGTACGAACCTGAAGAAGTTACTTAACATTTCTAAGACTCAGATATATCATTTCTGAAATTAGGATAATATGAATAACTATATCTTATGGTTATCAGGCTTAAGTTAGGTGATATTAATGTACCTAGCATATTCCTGTGATACGTCTGTTAAAAAATAGTCAGATGAGGTCATCAGGACCCCAACCACCCCTCTTCCATTTGAGATTATATGGAATCAATAGTTCATCATAGAGTCAGCACTTCCAGGTGCATTTTTATGGAAAGAAGAAAACTAAAGGTTGCTGTATTACAAGTTTTGTAGGTATTTGTAAGCCGTTAATGGGTTTTTCAAAGTGAGAATATTTCAAGGTGCATTCTCTGTGTTTAGATATGGCAATATTTGGAAACACTGAAAGTTAAGGACCAAATAGAAGAGGTAAAGACACACTAGTTTTTTTAAAGTTATAAAGCATGATCAATATGTAAGAGGAACCTTTGCAAATTATAAATCCATTTGCATAAATGAATAAACCCCAAAGGAAAATAAACCTGTCACTGCATCTCATTAAGTCATAATAATCAAAGTTAAATGAAATAAGTCTTCCTGGAAGTAATTCAGAGGGTTACTGATATTTTTTTCTATGATACAATTATTTAAGTTGTAGAGAGTTCCTTGATATTTACTAACACCATAGAAGTAGATAGGTGAAAGTACAAAATGGATGAGGACATTGAGTAGGAAATGTTTACTGAATTCACAAAAAATGCAACAAAATCAGTGGGTAATACAATTTCACAAGATATTATTAAAGTCAGTGTTATATATATAGTATGTTTTTCATGAAAATAGTATCGATATTACATATAAAAATCAAAACAGACCAAAACAAAATAAAAGCAAAATAAAACAAAAGCTGAAATAAGATCAGCTAATTTCCCTACTGGATGAAACACTGAGTTGGTTGAGAGAAACAAATCTAGGTCATTAGAGAGACTTTAGGTCACAATGACATTGGTGATCCATAAACAAAGTGAATTGAAGAGCATTCTGAAGACAAAGCAGCTATAGAAAATACTTAGTGATTTCTTAATATGATCCTGTAGCCTATTTATGGATCTTCCTTCCTCTAACAAATGTTACAAAATGGAGGATTTCCTTGCTGCTTAAAACAAGTCTTTGTAACTTTTTTTTCTTAGCTAAGAAGAGGCTATTTAGAAACGGTAAGCCACCATCCCTTCCCCCAAGAAGAGGCTGGAGATGAGAGACATTTGGTTAGCTAAAGGACTACTGATCAGAGGGTTACTGATTTTTTTTAAAGGATTTTTTAAAGGACTACCTACTGGGGAGATCTAGGCACAGAAGCCAAGGCAGCCGCTGGGAGACCAAACAAGTTCACCATCTTTCTCCCAAACATGATCTGTCCAGTGCTTCCAGTTTCCTTTATTCTGAGTGATCATATATCCTAGGTTGATCTAGATTCCTAAATTTTGCTTGTTATTGTCAAGTGTAATTCTTAACAGTGCCTCCATGTACTCTATAAAGTGTCTTCATTCGGATAATAAATTATATGTTTACACCTCTGGTCTAAAACAATATTTTGCTTTCTCACTTCCACAACAGCCATTTAATCATGGTCCTATTGATTCTACCTTCCAGTCTGTCTGATGTCTGTTTCCTTTTCTTCTTATCTACCACTATCCTCAATCAAGCACCATCCTATTTTTTATATTACTAGATTACTGTACTAGCTTTCTAGCTGTTTTCCTATTTTCCAATTTCCCCCTTCTTAATACATTTACCTCAATGCACTCTATACTGTGATTTAGATTTTAAAAAACTGATATCACCTCTGTGCTTAAAAATTTTCTATGATTTCCTATTACCTTCATAATATAGTGTATACACTGTAGCAGGTCACGTAAGACCTTTTTGTCTGGTATCTACTTGACTCTGTGCTACAGTTTGGCTATTGGACCCTCCAAATCTCATGATGAAATTTGATTTCAATGTTGGAGATGGGGCCTAATGGGAGGTATTTGGGTCATGCGGGTGGATCCCTCATAAATAGCTTGGTGCTGTCCTTGCAGTAATGAGCGAGTTCTTGCCTTATTCGTTTCTGAAAGAGTTCCATAGATAACTTATTCTTAAAAACAGCCTGGCACCTCCCTCTCTTCTCTTTTGCTTCTCTCTTGCCTGTGGTTTCAGCACACGTGACTCCCCTTCACTTTCCACCATCAGTGGAAGCAGCCTGAGACCCTCACCAGAAGCAGATGCTGGCACCAAGCTTCTTGTACAGCTTGCAGAACAGTGAACCAAATAAACCCTTTTTCTTTATGAATTACCCAGTCTCAGGTATTCCTTTATAGCAACACAAATGGATTTAGACAGTCCATAACCTCAAATTTCTTCACTCTCCCACATTTATTAGGCTGTTTCCTAATTACTCTACCATTAATTCTGTACTCTGTTCTCTAACCATGTCAAACTCATTGGAGGTCACTTTTAGTACCCTGCTCATCTTGCTTTTGTGCCTTCACGCATGTTCCTCTACTGGAAACACTCCTTTTATCACCAATCCCTTCATCCATTTGGGATGTCACCAATGTTAGGGTCTCTTTTTTACTTTACAAAAAACATCTATGTATTTATAGCATACAATACGGTGTTTTGATACATGCATGCATTGTGAAATTGCTAATATATATTATTTATATATAATTATATATATTCACAATTAACAAATACATAATTATATATAATTATATATAATAACAACATATATAAACAACATATAAACTATAGATATAAACAATATGATGTTTTGATACATGCATGCATTGTGAAATTGCTAATATATATTATTTATATATAATTATATATATTCACAATTAACAAATACATAATTAATTATATATAATTATATATAATAACAACATATATAAACAACATATAAACTATAGATATAAACGATACGATGTTTTGATACATGCATGCTTAATTATATATATATAATTAGCCATTTTACAATGTATGCATGTATCAAAACATCATGTTGTTTATATCTCTATATTGTTTATATATATGTTGTTGATATATATAAAGATGTTTATATATATACATAAACTTACATATGTATAATTTTTTCTTCTGTGTTTGATGAGAATGCAAATTCTACACTGTTAGCAATTTTCAAGTATAAAGTATATTGTCTTAACTTAGATCTCATTTCCTTCAGGAAAGCCTCTTCTCAACCCCCACGTCCAGGTCACACAGTCCTTCTTTGGCCCCCATAACCTTGTTTACTTGTCCCATCAGAGTTTTCATACCACATTATCCTTATTTTATTTATAACAAATTAGAAATTCACACATATAAGGTCAATTTTCCAAGTTCAAAATATGAGTAAGAAACTGAGAAATAATTTAGATTGAAATCTACCTGGCTCCAAATCACCACACCAAACTGCTTTTCTTTCATCCTTCAAAATACACCCATGGGTGCCACAAAGTTGTTCTACATAATTTCAATAATTCTAGAAATGCATTTTTAGTGCCAAATGACCATAGAAACCATATATGGGACTCGGGGTAATTAATTTTTGTTCAAGTACCAAGGGACTATCAGAGGCAGAGGTCTTTTATCAATCCTCCGTGGCCCTAGACTCTACGTCTCAGATCTAGAGGAATAGTGGGTAAAAAATACACAGCACAAGTCTTGGATGGGTCAGACCTGAAGTGCAGACACACTGCCAAGTGGAGATAGCTGAAGTCCCTTTTTTGTGACTGGCCGCTGTCATTTGTTGTGTTTTTTTTTTTGTTTTAATGTAATTATTAGCCATTACATACGAAAATATGTCTCTTGTGTAACAATACAAAAATGTAGGTTTTAAATTTTTTCTGCCCTTGTTTTCTGATTCATCTCACTACAAACCAATAGATTTCAACCCTTCTCAAGATCCATGCAAAGGCCATGAACTCTCTACATAATTGAGATATGAGTATGTATATGCAGGTTGCCTGGACTAGGGGGAGATCCTTGAAGAAAACCAGATTGTGAGACAATTTGGATCCCTGAGATTAAATTATCAGCAAATTCTGGAAGGAGCCTGGAACACAGTCTACCTCTTACTAGAAAGACAGGGATGAAAGATGTTGACTCCTCTACATTTTCCCCCCTGTGCAATATTATACTTTTTGGTAACAGAAAGAGACAGGAAAAACAATTCAAATGGCAATCTGCCACAAACGCTTGCAAGCTCAGCCAGCTCCCAGAGACAAACAATGTAATGAGTCCTGTCAGCCCTCAGTGCAAAATTCTCTCCATTCAGTAAAGACAACTGGCAGGACAGGTAGGGCAACTTGAATTGACTTATACTTGGTTTGTTTATACTTGCTATGACTATGACAGTAAGAAAAAAAGCAGGTAAATCCCATACCCAAAATGCTCTGGATAAGTATTTCTCAAACTTAAGTGTCGTATGAATAACCTTGTGTTCTTGATAAAAATGCAGATTCTGAGTCAGTAAGTCTGAGATGGGGACTGACATGCTGTATTTCTTTTTTTTTTTTTTTTTTTTTGGCATTAGGACAGTTTATTTTATTTTATTTTATTTTTATTTATTTATTTTTTTTATTATACTCTAAGTTTTAGGGTACATGTGCACATTGTGCAGGTTACATATGTATACATGTGCCATGCTGGTGTGCTGCACCCACTAATGTGTCATCTAGCATTAGGTATATCTCCCAATGCTATCCCTCCCCTCTTCCCCGACCCCACCACAGTCCCCAGAGTGTGATATTCCCCTTCCTGTGTCCATGTGATCTCATTGTTCAATTCCCACCTATGAGTGAGAATATGCGGTGTTTGGTTTTTTGTTCTTGCGATAGTTTACTGAGAATGATGGTTTCCAATTTCATCCATGTCCCTACAAACGATATGAACTCATCATTTTTTATGGCTGCATAGTATTCCATGGTGTATATGTGCCACATTTTCTTAATCCAGTCTATCATTGTTGGACATTTGGGTTGGTTCCAAGTCTTTGCTATTGTGAATAGTGCCGCAATAAACATACGTGTGCATGTGTCTTTATAGCAGCATGATTTATACTCATTTGGGTATATACCCAGTAATGGGATGGCTGGGTCAAATGGTATTTCTAGTTCTAGATCCCTGAGGAATCGCCACACTGACTTCCACAATGGTTGAACTAGTTTACAGTCCCACCAACAGTGTAAAAGTGTTCCTATTTCTCCGCATCCTCTCCAGCACCTGTTGTTTCCTGACTTTTTAATGATTGCCATTCTAACTGGTGTGAGATGATATCTCATAGTGGTTTTGATTTGCATTTCTCTGATGGCCAGTGATGGTGAGCATTTCTTCATGTGTTTTTTGGCTGCATAAATGTCTTCTTTTGAGAAGTGTCTGTTCATGTCCTTCGCCCACTTTTTGATGGGGTTGTTTGTTTTTTTCTTGTAAATTTGTTGGAGTTCATTGTAGATTCTGGATATTAGCCCTTTGTCAGATGAGTAGGTTGCGAAAATTTTCTCCCATGTTGTAGGTTGCCTGTTCACTCTGATGGTAGTTTCTTTTGCTGTGCAGAAGCTCTTTAGTTTAATTAGATCCCATTTGTCAATTTTGTCTTTTGTTGCCATTGCTTTTGGTGTTTTGGACATGAAGTCCTTGCCCACGCCTATGTCCTGAATGGTAATGCCTAGGTTTTCTTCTAGGGTTTTTATGGTTTTAGGTTTAACGTTTAAATCTTTAATCCATCTTGAATTGATTTTTGTATAAGGTGTAAGGAAGGGATCCAGTTTCAGCTTTCTACATATGGCTAGCCAGTTTTCCCAGCACCATTTATTAAATAGGGAATCCTTTCCCCATTGCTTGTTTTTCTCAGGTTTGTCAAAGATCAGATAGTTGTAGATATGCGGCGTTATTTCTGAGGGCTCTGTTCTGTTCCATTGATCTCTATCTCTGTTTTGGTACCAGTACCATGCTGTTTTGGTTACTGTAGCCTTGTAGTATAGTTTGAAGTCAGGTAGTGTGATGCCTCCAGCTTTGTTCTTTTGGCTTAGGATTGACTTGGCGATGCGGGCTCTTTTTTGGTTCCATATGAACTTTAAAGTAGTTTTTTCCAATTCTGTGAAGAAAGTCATTGGTAGCTTGATGGGGATGGCATTGAATCTGTAAATTACCTTGGGCAGTATGGCCATTTTCACGATATTGATTCTTCCTACCCATGAGCATGGAATGTTCTTCCATTTGTTTGTGTCCTCTTTTATTTCCTTGAGCAGTGGTTTGTAGTTCTCCTTGAAGAGGTCCTTCACATCCCTTGTAAGTTGCATTCCTAGGTATTTTATTCTCTTTGAAGCAATTGTGAATGGGAGTTCACCCATGATTTGGCTCTCTGTTTGTCTGTTGTTGGTGTATAAGAATGCTTGTGATTTTTGTACATTGATTTTGTATCCTGAGACTTTGCTGAAGTTGCTTATCAGCTTAAGGAGATTTTGGGCTGAGAAGATGGGGTTTTCTAGATAAACAATCATGTCGTCTGCAAACAGGGACAATTTGACTTCCTCTTTTCCTAATTGAATACCCTTTATTTCCTTCTCCTGCCTGATTGCCCTGGCCAGAACTTCCAACACTATGTTGAATAGGAGCGGTGAGAGAGGGCATCCCTGTCTTGTGCCAGTTTTCAAAGGGAATGCTTCCAGTTTTTGCCCATTCAGTATGATATTGGCTGTGGGTTTGTCATAGATAGCTCTTTTTATTTTGAAATACGTCCCATCAATACCTAATTTCTTGAGAGTTTTTAGCATGAAGGGTTGTTGAATTTTGTCAAAGGCTTTTTCTGCATCTATTGAGATAATCATGTGGTTTTTGTCTTTGGCTCTGTTTATATGCTGGATTACATTTATTGATTTGCGTATATTGAACCAGCCTTGCATCCCAGGGATGAAGCCCACTTGATCATGGTGGATAAGCTTTTTGATGTGCTGCTGGATTCGGTTTGCCAGTATTTTATTGAGGATTTTTGCATCAATGTTCATCAAGGATATTGGTCTAAAATTCTCTTTTTTGGTTGTGTCTCTGCCCGGCTTTGGTATCAGAATGATGCTGGCCTCATAAAATGAGTTAGGGAGGATTCCCTCTTTTTCTATTGATTGGAATAGTTTCAGAAGGAATGGTACCAGTTCCTCCTTGTACCTCTGGTAGAATTCGGCTGTGAATCCATCTGGTCCTGGACTCTTTTTGGTTGGTAAACTATTGATTATTGCCACAATTTCAGAGCCTGTTATTGGTCTATTCAGAGATTCAACTTCTTCCTGGTTTAGTCTTGGGAGAGTGTATGTGTCGAGGAATGTATCCATTTCTTCTAGATTTTCTAGTTTATTTGCGTAGAGGTGTTTGTAGTATTCTCTGATGGTAGTTTGTATGTCTGTGGGATCGGTGGTGATATCCCCTTTATCATTTTTTATTGTGTCTATCTGATTCTTCTCTCTTTTTTTCTTTATTAGTCTTGCTAGCGGTCTATCAATTTTGTTGATCCTTTCAAAAAACCAGCTCCTGGATTCATTGATTTTTTGAAGGGTTTTTTGTGTCTCTATTTCCTTCAGTTCTGCTCTGATTTTAGTTATTTCTTGCCTTCTGCTAGCTTTTGAATGTGTTTGCTCTTGCTTTTCTAGTTCTTTTAATTGTGATGTTAGGGTGTCAATTTTGGATCTTTCCTGCTTTCTCTTGTGGGCATTTAGTGCTATAAATTTCCCTCTACACACTGCTTTGAATGTGTCCCAGAGATTCTGGTATGTGGTGTCTTTGTTCTCGTTGGTTTCAAAGAACATCTTTATTTCTGCCTTCATTTCGTTATGTACCCAGTAGTCATTCAGGAGCAGGTTGTTCAGTTTCCATGTAGTTGAGCGGCTTTGAGTGAGATTCTTAATCCTGAGTTCTAGTTTGATTGCACTGTGGTCTGAGAGATAGTTTGTTATAATTTCTGTTCTTTTACATTTGCTGAGGAGAGCTTTACTTCCAACTATGTGGTCAGTTTTGGAATAGGTGTGGTGTGGTGCTGAAAAAAATGTATATTCTGTTGGTTTGGGGTGGAGAGTTCTGTAGATGTCTATTAGGTCTGCTTGGTGCAGAGCTGAGTTCAATTCCTGGGTATCCTTGTTGACTTTCTGTCTCGTTGATCTGTCTAATGTTGACAGTGGGGTGTTAAAGTCTCCCATTATTAATGTGTGGGAGTCTAAGTCTCTTTGTAGGTCACTCAGGACTTGCTTTATGAATCTGGGTGCTCCTGTATTGGGTGCATAAATATTTTGGATAGTTAGCTCCTCTTGTTGAATTGATCCCTTTACCATTATGTAATGGCCTTCTTTGTCTCTTTTGATCTTTGTTGGTTTAAAGTCTGTTTTATCAGAGACTAGGATTGCAACCCCTGCCTTTTTTTGTTTTCCATTGGCTTGGTAGATCTTCCTCCATCCTTTTATTTTGAGCCTATGTGTGTCTCTGCACGTGAGATGGGTTTCCTGAATACAGCACATTGATGGGTCTTGACTCTTTATCCAACTTGCCAGTCTGTGTCTTTTAATTGCAGAATTTAGTCCATTTATATTTAAAGTTAATATTGTTATGTGTGAATTTGATCCTGTCATTATGATGTTAGCTGGTGATTTTGCTCATTAGTTGATGCAGTTTCTTCCTAGTCTCGATGGTCTTTACATTTTGGCATGATTTTGCAGCGGCTGGTACCGGTTGTTCCTTTCCATGTTTAGCGCTTCCTTCAGGAGCTCTTTTAGGGCAGGCCTGGTGGTGACAAAATCTCTCAGCATTTGCTTGTCTATAAAGTATTTTATTTCTCCTTCACTTATGAAGCTTAGTTTGGCTGGATATGAAATTCTGGGTTGAAAATTCTTTTCTTTAAGAATGTTGAATATTGGCCCCCACTCTCTTCTGGCTTGTAGGGTTTCTGCTGAGAGATCCGCTGTTAGTCTGATGGGCTTTCCTTTGAGGGTAACCCGACCTTTCTCTCTGGCTGCCCTTAACATTTTTTCCTTCATTTCAACTTTGGTGAATCTGACAATTATGTGTCTTGGAGTTGCTCTTCTCGAGGAGTATCTTTGTGGCGTTCTCTGTATTTCCTGAATCTGAACGTTGGCCTGCCTTGCTAGATTGGGGAAGTTCTCCTGGATAATATCCTGCAGAGTGTTTTCCAACTTGGTTCCATTCTCCGCATCACTTTCAGGTACACCAATCAGACGTAGATTTGGTCTTTTCACATAGTCCCATATTTCTTGGAGGCTTTGCCCATTTCTTTTTCTTTTTTCTCTAAACTTCCCTTCTCGCTTCATTTCATTCATTTCATCTTCCATTGCTGATACCCTTTCTTCCAGTTGATCGCATCGGCTCCTGAGGCTTCTGCATTCTTCACGTAGTTCTCGAGCCTTGGTTTTCAGCTCCATCAGCTCCTTTAAGCACTTCTCTGTATTGGTTATTCTAGTTATACATTCTTCTAAATTTTTTTCAAAGTTTTCAACTTCTTTGCCTTTGGTTTGAATGTCCTCCCGTAGCTCAGAGTAATTTGTTCGTCTGAAGCCTTCTTCTCTCAGCTCGTCAAAATCATTCTCCATCCAGCTTTCTTCCGTTGCTGGTGAGGAACTGCGTTCCTTTGGAGGAGGAGAGGCACTCTGCGTTTTAGAGTTTCCAGTTTTTCTGTTCTGTTTTTTCCCCATCTTTGTGGTTTTATCTACTTTTGGTCTTTGATGATGGTGATGTACAGATGGGTTTTCGGTGTAGATGTCCTTTCTGGTTGTTAGTTTTCCTTCTAACAGACAGGACCCTCAGCTGCAGGTCTGTTGGAATACCCTGCCGTGTGAGGTGTCAGTGTGCCCCTGCTGGGGGGTGCCTCCCAGTTAGGCTGCTCGGGGGTCAGGGGTCAGGGACCCACTTGAGGAGGCAGTCTGCCCGTTCTCAGATCTCCAGCTGCGTGCTGGGAGAACCACTGCTCTCTTCAAAGCTGTCAGACAGGGACACTTAAGTCTGCGGAGGTTACTGCTGTCTTTTTGTTTGTCTGTGCCCTGCCCCCAGAGGTGGAGCCTACAGAGGCAGGCAGGCCTCCTTGAGTTGTGGTGGGCTCCACCCAGTTCGAGCTTCCTGGCTGCTTTGTTTACCTAAGCAAGCCTGGGCAATGGCGGGCGCCCCTCCCCCAGCCTCGTTGCCGCCTTGCAGTTTGATCTCAGCCTGCTGTGCCAGCAATCAGCGAGATTCCGTGGGCGTAGGACCCTCTGAGCCAGGTGTGGGATATAGTCTCGTGGTGCGCCGTTTCTTAAGCCGGTCTGAAAAGCGCAATATTCGGGTGGGAGTGACCCGATTTTCCAGGTGCGTCAGTCACCCCTTTCTTTGACTCGGAAAGGGAACTCCCTGCCCCCTTGCGCTTCCCAGGTGAGGCAATGCCTCGCCCTGCTTCGGCTCGCGCACGGTGCGCACACACACTGGCCTGCGCCCACTGTCTGGCACTCCCTAGTGAGATGAACCTGGTACCTCAGATGGAAATGCAGAAATCACCCGTCTTCTGCGTCGCTCACGCTGGGAGCTGTAGACCGGAGCTGTTCCTATTCGGCCATCTTGGCTCCTCCGACATGCTGTATTTCTAACAAGCTCCCAGATGATGCTGGTGCTGCTGGTACAGAGACCACACTTTGAGTGACGAGGATCTAAAATACCTTGGCTCTGTGTATCATTTTTATTTACTACTCAAGGCCATTCATATATAATTTCAAGTTCTGTCATCTCTTCTGCTACTCTCACAATCCATCCCAATTTTCTCTTAATGCTAGAGTTTAGGAAAGCATATCATTCTTCCCTGGATTAGGACTCACCACATTTATGCATGTGTGTACGTGTGTTTGTAATCACAGTATCAGTATCATGAAAAGAGGTTCCCAAAGTAGGGGAGCATGAGGATAATTTAATCAAAGATTATTATTGCCGGGGTTTTCTGCTACATTCAGTAAAATTCTAAAACTGGCTTGCCTTATTATTTGATCACAAAAACAAGTAAGCATTCTATATTCTCCCTCCTCCATTCCTTCGTCTTATCTCTGTATTCATTTGTCTAACACATCAAGGCAAGTTTTGGTAATTCCACCAATTTAACACGTTATATTTGTGATAACACAAAAATACTTCTGAGTGTATATAATTATCTAATTAATTATATCTTCACATCTTTTTAAACCAAATACGTTCTATGTATTTATTATTTAAACTAGTACATTTTACTCCTCCAATATATATTTCACATTCATAGGAAGGTATACTAGTACCAGAAGGAGTATAAAGTATATGTGAATCATTTCTAAAGTAATACCTTATGTAATTATGTGTTCTGGAAAGAAGAGAATGTTTCTGTTTATCTATTGCTGCATAACAAACCACCGTAAAAATCAGTGACATAAATTAACCCTTATCTCCCAAGTTTTGTGGGTTAATGAGCTCAGCTGAATTATTCTTTGTGGGGCCTCTCTTATGATTGCTTCTGTATTCTTATGTTTGGTGCCTGGGCTGGGAGGGTTAGAATAGCTGGGTGCTGCTTGAGTATCACTTTCTCCATGATGCTAGTCATACAACTAAGTTCCTTCACCAACTAGCAAATATATAAAAACATATCTGGGTAGGTTGGAAGCAGAGGGATTAAGCTCATAATAAAACAAAAAGTATTAAAATGTTCTGTTGTTAAGGCATTTCCTGAATGCAGCACCACCAGCAGTGTGGCGCTGTGTTTAATAACTCTACGATAGGCGTTATTACCCTTTACTGGTAAGACCAGGTGCTGGAATTGTCACTGCTGTTTCTCTCCACACTATGTTCCATACGAGTAGCATGAGCATGGGCTTCCTCACAGGATGATCGTCTCAGTGAAGGTAGACTGCTTACATGGCCCTTGGCTTCTCAGAGAGTGAGAGTTCTAAAAAGTGGCAGTTCTGATAAGCCAGGCAGAAGCTGCGTGGTTATCTATGACTTAACCTCAGAAGTTACACAGTGTCAGTTCTGTCATATTCCATCGGTCAAAGCAGTCACAGGCTAACACAAATTCAAGAAGGTGGAGGAATAGACTCCATTTTTCAAAGGCTTATACCTATAGAGTGGGAAGGAACTGATAGCAGTCATCTTTGAGAAACATGTCGTTATTGTCCCAATAAACTTCTCCGGGAGGATCTACACAATATATTAAAGCTGGGGATGAGAGGATGTTAAGGCATCTGAAGGAGTACTAGATGCCTCAGCAAAGAAATGAGGTATGAGAAAAGGAATACATTTTCTATTGGCCAAAAAGAGAGGTGAATACATAAGGTAGGATGTAGGCAAGGACGGAATTCCAGGAATATCAGAAGTCACAGTTGTGTCAGTATCACCATAGAGTAACTGAAAGGGGATCCATGATAGGAGTTATTACCCTTTACTGATGATAAGACCAGGTGCTGGAAGAAAAATGGGTTGTCCGAATTTATAGTGACTAACAAAGATGAACTTGAACTCTTGAAATCTATTTTCCCAATCCAGTGCCCTTTGAGCTACATAAAAACTATCCCTGGCAACTGAGATGTTGGCATACTTAAGTAACAAGAAAGGAAGCTATAAGGCAATGATAAGATTGTGTCATTGTTGATTTTTTTTCATTGCTTTGTATCATATATGTTTGTTAGACTCTATGTCTTTGCTGATAATTGTTTCCAGTACTCTGGGCATATAATTTCTGGTTTTCCCATGTAGAAAATAATCTATATAAGTGGTATCATATACCATATTTTGTGTTTTTCATTCTTTGTAAACACAGCAATGACTTGTATAAAGAAAGAGTTATACATATTGATATTGAATTTACCATAATTGTTTAATTCCAAGAATACACTAGGAATTTCATCATAGCACACGTGGATGCTGATTTTAAAACAATATAAACATGCATAAACCCACAATGAATTCATTCAATGCAGGCCTATTTTGGCACAACCACTGCAAGAGTGTTTGTTCTTGGAAAATATAAATGAACAAATGAATATAGAAATACATCTCATTGCTACTACTACTCCTACTGCTACTACTAGTAATCCCTTATTTAAGAATGATTAATAATGTTTTAAGCCTCTTTTTAAACTTTTTAAATCATCAGAACAATTATGTGAAATAAAATTTGTTCTGTTTCAGCCCATTAAATGGATCTGAGTGTCCTAGGAATTCACGTGTCAGAGGTACATAAGATGCCCATGCACTGGCCATTGTGTTTGACTTCAATATTCACTCACACAGCCTCTACGTCTTTGCCATTACCTCTGTAGTTCTTCAACCTTTTTGCTCTCATATTTCAATTAACCATACCAGCACCAGGTCATCCATGTTTCAAAAATTTGCTTCTTTGGCTTATTAACGTTGGTCTATCTTTCTTGACCTCCAAACTTTCTTGACCACTCTGTTTTGACTCATGGACAGTTCTGAATGCAAAATCTTCCCACCAATAGCCCTTGCCTTGAGAAATCCATACGAGCTGAATTATTCCATCAACTGGCTCAACACAGAAGGGGAACGATTTAAGTAGATACTGTTGCCATTTTAAAAATAATGAAACTAAGTCACAGCAAGAATAAGTTCAAGTTGAAATGGTGTACAGCCTCTGTGTGTTGCAGTTACGATTTGATTTCTAGTCTATCATTTTTTCTGTTTCAGGCAACCTCATTTAATGAAGTCTAAAAGAGGACAGATTAGATATCATAATTTTGTGGAATTTACTGGAGGAATTAAGGAAGATAACAGGAGAGAGAGAGAGTGGGAGGGAGAGAGAGAGAGAGAGAGGGAGAGGGAGAGAGAGAAAGAAAGAGAGAGAGAGAGAGAGAACTAGTCTGGAGCTGAAGACAAGGGAAAGAGAGAAAGAGAGAGGCTCCACTGGAACCCTTGGTCCTAGAGAGATCACCAGAAATCCAGCGCTGTACAAGGACACCCAGCTAATACTTGTTGCAGATGCTGGAGTAAGTGTCCCAACACCATTATGGCTGCCTGCCTCCAAAGCCTGTATTCTTTCTGCTACACAAGGCTGGTGAGATGTCATTATACCTCAGCCAAATAGAGCTGGATTCCAGAATAGAATGCCAAGTCTTATTTGGAAAATGGAGTGCTAGTCCTGAGGCAGAAGGACAAAAAACATAAATGAAAATTTCTAATAACCATTTGTCAAGTTTTATACTGGATTATCTTTTGGCATATCAACACTATTCCCATTCCTTTCCATGCTCTTCCCTATATCTTAGGGACAAGAAGTCTAGAAACCACATTTTTCTGCCAGGAGTGTTCTAATTTGGAGTTTACTAATGTGAAAACTTTGTATAAACTTAAAGAGGCTGAAGAGAAAGAGAAGCCATTATTTTCTTCAATCAGAAGCAGAAATACATAAGAAAGTGGAAAATGTGGTTTGTAGTGGTTTCAGCAAAAATTCCTGCATACCATTCACTTTGATGTTGCAGGCAGCTGAGATCATCAGGAACTGCTACCTGCATTTCCTGCACCTCCTGATATCTTGAAAGCCAGCAGTGGTCCTCCCTGGCCTTCATCCAAAAATAATCTTCCAAAAGTTTTGTAAGCATCTAATTCCTGGCATTAAATCCCTTCCTGATATAATGCATGGAGTGTTTGGTTTTTTTCTGGCAGAATTCTTGCTGATACAAAGACTCTTCTGGGCATCTGCTGAGTTTTGTATACTTGCCTTCCTTTAATCATCACATTAAGCCTAGGATATTGGAACTATTATTTCCATTTGAAAGACGAATAAATTGAAGATCAGAAAGCTTAACTGACTTGTTCAAAGTCACTCAATAAATAGGTTCCTGAACCCAGACTCAAATACTGACCTCATACTCTTTGTTACTGTATAATACCATGTACGAGAATAATTCTATGGATGTGAACAACACAGGAGAGATTATGGGAGCTTTGTAGGAATGTGCATACTATGTTAATTATTCTCACGGTGCAGAGGACAAAGGGAGCCACAATTAAAATTAAGTTAATAAATTAATTTATTAATAAAATCAATTAAATTAAAGTTTTACTCTTCAAACATTTACCACGCCCCCCCCCCCTTTCAACAAGGGCATAGCAGAAACCCATCCCAGGAGGTAATGGTAGGGAGTGGTTAAAAATGAGGTAATTTTGAATAAAATTAGATTAAATCCTATCCAGACAGTTCCAATATGAAACTCTGGCTGAAAACCAAGACTGTAGATCCATTAAGCGGTTCGTTTATGCTGGGCAAAATGATTCTAGTCACCCTCCTCACTCAAATCCTCACCCTCATTCCACAGCATAGCGACAAGTCAAAATGTAATATATACCTTGTTCAAATCCAGTTCAAACATTGCACAAGGTTAAGTTTTTAGTTAGAATCAGTGACCTGAATGGTATAAGGCTGATAGCAAAGGATTCTCACACAGCAGATTTTCAATAGATGTTGTTGACATCTTACTCGTTCTCAGGAATACTGTGTGAGAAGATAGGTCTTTGTCTTCTACTCAGTAAGCACCAATACACTCTGCCTGTGCAGTAACTGTCATTACTGCATTGCAGCTCAGCAGAATGAGTGTGGAAAGTCAAGTTACATTTTATTCCATTGAAAAGGAGGCCTAGAACTTGAATCAAATACTTCTCAGACACTTTCCAGAGATGCAAGCTTGATATGCCAAGTAACTCTCCGAATAGAGTCACCGTCTGCATTACTAGAGGTTTCTGCCAGATTTCTAACTCCCTATTAGCAACCTGCTTTGTTTCCACACAGTCCTATCTCCCTTTATGTAACAGTTTGTTAGTTAACATTATGGAATTAGAAAAGAATCACTCTTTGGATTCCTAATTCTGCTTTTATATATTGCCTAAGACAATAGCCTTGCCTCCTATTTAAATCACTTTTGTTGATTCATTTACTCAGCAAATATTTTATCAAATGTTTATTGAGCCTGTAGTATTTGTCAGGTAGGTGGTTAAGATTGGAGTACACAATACTCATCTAATAGATCTGGCCCTTATCATGCTTTATCTGGTTTACCCATTTGGTGGGGTTTAAGGTAGGAGGGGAAGAGACCTGAAATTCACATGATTTGAATGAAAAGAAAAAAAAATTAGTTCCAATAATAAAGAATTATATATTTAAACAGCCTAAACATAAAATTCCATTTTCAAAGTATTAATTCATTGAAAATATTTATAAAACATTTACTATCTGTGTAGTATTGTACTAGATTCTGGCATAAAATATATTAGTAAGCATCAGTCTGTGCCCTCAAAGAGTTCAGTTTGGAGTGAGAAACAGGTAGATAAAGTAAGATAAGTGGCAATACACACTCTGAAACATAATATACCCACTCAAGCAGAAAAGTCAGGGACAGCAATCGATTTGAGTCTTGAAGGATGAGAAGTTTTGCCAGGCTGAGGAGAGGAATGTATTCTTACAGAAGGAAGAGCCTGTTCAAAATGACTGAGGTAGGCTTTGGGAATGGTGCTTTCTGCTTGAAAATGTGGGTCTCAATAGTGCTGCATGGTAGAATTACTGCAGACCCTAGCCCAAACCAAAATAGCATTGCGACTTGGAGAACTAATTTAATGGAGCTTGACTGAAGGACAACAAGCAGCGTGACTTCATTCTTAATGACAAAGAAACTGCTTCTGCATCAGTGTCCCCCACCCCCAAACTCTAATGTGAGAAGTCAATACTATCACTATAGAGGCCATGCAAAAATTATTTAATTTGATCACTAATCATTTTGTGCATTCCCTAATGAACTTATTATCAAAGTTCCTACTACACTTCCCCTATGGCAATATTTCTGCGTTTCACCATATATCAGATACTTACCATGATTCTTCTTTAATAATTCTTCTCTTTGCTCCCTTTCTGACAGGGAGTTTCAGTCTTTCTTATCCACTTGTCCTCACTGTGTGTTGAGAAAACAAGATATCCTCCCAGCCAAGGAACTCAGAAAATGTGGCCTGATTATCCCCCTGCTGTTAATTACATATATTTTTAATCAGGTTTGCAAACATGGTAGAAATAGCACTGGACTTTAAGTAAAACAAGTGTATACTGAAATATCAGCTCTGTTCACTGCGTAACTATGCAACTTTGTGGAAATGAATATCTTAAGTTCTTTGAGCCTTATTTTCCGTATTTGTATAAAAGTTAATACTTACTTCATAGGGTTATTGTGAGTATTGAAATGAAGTAACATAGGATACAGTACAATTGCATATTAATTGGATTTAATTCCTAATTCATTTTTTTTCATTTTGATAACTGATTATTTTTTCTCTCTTTCCAGAAAAATATCATCTTTGGTAGCTAAACTCATCTAGTTGCTTCTTAAAGCAGGGGTTGACAACCTTTTTCTATAAGGTCATACAGTATATATTGATGACTTTGCAGCCCATATGGTCTCTGTCACAACTTTTCAACTCTACTGTTGCAGCAAGAAAATAGCCATAGACATTACATAAATGAATGGACTTGGCTATATTTCAGTAATTCTTTAATTAAAAAAAAAGAAATCCATGTGGTCAGATTTGGTGTGAGGGCCAAAGTTTGATGACCCCTGTCTTAGAACATGGGAGACAGTATTGCATAGCACTTTTATCAGAATGAAATGAGATAATGTTCACTCAAGACTGTGGTCCAGAGAGTTACTGATATATGATGATTCTTGAATGTTTGCATGTATACATTTATTATGTTAAAAGGAGATGTTTTTATTGTAGTTGTTGGTTCCTCCTCACCACCTCTTCTTCTTATTTCACTTCCTCATTCCCTTATCCTGGTTGTCATCATTCCATTGCAACTTCTCTATCCATGACACCCCATGTAATGGAGGCTACTTGGTTTACCTTCCCTCTCCCAACACATAAGCTTATCGATATTTGTTCTAGAAATTATAATGCCAGAGGAGGCAATATGCAAATTGTTGAGATATACCTATGTATGGAAAAATAGTAGAATACTTCACTTACATTCACAAAATATAAAATGTTTTATTTGGAAAGACTCACTTGAAATTAGAAAAAGATATTAGGCTTGACCTAAGAAAAACAGAGACTGAAAATGCATGGAATAAATCACACTCAATTAGCATAATGTTACCTAGATCAGCTATTAATCTCTATTTCTTTGAATAAATTGCCTACATAAAGGCTATTTTAAAATTCAGATCATAGGTTGAGCATAAACCTAATCAGTAAACTTTCCAAAGATGAATAAATCAATTTACTTCACTGTCCATAAACCCAGTGGCCTGAGGACAGTAGAATGAGGAACCCGATTTCTGCTGAGTATGTATATGTGCTAGGCACTCTATTAAGATCTTTGCATATGCTTTTTCATTTATTCCAAATTATATTATTAGCATGTTTTCCATATCTTTTTTTTTATTTCAATAGGTTTTGGGGACACAGGTGATGTCTGGTTACATGAATAATTTCTTTAGTGATGATTTATGAGGTTTTGGTGCAGCCATCACCCAAGCAGTTTTCACTGCACACAATGTGTAGTGTTTCGGCCCTCACCACCCCCAACCCTTTCCCCCCAAGTCCTCAAAGTCCAGTGTATCATTCTTATGCCTTTGTGTATCATAGCTTAGCTCCCACATATTAGTGAGAACACACAATGTTTGGTTTTCCAATCCTGAGTTACTTCACTTAGAATAATAGTCTCCAATTCTATCCAGGTTGATACTAATGCTATTATTTCATTACTTTTTATGGCTGAGTAGTATTCCATCATATATATATACACCACATTTTCTTTAACCACTCGTTTGTTGATAGGCATTTAGGCTGGTTCCATGTTTTTGCAATTGCAAATTGTGCTGCTATAAACATGCATGTGCAAGTATCTTTTTTGTATAATGACTTCTTGTCCTCTGGGTAGATACCTAGTAGTGGGATTGCTGGATCAAATGGTAGATCCACTTTTAGTACTTTAAGGAATCTCCACATTGTTTTCCATAGTGGTTGTGCTAGGTTACATTTCCACCAACTGTGTAAAAATGTTCCCTTTTCACCACATCCATGCCAATATATATTATCTTTTTTTTTTTTTATTTATGGCCATTCTTGCAGGAGTGAGGTGGTATCACATTGCAGTTTTGATTTGCATTTCCCTGATAATTAGTGGTGTTGAGCATTTTTCCATATGTTTGTTGGACATTTGTATATCTTCTTTTGAGAATTGTCTATTAATTTCCTTAGCCCACTTTTCGATGGGATTGTTTTTTTCTTGCTGATTTATTTGAGTTCTTTGTAGATTCTAGATATTAGTTCTTTGTTGGATGTGTAGATTGTGAAGATTTTCTCCCACTCTGTGGATTGTCTGTTAACTCTGCTAATTATTATTATTATTATTATTATTATTATTATTATTATTATTTGCTGTGCAGAAGCTTTTTAGTTTAATTAAGTACCATCTATTTATCTTTGTTTTAGTTTCATTTGCTTTTGGGTGCTTGGTCATGAAGTCTTTGCTTAAGCCAATGTCTATATGGGATTTTCTGATGTTATCTTCTAGAATCTTCATGGTTTCAGGTCTTCAATTTAAGTCTTTGATCCATCTTGAGTTGATTTTTGTATAAGGTGAGAGATGAGCATCCAATTTCATTCTCCATGTGGCTTACCAATTACCCCAGCACCATTTGTTGAATACGGTGTCCTTTCCACACCTTATGTTTTTGTTTGCTTTGTCAAAGATCAGTTGGCTATAAGTGTTTTGCTTTATTTCTGAGTTTTCTATTCTGTTCCATTGGTCTATGTGCCTATTTCCATACCAGTCCCATGCTCTTTTAGTTACTATGGGCTTATGGCATAGTTTAAAGTTAGATAATGTGATGCCTCCAGATTTTTTTTTCTTAGTCTTGCTTTGGCTATGTGGGCTCTTTTTTGGTTTCCTACGAAATTTCGGATTATTTTTTCTTGTCCTGTGAAGAGTGATGGTGGTATTTTTGTGAAAATTGCATTAAATTTGTGGATTGCTTTTGGCAATATGGTCATTTTCACAATATTAATTCTACTCATCCATGAGCATGGGATGTGTTTACATTTGTTTGTATAATCAATGATTTCTTCGCAGCATTAAATGCCTACATCGAAAAGTCTGAAAGAGCACAAATAGACAACTTATGGTCACACCTCCTGGAACTGGAGAAACAAGAACAATCCAAATTCAAACACAGCAGAAGAAAAGGAACAACAAAGATCAGAGCAGAACTAAATGTAATTAAAACAAACAAACAAAACAAAATACAAAGATAAATGAAACAATAAGCTGGTTCTTGGAAAAGATAAATAAAATTGATAGACTATTAGGGAGATTAACCAAGAAAAGAGGGAAGATCCAAATAAGCTCAATTAGAAATAAAACGAAAGATATTACAACTGATAACACAGAAAAACAAAAGATTATTCAAGGCTACTATGACCACCTTTATGCACGTAAACTACAAAACCTAGAGGAGATGGATAAAGTCCTGGAAATATACAACCCTCCTAGATTAAAGCGGGAAGATATAGAATCTCTATACAGACGAAAACAAACAATGAGATTGAAATGGTAATTTAAAAATTGCCAATTAAAAAAGTCCAGGCCTAGACAAATTCACAGTTTAATTCCATCAGACATGCAAAGAAGAATTGGTACCAATTCTACTGACACTATTCCAAAAGACAGAAAAAGAGGGAATCGTCTGTAAATCATTCTATGAAGTCAGTATCACCCTAATACCAAAGCCAGGGAAGGACATAACAAAAAAAGAAAACTACAGACCAGTATCACTGATAAACATAGGTTTGAAAATCCTCACCAAAATACTGGTAAACCAAATCCAACAGTTTATCAAAAAGATAATTCACCATGATCAAGTAGGTTTCATACCAGGGATGCAGAGACGGTTTAACATATGTAAGTGAAAAATTTGATATCTCACATAAACAAAATTAAAAATAAAAATTACATAATCATCTCACTAGCAAAAGCGTTTGACAAAATCCAGCATCCCTTTATGATTAAAGCCCTCAGGAAAATCGGCATAGAAGGGACATACCTTAAGGTAATAAAAGCCATCTACAACAAACCCACAGCCAACATTATACTGAATAGGGAACAGTTGAAAGCATTTCCCCTGAGAACTGGAACAAGACAAGGATGCCCACTTTCATCACTTCTATTCAACATAGTACTGGAAGTCCTAGCCAGAGTAATCAGACAAGAGAAACAAATAAAGGCATCCAAACTGATAAAGAGAAAGTGAAACTGTTGTTGTTTGCTGATGTTATGATCCTATACCTAGAAAACCCTAATGACTCATCCAGAAAGCTCCTAGAACTGGTCAATGAAGCCAGCAAAGTTTCAGGATACCAAATTAATGTACACAAATCAGTAGCTCTGCTATACACCAACAGCGGCCAAACTGAGAATGAAATAAAGAGCTCAACCCCTTTCGCAATATTATTAAGATTTTTTTAAATTATTTTTGTTTTTTTTTATTATACTTTAAGTTCTAGGGTACATGTGCACAACGTGCAGGTTTGTTACATATGCATACATGTGCCATGTTGGTGTGCTGCACCCATTAACTCGTCATTTATATTAGGTATATCTCCTCATGCTATCCCTCCCCACTTTCCCCACCCCACGACAGGCCCCAGTGTATGATGTTCCCCTTCCTGTGTCCAAGTGTTCTCATTGTTCAATTCCCACCTATGAGTGAGAACATGCGGTGTTTGGTTTTCCGTCCTTGCAATAGTTTGCTCAGAATGATGCTTTCCAGCTTCATCCATGTACCTACAAAGGACATGAACTCATCCTTTTTTATGGCTGCATAGTACTCCGTGGTGTATATATGCCACATTGTCTTAATCCAGTCTTTCATTGATGGACATTTGGGTTGGTTCCAAGTCTTTGCTATTGTGAATAGTGCCGCAATAAACATGCGTGTGCATGTGTCCTTATAGTAGCATGGTTTATAATCCTTTGGGTATATACCCAGTAATGGGATGGCTGGGTCAAATGGTATTTCTAGTTCTAGATCTTTAAGGAATCGCCACACTGTCTTCCACAATAGTTGAACTAGTTTACAGTCCCACCAACAGTGTAAAAGTGTTCCTATTTCTCCACATCCTCTCCAGCACCTGTTGTTTCCTGACTTTTTAATGATCATCATTCTAACGGGTGTGAGATGGTATCTCACTGTCGTTTTGCTTTGCATTTCTCTGATGGCCAGTGATGATAAGCATTTTTTCATGTGTCTGGAAATTGAGATACAATGAGTTTAGATTACATTGTTCAATATCACATGGCAAGCATTTGGTGGAACTTTAAAAATAACCCCAAGTGTATACCACTATTAATCATACATTTTACCTTTTCTTTTTCACTGACTTAATCATTTAGTTTTTAAAACGTCAAAATGAATTAACGTCCTGATCAGTCAAAACAATCAAATAAATCTGAATATGATGCATTCTAGTCTCTGAAAACTAACTACTGTTGCTACATTATACAGACTACACGTTGCACTGTATGAAATGTCTCTTAAAACATTTTTATAATTCTGTGAAGAAAGTCCATAGTAGCTTGATGGGGATAGCACTGAATCTATGAACTAATTTGGGCAGTATGGCCATTTTCACTATATTGATTCTTCCTATCCATGAGCATGGAATGTTTTTCCATTTGTGTGTGTCTTCTCTTATTTACTTGAGCAGTGGTTTGTAGTTCTCCTGGAAGAGGTCCTTCACATCCCTTGTGTGTTTGTATTCCTAGGTATTTTATTCTCTTTGTAGCAGCTGTGAATGGGAGTTCACTCATGATTTGGCTCTCTGTTTGTCTATTATTGGTGTACAGGAATGCTTGTGATTTTTGCACATTGATTTTGTATCCTGACACTTTGCTGAAGTTGCTTATCAGCTTAAGGAGATTTTGGGCTGAGATGATGGGGTTATCTAAATATACAATCATGTCATCTGCAACCAAAGACAATTTGACTTCCTCTCTTCTTATTTGAATATCCTTTATTTCTTTCTCTTGCCTGATTGCCCTGGCCAGAATTTCCAATACTACATTGAATAGGAGTGGTGAGAGGCAGCATCCTTGTCTTGAGGTGGTTTTCAAAGAGAATGCTTCCAGCTTTTGTGCATTCAGTATTATATTGGCTGTGGGTTTGTCAAGAGACCGTATAGCCAAGACAATCCTAAGCAGAAAGAACAAAGCTGGAGGCATCACACTACCTGACTTCAAAATATACTACAAGGCTACAGTAACCAAAAGGGCATGGTACTGGTACCAAAATAGATATATAGACCAATGGAAAAGAACAGAGGTCTCAGAAATAACACCACACATCTACAACCATCTGATTTTTGAACAAACCTGACGTAAACAAGCAATGGGGAAAGGATTCCCTATTTAATGAATGGTTTTGTGAAAACTGGCTAGCCATATGCAGAAAACTGAAACTGGACCCCTTCCTTAAACCTTGTACAAAAATTAATCAAGATGGATTAAAGAATTAAATGTAAAACCTAAAACCATAAAAACCCTAGAAGAAAACCTAGGCAATCCCATTCAGGACATAGGCATGGGCAAAGACTTCATGACTAAAACACCAAAAGCAATGGCAACAAAAGCCAAAATTGACAAATGGGATCTAATTAAATGAAAGAGCTTCTGAACAGCAAAAGAAACTATCATCAGAGTGAACAGGCAACCTACAGAATGGGAGAAAATGTTTGCAATCTATCCATCTGACAAAGGGTTAATATCCAGAATCTACAAGGAACTTAAACAAAGTTACAAGAAAAAAAACAGACAACTCCATCAAAAAGTGGGTGAAGGACAGGAACAGACACTTCTAAAAGGAGACACTTATGTATCCAACAATCATATGAAAAAAAGCTCATCATCACCGGCCATTAGAGAAATGCAAATCAAAACCACAAAGAGATACCATCTCACACCAGTTAGAATGGCAATCATTAAAAAGTCAAGAAACAACAGATGCTGGAGAGGATGTGGAGAAATAGGAATGCTTTTACACCATTGGTGGGAGTGTAAATTAGTTCCACCGTTGTGGAAAACAGTGTGGCGATTCCTCAAGGATCTAGAACCAGAAATACTATTTGACCCAGCAATCCCATTACTGGGTGTATACCCAAAAGATTATAAATCATTCTACTATAAAGACACATGCACACGTATGTTTATTGCAGCAGTATTCACAATAGCAAAGACTTGGAACCAACCCAAATGCCCATCAATTATAGACTGGATAAAGAAAATATGGCACATATACATCATGGAATATTATGCAGCCATAAAAAAGAAATGAGTTCATGTCTTTGCAGGGAAATGGATGAAGCTGGAAACCATCATTCTCAGCAAACTACCACAGGACCAGAAAACCAAACACCACATGTTCTTACTCATAAGTGGGAGCTGAACAATGAGAACACATTGATACAGGGAGGGGAACATCACACACTAGGGCCTGTTGGGGGGTTGGGGGCAAGGGGAGGGATAGCATTAGGAGAAATACCTAATGTAGATGATGGGTTGATGGGTGCAGCAAACCACCATGGGACGTGTATACCTATGTAACAAATCTGCACGTTCTGCACATGTATCCCAGAACTTAAAGTATAATTTTAAAAAATTATTTTTCCTAAACAATTAAGCTAGATCTGAGTTGGAAGTTGTACTCTCAGATATCAGAAAGTAAATCCTTGAAGGACTTCTGCTACTTTCTCTGTGGTGAAAATAGTTACACTTGAAAGAACCACTTACTTCTTTCGTTTTGGTCCCCAATAAAAAAAAATACATGCCCACATTTTCCTCAGATTCTTTGAAACTCCACTGGTAACTTCCTGTCTGTTCTAGTTTCTTGCCCCAGTATTCCCCAAGAAAAGATCAGTTAGCAATGAGTGTTTGATTGGTATGATTAACTTGTAAAGTGAAATAATGAGGAAATGTAACATTAAACCAACTTCAATGTGGAATTCTCAAGTATGGGAAAGACCAAAAATTAATTCAAAATGAACTTAACATTGCATAATTTTAGGTCAGATACAGTGGCTAATGCCTGTAATCCCAGCAGTTTGGGAGACCGAGACAAGAGGACCACTTGAGCCCAGAAGTTTGAAACCAGCCTGTAAAGCATAGTAAAACCCCATCTTTACAAAAAGAAAAAATTAAAAAAATTAGCTGGGTCTGGTGGTGCACATCTATAGTCCCAGCTATTCAGGAGGTTGGGACTGGAGGATTGCTTAAGCCCAGGAGTTCAAGGTTACAGTGAGTGAAACTCTAGCTCTAAAACTAGAGGGAGAGAGAGAGAGAGACAAAGAGAGAGTAATTTTTAAAAGCTTTTCTCTTACTGGTGTCAAAAATATTGTCATGCTTCTCTTTTCCATGGAGGTCCCCCTAGCATTGAAATAAGCTACCTATTAGCAAAGCACAGAAACAGGCGTAATCCTACTTAAATAGTGGATCTACAATTGCACATGCAGAGAGACCCTCATACTCATAATTATGTTTTGTCTTGGTCCGTTTAGTATTGCTATAAAAGAATATCTGAGGCTGGGTAATTTACAAAGGAAACAGGTTTATCTGACTCATGGTTCTGCAGGCTATACAAGAAGCGTAGTGCCAGCATCTGCTTTTGGTGAGGGCCTCAGGTAGCTTCCAATCATAGGGGCAGGTGAAGGGGAGCTGGTGTAAGCAGATTACATGATGAGAGAGGAAATAAGAGCGAGCAGGAGGAGGCACCAGGCTCTTTATATCAACCAGTTCTCACAGGAACTAATAGAGTAAGCACTCACTCACTCCCAAGAAAAGTCACCAAGCTATTCATGAGGGATCTTTCCCCATGACCCAAACATCTCCCACTATGCCTCACTTCCCAACACCATCACACTGGGAATTAAATTTCAACATGATATTTGGAGAGGGCAGACATCTAAACTATAGCATGTGTGGGAGCCTTTCTTCTGGATGCCTGTTTAATTGGAATCACCCTGGTCTGTGTATTCAGAGCCTTCTGTTTTAGTTTTCCCTTTGTAGCTAATCAAGTGGGTCTACTCTTTGTACTTGTGCCTGCTTATCTACTATGACTAATTAGCAATCACCTAAGTGTGACTTAAGTGATCGATTAGTGCTGTTGAGCGCTCCAAGCCTCAATTTGCTAAACGTTCTCATAGGATTGCAGGTACATAATAATTACTTCTGAAAAACTACCTGACCTTGTTTTTCCATTTTACTAGTCGAACTAAGCCATGCCTGCCTTAACATTTGTGGAAAACATAAATAACAATTTTTAATAAAGGCATTTAATAATAACTCAAGGAAAATATAATATAATACATTGCAGAATGAAGCATCATTTTGGAGCTAAAGTATAATTTTCTTCCTAAGCACTTATTTTCACTTTAGCAGAAGAAATGTTTCTTTTGTCAGTGTATCGCCCCACCTTTCTAAATAATAAATTATTTGATGATGTCAATGAGATTCTTGTGAAGAAAAACCATACAGTGCCACCCTCAGACACAAACATGAAAAGAAATAGAAACGATATGTTTTGTTTGCTATCCTCATGAGTGCCTCAAAAGGATGATTTATTAAGGATAGGCTTTAGAAACTAAAACAATGCTTGTTTTAGTGTTAAAACAAACAAAACAACAAGATGAAGAAAAACATTCTTATTGACCTGAGCTACGAAAATCAGGACTCAACTCCGCTCAGCTTCATTATTTAGAGATTATGATTTACGATGACGTGGCACAAAAGAAACTATTAAAAGGACATTGTATTTTTTAAATCTTACTCCATACCTAAAGCACAAAAGTGAAACTATATAAACTGTTTAAGCAGTTGTGGGTGAATCCACATGGAATATATGCAGAGTATATATTATTTTAAAAATAAAACCACATTGTCCTCTAATGCATGATGTATTTTTAGAAAGCTGTCTGAATGTAGTGAAATTTACAGAATAAAAATGTGGTAGGATAAGTTGGGTAGCAAATGCAAACATTCACCTAGAAAACCTAAACCTAGCGCCTACTACATTCCAGGAATATTTTGTAACTCCAAGGAAGCAATAGCTTAATGGAGGAAAGAGAGAAATAATTTTACTGACGAGAGAAAGTAAAATATATCTGAATACAGGTTTGACCTTATCTACTTATTTCTTTTCCACAAAGTTTCAGGCACTCTGTAAGTGCTGTAATACAGAGACGCCCTTATTTAAAAAGGGCCTAGACTGTCTTATAGTGAAGCAGACATTTAAACATAAAATTCAGCGTAAATTTGATATAATGCAGACTCTGAGAAAATACTACGGTTTACAAAAGGGTCATGTTCCCCTGATCACCAAACTCATCCCAATACATACCTACCCACCAAGTGGACACTATATTAGTTTTGCTGAAAAGAGATTGTATTTCTGAAATTACATTTGTTAGAAGCAATTTTGTATACATACATGTGTCTACCACCTTATGATCATGACTTGATTTGTTCCTCCACTTCACTTTACCATATTCAAGCAGTCAGATCTACTTTTGTCTTTCTCCCAATACGATTTTCACTATGATCTGAATGATTTTTTATCTCCCTAAAATTTATAAGTCAAAATGCTAACCTTGAAGGTGATAGTATTAGGAGGAAGTGACAGAGGCAGGGCCCTCATGAAGGAGATTCGTACCATTACAAAAAGGGGCAAAGAGAGACCCTTTCACCAAGTGAGAATACAGCAAGAAGGCACCATCTATGACCTCGAAAATAAGCCTTCACCAGACACAACATCTGCTTTGATCTTGGATTTCTGAGCTTCCAGAACTGTGAGAACTAAATCTCTGTTCTTTATAAGTAACCCAGTTTATATTATTTTGTTACAGCAGCCCAAATGTTAAGACACCATCTGAACTACATTCTAAACCACAATTCGATATCACCATTCTCAGTTACTCAGGCTCTAAAGTAACGTATATGGTAAAGCCTCCAGGCATATACCTTCACCACTGCTCTCTCCCAACAGAATATGGAAAATACAAGACCAAGGCAGCCTTTTTACATTAAGCTAAACGTTTTTTTCCCCAGTACCACCTGTTTCTCTTAATGAGTTTCTGGTCCTGTTGATGTTATTGCCATAAATTTCATATCTAATTATCAACTATTACATGGTAAAAGACATTGTGTGTTGGAATGTTTTCTAAAAAAAAACCCAAAAAACAAAAAACATTGAAACAGATGAATAGGTGAGTCCTCTATAATGTGTATAAACAGACTGCCAGCACAATTCCACATACTGACAATTAGTTGCACTTGAATGAAAAAATAGCCCTTTTTTTTACTGTAATTAGGTACAACATGCAGATTATACTACCTCCGATACAAACTATACGGAACTCATTTACAATATATGAAGAGGTTCAAAAATGTTGCTGTCATTTTGAGTTATATTCAGGTATAAAATCTGGCTCAAGATATTACCTTGGAGGAAAAAAAGAAATTGTCATTTCAAGTTGGGACACGTTATCCTTGAACCTAATTTTTCAGCCAAGTAGTGATCCCTATGTTTCTATTTTAGATCATATTACTCATCACGTTATCTATGATCTGCATAAGATGCTAAAATGGTTTTGACATATCAGAGGAGCATCAGTTGCAAATTTTCAGTCCCAGTTAAAATGGCATGCTGTCTTTGACCTCCTCCATTTTTGGGGGACAACTTTAGATAGTTAACTTAGTTTCTAAAATCATTGATAAATGTATTAAAATACTCAATGCATGTCCTGTTATGGTAATCTCAGGAGAGAAGCCACCTAAAAACTTTCATCTCTTGAATCAAGTTTACAGTGAGAATGATACACTACCATTCTGAAAGGACAGTGGAATGGACAAGGAAAACACCACGACCAACACAAGTTCTAGGTGTTTTTCATAAATTATAGATTAAAATTAAGGATACTGGTATATCTTAACAAAACTAAATAATAAGCATCTGGATAGCAGGAGTTACACTTAACCATCATTTGTACCTCTCTGCCAGATCCTATTCAGGGGGTCTGCTTCTGTGTTACCATCTTACATTTATGGTAGGAAATGATATACTCAAAAGTGCAGGCCCCCTGAAATAAAGCCTAATGCTCTTCCTTTATGCCTTGATATGTAGTCTCCAAAAGAAAATAGCAAACTGAGAAGAATTTAGACATCATTGGGCATAGAAATGCCTCTATCTCAGCTGTGGATGGTGGAAAATGGTGGGTGTGCATGCGTGCATGCATGCGTGTTTGCGTGTGTGTGTGTGTATAGAGGATGGGGTTGATGGTAGAAGGGCACAAAATATATAATCTCATGAATATCAACATTTTCAATCTCCTGTAGAAGTATAGATCTATACTAGAGCCTTGACAAAACTTACAGTTTATTAATGATAGCCACCTCCTGGAAATTGAGTCTAGGATACATAATCATCCATTGCATTATTGCACTCTTGTAGCATCTTTACAGGTGATAACTTTGTGTGTGTGGTGGGGGATGTGGGGAAGGGTCGGGTGTTGGGGAGGGTTGGGATGGGCAAGTTATCTTGTTCTATCCATCCAGAAACTGGATAGAATCTCAGAATAGAAAGTGGTCACCTTCAGGCTGAACTGAAATCCCTTTTAAAAGAAAATAACATTTCTTTTTTTTTTCATAGCCTCAGAGTAATGCATATTATTTTACATGAAAGTAATAAAACATCACTGCTAATATAAAAAGATCAATCATAGAGACAACTGAGATTCAAAATAAATAATGCCAATTCAGCCCATTATTTTGCTTCTACTTTGTATTCTTTTGTTTTGAGAGTATTTACTCACTAATTTTTTGTAAGTATTATGTTACATGTAGCACATCCATAAAGTTGATAGAGGAGATGAGTGGTTGCCTTCAAGGCAGTCCTGTGAGAGTGTTAAGGATGAATATTTTTTAACTTTTAATTTTTGTTGGTACATAGTAGGTGTATGTATTTATGGGGTACATGAAATGTTTTGATACAAGCATACAATGCGTGTAATGATCACATCATGGAGAATGGGGTATCCATCTCCTCAAACATTTATCCTTTGTGTTACCAACAATCCAATAATATGGACTTTTAGGCTTTTTTAAATGTACAATAATGTTATTATTGACTATAGTCAACCTGTTGTGGTATCCAATAGTAGGTCTTATTCATTCTTTCCATTTTTTGTACCCATTAACCATCTCTACCTTCCCCACATCCCCCAAAGAAAGAATGGCAGTTGAAAACTGTAATACATGATATAAGAAAATACCTTAAGAGAGGCAATGAATCTGTTCTCTGAAAATTCAGAGGAAGCTAGCACTTGAAGTTAAGGGGATCAGGAAGGGGGCACATGGAGGCAATGGCTTTTAGCACAGCTCTAATTCGGGGGTTAGATTTACACATAGGAAGCCTGGGAACAGGCTTTCCAGATGGTGATTACTGAGAGGAGATATGTTGGAATGGGGTGGCAGCTTCTTAAGATAGATGCATGTTTTATAAGTTCTTGAAGGCCGGGTTAAGGAAATCAGTTACAAATAGTTTACATGTTTAGTAGCATAATAAATATAATTTGATGCCATAGATACAGTCCAAGCCATTCTCCTTTCAGAAGCTAGAGGGATTTTTTAGAAACAAAAACCTGATGATGTCACTCTTCTGCTTACTTGTGCCTTTCTTCTTTGACAAAAACGTCCCCAAATCTTTACAGGCCTACAAGATCCTCATGACCTTACCGTTACCTCCCTTTGCCGTTACATTTTATGGAACATCCAATCTGCTTTCTGCATTTCTTCCAGACTGGGGCTCTTGCTGGTACTGAAAATACGCCTTACGTTTTCCCACATTGAGGTCTTTTCAAATCCTTTCCCTCTTTCAGAATATTCTTCCTTCTAAACTTTGACTGGCTTATGCTTACTCACGCGTCAGAGCTCAGCTAAAATATCACTTTTCTAATGCTCCTGACTAGGCCTGCTATAAACCCTGTCATCTATTCTCTTAGCAAATTTTGTTCATAATACTTCCAACAGTTTTTAATAATTAAGTGATCCCACACATGAAGATTTACATGTACTGAGCAATCAGTATGTACCAGGCATTATCCTTACTGTTCAATGAATGTTTGCTGAATGGATGCACAAATGAATGAATATATTAATCAATGAAATTAGCCAAGAAATATAAATTAACAACTTAAATTTTATCCAGTTTATATTCATACTTCCTTTTAATCTCTAAATTATAATATCTTCCCATGTGACTACTGGAAGCTCTAGCTTGTCCCTTAAATATAAAGGTCTTCAGGAAATTCTAATGTGTTCCATTAATCGTTCCTGGATGTAATCCAGCAGAAAGCATATGAAATTTGGATAATAATAGCCAAAATGTATTGGGTTATTACCATATGCCAAGGATTATTTACATATATCATATTTGTAAATATATAAAACATCTTTGTATTCCTATCTACCTCTGTGCATGTGTGTGTGCTTATGTATATATTCTCAATGCTCACAACACCTCAATGAGGCTGATTTAGTGTCACTCATATGTTACAAAAGTGGAAACCAAGACCCAGGTAAAATAAATGACATCCCCAAGTCTGTATGTGGTGGAACTTAAAGGTGGAGACTGGAAAGGGCAGCCCTCACATTCCCTAGTCCAAAGCCTCTCCATAAGGGTTTCCTACTAAGTATCTTTCTCTGACCTACCGTCCACAATCATATTGTTGTGACTACTTTACGTCCTCTAAACAGAAGTACTCCTGCCAATAGAGTTGTCAGAAAAAACATGTAACATGTCTCATGCCAATAGAGTTGTCAGAAAAAAATTCAAGTTGTCCAGTTAAACTCAAATTTCAGATAAACAACCAATTTTTTAAAATATAAGTATGTCCCGGCCAGGCGCGGTGGCTCACGCCTGTAATCCCAGCACTTTGGGAGGCCGAGGCGGGCGGATCATGGGGTCAGGAGATGGAGACCATCCTGGCTAACACGGTGAAACCCCGTCTCTACTAAAAATACAAAAAAAAAAAAAATAGCCGGGCGCGGTGGCGGGTGCCTGTAGTCCCAGCTACTTGGGAGACAGAGGCAGGAGAATGGCGTGAACCTGGGAGGTGGAGCTTGCAGTGAGCCGAGATAGCGCCACTGCTCTCCAGCCTGGGTGAAAGAGCGAGACTCCATCTCAAATAAATAAATAAATAAAAGTATGTCCCAAGTATTGCACAAAGCATTCACCAAAAAACATATTTTTATTGCGAAATTGAAATTTAACTGAGAATCCTGTATTTGTATTAGCTAAAACCTTACTGAATGAAATCCAGTCCCTTCACCTCCTCCCAGAGTGAGGAGACAATTTTTCCTTTTCTCTGTCACAAGCCCTGCTCTCAACTTCTCATTTCCTATCTTAGTAGGCTGTGGATAACTGTTTCTGCTTTGCTGGTCCATTCTAAGTGGGTCTTCTACCTCTTTATTTACAAAGCAGAGCACATTTTTTTAACTTAATCTCAGTTTATATAGTGCCACATATATGAACACTTCTCATCTCTCCCTATGCCTATACCCTTACTCTCTGTTCCCAGACCATTTCACTCCCTCGTCTCTCAACAAATTATAACTCATGAGGATTAAAAAACTGGGAAATTATCAGTTTAATTGGCTTACTCACCTAGAGAGAACATGTTTCTTAATTTCTGGGGTTTTTTTCCCCCTATCTCAATTCTGAGCACATATTTCTTTAAGTAGTTAGTGTTCAGTAAAGATTTGATTGCCAAATTCTATGTTTTCTTATAATGTTCTTTATAGAGATATGTTAGGCAGCACATTTCTATCATAGAAGAAGGAGTCAGGCAGGTCACTCAGGGTGGCAGTTATTAGGAACTTTCCTGAAGGAAAGAAGAAGAACAAGCCCCATATTAGAATATAATGCCCGGTGAATATTGACAGGCCGGGAGTGTGTACTTTGCGTAGATTTGCAGATCATCAGAGCTAGAAAGGCCATCAGATATGCATGAGAAAAGAGAGGATCTTTTGTTAATGTGTACAGTGATCAAGCTGTGCCATCGGAAAATGTATTGTGGTCCAATCACTGAATCTGGGCTCTAATTTTTAATAGTAGCACAATAGTTGAGAAGTAATTTATCCCTCAGGTACTTTATTTGTCTCTGAAATGGAGATAATAATACTGAGCTATTTACCTCACAGAATTAGTTTTAATGATTAAATAAAATTATATAGGTGACAGCCCTCTGCAAACTGTCGAGTGATATGTGAATACAAGGAAGTATAATTTGTAGCCACTCCTCCTGCAAGGAGGGTTGAAGTTGATGCTTTTGAGGTGGCCGTTTTCCTCAGGGTTAATGCAGAGCCAGTGACCCAGCCCTTTGTTGGAGCCCTGTCTTCCAGATTTGGGTTACTGTAAAAATAATTAAATAAAAAAGATTTAAGACAGCTGCTCTGATCATCTGTAGTCATTAAAAAGATTAGAGGGTTTTCCTTTCTGTCCTAATAATACTGTATTAGTCTCAGCCTCCTGACCAAATTTCAGTCTCAGTAATTGTCTTCCTTCTTACTGTCCCTTAATGGGGTTCAAAAGGTTAATTAGTTGTTTGCAAAATATTAAAGTACTTAAGGGAGGTAATCTAGCAAGACAATAGCTAAATGTAGACCCTTGGTGAATAACTGAAAAGACAGTTGATATAAACAGCTAAGGAAATGGTAATTTCTATTACCATTCTACTAGTATAATAAAAGGTGATTTCAATATAAACTTAAACCTTCTTTTGCAAAAGATGTGTTTGTTATAAACAATGATATAGCGAACTTTAAGATTAAGGACTTTTTGATGTCAGCCTAAAGCTTTTAGCACAAAAAAGAAATATTTAAAAATAAATAATGAAATATAATATCATATTGTCCTTGCAACTAAAATAAATTGATAGATGGTAAGGCAGTAATTTGTATTGACTTAAATAACAAACCATATTAGGACCCTGATATATCCTCAAAGGTGAGAATGTGTTTGTGCATAGTTGTGCACTAGCATATTTTACTGGAATCTATTTCTTACAGATATTGCCTTGACTCATTTAACAGAAATCAATTTACATTATACAAGTATATAATTATATTTTCATATGTATAGCCATTGAGAAGCAGTATATGTTTCTTCTTTTTTGTTTGGTGTTCGCTTGGTTATTTTCCTGTACGATTGTAAGAGGCACAAGCTGGAGATTGCACTAGCAGAAATGACAGAAGATCAGGTGATTGCTATCTGAATCTTTCAGCATATTGCAGCTAGGTGGCCTCAAGGACAGTAATATTTGGTCGATAACATGAAATATTTTAATTGTCTTTGTAACATACACACACACCCCACACATATATATGCATATACATATATATTTTTGTGTGCGTATGTGGGAATGTAATGCATATTTAAATTATGTTATCATTGTACACATTTCCTGCCTATCACTTCTTTTTGCCTGTCAGTAATGACCCTGTAATTTTATTTGAGGGGTGGGAGGGGAAAGTAGCTAATTGAGTAAGTCTGAAATCAAAGTCCATTTTCTAAGTATCCACAAATTATTTAGACAAATTAAATGAAAATACAATCTATAATAAAATAAGAATACAAAAATAGAAAAATGAACAATAAAAACGTGCTAACCACAAGTTCAGCCATGCTCTTTGACAGCCATGGAAGAAAGAAAACAGTTGGTTCTAAAAGATCCTGTTCGAGGAAAGAAGAAACGTTAACTTTTTTCTAAAGATACAATTTCTTCCAGCACTAAATTCAAAAAGAAATGGCTTATACAGTGCTTGATATAGAGAGTCTCTGAGTAATATAGAAAAAATTATTCTCAACGATGATGATACGGGGGAAAAGAGAGAGTTAGAATCCACATAGCTATTTCTCCAAACTGCCATTAGCAAGCAGAGTAGGAATAAAAATGCTTGCTGATCTGACAAAGAACTGCTCAATTCATGCAACTTTCTGGTGGTTTCATTTGTTTTTGGTAAAGAACTGTAAGCATCAAGCGGAATAGATATGGAATCTATGGCCCTTAAAATACTTTTCCTAAATACTACATTTTGTCACAGGAGAAATACTTGATTATATCTCTGAGTTAAAATATGACCTTCTTAAGGGAGCTATGCTTATTCTAAGCAAAATATGTACTATGTAATTATGGATCCACCACATAGCCATTTAAAATCTCATAAATGAGGCATGTATACCCTTATCTAGTCAAATTACTTTCAGAAAAAAATCTATCACAGCTGACATTTGCCTAGGACCCAAAGGAATAGTCAACCTACTTAAAACATGTGTCCATTAAGCCAATGGCTCACAGACAAACTTTTTGAAAGAGTTGTCAATTTTTACTGTCTTCCCTTCCTTGCCACCCACTCACATTTTTCTTAAGGCAAATTGACTCAGTTCCTCACGACTCCACCAAAACTGTTCTTAATAAGGGCACTGATGATCGCTGTTTTGCTAAATTCAGTGGATACTTTTTGCTTTTTTCATCTTTTCTTTATTCATTCCATAAATATTTGTTGATTGTCAACTGTGGGTCATGCACTCTCTTCATAGAAAGAAAGATATCGAATAATAAAATTTCAACGATAAGTTAAATGATGAAAAAGTACAGGGTACTATGGAAGTATATGACAAAAGACATCATAGGAAATCAACTGACCTCTCAGTAGTACTTCCCCTCTGTGACACTACAATTCACTGTGATTTCCTCCTTCCTTATTGACTGTTCTTTCTGTTTCCTTGCTGACAACGCCTTCCCTATTTGACCTTTAAATATTTGCTAAGGACATTTGTGCTTTACATAAAACAGTTCTGGTCATTCTGGCATAACTATCAACTCTCAAAATTCTCTCCCTTTAACTCTCAAAAGAGTCCAGGTTTGGACTGTAAGTGATATGGCCATTTTTCTACCTGATCTCATTCAGTACCAAAGCATTAAATAGCACATATATATATGCTGATGACTCCCAAACCTTTTCCTCCAATGTGCCATTTTTTTTGAGCTACTGACCTATATGTTGAACTGCCTGCTTAGTAAATAACAATTTGATCTCTCCCTGGGAACTCGAGCTCAGAATGGCCAAAACTGAACTTAATATGCTGTCCTCACTACATATCTAGTTGTTGAAGCCACAAACCTGGCATTCAACTTTGAATCCTTCCTCTCTGACATATCCTTATTGTCAGTCAACCACCAAAACCCGTATACTACATTCTACCCATACCTTAAGTCATAGTGCTCAAGTCTAGCCAACCAATGTCTCTCACCGGAATTGTTACAACCATCTCCTAACTGTGCTCCCAAGTTTTATGCCCACATTCCCATTAGTTACTCTTCCACATAGCAGTCAATGTGATCTTTCCAAATCTCATTAGATCAACATCTTGTTGAAAACTCTAGTGATTTCTCATTGAATTCAGAGTAAACACCAAACCTTCAACACATCACATCCCTGCCTTTATTTCTAGTCTCACTTTGTAGCTAATTCCACCTTTGCTCACTACACGCCAGGCACACTGCATTCTTTCTGTTTGAGAAACTTTGCCTACTATTCCAATGCAACTATTATTTCCTTAGAGAAAGTCACATGTCCTCTTTATGCATTCAGATGTATTTATTTCCATAGTAATCATTACCAGTAAGTAGATAATTGTGTCTTAAGTAAGCTAAAAATTACTTATTTTGGTGTCTGTTTTCTTTTCCTGGCTATACACTCAGTGAGGACAGCAATTTTTGTCTGCTTAAATATTTTTTGTCTGCTAGAAATATTTTTAGCACAGTGCCTGACACATTATAGACTTCCAATAAATATTTCGTAAAACATGAAATAATGGAAGGGCCATGGTTAGATGGGGAAAAGTGTCTTTAGACACTTCCTCGTCACCTGAAAAGAATTTCAGATTGCTGATACTTCAGAATACACTCTAGATTGAAAGTTTGAAGATAAAAGAAGTATAGGGCTCAGGATGAACTCTTGGAGAAAAGCTCCCTTCCATTAGAAATACTTGTTTTGCACTTCACCTAAGAATGAAATTCCTGTTGTGTTAAGTCATTGTGACTTATTTCTCTTCAGCAGTTTGTGTTGTCTTAAATATCCTTTGCTTAATGCTTCAAGGCAAATTTGAGTTTCAATTTGACTGATGAGATTATCAGTGACTACAGAGCTGTACCAATTAGTTTCAGATATTTGATTTATGTTCAATTGACTGTGATGATGAGAACGGTTAGAATAAGAGCAATCAAAAATATACCTTGATAACCATTAATGATATGTCATGAAACTTTTGCAAGAATATTTCTACATTTTATAATCTTCCAGGAAAAGGATCTTATTAATTTTTTTCACTGAGCAGGAGCCCTGTTAACTAAGCTTTTAGACTCAATCCCTTAGTATCTTAATAAATTGGGACCATTTATTTGTAATTGATAGAGGAGGGAGGGTTTGGACAGAGAAGAATACTACTATAAGCAAAAACGAGGAAGATATTTAGGTTGGTAAGACATTCATACTTGTCTAGTCCCAGGGATTCCTTTGAGTTCCTAATGTTAGAAGAGCCAGACATTTGTGGAACTGGAGGCCATTATGTTAAGTGAAATAAGCACAGAAAAACAAATAATGCATGTTCTCATTCATATGTCAGCGATAAAAAGTGGAGCTCATGAAGACAGAGAATAGATTGATGGTTGCTGAGGGCCAGGAAGGGGAGGGGAGGACAAAAGGAAAAAAAAGAACACGTGTTTCTGTATTAAGTATACACTGAACTACACACTTAAAAATAGTAAAGATGGTAAATTGTGTATTATTAAAACTGCTTATGATTTGGGGAAGGGTTGAGGGCAAGGCTGGACACAAATTTGAAGGGAAATGTAGATTCTAGGCACAAGCAAAGCTAAGCTGCTTCAGTTTCCAGGTAACAAATTATAACAATTTTTCTCCACCTCTGCATAAAATGTAGACATGTTTTGGCACTCGGAGGGCTAGAAGCATCTACATTTAACATGCTTAGTATAAGAAATAATTTTCTTAGAACTGGTTATAATCTTTGTAAGATGTCTTCAACTAGACTCATATGCAGCAGATGTAGACAAATGGAAGTAAGTTCAAGAGAGAAATCACAGCCGTATGGTGACTCCAGCTAACAGTCAGGTTAGTGCACATATGTAAGGCAGCCCTTCAGAGATTCCAAGACAGGGGCTAAAATGCAAGCAGTTTAACCAATGGGATCCACTGGTTTATGAGAAAAAAAATGTGTGCTTACTTATTAGTGACAAGTAGTAAATTCTGAAATATTTGGGTTATCCTATAGCCATGAAATTCAGTAAAGTATAATGGAAGAAATTAGGTATTTCATGCGGTTCCTTAATTAGAACTACCATTAATTTTTGTAAATTAGTTGAAAAATTTACCGATCCATCTAATGGCTTTCATGAGGCCACTCTGCTAGTATTCAAAATGAGTTTCTGTTTCTTTTACACTACACTGGAGCAACCTGACCTCATTGTCTTGTAAGCTCCCATAATAACAACCTCACATTTTCAGTTGGGCATTTTTACTTCTCTGAACTTTGTACCTACTATTTTATTTATATTATTTGTGTACAAAGTTTATCCTTCCTGCTAAAATGTGAGCTCCTTGAGGACAGAGATAGTATCAGAATTGTTTCTGTGTCGTCAGTGTTCAAACATCTCCTGGTCCATAGCATATGTTCAGTAATCTTTTACTGAGTAAATATTTGACTTTTTGTCAAATAAACTATATAGATTTATAAAAATAGCCTCCTTTCAAACTCTCTATCTCAGCATAATGAAACTTAAATTTAATATCAAAGTATCCTGGGACATTAGTGAAATAGGTCAGTAGACATATGCAAAAAGCCAGGATTTAAGTGGAGCAAAGATGAAGAAGCTAATCAGTCTCTAACGTTAGATGGCTAGAGTGGGACAAAGAGCCATCAGTCCAACAATCAGTTCAGCAATCAGTGCCCAAAGTAGCATGGTGAACTGGATTTCAACCTAAGCAAATGTTGCTATTTAAGTGGATGATAGCTGGTATCACGAGAGTAGAATTGCATTCTGATGCATGTTACTGGTTTTCCATGGTCCTCCTAGTATAAAGACCCCAGCCACTGCTTACAGTTATGGAGAGCAGAGGCTCATGCAAGCATTGCAAATGAACTTCATCTTAGGTGTCAATTGAAATTAATAGTAGAGAATGCCCCCAGCACTTATTTGAAAAGGATTATAAAACCACATTTGGCTTCCAAAAAGGGAAAAGCTCATAACCGATTATTAAAGTCCAGCCAGGTATACAGGATGAGAAATAAGCATGGGTAATATTTGTACAGTATTGGCAAGCACAAAGTACAAAGTTTAAGGAGACGGTTTCAGCTTAATGAACATGCCAGATTTAAAACTTGGGATAAGATTAATTTTAAAACACACCCTAATTCTGAGGGTTGTACTCCAGTTATCCTGATTGCCCTAGCAAGTATTTGTCTAAGAACTACACGAGATTTGGCCAACTCATTATAAAAATCATTGCCAGAATCTTAGTGGGGTTGAGGAAGGTGGAGGCCGACAAGTTATCTAAAGTTTAGTTACATCTTAATTTTTGTTTCCCACCTAATAACAGATCTAATATATTTGAATGGAGAAAAGCTCCTCTTTCTTCTTCTGCAGGGCTCAAAAAGTAGGTTCGTGGCCCAGCTTCACATCTCATCAGTGATTTGTGATTGTCGAGAGGATACTGTTTTTTCCTTTGTCCCCAGGTTTCCTTGGACGATGTCACCAATGAAATCTTAGTGTTTTATATGCCCTTAACTGAGTACAAGCTGCTAGCATAGCCAGTGCCACTGGGAGGAGGAGATTACCATGGATTTCCTGTGCATCACTCTTGGATAACTGGAAATAGGTTTGAAACATTTAAGGCAAAATAAAAATAACATTCAAAAACAGAATGTTCAAAGCCACTTTGTGCTGTTTGCTTCCAAAATACAGTGACAACAACAGTCCTGATCTGCAGTGGCTTGTTTCGAAAGAGTAATACGTGTTTTATCTTTTCGCTGTACTGAATTTAAATGTACTATAGGTAAATTAGGACATTCTGGCATAGTCCTAGTCAGTAATATAAAATTTATCTAGAGCAACCAAGTCCTGGCACAGTAACTGCTCTACCACTAAGCTTTCAAGAATAAGAACTAATAATATATTAGACATTAAATGTTCAATGTGCTAAAAATGAAATGAGAAACTGAGATTGTGTTGATTTTTGTTGTTATTTCCAACCATGTTCAATGTCTTAACACATAAGAAAGTATGTACTGCTTTTTCTGTTTTACAAATGAGGAATCTGAGTCTTCATTAGTTTAATGTCCTTGAAATCACACAATCTGCAAACAAGAATTTGAAAAAAAGTATCTTTCTCCTATGCTCGTATATACATTTTTTTTTACTGCTCACTGCTTTCTCAGACTTATCCCTGCCATTGAGCCATACGTTGGCAGCATAGACCCTAGAATTTAGAGAGGGTTGGGATTGGTCGAGAGGGAGATACTAGGTCGGTGCAAAAGTAATTGCTGTTGTTTTGCGCCAACCTAATAATACGGGAAAGTAGCATTGATTTCGTGCTGTGATTGAAGAGTCACTGAAGGTCAAAGCAGATTTTAATAAGGAATCAGATGTTTGTTGGTAGTGGTGGTGAAGGGGGGTAATTTAACCCTTGTGCCAAAAGTGGGCCCAGGGGTAGAGAACTCAAATGGAAAAAGGAAATGTGGAATGCTATAATCAAATGATTGCATTGAAGCAGTAAACAGTTGAAGTAGAGTTTTTGATCCTAGAAATAGAAAAGAATGAATGCGTAAGAAATAAAATATAAAGGAACAGATGCTTGAATGTTTAGATAAGCACCAGCAAAGAAAGGCAGAATGACTCGGAGTCATGATTCCGGATGACTAAGGAAAGGACAGAATTTTTAAACTAAGTAAGAAAGCCAGAGAGATCCAGTTAGAGGTATTGTATCAATATCTAATGACAAACTAAAATGAAGAACTTCCAAGAATAATAGCTTTGGGATCACTGCCATCCTCATTCTCACATTCCTGATTTTTCATTCAAACTAGTAACGGAATATACAAAAAATGAATACTGGAAAAAAAGGCATGGATACTATTTAGTTATCAGAAATGTCAAGGAATTCTCACTAGATATAATGAGAATTGGATCAAACTGATGAAGGATGTAGAGAGCTACTCAACATTATTCCTCTTGAGAAAGAGTAAGACACCTTTGGCGTAAGTAGGAGAGAAACAAAATCCACCTTAACATGTCTTCATTCAGAAGGTGCGAGATGAACATGAGGAGACTACGGGGCTCTGAAATTATATTTTAGTCATATGCTCACTAACTTGTATAGGCCAGAAATATTTGAAACTTATTAGGTCATTGTAGTGACCTAGGATTTGAGCAAACTAAGAAAACCCAAGCACTGGCAAAGTGGCAGGGCCAGGCAGAGTTGTAACACCGCAAAGGATTGTTCAAGAGAATTACCACCAAATTCTAGATCTATATCAAATAGCCACCCCATTTAAAGGCCATGGAAATAAATTTAATTTATTATTTCATTCAACAAATATGTGAGCGTTTTTATTGCATTAGTCTCTTTTATTGAGAGTCACTCTTTATTGAGTCTTAGCCTCTTTACTGAGAGTCTACCATGTGTCATGTGCTGTTGTAGGGAATGGCAATAATTTAATGAAGATGACAGGCAATGTTTCTGCTCTCATAAACTCTACTTCCAGTGGAAGGAGATAGGCAATAAATAAACATGTGATGTCAAGTAGTATAAGTGCTATAAAAGAAATGAAAACAGTGCAAAAGCATTAGACCGTACTACAGTGAAGAGCGGAGTATTGCTATTTTACAGAGAGTGAAAAGGAAGACTTCCCTAATAATATTTCTCTGAGCAGATAGCAGAATGAAGTGTGGGAGGAAGCTATGCAAAGCCCCAAGGAAGATCATTTCACACACAAATGATAGAGAAAAAGCCACAAGGCAGGAGCATGCCTGGTGTGTTTGAAAAGTGGCAAGGGAACCAACGCAGTTAAGATGGAGTAAAAAAGAAAGAAAATGGTATGGAATGAGGTCAAAGGTAGAGAGGATGAGATCATAGTTCTTAATTGGAGGGATTGAAGCATGAGGCTGTCATCATCAGACATTCAAATTTTCAGAAATTACACTTTCCAAAGAAATTACTTAAATGCCTTACCTGAAGAAATTTAAGAAAAAGAATCACTGAAGAACTAAAGAATGAGGGTATCACTTCTAGAAGAAACTGATTAAGTATGAAATCCAATAAAATATATGGAACTGGGGGGTAGAAATAATTTTTCTAAATATGGTTATATATTTGATGATATGTTTACTTTGAATAAGATGTTTTTATAAAAAAAAAGGTCATCACAGGATAAATAAAAGACTGCAGAAATGAAGAAAGAGGTGGATGATATTTGTTAACTGCTTTCTACAACAAACAATAAAAACATTATTATTTTCACTTTGGTGGCAAGTTCAATATAAAATTAAGAATGTTTTGAAAAGTTTTGAGATCACCACTTCTGGAATTAAATTCAGATTGCCTGTCTTTTAAATCACTGCAGAAAATAATAATGAACAAAAATTCTTATAAAAAGTCTAGGTAATAACATTGTATATTATAGTTGAAATTTACTAAGAGAGAAGATATTGAATGTTTTTGCCACATAAAGAAATGTAACTATGTGAAATGATAGATACGTTAATTAACTTGATTGTGGTAATTATTTCACAATGTGTACATAAATCATCACATTGTATACCTTAAATATATAAATTTTTATTTGTCAATTTTACCTCAATAAAACTGAAGGATAACATCTAAATGGAAATTTAAAAATAAGAAGCAATAAAAGTCAGCTTATAAGAAGGTGGGAGAAGCAAAATCAAACATAACATTAGCAATGACAAATGAACATTTATTAACTATCTTATTGAAAAAAAATATCCTCAGGCTTTCAGTTGTTTTATCCTAAAATTAGCTACTTATGAGAGACATAGTGACAATAAAACAATAAACAAAATTCAGGGAAAGCACTATATGAAATAAAATAATAATGTATATCAATAAAATATATTATCTATAATAAAAAAGCAAGTGTGGGGCTTTGTGTGCGATAATGACATCAAAGTATATAAAAGCGAGAAGTTCTATAAATTGAATTTAAAAAGAAAAATAGGAAGGAAAGAAGGAAGAATGAAAAGAAAGAAAATACTGTAAAAACATAGCACAGTCCAGTGCAGTGAAGATCATATGTAACAGTCAAAATATGATACATCAAGAGAAAATTAGAAATAAATAATTATATAAAGATGTTATAATCTGAGTAATAAATGTACAAATATATGTATGAGTTAAATTTGTCGGAAAGCCCTTTGACTGCACTTAAAAATATAAACAGAATCCGGCCAGGCACGGTGGCTCACACCTGTAATCCCAGCACTTTGGGAGGCCAAGGCGGGTGGATCACTTGAGGTCAGGAGTTCGAGATCAGCCTGAACAACATGGTGAGAACCCATCTCTACTAAAAATACAAAAATTAACCGGGCGTGGTGGCACACTCCTGTAATCCTAGCTACTTGGGAGGCTGAGGCAGGAGAATCGCTTGAACCCAGGAGGCGGAGGTTGCAGTGAGCCAATATCGCACCACTACACTCCAGCCTGGGCGACAGGGTGAGACTCTGTCTCAAAAAAGAAAAATTATATAAACAGAATCCATCTATACATAACAGCCTGCATGGCTACCATCCTCATCCAAGCCAGAGACAACTTTTCATTTTACTCAGAATAAAAGCCCTGGCTTATGATGGCTTACAAGATGTAGATTTACATTAACTCTTTCTCCAAACTCCTATTACTGCCTATACCCTTATGGAACACTTGATTTCAGCTACACTGGTATTCTTACCTTTCTGTGTACAGGGCCTTTGTAATGGCCCTTTCCCTATTTAAATATTCTTTTTCAAGATAGCTGCACAGATGCCTTTCATCAAACATGACCTTCTCCATTTACTCCTACTCTCTTTCCTCTTCTTTATCTTGTTCCATAGCACTTACCACCTTCTAAGTATTATATAATTTACTCATTATGTTGTCTGTATACACACACAAACACACGTACACACACACACTCAGTAGACTAGAAGCTCCTTGGGGACAGGATCTTTTGCCTGTTTTAGTCACTCATATATTCCCAATTTCTAGGACACTGTTTCGCATGCTGCAGGTGCTCAATAATTATTTGACATATGGATAAAAACACTGCAAACAGACTGTGAATAATATTTACTCATTAATGACACATAATTTTGTAGAAATATATAACATGAGAGGTAATTTTAACACAGTGTTATATGAGTTAAAAGGCATACCAATATATTCAATATGCTATCTTTTGCATGAGAAAATATGTCTGTATTTATGTTAATGTGAGCACAATAAAATATATTGCAAGGGTATATATCAAATTTCTGTGGTGTTCTTATGTAGGTGGTGATTATGGGTGATTTTTATTCTGCTTCTGTCTTTGTATCTCCTAGACTTTCGATTAGATGTATATATTAATTTTTAATCATAAGAAAACATAAGTGTTATTTTTAGAAGTGATAAGACTAGTCCAAAATTTTTCTAAAAATCTTTATAAAACTACCATGGCTGACTTACAAAACTGAAATAAGAACCAAGAGACAGATCAATGGATTAAAATATTGAATACATTACAATATTCACATAGGAAACCACCAAACTCTGTCTAATCCTAATCAAGATTCTGCAAATAGGTTTCATCATATATATTAGTTTGATTAGATACTAGTAGCCATCTGGACCTGGAGTTGAGAAGGCTTCTGAGGCCAGATACAGGCTTGATAGGGAAGAGTGCGGTGAATGTTTAGGCATATCCACCATGAGTACAAGAGAAAGCCGCAGCATTTCTAACATCCTGAATGTAGTCTTTGCAAAATGAATGTTCTTAAGTCCATAGAGCATGGTTAGATTATGTAATAAATTTTGTTTAGAGTAATTACTACTTCGAAAAATGTCAAATTTGATTTTCATCTCAAACATCATGTTGTATACCAAAGGAAGGTGGGGAGACTTAGATGTATTAAAGGGTTGTACAATTTTAAAAACTTATGAAAAATAGGGGATTAACACTTATTTTTAGGTTAGAAAGGGATGGTTCACTCATAAAGAAAACAGAAGTAATAAAAAGACAGCAATAAAAGTTGACAGTGTTAACAGTAAAAAGTATATACCTAGATATGCATAATAATAAGAATGAAAGGAAATGTCCTATACTTAGCACATTTAATTTCTTTACATTTTAAAAAATTTCTTCCAATTTCCTATTGTAAATATGTATTTCCTTTGAAATTGGAAAAGCACATATATTGTACAATTAAACATATATCCTCCACATATGTAGAAATAGAGAATTAGAGCTCAAAAGAAAAGTGAGGTCTGATGGAGTATTAGAAGTAAATACATCCAGGAATGGTGGCTCAAGCCTGTAATCCCAGCACTTTGGGAGGCCAAAGTGGGTGGATCACCTGAGCCCAGGAGTTTAAGAGCAGCCCGGGCAACATGGCGAAATCACCACAAAAAAAAAAAAAAAAAAAAAAAAAAAAAAAAAAAAAAAGGAAGAAGGCAGGAAGGAAGGAAGGAAAGAGAGAGAGGAAGGAAGGAAGGAAGGAAGGAAGGAAGGAAGGAAGAGAGAAAAGAAAGAAAGAGAGAAAAGAAAGAAAGAAAAGAAAAGAAGGAAATAGTTAGCCAGGTGGTGGTTCGTGCATGTAGTTCCAGCTACTCCGGAGGCTGAGGTGGGAGGATCACCTGAGCCCGGGGAGGTCGAGGCTGTAGTGCACTGTGATCATGCCACTGCACTCCAGCCTGGGCGACAGAGTGAAACCCTGAAAAGAAAGAAGAAAGAGAGAAAGGGAGAGAGAGAGAGAGAAAGACAGAAAGAAAGACAGAAAGAAAGAAAGAGAGAGAGAAAAAAGAGAGAGAAAAGAAAGAAAAGAAAAGAAAAGAAAAGAAAAGAAAAGAAAAGAAAAGAAAAGAAAAAAGAAAAGAAAAGAAGGAAATAGTTAGCCAGGTGGTGGTTCGTGCATGTAGTTCCAGCTACTCTGGAGGCTGAGGTGGGAGGATCACCTGAGCCCGGGGAGGTCGAGACTGTAGTGCACTGTGATCATGCCACTGCACTCCAGCCTGGGCGACAGAGTGAAACCCTGAAAAGAAAGAAGAAAGAAAAAAGAAAGAAATAAATAAAAAGAAAGAAAGAGAGAGAGAAAGAAAGAAAGAAAGGTATCTTTCTTTAATACATCTTTAAAGATGTATTTAAAGACCCTTTAATAACATCTTTAAAGATGTATTTAAAGACCCTTTAATAACATCTTTAAAGATGTATTTAAAGACCCTTTAATACATCTTTAAAGATGTATTTAAAGACCCTTTAATACATCTAAGTCTCCCCACCCTCCTTTGGTATACAGCATGATGTTTGAGATGAAAATCAAATTTGACATTTTTCGAAGTAATAATTTCTCCAAACAAAATTTATTACATAATCTAACCATGCTCTATGGACTTAAGAACATTCAGAAAGAAAGAAAAGAAAAGAAAAGAAAAGAAAAGAAAAGAAAAGAAAAGAAAAGAAAAGAAAAGAAAAGAAAAAAGAAAGAGAAAGAAAGAAAGAAAGAGAAAAAGAAAAAGAAAGAAGTTAAGCCAAAGAAAGTACTTCAGAGACACCTCTTCAGAGTAGAAGCATGAAGGAGGAAAGAAACTTCCAATTTTCTTAACTTAAAGCTGATGAAGATCTAGGAGTGCTCTGTCAGCATGAAGGGCTTTCGCTGCATTCTATAGATTTGGAGCAATTAAAGCTCCTCCTTTTCTTTTCTTCTCTCTTTTGTTTTTGTTTGTTGGATCATTTGCTTTTTCATCAGTCTTCCTTTTTTTAATACAGGCAGGGCATGAGGATGACCCTTCCTGCTAAGTGGATTCTCCCTCCCTTTACTGGGCTCCTATGGGTCTGGGCACTTTCCTCAGTCCCAGGGTTTCCTACAGGGTAGTGGGACCACATGACACATCTATCTCTCCATCAGGCTGAGTACCTGAAGAACACAGCCTGCATCCTTTTATCTCTCTGCCAAGCACCTGCCACATTGCCTAGCCATTTATGATCGTGAAAAAAATGTTGATAAAAAAATGATGAATGGCATGGTGATAGAGAAAAACAAAATCCTAGTGACATTTTTGCCCAATCAAGTCCTTTTAACAGATTTAAAGGAGATCTGCGTCAACATCTAAACAAAGTAGTGGAGTAGAAAGAGGATAGGCCACATTAAAACAGAGCCCAGGCTTTGGCGTCAAACAGATCTCAATTCAAATCCACACTATCCCTTAGCTGTGTTGACTTGAAAATGTATACACTGACTATCTGTAAAGGGGGACCATAATACCCACCTCCTAAAACTGTCACTGGGGTGAATGAAGTATTGAATGTGAAATGCTTTATAAGTTGTTCAGTGCTACATGAAATAAAGGGCTATTGTTAAAAACTTAATGAAGGTCTAGACATTGCAGTTGTTCCATATATGAACAGGAGAATTTCTGTTGGATTTTCCCAGGATGCCACAAAGAATAAGTGAATTCGTGTGGGGATAAAGCAATGCAGATTGTGAATAACTATGTTTAACCACCCTTACCTACTATAGCTAAACTTGTTCAAATTTCATCATCTTCTCTCGTGCCTGGCACACAGTAGGGATTTAATAGTTGTTTATTTAATTTAACATAATCTTGGGCTTGCACAGAGGCCTAATGAGTGGTCAAGTTATTTCACAACCTACCTTCTTTATTATGTTTTCCTCTTTAGTATAAATGACCTTGTGAGGTAGGTGAAAGGTGAATTTTGGAATGAATTATTGGAAGGTTTATCTTGTGTTATATTTGAGTTAGATCTACGTGACAAACAGTTCAAATATATTACTTTATTTTCCTTCTGGAAAACCTGTTCACAATTCCAAATATGAAACCAGAATCTGGCTATTCCAAGGTGTTAAAGTAGCAAAAAAAATATTATGTGGATAATTATTATATATGAGGAATTGAACTAGAATGGCACACCACACATCATATCTCTAATATTCACAGCAAACTCGTGAAGTAGGCATGAATAACTCTGTTTGATTACAGATGAGGAAACTGATGCTCAGAGGAGCTAAGCCACTTTTCTAACATCAATAGCTAGTGAGAGTAAGAATTAGACTGTTTTAACTTGCAAATGTTCAAAGCTTAAGACTAATGGAAACCAAATAGCAATGTGAATATAGCGAACTAAAATTTTTAAAAGGTGAAAAATTACGAAGCATATAAGGTGAAAAGAAGAAAAATGAGACGATAACAGTTGACAGATTTGGGAGTATAGAGGAAAAAAAGAAATATGACTAATGCAGAACAGATATGAGGTGAATGAAGATGAAAACTGTGTTGGGCTTAATGACAATCTGACACAAAGCTCTCAAACCAGTGTTATATTTGTTCTCCTAAAGCACGATCCTTGATAGGGCTGCGGGAAGAGTCTATGTCTTCACCAGGAATACTTTTTGGTAATAAAACAGCAAATACTTAGAATGTTTTGAAGCTATTGCCTAGAACACTTATTGGAGGCAGATATTTAAAAAAATTATAGTTGAAATATTATCTCATTTCCTATCAAATGCTTGTTTTTCTTGAATTGAAAGCTTCCCAATAAATCTTATTCTCTGTATTAGTTCCTTGTTTTTTCCTTTTACTGCACCTCAAATAAAAACAAAATTGTCCTCAGGTTAGCAGACATTTTTCTTTTAAACAAGACTTATTCTGAAAATTAACACACTTCGTAGCTCAGAAGTGCCATGAATATTAATAATGTACACATATTTTAATTCAATTTGACAAATTGTTAGATCTCTCAGAAAACATGGCAAATATAGATGCTGGTTACAGCTTTTAAATTCCCTTATAAATATATCAGTGTTACTTCTCCTAAGGGAAAAATGAGAAAGACTAACATAATCTTCATCACAGATACTAATAAAAGTTATTCAGAGGGATGAAAACCCTTTATCAGATAAGACCAGAAGATAGCTTTTTATGTATTTATTGCTATTAAAAATTTCATCACTTGATAATTTCAGGAAATACATAACAATACTTGAATAATAATGCTGTAGACTGCTTATTTGCAAATATGTATAGACTAAGAGAAATAAATTTTATTACAGAAATTATTGATTAATATTCAAAATGAGATGGCAGTATTTCTGCCATGTAGGAAACAAGTGCCAAGAATATTAAATTTAGAAGAAATTTCTCAACATTTATAGCAAGTGGAAAACATTGTTCTTTCTTTCTTTTTTTTTTTTTTTTTTTTTTTGAGAGGGAGTTTCTCTCTTATTGCCCAGGCTGGTGTGGAAAGGCGGGATCTCGGCTCACCGCAACCTCCGCCTCCCCGGTTTTAAGTGATTCTCCTGCCTCAGCCTCCTGAGTAGCTGGGATTACAGGCATGTGCCACCATGCCTGGCTAATTTTGTATTTTTAGTACAGACGGGGTTCCTGCATCTTGGTCAGGCTGGTCTCAAACTCCCAACCTCAGCTGATCTGCCCGCCTCAGCCTCCCAAAGTGCTGGGATTACAGGCATGAGCCACTGCGCCCAGCCCAACATCGTTGGTTCTTTACTGCAACATACTCCTTTGGTTTTGGTTTAGGTTCTAGGAGGGAGAGAAAGTTCTGATAGCACTTATCCATTTTTGGATTAACATGTAGTCTATTTATAAGTAAATTCCCAAAAAGGAATACTGTGTAAGGCATACCATGTGAGTATAATAAAAAGTGAAAATTAATAGCTAAAATTTAAAAACAAAAGAAACAAAATGGAAATCTTCTATTTGAAAAACTACTGGATAATATAGGAAATCAAAACTTACATGAGATCATTCACAAAATAACAAAAGTATAGTACTTAATAAATACATAATATGAAGCCAAAGTATAAGAGTGCTAATCCTTTAGGGCTAAATGCTTTTACTACAAGAAAACACTCAAAACATTAATCTCAAAAGATTGGAAAAAGAACAACAAATTCAATGAAAAACGAATAGACTAGAACCATAAGATCATAACTGATAACATCGAAAACAGGAAACTGATGAAGTTGATAAATAAGCTAAATAACTTATTTAGAAAAAAAGAAAAAGGTCAATTTTAAAACATCTAGGTAGTGTAATCAAGACAAAATGAAAAAAATAAGTATAGACAGCATTAGATATATTAATAGGTTATGAACCAGATACAGATGTATTTATAAACTATAAGAAATAATTTCAATGTTAAATTTTGACAAACTGACGATAAACTAGGAAATAAAATTAAACAAAACTGGTTGAAGTAGAAAACCACCAAAACTTAAGAAAAAGCTAAATAATATGGTCAGGAAAACAGCTGCACATAGTTTTATCATTGTTGAAATTGAAGAAATATGTTATATAAACACCAGAGTAAAGGTAAAAATTGAAATTTTCAAATTTATGGTTTCATAACCTTGGCAGCAAAATCTGATAAAGACAAATGAGAAGAAGTATATAGGTCAATCTCACTTAGGACTAAAGTTACCTATATTTAGACACATGATTAAATGCAGTATTTTGTTTTATCTGGGAATGATAGAACACTTAAAATTAAGAAAATGTTTTTATCAGCTTTACTGAGGTATAATTGACAAATAAAATTTATATATTTAAGGTGAAATAATTGATTATATATGTATATATTGTGAAATGATCAACACAGTCAAGTTAAAACGTCCATCACCTAAGTTAATCTGCGTGTGTGTGTGTGTGTTAAGAACACTTATGATATATTCATTAACGTATGTCAAGCATATAATAGAGTATTATTAAGTATAGTCACAATGCTGTACATTAGATTTCCAGAATTTATTCATCTGTACCTACCCTTTGACCAATATCTCCTCGTGTCCCTAAACTCCCTGACCCTGGCAATCACCATTCTCCTCTTTGTTATGAGTTTGACTTTTTTAGATTCCACATATAAGTGAGACAATACAGAATTTACATTTCTGTGTCTGGCTTCATTCATTCATTATAATGCCCTCCAGGTTCATCTATGTTGTTGCAAATGGCAAGACTGCCTTCCTTTCTATGAATAAATAATATGCTATTTTGTATGAGTCTCACATTTCTTTCATCTATTGATGGGCACTTAAGTTGTTTGCAAATCTGAGCTATTGTGAATAATGCTGCAATGAACATTAAAGTGCACATACCTCTTTCAGATGTTGACCTCATTTCCTTAGGATATATATGCAGAAGTGGTATTGCTGGATCCTACAGCAGTTCTAATTTGCATTTTTAGAGAAACCTCCCTACTGGTTTTCGTAATGGCTGTACCAATTTACATTTCTAACAACAGTGAACGAGGGTTCCCCTTTCTCCACATTCTTACCAACACTCATCTATTTTTCTTTTTGATAATAGTAATTCTAACAAACGTGAGGTGATGTCTCCTTGTGGTTTTAATTTTCATTTCTCTGCTAGTGACGTTGAGAAACTTTTCATTCATGAACCTATTGGCCATGTGTCTGTCTTCTTTGGGAAAATGTCTATTCAGGTCTTTTGCCCATTTTTAATGGAGTAATCTGCTCCTTGGCTATCAAGTTGTATGAGTTTTTTATATATTTTGGATATTAACCCCTTATCAGATATATGGTTTGCAAATGTTACCACATTTCATAGGTTGTCTTTTTCTTTTGTTGATTGTTACCTTTGTGTGCAGATTTTTTTTAGTTTGATGTAGCCTCACTTGTTTATTTTTGTTTTCTTCGCCTGTATTTTCAGTGTCTTATCCAAAAAAATCATCACCAAGATTGAAGTCATGGAGATTTTCCCCCTATGTTTTCTCTTAGGAGTTTTGTAGTTTTCGGTCTTAATTTAAGACTTGAATTCCTGTTAAGTTAATTTAATGAGTAGTATGAGAAGGGGGTTCAATTTCATTCTTTCCCAGTTTTCCCAACACTGTGTATTGAAAAGGATATCTCTTCCCTATTGTCTATTCTTCATGCCACTGTCAAGTGTTAGTTGACCTTATATAATTGGGTTTATTTCTGGCCTCTCTATTCTTTTTTCGATTGTGATCAACACACTTTTGTAACAGACTTTGCAATCAGGAAGTGTGAAATCAGCTTTGTTCTTTCTCAAGATAGCTTTGGCAATTTGGGGTCTTTTGTGATGCCATAGAAATTTTTGATTTTTTTACTCTTCCTATGAACAATGTCATTGTAATTTTGATAAGAATTGCATTGAATCCGTAGTTTGCTGTGACTAGTATGGACATTTTAACAATATAATTCTTCCAATCCATGAACATAAGATACTTTTCCATTTATTTATGTCATTCTTAATTTCTCTTATCAACGTTTCATAATTTTCAATGTTCATATCTTTCATTTTCTTAAATTTATTCCTAAGTATTTTATTGTTTTGATGCTTTGTAACTGGGATTGTTTTATTGGTTTTTAGATAGTTAATTGTCAGGGTGAATAAATAAAATTGATTTTTGTATGCTGATTTTGTAAACTGCAACTTTACTGAATTTGTTTATTAGTTCTAACAGATTTTCTTCATGCAGTCTTTAGGGTTTTCTGTATATTAGATCATGCCATTTCCAAAGTAAAACAATTTAACCTCTTCCTTTTCAATTTCAAAGTCTTTTATTTCTTTTTCTTGCCCACTTGCTCTGGTTAAAACTGTCAGTACTTGAATAGAAATATCCTTGTCTTTTTCCTGATCTTAAAGGAAACACTTTCAGCTTTTTATTATTGAGTATGATAATATCTGTAGGCTTTTCACATATGAGTTTATCATGTTGAGGTTCACTTCTTCTACATCCAATTTGTTGATAGCTTTCATAACGAAAATATGTCAAATATTTTCAAGTGCTTTTTCTTCTATTGAGATGATCATACGATATTTATTCATTCTGTTAGTGTAATATGTCAATTTTATTGATTCACTCAGTCTTCTCTCTGCTTGATTGAATCTACTGTTGAAGCTTTCATTGAAATGTAGTTTAGTCATTGGGTTCCTTAGCTGGAGAAATTCTGGTTTTCTTAATGGTTTCAGTCTCATTTTTTTCTAATTACATTTAGCTGTCTGTGTTTCCTTGTGATTCACTGAACGTATTTAAGAGGATTATTCTGAATTCTTTGTCAGTAATTTTGTAGATCTTCATTTCTTTATGTTTGGTGATCTATATTAGCTATAACATAGATCTAATATACTGGATCTATATTAGCTCTTTGGTGGTCTCATGTTTCCCTGATTCTTCAAGATTCTTGTATTCTTTCATTGACGTCCCTGCATTTGAGAAAGACTCACCTCTTCCAGTCTTTACAAGATTACTTAGGCAGGGAAAAGCCTTCATTAGTCAACTCACCCTGGAGGTTTTCACTGGGCATCTGGTAGTGTCTACAGGGAAGTGGGGTATGCTGCCAGCATCTCTGGTCTTCAGAAGCCACTGCCCATGCTCTGAGGTTGTGTAGGCCTGCTGACTGGGTTCCATGTTTAGAGGGGGCCACATGATATGCTCTGCAGCAGGGTGGTGATGCTGGATGGTTTCCCTAGGTGAGTGAGGCCACAAACTTTGCTTTGGAATTAAGTAGAACTCCCTTTTGTATGTATATGTTATACTTTAAGTTCTGGAATACATGTGCAGAACATACAGGTTTGTTACATAGGGATACATGTGCCATGGTGGTTTGCTGCACCCATCAACCCGTCATCTAGGTTTTAAGCCCAGCATGCATTAGGTATTTGTCCTAATGCTATCCCTCCCCTTGCCCCCTACCCTCCAACAGGCCCTGGTGTGTGATGTTCTCCTCCCTGTGTCCATGTATTCTCACTGTTCCGCTGCCACTTGTGAGTGAGAACATGTGGTGTTTGGTTTTCTGTTCCTGTGTTAGTTTGCTGAGAATGATGGTTTCCAGCTTCATCCATGTCCCTACAAAGGACATGAACTAATTCCTTTTTATGGCCGCATAGTATTCCACGGTGTATATGTGCCACATTTTCTTTATCCAGTCTATCATTGATGGGCATTTGGGTTGGTTCCAAGTCTTTGGTATTGTAAATAGTGCTACAATAAACATACCTGTGCATATGTCTTTATAGTAGAATCATTTATAATCCTTTGGGTATATATACAACCCCGTCAAAAAGTGGGCAAAGGATATGAACAGGCACTTCTCAAAGGAAGACATTTATGCAGCCAACACACATATGAAAAAAGCTCATCATCGCTGGTCAATAGAGAAATGAAAATCAGAACTCCCTTTCTTATATCTTCGCCCACACAGGGCTACTATCTGTCCTCTGTGGTCAGGTACAGTCATTAACTCTGTTCAGCAATTAAGCAGGGTCACCAGACTGGCTCTGTAGCCAGACTGAAATGCTGGCTGGGAACTCTAGCTGGGCAGAACTTCTGGCCATAGGGTCAGCGCTGCAGCTGGGCATTATCATTAGTTGAGTTTTCTAGTTGGGTGAGGTTGCCAGCAGGGACACAGTGCCACTACAAGATTCACGTTCAGGGGTTGTGATTCCCATCCCTCTTCTTTGTTCCTAGTAACCCCGAGTGGTCTAGCCCTGAAAATTTCCCCAATGTTCTTCATAAGGTGAGACAAATTGGACCTCCCAGGGAACACCCCAGAATGCTGGGGAAGCTTAATGTTTACCTCAGTCTGTCTTTTCCCCACTCGAGAAACTACATGCCCAAGGGTTCCTTTTTGTTGTGGTGCTGTGCCAGTTTTGGTGAAGAGGAATGTGGTCAAAGAGAAACTGCTTCTCTTACCCTTGGAATGATGTTTTTGTTAGTTTCTGTGTTTTGAAGGAGTGGTTTCCCTCACCCTTGGGTGCTGGGATATTCACAAAGGTATTTTTGTCTGTAGATAATTGCTCATTGTTTTTTCTGTAAAAGGGACCAGAACTAGAGACTTCCTCGTCTGCCATCTTGTTCTAAAATTAAGAAAATTTTAATATAAACGAACTTACTAAAAAGACAAAGGAACAAAATTATGTGAATATTTAAGTAGATGCCCAAACCATTGAAATTTTCTCAGAGCAAATTTGTCCAAATCAATATTAAATATAATACTATACAATCAATATCTCAATTAGTTCATTAAAAAGTGGCTTAAAAATTTAATGTAAGGTTTGTATAATTCAAATAGAATAAAATACAAATACTAACAAACGGAAACATGTAGTATCCATTATTTAAATATTCTATTAAATCATAAAGCAATATAGAAATGAAAAGGACAATAGGAGGTCCACCAAAAATCTTAGTTTATATAATAATTAAGTATATAATAAAAAGAAATTAAATATGTACTAAAAATGGTTTAAAATCACAAGAAGAAGATGGTGTATTTAACATGTTATGGAGCCAATTAGTCAACTATTTTAAAAATGCATTTTGTGTGTGTGTGTATATATACATATATGTATATATGTTATTTATATAATACAAATTTGATAAATATACTACGCACCCAAAGTCTAGATTCATTAAAAATATATGTAACAGGCAAGCCATAAAAGACCTAAATTTTTAAAAACTAGGTTAATATGTATATAATCTCAAGCTGAGAAAACACTTTGTAACATACAAACAAAAACAGAAGCCACAAACAAAAAGATTGATAAGTTAAGCTACATAGCAAAATATCAAAGTATATATTTTAGTTATTCTACTTACTCTAAGAAGTATTAACTGTTATTAATGCTATTGGTTCAAAACATTATGTAAAATCAGTTAAATAGTAAACTTGAAAAAGGTTTAAAACATATATGATAAAACCTTACTGATTAATATATAAAGAATAATTGTAACTCAATAAATACAGAGAAGCAACCCAATAGAGAAAAGGGGAAAAGGACATGAAAAGACAATTCAAAGGAGAAGAGAAACACAATTCTTGTTCACTGCAGAGCATGAGGAGAAAAGGGCAGCATCCACAAGTAGCTAAGCTGTCTAAACACAGGTCATCTGCTAAATACCCAGATTATGGCTTAGGGCATAAGACAGTGTCTCATATAGCCCTTGAATTTAAGCTGATACCTCTGAATCAGTGTCTTAGTCCATTTACATTATTATGAAGAAATACTGGAGGCTGGGTAATCTATTTAAAGAGTTTAGTTTTCTGGGCTATACAAGAAGCATGACCAACCAGTACCCACATCTGGTGAGAGCCTTAGGCTGCTTCCACTCATGGTAGAAGGCAAAGGGGAGCAGGTGTGTATGGGGAGCATATGGCAGACAGGAAGAGAGAGACAAAAAAGGGAAGTGCCAGGCTCTTTGTAACAACCACCCCCCAGCATTACTGTGAGGACAGCACCAAGAGATTCATGAAGCATTTGCCCCCGTTGACCAAAACACCTCCCATTAGGCCCTACCTCCGACATTGAGGATCAAATTTCAAAATGAGATTTGGATGGGGCCAAACAAATTAAAATATAGCAATCAGCAAATATTTGCATAATAGTCCTTTACTGCAAATATTTTTTGTCTCACGCGCCCGTGTGAAGAGACCATCAAACAGGCTTTGTGTTAGCAACAAGGCTGTTTATTTCACCTGGGTGCAGGTGGGCTGAGTCCGAAAAGAGTCAGCAAGCGTGGTGGGATTATCACTAGTTCTTACAGGTTTTGGGACAGGCGGCGAAGTTAGGAGCAATGTTTTGTGGGTAGGGGATGGATCTCACAAAGTGCATTCTCAAGGGTGAGGAGAATTACAAAGAACCTTCTCAAGGGTGGGGGGGATTACAAAGAACCTTCTTAAGGGTGGGGGAGATACCAAAGTACATTGATCAGTTAGGGTGAGGCAGAAACAAATCACAACGGTGGAATGTCATCAGTTAAGGCTATTTTCACTTCTTTTGTGGATCTTCAGTCGCTTCAGGCCATCTGGATGTATACATGGAGGTCACAGGGGATATGATGGCTTAGCTTGGGCTCAGAGGCCTGACAGTTTTCAGCCTAAATTTTCTCCCAAATTAGTTCTCTGTATGTTTAATTCTATTTGTCTTCTTTCTCTCCTGATATTTTTTAATTACTTCAAATATTGGGTCTCTCCATGACACTCTTGCCTTCCAGCACTGTTGTATAAAGTTATTACTTTAATACTATTGTTTCTTATACTTTATTACATAAAATATAGTGTAAACATATTAGCTCAGTCTGTCAACTAGAAATCATTCATTATCCTTCAATATTTTATGACAGTTTCAATCATATATACTAAAGCTTTCAAATTTACTGCTGGTCTGCCCACAATTTTTTTCCAAAATAAACTATCCAGTACATAAGCCTTCAAGACAAGCCTTTGGTGAATGTGATTTTTACCCAGTCACTCCACCATGTTTTGACCACAGCTGATTTTATTTATATAGATAGGTAGATAGATAGATAGACACATATACATATATATACATACACACACACACACCACAGAAGGACTCTTTATACACTGACTTCCTATTTTTAAAAGAAAAAAATAGAAGTGATAATTGAAGCAATTACTTATGAAAGCCATAGTTTAAAGCACATGATGCTTTAAGCTATGACTGTGTAGGTCAGAAATGTGTTGCAAGTCAAAATTATTACTGAAGCTACACAATACGTAGTATAACAGAGGATAAGCCTGGAGAAAAGCAAGGAACCCATGAGTGACAGTTATGAGTTCTAGAGAAACTTCAGTCCTTGCCAGCTTTGAATTCATGTTCTCATCCAGCATGTACTACCATATTATTGCAGTAAATTCATACATTAGTTTTCTATTTCTGTACAACACGTGACCACACACTTACCAGCTTAAAATTATACACATTTATGATTTTATAGTTTCTGTGAGTTAGAAGTTTGAGTAGAGCTTAGCTACATCTTTTTCTCAGGGTCTCAAACAACTGCAATCAACCTGTTGGCCAGGCTGCGTTCTATTCTGGGTCTTAGAGTCCTATTCAAAGTTGAATCATCTTGTTGGAACAATTGAGTTCTTTGCAGTTGTAGAATTCACATCTCTGGTGTCTTTCTGGCTAAGGCAGGACCCATATTCAATTCCTAGAGACCCCACAATTCCTTGCCGTGCGGCCTTCTCCTTTGACAACTTACGACAGTAATGCTGGATTTTTGAAGAACCAGAGGAGAATTTCTTCCTCCAGCCTGCCAAGATGGAGGCTTATAATAAGAGTGACATTTCATACTCTTCACCCTATTACACTAGTTATGAGATGAAGCAGGGATCTTTATTATGGTCCTGCTTGCCTAGGCCCCATCTTAAATTCCTCCAAAGGAAATTCCAGGTACCTAGCTAGCCCTGAGAAATCAATGAGCGACTTGATAAGAAAGAAGGAAAAAATAGCTTAAAACAATAGCCAAAAAGTTAAAGTCACAAGATGTTTTATTTCCTATAGAAACTAAAGGTAGCATCTTAACATATGTCCCTGAGTTGTTTTTCAGAAACCCAGATCCCAACCAAATGGATTTGCTTGCATACAGACCTCAGATCAGAGGAAAACAAAGAATATTGTTCTAAATTATTCCTGAAGGGCCTGAAGTAAATAATGTCCCCACAGGCCATACCTTAACATTCCTTTCTGCTGACCTCAAGTTTTTAGACAAACTTTCCTTTACTAATCGCAAATCAGAGTCTTTGAATCTACCTATAACCTGTAAACCACCATTTCCCCTTCAAGGTGCCCTGCTTTTTTAGGCCAAACCAATGTATAACACCATGTATTTATTTACAAAGCCTGTAACTTCTGCTTTCCTGAAACTTACTGCTGCCTTTAAAAATTCCTGCTTATAAGCCATCAAGGAGGTCACGTCTTAAGCACGAGCTGCCTGTTTGTCATTGCTTGGCACCCTGCAAATTAAGGCCCTTCTTTCTCCCACTGCAAAACCTCAGCGTAGTTGTTTGGTTTTACTGAGCTGACTGAGCAGATGTGGATTTGGGTCAGTAACAGTAGCAAGTCACAGGTCCTGTTTAGACTTAAGTGGAGAGGATTGTACAAGAGTGTGATTCATTCGGGGTCACCTTTGGGTGTATTTACCACAGTGAGTTTTTTCTACTTGTGATCACAAGTGGCTAGTGAATATATTACCTCAAACTCTTTGTGAAGGAGGCAAAGCCTTAACAAATAGATATTAAGACACTCATTGTCAGGCCTCTGAGCCCAAGCTAAGCCATCATATCCCCGTGACCTGCACGTACACATCCAGATGGCCAGTTCTTGCCTTAACTGATGACATTCCACCACAAAAGAAGTGAAAATGGCCTGTTCCTGCCTTAACTGATGACATTATCTTGTGAAATTCTTTCTCCTGGCTCATCCTGGCTCAAAAGCTCCCCCACTGAGCACCCTGTGACCCCCCACCTCCTGCCCGCCAGAGAACAACCCCCCTTTGACTGTAATTTTCCTTTACCTACCCAAATCCTATAAAACGGCCACACCCCATCTCCCTTCACTGACTTCTCTTTTCGGACTCAGCCCGCCTGCACCCAGGTGAAATAAACAGCCATGTTACTCACACAAAGCCTGATTGGTGGTCTCTTCACATGGATGTGCATGAAATTTGGTGCCGTGACTCGGATCAGGGGACCTCCCTTGGGAGATCAATCCCCTGTCCTCCTGCTCTTTGCTCCGTGAGAAAGATCCACCTATGACCTCAGGTCCTCAGACCGACCAGCCCAAGGAACATCTCACCAATTTTAAATCCCGTAAGTGGCCTCTTTTTATTCTCTTCTCCACTATCCCTCAACCTCTCCTCACTATCCCTCAACCTCTTTCTCCTTTCAATCTTGGCGCCACACTTCAATCTCTCCATTCTCTTAATTTCAATTCCTTTCATTTTCTGGTAGAGACAAAGGAGACATATTTTATCCGTGGACCCAAAACTCCGGCGCTGGTCACAGACTCGGGAAGGCAGCCTTCCCTTGGTGTATAATCATTGCAGGGACACCTCTCTGATTATTCGCCCAGGTTCCATTGGTGGCAAGTCAATTGCAAGGATGCCTGCTTTGGCTGCTCCCCACCCCCTTCTCCGTGTCTCTACCCTTCTCTTTAAACTTGCCTCCATCACTATAGGCAAACTTCCACCCTCCATTCCTCCTTCTCCCTTAGCCTGTGTTCTCAAGAACTTAAAACCTCTTCAACTCACACCTGACCTAAAACTTAAACACCTTATTTTCTTCTACAATGCCGCTTGACCCCAGTACAAACTCGACAGTGGTTCCAAATAGCCAGAAAACAGCACTTTCGATTTTTCTACCCTACAATATCTAAATAATTCTTGTCGTAAAATAGGCAAACGGTCTGAGGTGCCTGACGTCCAGGCATTGTTTTACACATCAGTCCCTCCCTAGTCTCTGTTCCCAATGCAACTCGTCCCAAATCTTCCTTCCCTCTCTCCTGTCCCCTCAGTCCCAACCCCAAGCGTCGCTGAGTCTTTCTAATCTTCCTTTTCTACAGACCCATCTGACCTCTCCCCTCCTCGCCAGGCCTAGCAGCCTCCACTCCCCCACCCTATAATCCTTTTATCACCTCATCTCCTCACACCGGGTCCTGCTTACAGTTTTGTTCCGTGACTAGCCCTCCCCCACCTGCCCAGCCGTTTCCTCTTAAAAAGGTGGCTGGAGCTAAAGGCATAGTCAAGGTTAATGCTCCTTTTTCTTTATCCGACCTCTGCCAAATCAGTTAGTGTTTAGGCTCTTATCATCAAATATAAAAAATCCAGCCCAGTTCATGGCTCGTTTGGCAGCAACCCTGAGATGCTTTACAGCCCTAGACCCTAAAAAGTCAAAAGGCCGTCTTATTCTCAATATACATTTTATTACCCAATCTGCTCTTAACATTAAATAAAACTCCAAAAATTAAATTCCGGCCCTCAAACCCAACAGGACTTAATTAACCTCGCCTTCAAGGTGTACAATAATAGAGTAGAGGCAGCCAAGTAGCAACATATTTCTGAGTTGCAATTCCTTGCCTCCACTGTGAGACAAACCCCAGCCACATCTCCAGCACACAAGAACTTCCAAATGCCTAAACCGCAGTGGCCAGGTGTTCTTCCAGGCCCGCCTCCTCCAGGAGCTTGCTACAAGTGCCAGAAATCTGGCCACCAGGCCAAGGAATGCCCTCAGCCCAGGATTCCTCCTAAGCCGTGTCCCATCTGTGTGGGACCCCACTGGAAATCGAACTGTCCAACTCGCCCGGCAGCCACTCCCAGAGCCCCTGGAACTCTGGCCCAAGGCTCTCTGACTCCTTCCCAGATCTTCTTGGCTTAGCAGCTGAAGAGTGACACTGCCCGATCGCCTCGGAAGCCTGCAGGACCATCACAAATGCTCTAGGTAACTCTCACAGTGGAGGGTAAGTCCTTCCCCTTCTTAATCAATACGGAGGCTTCCCACTCCACATTACCTTCTTTTCAAGAGCCTGTTTCCCTTGCCTCCATAACTGTTGCAGGTATTGACGGCCAGGCTTCTAAACCTCTTAAAACTCCCCAACTCTGGTGCCAACTTAGACAATACTCTTTTAAGCACTCTTTTTTAGTTATCCCCACCTGCCCAGTTCCCTTATTAGGCCGAGATACTTTAACTAAATTATCTGCTTCCCTGACTATTCCTAGGCTACAGCCACACCTCATTGCCGCCTTTTCCCCTAGTTCAAAGCCTCCTTCACATCCTCCCCTTGTATCTCCCCACCTTAGCCCACAAGTATAGGATACCTCTACTCCTTCCTTGGTGACCGATCATGCACCCCTTACCATCTCATTAAAACCTAATCACCCTTACCCTGCTCAATGCCAATATCCCATCCCACAGCATGCTTTAAAAGGATTAAAGTCTATTAGCACTGGCCTGCTACAGCATGGCCTTTTAAAGCCTAGAAACTCTCCTTACAATTCCCCCATTTTACCTGTCCTAGAACCAGACAAGCCTTACAGGTTAGTTCAGGATCTGCGCCTTATCAACCAAATTGTTTTGCCTATCCACTCCATGGTGCCAAACCCATATACTCTCCTATCCTCAATACCTCCCTCCACAACCCATTATTCTGTTCTGGATCTCAAACGTGCTTACTTTACTATTCCTTTGCACCCTTCATCCCAGCCTCTCTTCGCTTTCACTTGGACTGACCCTGACACCCATCAGGCTCAGCAAATTACCTGGGCTATACTACCGCAAGGCTTCACAGACAGCCTCCATTACTTCAGTCAAGCCCAAATTTCTTCCTCATCTGTTAACTATCTCGGCGTAATTCTCATAAAAACACACGTACTCTCCCTGCCAATCGTGTCCAGCTGATCTCTCAAACCCCAACACCTTCTACAAAACAACAACTCTTTTCCTTCCTAGTCATGGTTAGATACTTTCAACTTTAGATACCTGGTTTTGCCATCCTAACAAAAACATTATATAAACTCACAAAAGGAAATCCAGCTGACCCCATAGATCCTAAATCCTTTCCCCACTCCTCTTTCCATTCCTTGAAGACAGCTTTAGAAACTGCCCCCACCCTAGCTCTCCCTGACTCATCCCAACGCTTTTCATTACCCACAGCCGAAGTGCAGGGCTGTGCTATCAAAATTCTTACACAAGAACCAAGACCATGCCCTGTAGCCTTCTTATCCAACAACTTGACCTGACTGTTTTGCCTAGCCCTCAAGTCTGTGTGTGGTGGCCGCCGCTGCCCTAATACTTTTAGAAGCCCTTAAAATCACAAACTCTGCTCAACTCACTCTCCACAGTTCTCATAACTTCCAAAATCTCTTTTCTTCCTCACACCTGACACATATACTTTCTGCTACCCGGCTCCTTCAGCTGTACTCCCTCTTTGTTGAGTCTCCCACAATTACCATTGTTCCTGGCCCGGACTTCAATCCGGCCTCCCACGTTATTCCTGATAACACACCTGATCCCCATGACTGTACCTCTCTGATCCACCTGACATTCACCCCATTTCCCCGTATTTCTTTCTTTCCTGTTCCTCACCCTGATCACACTTAGTTTATTGATGGCAGTTCCATCAGGCCTAATCGCCACACACCAGCAAAAGCACAGCTATAGTACAAGCCACTAGCCCGCCTCTTAGAACCTCTCATTTCCTTTCCATCGTGGAAATCTATCCTCAAAGAAATAACTTCTCAGTGTTCCATCTGCTATTCTACTACTTCTCTACTACTCAGGGATTATTCAGGCCCCCTCCCTTCCCTACACATCAAGCTCAGGGATTTGCCCCCGCCCAGGACTGGCAAATTGACTTTACTCAACATGCCCCGAGTCAGGAAACTAAAATACCTCTTGGTCTAGGTAGACACTTTCACTGGATGGGTATAGGCCTTTCCCACAGGGTCTGAGAAGGCCACCACGGTCATTTCTTCCCTTCTGTCAGACATAATTCCTCGGTTTGGCCTTTCCACCTGTAAACAGTCCGATAGCAGACCAGCCTTTATTAGTCAAATCAGCCAAGCAGTTTTTCAGGCTCTTAGTATTCAGTGAAACCTTTATACCCCTTACGGTCCTCAGTCTTCAGGAAAGGCAGAAAGGACTAAAAGTCTTTTAAAAACACACCTCACCCAGCTCAGCCACCAACTTAAAAAGACTAGACAATACTTTTACCTCTTTCCCTTCTCAGAATTCAGGCCTGTCCTCGGAATGCTACAAGGTACAGCCCATTTAAGCTCCTGTATAGACGCTCCTTTTTATTAGGCCCCAGTCTCATTCCAGACACCAGACCAACTTGGACTGTGCCCCAAAAAAACTTGTCATCCCTACTATCTTCTGTCTAGTCATACTCCTATTCACCATTCTCAACTACTCATACATGCCCTGCTCTTGTTTACACTGCTGGTTTACACTGTTTCTCCAAGACATCACAGCTGATAGCTCCTGGTGCTATCCCCAAACCGCCACTCTTAACTCCCTCTTAAAGTAAATAAATAATCTTTGCTGGCAGGACTATGCTGAACCTCCTTGGACACTCTCTAATGAGATGTCCTAGGTCCTCCCAATTCTTAGTCCTTTAATACCTGTTTTTCTCCTTCTCTTATTCCATTTAGTTTTTCAATTCATGCAAAACCGTATCCAGGCCATCACCAATAATTCTACACAACAAATGTTTCTTCTAACAACCCCACAATATCACCCCTTACCACAAAATCTTCCTTCAGCTGAATCTCTCCCACTCTAGGTTCCCACGCCGCCCCTAATCCCACTCGAAGCAGCCCTGAGAAACATCGCCCATTATCTCTCCATACCACCCCCAAAATCTTCACCACCCCAACCCTTTACCACTATTTCGTTGTATTTTTCTCATTAATATAAGAAGACAGGAATGTCAGGCCTCTGAGCCCAAGCTAAGCCGTCATATCCCCTGTGACCTGCACGTACACATCCAGATGGCCAGTTCCTGCCTTAACTGATGACTTTCCACCACAAAAGAAGTGAAAATGGCCTGTTCCTGCCTTAACTGATGACATTATCTTGTGAAATTCCTTCTCCTGGCTCATCCTGGCTCAAAAGCTCCCCTACTGAGCACCCTGTGACCCCCCACTCTGCCCGCCAGAGAACAACCCCACTTTGACTGTAATTTTCCTTTACCTACCCAAATCCTATAAAACAGCCCCACCCCTATCTCCCTTCACTGACTCTCTTTTCAGACTCAGCCTGCCTGCACCCAGGTGAAATAAACAGCCTTGTTGCTCACACAAAGCCTGTTCAGTGGTCTCTTCACACGGACGTGCATAAAACTCATACATTGGCTTTTTACTTTTTTTTTTTTTTTTTTTTTACTTTTTATCAACATTTACCCACTTTGAACAAGAAATAAGAAACCATTTTCTTCATTAACATAATGTCTGTACAAACAGAATGCCAGTTGGCAAAAACTACCAGTCTGAACCTCAGGGGATTTGGTTAAACTAATTGAAGAGGTATGCACTCTGTTTAATTAACCATTACTCATTGATTTTCTTCTTTTTAAAGTCTGGCCTTAGACATTGCATTGCTACTTAGTAAGTTGAATTTACGCTCCTAGAATTGCCAACATATCACCTTACTTTTAAACCTGCCTAACTTTATCAAACACTTAAAAATAGAGGGGAAATGCTTGACCAAATACAAAGCTACTTAGAGAGTTTAAATGGTTCCAGAATCTAAAATACAAACAAGCAGCTGTTATGTAAAGCACATTTTATTGGTTTTCTGAATGAAGTATTTATTTTTACTAATTTAGACTAAGTAAAAAATGTGGCAACTAATTGCAAGAGCCTTGGTTTTACTACCTGGAAAGAAAGAAAAAAAATCTATAGAGAATAAATATAAAGCCTAAATTATGTAAAATGGATATTGTAGCATGCTTTCCCAAAAGACAGTTGTTTCATTACATTTGAAAGTTTGACTTTACTATGTTGGTGTCAAGCAAAACTTTGCCTTCCCCCTCTGAAAGTTCACTGAAAATCACTGACGAAAGGCAGATTAATAGATGAAAAGGCATACAAATTTATTTGACCATATTTTTACATGATATACGAGCCTTCAGAATGAAGAATGAAGAATGAAGATCCAAAGATATAGGGAAAACTTTCTATTTTTGCACTTACGGTCAACAAAGTATGGAAAGCCACATAGAAATATGACTGGACAAAAAGGGGATAATCTAATGTCAATAGACTGAGCAGGGAAACTCAGCAGTACTTGTCTGTCTGGATTCTTGTTGTTGTCGTCCTCTCTGAGCATGCACTCCTTCCTTCTGGATATGGGGCAGGACCCTCTATGGAATGGGAGTCTTACAACCTACAATCAAACAAGGTAGGTCAGAAAATTTCTGTATGGTCAGTTTTTCCATGGAAAGATTCAGGAAAGTTAGAGTAATATTTTTAGGTTTTGTGGCTAGCTTAGTGGGAAAGGAGTCCTGGTTTCTATGATCTACCTTAGGGAGGACGGATTCTGGTTTCTGTACATAGCATTAAGGGAAAATCAGAGGCCAGAAACAGGAAGGCAGAAGGTCACAAAGAAACTTATTTCTGAGGCTGCTTCTGAGGCCTTTATTTGGGATATTGTTTTCTGGGTCCTAATAACTGTGTAGGAAGAAATAAAGTTTGCTTCTATACTCTTCTAAGTTTTTACTTGGGACAGACACTCTAACAATGTACAGATTATCCAGAGAAAAACAACCAGAAGTTTATTAACATGTATGTATCACATATGCATGGAAGACACCCAGGGGATGAGTGACTCTTCAAGATATGGCATAAAGTTCAGGCTTAACTGCCATTGTCTACTGCAACAAACAAAGAAGGACATGGGAGGCCAGTTATGGGGAGATACCCAGAAAAAGCATGGTGAATAAGGATAGATTTGTCATGAAAATCTCTGTCAGTGCCTCCTCCATTGATAAAGGTCTCTACTGATTTAGAGTGATCATCCCCTTTCTGGTACATGGGGCAATACCCTTACAAATGGAGATTTTCTTTATAGATATAAATTTCCCTTATAGTAGGATAACTTCTACTCTGTTTAAAGAGTTTCTTTTGTTCTGCAGTTTCTCAAAGTAATCAGCTCTAAATAACACTTACACCATAAAGGTTTATTTTGAAGTGGCATAATCTGGTATCCTAAAGTCATATTTTGAATTGCCATAATTTGGTCTATAAATGCAACCTCTAAGTCTAAAGAAGATAATACATTATACATCTTTTTTTTAAAAAAAAATGTGCAATACTATTAGGAAAGGAGAAAGATGACTTGTTAAATATTAAATTAATACAGCCTACTTCATTGTATATTTATAAATGGAAATAAAACTCATAAAGTCAAAGGAGTATACATTTATTTACTTTAAAAGATAAATTTTCTTCATCTAAACAAGCTGTGATAACATTATTTTTAAGTATTTATCTTTCTGTAAGAAAATCTTTAGTGCAACCTTAATTCAAGGCAATTCACATATTAACATCCTAAAAAAGTTAATGGCTACTATAAATCATTCTACTATAAAGACACATGCACACATATGTTTATTGTGCTATTATTCACAATAGCAAAGACTTGGAACTAACCCAAATGTCCATCAATGATAGACTGGATAAAGAAAATGTGGCACATATACACCATGGAATACTATGCAGCCATAAAAAGGGATGAGTTCATGTCCTTTACAGGGACATGAATGAAGCTGGAAACCATCATTCTCAGCAAACTAACACAAGAACAGAAAACCAAACACCGCATGTTCTCACTCATAAGTGGGAGTTGAACAATAAGAACACATAGACACAGGGATGGGAACATCACACACTGGGGCGTGTCAGGGTTCGGGGGCAAGGGGAGGGAGAGCATTAGGACAAATACCTAATGTAGGTGACGGGTTGATGGGTGCAGCAAACCACCATGGCACATGTATACCTATGTAACAAAACTGCACATTCCATACATGTACCCCAGAACTTAAAGTATAATAATAAAAAAAAAGTTAATGGTTACCTTTCTGAAAGGATTAAATCAAACTTAGTTGACATGTGTTTTCTACTTAATACACATCCTTCTGAAGGACGGCATAAACAAGGAAGCATAAAATCCTTGCTTATGAGTAGATTACAATCAAGTTAAAAAGTCCAGTTGTCAACATAGAAAATGGAACAAATGTGGTAAAGATGAAACAATGATAAAAAATAGAAATATGAGAAAGGGGACAGGGTAGTCATGACTGATGTTTAAATGAGTCACAGAAAATGGCTGCAGGATCTTAGATGAGGGATAATTCACTAATAAGAATGGTATTTCATTGAATAAAGCACTGTCACTTAGATGGTTAGAAAGAGTGTTCCATTTCTACTTCTGTTAGTTTCACTAGTCAAGTTGTATGATCTACAGAAATCTATTTTCCTTCCCTTGGTTTTGTAAGGATAACAGGAAGGCTTTACCCTCTGTCCTCTGATGATTTCCTGGAAATAGACAACAGGCAGATTAACAGGAGAAAAAGCCATACAAATTTATTTAATGTCCATAAGACTGGTAGAATCACAGAAAAGTGTTTATACAATAAGTTAATGAGGTTCAAATGGTTATATACCCTTCTTCATAGCAGAAGGGAGATGGGGGAAATGTGGCAATTTTGAGTGATAGTAAATTATTTTCAGGAGGTATGAATGGGCCCAATATTCAGGCAATTGATAGTACATGATTCTCTTTGAGAATTTAATGAGGACTAGAGAACAAACAATGGTTTGGGACAAAGTTTGAAGTTCCTCTTGTCTCTATGTGTGGTTTTTAATTTTCAGTCTCTTCCTTTGTAATACCAATTTTAATATTTTCTGATTAATGACATTTCAGGGAGGGGATCAAAAGCAATTGTGTTACTCTTTGCCTGGTCAGGCTTCTAGGTAGATAAAGGGACTTCAGAGAACAACCTCATTGTGTGAGAGACATTGGGGCTGATTCTCTAGATCAGTATGTCAAAGCATCATATTTTTGGGTATTATTTTCTAAGCCCTGACATTTTCAATTCCTATATTTATAAAATGAAAACTGGCTATCATGGATGGTGTACAAAGTTCTTTCACAATATCAAAATATATGCTCTAATTGTGGCATCAACCAAAAGAGTCAAATTATGTAAAATATTTGAAGAGATTTATTCTGAGCCAAATATGAGTAATTAATGGCCCATGACACAGCCCACAGGAGACCCTGAGAACATGTGCCCAAGGTAGTTGGGACACAGCCTAGTTTTATACATTTTAGGGAGATGTGAGACATCAATCAAATACATGTAAAATGTACATTGGTTCAATCTGGAAAGATGGGACTGCTAGAAGTGGGGACTTCCAGGTCATAGGTAGGTTTAATACTTTTCTTATTGGCAATTGGTTGAGTTATTATCAACAGAAAGGATTGTCTGGGTCATGATAAAGGTTTGTGGAGATCAAGGTTTTATCATGCAGATGAACCCTCCAAATAGCAGGCATCAGAGAGAATAGGTAGTAAATGTTTTTCATCACACTTAAGATCTGTATTGATGTTAATACTGGTGGGCTTTTCCTGAATTCCAAAAGGGAGGGGGGTATGATGTAAGTCTGACCCCACTTCCATTACAGCCTGAATAAATTTTTCAGGTTAACTTTGGAATACCCTTGGCCAACAGGAGTGATCCATTCAGATCGTTGTGGGGTCTTAGAATTTAATTTTTGGGCATAAATTCTCCTCTTTCCAACCAAGATTTGCCAGGGGCAACATCAGTGGTCACCTAATTTTTTTTTTTTCCCCATAGCACTGCCAGGGTGGCATGACTGCCTGCCCTAGGTCCATCCTGTCCCTTGGTGGGATTCCCCCCATGTCCAAGGGACTTATAGTCAAAAGACTTATAGCCAATTTAAATATTCTAGGCCAGACGGGAATGGAGGTGAATAGACATTCATTAACCTTTAAACTTTTTTTTTTTTTTTTTTAAGTAAAAGACCTACAAAGAGCCAAGGATGAGGTCACAAAACTGACCTACTGTAGTCTTGGTTTTAGTTACAGATACATAGTAACTAGCCATACAAAAAATAAGCGCTGTTAAAAAAATTTTAAGCTAAGTCATTTTAGAGGCTTGTTGTGCTGCAGTGCTTTTTGCAGTCTGTTAGTAATTTGCCCTAAGGTGGCTGATAAAATTTTTTAATATATATCTGCATAAATTTCATAACTAGGAATATTATACCCAGGAGGCTTTCTCATGAGGTATCTTTATATTGTCCCAGCACTAATTTTAATTCTACAAGAAGCAGAAAGTTCTTTATGGTTGGGATGGTTGAAATGGTACGACACAATAGCTCAGAAGGCAAGGTCCCTTGTTTTACCAGCTGGTTAGGCATGTGTGTAATCATTCTTGATTTAGAGGGCCTGAACTAATTTTATCTTTCAAACCAGCTACTACAATCTCATGTGTCTACCTCTTCCATGATAGTCCCTGGGTCTAGAATAAGGGTGTTTGTACAATCTTAGCAGCAGTTAGCAGCAGGGAATTTGCAGTGAAAAACAAATCCCACCCAGTGGTATGCCAAATGAGGGAGATTCACATCTCTAGTCTTCAGAATACCATGATTCTGGTTTCCTCGGTGAGAGAAATAACAATATTTTGACAATCAAAAGAGTATTTGTGTGACAGAACAGAGAAAGGAACCTATTCCATTAGAGCACCAACTAAAATTATGAAGAAAAATTATAATCTGGTACTCTTCAGAGAATTATTGCAGCCAAGAAATAATTCGTGACTCAATCCGCTGCAGTCAAAAACAAAAGTCAGGGCTGAAATCTAGTAACAAGTGTTACACTCTTCCATTGAAATGATTTTCTTCTCCCTTTCTGGCCCTCTTTTTCTGCTAAAGGGAAATTATAGTAAGACCAATTTGTTTGCAAAGTAAGTTTTAGGCTTATTATACTTGGCTTGATTATGTGCATAAAGTGCAGTAAGAATTCATTGGCCGCATAGACTCTTTTAAGTTGGCTTTGCTGAAACTTTACTTAAAAATATGTTATTCTAGTCAAAGTCTTGGTAAAATAACCAGTGTCTCCAATTGTCTTGTTTTAAAAGAAAACATTCTTACTAAACTCATAAAATCCTGAATAGTTCTTGAATTTTGGGGAACTCAAAGAGAGAAAGGTAAATTTGCTTACAAAAACATAGTTCATCCAAATGCTCTAAACTATAAATAACTCAAAAGAAAACTTTTTTTTGACCTTCTTTAACCAGAGCAGCAGCCTTCCAAACAAGATATCGTTTATTCACCTTGGAACTGCCATTCACACTCTAAGCAGCTCTTGTTAGATAAGAGCTGTTTATCAGGCATTGTAGAATCTAGCAGTTCCTCACATAGAGTCAGCCCTAGTGGGGAAAAGGCCTCCTGCTCATGAGTATCTCCTCCTTGTATCCCCAGGTAACGAGATCCTATGTAAACCACTTTTATTTTATCATGGAACTCTTTTGGGCACCATTATTTCCATTAGCATAGGGGTAGCTTCAGTTACCATTCCATAACATGCCAATAAATGTCCCTTAAGTGGAAATTCTCTAGTCCAGCAGTTGTCTTTTGGAAGTGCTCACAGTCTTTTGCCATAAGGCTCAATAAACGCTCCACAAAGAACTATGAAGTGGAAGATTTGTCTCGACTAGCACTTCAGCTTTTATCCTATATTCTGCAGGCTCAGGCACTCTTATTAGTTCTCATTTAGCATGTCCAGTGAATACTTCTCAAAGGGCAGATTTATATGCCTTCAGTTTTATAGTACTAGACACGGGACACATCCCCCAGTTAGATACAATACCAATTTTCATAAGACATTTAGGTAAAAGAGTCACGCCTACCTTACATAAAGCCTGTTTAAACATCTCAAATTTCATAATCTGTAATAACCTGTACATTTTGATATTCTGGTCCCAGGAGCTTTTCTTTTCTACCCTCAGACCATTTTACCTTTCCTGGTGGAAAAATATCAGGGTTCCAAGAACAGAGTTGAGCCAAGAGACCCAGGCTCTTTTGTCAATTTTTATCTTGCCTCAACATTGCCTCAGGAAATGTCAGATTTTTCATTATAACCTTTGGCTTTTGATGTCTTTAAAATTTCCCCAATCTGAGGCATACGCTGAAAACTGGTGCAGGGCCTTTTATGTTGGGGAACCAGTAAGGGTTCCCTTTGGCTCACTCTACCTTTGATAGCACTGTACAAAACTTTCTTTTAAACTCATCACCTTTCTGGAGTGAGTCCATTGACTCCCTTTTGCCTTTCCTATTTTTTTTTCTTTTTCTTGTTAATTACCCTAATATTTTATTAAGTATCTGTTAAGTCCCATGAGAGACAGCAAATTTAATAAGGCTTCTCAAACAGTTGTATAATTCTGCAGGAATAATGTCACCTGAGGTGATAATGTAAAAGTGGCCTCTTTAACCCCAACATTGACCATAACCTGGGTAATAGGCATATTCAGTGGGAAAATATCCTGCTTATTATAAATCCAGTCCCATATTGCTTGAATATGAAACATATCAGCTCCTTCATCAGGTGCTCCACTTGACATTATATAGGGAGAGTTGGGCAGCCCCCTTCTCGGGGTAAACAGACCTTATGGTGGCCATTTATCCAGTCCACTAGGCTGGTCATTCTCTTAGGAATAAGTACTGTGAATGTGGATCACATATGCACATTAGCGATTGTTTAATAGTGATCTGTGGGCCTTGTGTCAACCCAAACATGCTCTTTCATTCTGTAGCATTTAAAAGTAAGTATAATGCCCTTAAAATAGTTATTTTTACATTCCATTATAGTAAAGGCTTTTTAGGAAGCTTATGATACCAATCTACAAAATAGAACAATTCCTTTATGTTATATCTTCTAGTTTTAATAGTTACTGGGGTTTGTCCTTTCCCCACATTGACTATCTTTTTGGTGACCACAGGTCTCAGAGGTAATTTTTCGTTGCCCTGGTTTAATTTCTTCTTTTGTGGATAGCATTGAGACTAGTGGCCGGAGCTGAGACAAAACCACATCTGAGCATAGTCCAGGCTTAAGGCCCAACCCAGCACACTTTTGCTTTCTTTTTTTTTTATTTTTAATTTTTGTAGGTAGATAGTAGGTGTATATAATTATGGGGTACATGAGATGTTTTGAAACAGGCATGCAGTATAAAATAAGCACATCATGGAAAATGCAGTATCCATCCCCTCAGTCATTTAACCGCTGAGTTGCAAACAAGCCAATTATACCCTATAAGTGATTTAAAAATGTACGCTTAAGTTATTATTGACTATAGTTACCCTGTTGTGCTATCAAATGGTATGTCTTATTCATTCTAATTATTTTTTGTACCCATTAACCATCCCTGCCTTCCCCTCAGTACCCCACTACTTTTCTAAGCCTCTGGTAACCATCCTTCTACTCTCTATGTCCATGAGTTCAATTGTTTTGATTTTTAGATCCCACAAACAAATGAGAACATTCGATGTTTGTCTTTCTGTGCCTGGATTATTTCACTTAACATAATGATCTCTAGTTATATCCATGTTGTTGCAAAAGACTGGAGCTCATTCCTTTTTTATGACTGAATAGTACTCCATTGTGTATATGTACCACATTATCTTTATCCATTCATTTGTTGATGAACACTTAGGGTGCTTCTAAATCTTAGATATTGTAAACAGTGCTGCCACAACCATATATCTCTTCAATATACTGATTTCATTCCTTTTGAGTATATACCCAGCAGTGGGATTGCTGGATCACACGGTGGCTCCATTTTTAGTTTTTGAGGAACCTCCAAACTGTTCTCCATAGTGGTTATACTAATTTACATTCCCACCAACAGTGTACGAGGGCTCTTTTTTTGTCCACATCCTTGCCAGTATTTGTTATTGACTGTGTTTTAGATATAAGCCATTTTAACTGGAGTGAGATGATATAACTGTAGTTTTGATTTTCATTTTTCTGATGATCAATGATGTTGAGCACATTTTCATATGCTTGTTTGCAATTTGCATTTCTTCTGTTGAGAAATGTCTATTTTCATCTTTTGGGCTGGGCATCGTGGCTCACGCCTGTAATCCCAGCACTTTGGGAGGCCAAGGTGGGTGGATTACCTGAGGTCAGGAATTTGAGACCAGCCTGGCCAACATGATGCAACCCCGTCTCTACTAAAAATACAAAAAATTAGCTGTGCATTGTGGTGGGCGCCTATAATCCCAGCTGCTCAGGAGGCTGAGGAAGGAGAATCACTTGAACCCGGGAGATGGAGGTTGCAGTGAGCCGAGATTGTGCCATTGCACTCCAGCCTGGGCAACAACATTGAAACTCTGTCTCAAAAATATAAAAAATAAATAAAAATAAATAAAAAAATATTTTGCCTATCTTTTGATCAGATTATTAGATTTTTTTTCTAGAGTTGTTTGCTGAGCCCCTTATATATTCAGGTTATTAATCCCTTGTCAGGTAAATAAATTTCAAATATTTTCTCCCATTCTGTGGGTTGTCTCTTCACTTTGTTGACTGTATCCTTTGCCGCGCAGAAGCCTTTTAACTTGATGTGATCCCATTTGTCCATTTTTGCTTTGGTTGCCTGTGCTTGTGGGGTATTACTCAAGAAATTTTTGCGCAAAACAATGTCCTGGAGATTTTCTCTGAAGTTTTCTTATAGTAGTTTCAAGATTTGAGTTGTACATTTAAGTATTTAATCCTTTTTCATTTGATTTTTGTATATGGCCAGAGATAGGGTTCTAGTTTTAATCTTCTGCATATGGATATCCAGTTTTCACAGCAAAATTTATTGAAGAGACTGTCTTTTCACCAGTGTATGTTCTTGGAACCTGTGTTAAAAATGAGTTCACTACAGGTGTGTGGATTTGTTTCTGAGTTCTCCATTGTGCTTCATTGGTGTGTGTGTGTCTGTTTTTATGCCAGTACTATGCTGTTTTAATTACTCTAGCTCTGTAGTACTATTTGAAGTAATGTAACTACTCTAGTTTTGTTCTTTTTGCTTAGGATGGGTTTGGTTATTCTGGATCTTTTGTAGTTCCATATAAATTTTGGGATTTTTTTTTCTATTTCTGTGAAGAATGTCATTGGCATGTTGATAGGGATTGAATTGAATCTGTAGATTGCTTTGTGTAATATGGACATTTTAACAATATTGATTCTTACAATTCATGAACATGTGATATTTTTTCATTTTTTGGTGTTCTCTTCTAGTTAGTTCATCAATGTTTTATAGTTTTCATTATAGAAATCTTTCACTTCTTTATTTAATTCCTAGGTATTTAATTGTATGTGTGATTATTGTAAATGACATTACTTTTTAAACTTATTTTTCACATTGTTCATGACATATAGAAATGCTACTGATATTTCATGTTGATTTTGTATAGTACAACTTTACTGAATTTATCAGCTATAACAGTTTTCTTGTGAAGTCTTTTGGTTTTTCCAAATATAAGATCTTATCATCTGCAAACAAGGATAATTTGATATTCCTTTCTAATTTGGATGCTCTTCATATCTTTCTCTTGTCTGATTGCTCTAGCTAGGACTTACAACACTGTGTTGAATAACAGTGGTGAGAGTGGGCATCCTTGTCATGTTCTGGATCTTAGAGAAAGGGTTTTCAGTTTTTCACATTTAGTATGATACTAGCTGTGGGTCTGTCATATATGGCTTCTAGTATGTTGAGATATAGTTTTCCTAACCCCAGATTTTTTAGGGTTTTTTATCATGAAGGGATGTTGAATTTTATCAAATGCTTTTTCAGCATCAATTGAAAAGATCATATGGTTTTTATCCTTTATTCTGTTAATATGATGTATCACATTGATTGATTTTTGTATGTTGTATCACATTGATTGATTTTTGTATGTTGAACCATCTTTGCATCCCAGTGATAAATCCTACTTGGTCACGATGAATAAACTTTTTAATGTACTATTGAATTCAGTTTACTAATCTTTTGTTGAGGATTTTTGCATCAATATTCACCAGAGATACTGGCCTACAGTTTCCTTTTATTGACGTCTCTTGGTCTGGTTTTGGTATCAGGGTATTACTGGATTCATAAGAATGAGTTTGAAAGTATTCCCTCCTCCTGATTTTTTGGAATAGTTTGAGAAGGGTTGGTATTAGCTCTTTAATGTTTGATGGAATTCATCACTGAAGCCACCAGGTCCCAGGCTTTTTGTTACTGGGAGACTTCTTATTACAGCTTTGATCTCATTACTTGTTATTGGTGTGTTCAGGTATTGGATTTCTTCCTGGTTCAATCTTTGTAGGTTTTATCTATCTAGAAATTTGTCCATTTCTTTTATATTTTCCAATTCATTGGCATATAGTTGCTCATAGTAGTCATTAATGTTCTTTTGAATTTCTGCAACATCAGTTGTAATGATTCCATTTCATTTCTGATTGTATTTATTTTGATTTTCTTTTTTTTCTTAGCCTGGCTAAAGGTTTGTCAACTTTTTGTAACTTCAAAAATAATATTTTTGTTTCATTTATCTTTTGTATATTTTCACTTCAATTTCATTCATTTCTGCTCTGAAGTTTATTATTTCTTTTCTTCTATTAATTTGGGGTTTGCTTTTCTCTCGCTTTTCTAGTTATTTAAGACACATTGTTAGATGTTTTTAATGTTTTCCTTTTTTTTGATATAGGTACTTATAGCTATAAACTTTCCTCTTAGTACTGCTTTTACTGTATCCCATAGGTTTTGGTATGTTGTGTTTCCATTAACACTGATTTTAAGAAATTGTTAAAATTTCTTCTTAATTTCTTCATTGACTCACTGGTCATTAAGGAGCATATTGTTTATTTCCATGTAGTTTTATAATTTCCAAAATTCCTCTAGTTATTAATTTCTAATTTTATTCTATTGTGGTCAAATAAATTGCTGATATTATTTGAATTTTTCGAATATTTTAACACTTGTTTTGTGACCTATTATATGGTCTATTCTTGAGAATGATTTATGTGCTTAGGAAACTATGTATTCTGCAGCTCTTGGATAAAATGTTCGGTAAATATCTATTAGATCCATTTGGTCTATAGTGCAGATTATGTCTGATGTTTCTTTGTTGATTTTCTGGCTGGAAGATCTGCCCAGTGCTGAAAATGGGGTGTTGAAGTCTCCAGCTATTATTGTATTGGGGCCTCTCTCTCTCCATCTTTAGCTCTAATAATGTCTCCTTTATATATATGGGTGCTCCAATGTTGGGTGCATACATATTTAAAATTGCTTTGTCCTCTTGCTGAATTGACCCCATTAACATTATACAGTGATCTTACTTGTCTCTTCTCATAGTTTTGGCCTTAAAATCTATTTTGTGTGTTACAAGTATAATGATTCCTGCTCTTTTTTGGCTCCCATTGGCATGGAATATCTTTTCTCATCTCTTTATTTTCAGTCTATGTGTGTCTTTTTTATTATTTAAATAAGAAAAAACTCTACAGTACCCAGTATTACCAGGCAGTCTCCCATCCAAGTATTAACCAGGCCCAATCCTGCTTAGTTTCTGAGATCACACAAGATTGGGCGTATTCAGGGTGGTATGGCCACAGACTATGTGTGCCTTTATAGGTGTTTCTTGTAGACGATAGATCAATGGGTCTTGTTTTTTCATTAATTTAGCCAGTCTATGCCTTTTATTGTAGACTTTATTTCATTTACATTCAATGTTATTATTGATAAGAAAGAACTTACTCCTGCCATTTTGTTATTTGTTTTCTGGTTGCTTTTTGTCTTCTCTTTGTTTTTTCTTTCACTCTTGTCTTCTTCTAGTGAAGATGATTTTCTCTGGTGATACGGTTCAGTTTCTTACTTTATATTTTGTGTATATCTATTGTATGCTTTTTGGTTTGAGGTTACCATGAGGTTTGCAAATTCTATCTTATGACTCATTATTTTATCCTGATAACAACTTAACACTATTTGTATTAACAAACAAGCAAGAATGAAACTAATAAAAACTCACTTTAACTTTGTTCTCCCCACTTCTTAACTTTTTATTGTTTCTATTTATATCTTATTGTACTGACTACATCTTGAAAAGTTGTTTTAGTTATTGACTGGTTTATCATTTAGTCTTTCTACTTAGAATAAGAGTAATTTATACACCACAGTTACAGTGTTATAATAGTCTGTGTTTTTCTATGTATGTAACATTGCCAGTAAGTTTTATATCTTCAGGTGATTATTTATTGCTCATTAATGTCCTTTTTTTCTCATCGAAGTATTCCCTTCAGTATTTCTTGTAGTAGGGGTCTGGTATAGATGAAATCTCTCAGCTTCGGTTTGTCTAGAAAAGTGTTTATTTCTCCTTCATATCTGAAGGAAATTTTTGCAAGATATAGTATTCTAGGGTAAAAGTTTTTTTTTTTGTTTTTGTTTTTTTTTTTTTCCTTCAGCACTTTAAATATGTCATGCCACTCTCTACTGGCCTGTAAGGTTTCCACTGAAAAGTCTGCTGCCAGATCTATAGGAGCTCTAAAGTGTGGTATTTGTTTCTTTTCTCTTGCTGTTTTTAGGATCTTTTCTTTATAATTGGCCTTTAGGAGTTTGATTATGAAAAGCCTTAAGGTAGTCTTCTTTGGGTTAAATCTGCTTGGCAATTTATATCTTTTTTGAACTTGGATATTGATATCTTTCTCTAGGTTTGGGAAATTCTCTGTTATTATCCATTTGAATACATTTGCTACACCTAGCTCTTTCTCTCCTTCTTCTTTGAGGCCAATAACTCCTAAATTTGCCCTTTTGAGACTGTTTTTTAGATCCTGTATGCATGCTTCATTTTTTTTATTCTTTTTTATTTTGTCTCCTCTGACTGTGTATTTTCAAATAGCCTGTCTCCAAGCTCAAAAATTCTTTCTTCCGCTTGTTTCAGTCTGCTATTAAAGAACCCTGATGTGTTCTTACGTGCACCAATTGCATTTTTCAACTACAGAATTTCTACTTGATTTTTAAAATTATTTTGATCTATCTCTTAATTTTATCCAATAGAATTCTGAATTCCATCTCTATGCTATCTCAAATTTCTTTGGGTTTCCTCAAAACAGCCATTTTGTATTATCTTTTTGAAAGGTCACATATCTCTGTTACTCCAGGATTGATCCACGGTGCCTTATTTAGTTCATTTCGTGAGGTCATATTTTTCTGGATAGTGCTCATGCTACTCGTGCTAATAGACATTCCTCTGTGTTTGGGCATTGGAGAGTTAGGTATTTATTGTAGTCCTCACTGTCTTGGCTTATTTGTAGCCATCCTTCTTGGGGAGACTTTGCATATATTGGAAAGGACTTAAGTCATGTTATATAAGCTGTATCTGGTTTAAGGGGTGCCCCAAGCCCAGTTCTTGCAGACTCATAGAGGTACCACATTGATGGTCTAGGACAAGATCCAAGAGAATTCTCTAGATTACCAGGCAGAGACTCTTGTCCTCTTCCCTTACTTTTTCCCAAACATATCGAGCATATCTCTCTCTCTCTCTCTCTCTCTCTCTCTCTCCTGAGCCACCTACAGCTGGGGATGGAGTGACACAAGCAGCCCTGTGGCCTCCACCACTATCACTGTGCTGGGTCAGACCTGAAGCCAGCACAGTGCTGGCCCTTGCCCAAGGTCTGTTGTCACCACTCCCTGACTTCTGACTATGTTCACCCAAGGCCATGGGCTCTACAATCAGCTGGTGGCAAAGCCAGCCAGGCATGTATTCTTCCCTTTAGGAGAGTGAGGTCCTCTAGGCACACAGTGGGTCCAGCAGAGCCATCTGTGAGTCCAAGACTAGAGTCAAAATCTTCAGAAGTCTACCTGGTATTCTATCATATTGCAGCTTATCTGGCACTCAAGAAGACAAGCAGGCAGTAGAACTGGGCCTTGCTGAGTGTGATTTGACCAAGCAAGAGGTAGCAGGAGGATATTCTCTGGATAGGGAACTCCCTCATCCAAAACGCAGAGGCAGGTACCACAGGTATAATACCTTAGAATTCATTGACATAGAATCAGCATTTTTCCTGTTTTTCTGATTTTGAAGTAACATTTTATTTTACTTGTTTTATTTTGATTACAATAAAACTCTTTATGAAATGCCTAGGCTTCATTTTCCAAACCACAACCAACATTACAACATTGGAAAGCAACTCTAAATAGACTTTCAGCACTATTGCTTTAAGTGAACTGTGAATTGCTTAAAGTAAGACACATAAAAAATCCAAAACTTTTCTCTTCACCATGGATCTCAGGTCAGATCTATTAATTTCCAGTTTTTCTATTTGAAAGTTAAAATGAGAAAAATAAAAATGCAAACCCTAGACTGATCAGAATCTTTCTCTTTTCAGGAGATGCGCCAGGCCCTAGTCTTTATTAAATTTCTTGTCATTTGATGAATTAAATATAATTACAATAAACTCACTTGGGATTTGATTATAATCTGTGTGGGTTTTCTTACCAATTATATAGCTTCATATTAACTCTTAAATGTAAATGTGTAACCTTTCTCTAAAAACTAGTGTCACATAACTCTGAGTACTTTACAGAATTGTTATTTGAAAGAATCTTAAAGACCCTGATTACATCTTTCAATAGCACTGTGAGGCAGGTAAGTAGCCCATATTATACTTCTTTTTCATAGGTTGACAGCTCCAGACCCTAACTCATTCTAAGGACTCAAGGGACTGATAAAAAATCTCTGAGTTTTTGCCTTATCCTCATGCTCCTATTGGTCAAATGAAATCCCATATTCACTTCCCATTCACTATATATTTAATTTTGGCCATTAAGTGAGAGAAGTGGCAAATGAAGACTATGGGAAAAGCCTGTCTCTGTCGTCTTCACAAATGAATTGTTAATCTCAGGCCTCAGGTAATATGAGAAAAGAAGGCTTGAATGTTTTTGTATGGCTGAAGGGATACTTGAACAAAGAGTTGATATCGAGCCTTCAGTGTTACAGAGTACAAAGGGAAGACTTCTTTTATTTGTTCATTTATTCATTCATTCATTTTGCTTTTGGAATATCAGTTTGAATGTTGATATGGCATATCTGTCAACCTGTGAAAACATTTATAAATTTTATCTTCAGAAATTCTATGAAATTTATTTAATTCTTTTTTACTATTATTATTATAATTTAAGTTATGGGATACATGTGCAGAATGTGTAGGTTTGTTATATAGGTATACATGTGCCACAGTGCTTTGCTGAACCCATCAACCTGTCATCTAGGTTTCAAGCCCTGCATGCATTAGGTTTTTGTCTTAACGCTCTCCCTCCCCTTGCCCGACACCCCTTGACAGGCCCTGGTGTGTGATGTCCCCCTCCCTGTGTCCATGTGTTCTCATTGTTCAACTAGTGTTTACTTTTCTGTTCCTGTGTTGGTTTGCTGAGAATGATGGTTTCCAGCTTCATCCATAGCCCTATAAAGGACATGAACTCATTCCTTTCTTATGGCTGTGTAGTATTTCATGGTGTATATGTGCCACATTTTCTTTATCCAGTCTATCATTGATGGGCATTTGGGTTGATTCCAAGTCTTTGCTATTGTAAATAGTGTTGCAGTAAACATGTGTGTGCATATGTCTTTATAGCAGAATGATTTATAGTCCTTTGGGTATACATCCAGTAATGGGATTGTCAGGCCAAATGGTATTTCTGGTTCTAGATCCTTGAGGAATTGCCACACTGTCTTCCACAATGGTTGAACTAATTTACACTCCCACCAACAGTGTAAAAGTGTACCTATTTCTTCACATCCTCTCCAGCATCTGTTGTTTCCTGACTTTTTAGTGATTGCCATTGTAACTGGCGTGAGATGGTATCTCGTTGTGGTTTTGATTTGCATTTCTCTAATGACCAGTGATGATGAGCTTTTTTTCATATGATTGTTGGATAAATGTCTTCTTTTGAGAAGTGTCTGTTCTATCCTTCACCCACTTTTTGATGGGGTTATTTGGTTTTCTCTGGTAAATTTGTTTAAGTTCCTTGTAGATTCTTGATATTAGATCTTTGTCAGATGGATAGATTGCAAAAATTTTCTCTTATTTTGTAGGGTGCCTGTTCACTCTGATGAGAGTTTCTTTTGCTGTGCAGAAGCTCTTTAGTTTAATTAGATCCCATTTGTCAATTTTGGCTTTTGTTGCCATTGCTTTTGATGTTTTAGGCATGAAGACTTTGCCCATGCCTATGTCCTGAATGGTATTACCTAGGTTTTCTTCTAGGGTTTTTATGGTTTTAGGTTTTAGGTTTAAGTCTTTAATCCATCTTGACTTAATTTTTGTATAAGGTGCAAGGAAAGGGTCCAGTTTCAGTTTTCTGCATATGGCTAGCTAGCTAGTTTTCCTAGCATCATTTATTAAATAGGGAATCTTTTCCCCATTGCTTGTTTTTGTCTGATATGTCGAAGGTCAGATGGTTGTAACTGTGTGGTGTTGTTTCTGAGGCGTCTGCTCTGTTCCATTGGTCCATATATCTGTTTTGGTACCAGTACCATGGTGTTTTGGATACTGTAGCCTTGTAGTACAGTTTGAAGTCAGGTAGCATGATGCCTCCAGCTTTGTTCTTTTTGCTTAGGATTATCTTGGCTATATGGGCTCTTTTTTGGTTCCATATGAAATTTAAAGTAGTCTTTTCTAATTTTGTGAAGAAAATCAATGGCAGCTTGATGGGAATGGCATTGAATCTTTAAATTACTCGGGCAATGTGGCCATCTTCACGATACTGATTCTTCCTATCCATGAGCATGGAATTTTTTTCCATTTGTTTGTGTCCTCTCTTATTTCTTTGAGCAGTGGTTTGTAGTTCTCCTTGAAGAGGTCCTTCACGTCCCTTGTAAGTTGTATTCCTAGGTATTTTTTCTTTGTAGGAATCGTGAATGGGAGTTCACTCATGATTTGGCTCTCTGTCTGTTATTGATGTATAGGAATGCTTGTGATTTTTGCACATTGATTTTGTATCCTGAGACTTTGCTAAAGTTACTTATAAGCTTAAGGAGTTTTGGGGTTGAGACAATAGAGTTTTCTAAATATATAATCATGCCATCTGCACACAGAGATGATTTGACTTCCTGTCTTCCTATTTGAATATGCTTTTTAAATTTTCTGTTGCCTGATTGCCCTGGCCAGAACTTCTAATACCATGTTGAATAGGAGTGGTGAGAGAGGGTATCCTTGTCTTGTGCCAGTTTTCAAAGGGAATGCTTCCAGCTTTTGCCCATTCAGTATGATATTGGCTGGGGGTTTGTCATAAATAGCTCTTATTATTTCGAGATATGTTCCATCAATACCTAGGTTTTTGAGTGTTTTCAGCATGAAGGGGTGTTGAATTTTATCAAAGGCCTTCTATGCATCTATTGAGATAATCATGTGGTTTTTGTCATTAGTTCTGCTTATGTGATGGATTATGTTTATTGATTTGCATATGTTGAACCAGTCTTGCCAAAATTGACAAATGGGATCTAATTAAACTAAAGAGCTTCTGCACAGCAAAAGAAACTCTCATCAGAGTGAACAGGCAACCTACAAAATGAGAGAAAATGTAGCTGACTTGATCGTGGTGGATAAGCTTTTTCATGTGCTGTTAGATTTGGTTTGCCAGTATTTTATTGTGGATTTTCACATCTATGTTCATCAAGGATATTGGCCTGAAATTTTCTTTTTTTGTTGTGTCTCTGCCAGGTTTTGATATCAGGATGATGCTGGCTTCATAAAATGAGTTAGGGAGGAGTCCCTCTTTTTCTATTGTTTGGAATAGTTTCAGAAGGAATGGAACCAGCTCCTCTTTGTACCTGTGGTAGAATTCAGCTGTGTCTCCTTCTGGTGCTGGGCTTTTTTTTTGGTTGGGAGACTATTAATTACTGCCTCAATTTCAGAACTTGTTATTGCTCTATTCAGGGATTCGACTTTTTCCTGGTTTATTCTTGGGAGGGTGTATGTGTGCAGAAATTTATCCATTTCTTCTAGATTTTCTAGTTTATTTCGGTAGAGGTGTTTATAGTCTCTGATGGCAGTTTGTATTTCTGTGGACTCAGTGGTGATATCCCCTTTATCATGTTTTATTGCGTCTATTTGATTCTTCTCTCTTTTCTTCTTTATTAGTCTGGCTAGTGGTCTACCTATTTTGTTACTCTTTACAAAAGATCAGCTAATGGATTCATTGATTTTTTGAAGGGTTTTTTGCGTCTCTATCTCCTTCAGTTCTACTCTGATCTTAGTTATTTTTTGTTATTTTAGTGTTAATTTGAGATCTTTCTAGCTTTCTCATGTGGGCATTTAGTGCTATAAATTTCCCTCTTAACTTCTTTTATTTGTTCATTTATTCATTCATTCATTTTGACAATGGAATATCAGTTTGAATGTTGATATGGTTTATCTGTCAACTTGTGAAAACAATTTTAAATTTTGTCTTCAGAAGTCCTATAAAATTTATTTAATTCTTTTGAAAAAAAAGTCTTTTTATGTATCTAGGCTGATCAAAGTTCAAACTTTCTTCATCGCTTTAATCTGAAGTTAAGGATTTATTTCACAACTATTTTCCAGGCCTCGTGCTATGCAGTATGAAGAATAAAAGAGTGTAATGTCTCAGTGGCTGCTCCAAAAAGCTTAAGAAAATCAGGCAATTTTTTTTTTTTTTTTGACAGAGTTTCGCACTGTCACCCAGGCTGGAGTGCAGTGACGCAAGCTCCCCCTCCCAGGTTCACGCCATTCTCCTACCTCAGCCTCCTGAGTAGCTGGGACTACAGGTGCCCGCCACCACACCCGGCTACTTTTTTTTGTATTTTTAGATGAGACGGGGTTTCACTGTGTTAGCCAGGATGGTCTCGATCTCCTGACCTCACGATCCACCTGCCTCAGTCTCCCAAAGTGCTGGGATTACAGGCATGAGCCACCGTGCCCGGCTGCAAATTTTTAAACAAGTAGTAATACAGCAGAATTTAAAAATAATCAAGCTGAACTATATACAAATTGCTATGGGAACCCAAAGGATGGAGTATTCCTGCATCAGTGGAGAAGGTAAGCAAGGCCACTGCCCTCTATCAGTCCTGAAGGCAGCATTCATGGTACACTGTATGTGTTGTGGAGTTCTATAAAGTGTCAGTATAAAAGGGAAACGCCTAGCAAGGCTTTCTTGAGGAAGTAGTGCATAAGTTAATCTTTGAACAAACAGTAGAAATTTGTCATCCAGAGAATGAGAAGAAGAACATTCCAGGTATGAATACAGCATATTCAAAGACTTGGATGTGTGAAAGTGCATGCCACAGCTAATGAATGACAACTCAGGTGTTTGGGGACGCTCGAATTAAGTTCCAAGAAACATTGACTGTCCCCAGAAATGGGAATGATGTTCACAGTTTTTTTTAAAGGCCCAGACTTAAACTTTGATATGACAGAATATGATGCTAGTGTTTGCTTAACTCATTGAAGATATAGCTTCTCTTCAACTTTGTGTGAATTATGAGCAGTGCAGATAAGAAAGGAAATTTATATTTATAAATGGTTCTCTCAGTGAAGAAACTTATATATGTATATATATATATTATGGTAAAATTTTATCATAAACCACTTTATAAAATATGTTAAAGATAACCCTATGGGAATGAATCAAATATATGTTTAGCTTTATTCTGTTGTCCATTTTTCTGTATCCATTCCCTTGGCATGTTCTCCTCCTCTCCCACTTAATAGGATATGTTTTGTAAAGCTAAATTATTCACAATGTCTTTTAAAGAGAGTGTCAAATGTCTACACCACTCTACCCCAACAGATCTTCTGCCTACTTCATTACAAAACCACAACACACGTCTGTAAAACATATCTGACCTTGACATTCCGTCTGTTCTTCAGAGCAGGGCCTGTACTGCTTTGCTCCTATATTCTTTATGAGCAATGGATGAAAATCTGTGGTAACATCAATGTTTTTATACTTACATAAGTGGCTGCTGGATATCATAACTGCTGCCAAGAAAAATTTGCTTGGTCACACAAGATGATACTGCCGTGATCCTGTCTTGGTTAAACCATGGCACCATAGATTATCAAAGTAACTCTCAGGCCAAATAAGAAACAGAAAACAAATTTTCAAAAAAGAGAATGTGCTATACTTAGAAAAGACTGATGAAAAATCTAATTATGCAGTGTTCAACACAGGTGCATCTTTGTGCTTTATCAGCAGACATTTTATTCTTTGGAGTCTAATCTAACTCCATGCCTTTTCATCCCTTCTATGTACTCATCCATTTTACATTTATTTCTCTGTGATTTACTACTCACGATGCTTAGCACAGTTTATATTAGGTATAAAGTAAATGTCTGTTGAATAGAAGAAAGTCTATGCCTCTTTATGTGAATCCTTGATATATATTCTAAAATTGTATACCTAATATTACAAACACTACTCCCTGGGTCAGTCACATGGACCAAGTAATTCTTGACTTATCTTCTGACAAAGACAATAAGAGACATATCATACGAAGGCCCATGACTTCCATACTTTGTTTAAATATGTGGAAACTTTTCATATTTTTATATTCTGTCCCCTCCTGGGTCAAATTTCTCAAAGCTGTGCTTCATGCTGTGTAAAGGTGAACTTCAATAGGGTTTTGCTTTATTGATGTGTACACTACTACCTTTAATGTTTTGACTACTGTCAGTTCTAAAGCTGAGTCAACACACATAATTTCTTGTTTCTATTAAACAACTAAGTCATTAATGGGGCTATGGAAAATATCTATTTAAATATGCAAAACATGACACATGTGTGAGTAACCACTACGTTCCCCGTACAAAGGGTCTCTTGGATTTTGCAAAGCTCTGAATAACAGCTTGAATTGTATCAGAACAGAGGCCATAAAGAAATAACTTTCAATTCTCATTGCTCTACTATGGGCTAATAAAAATAGCTGCTGTTAATATTTGCTCTAATTTCAAAGAGAAACACATGGAAACAAAGATAGGAGACCTGTGTCTATAAGATGGAGAACGCTTGCTAATTGGCAATAGCCATCTGTTTGATATTATTAAATACAACTTCTGTATACTAGATATCCATAATTCCTAAGTATAGAAGCTTGGCATAAGGATGACACAGACAAAATAGATGTTTTTCATGGAAAAGCAAAACTGTAAAATATTAGAATAGTAAGGAATATTATTCCAGTTGACCCAAACACATTTGAACATGATTGTCACTTGCAAAGACACTTGACTGACTCTAAATGCTAGAAGACCACCAGCCCTAGCAGCCAGGCTGATTAGCATTCTGTAGCTTTGATGTTTAAAAGTTAGCCCCCGTGTGAGAAAATGAAATACGATCAAGCTTTGAACAATTTGCCCATAGTTTATAAAGAGTTATTATATCATATTAGGTACAAAATGACTTTTTATATATAAAAGTGACAATGTAATGCTCAACAATGGAAAATCTGTGTTAAAATTGATTATCATTTCAGCTTTCAAAATATCTTGAAGATTATCTGAAGAGATGTCAATATTGGCAGAACCTAATGCATATCTCTGTTATGACTGTTCATAAAAGCCTTCTGAAGTGGTTTTAAAAGAATGCTATTTGAACTTTTTGTTTTATTTGATAAAGGACCATTCACAGTTAAGGATAAAGACTTGAAAATGGGTATACATTATTTGTTTGAATTTTAGTTTCTGTAGGATTTTATGGTAAATTCCAATTTTTATCTTCAGGAATACTTTAAATTCACAACTCAACAATCAAAATTTTATCTGTTAAATAATATATATATGAATGGGTATATTAAGAAATGTTTAATGATGTCTACATACTGATCATAAAGACTGGTTCAAAAGAAAATAACTTCTATAAAAACATTCTCTACTTTTATTGCCTTGTCTTTCTAGATTCTGACTTTATAGATGAATTATTCTATAACTAGAAAATTATTATTACGATCTGTTATAAAACAGATCAGCTATACTTTAATGTTGAGTGTGTGAAAAAACTAAATTCTATTCCACAGGTTGAGACTTCATGCTATTAGGAATTTGGGAGAGTCACGTGCCTAAGCTCCAAAATCCTAATGCCAACAACACAGCTTGCATCTATTGGAAATGCTCTTACACTGAGCATTGCTAGTGCAGTAAGCAAAAAGCTCTTTCTTACCTTATGAATCAAATCAAAGAGAATTACACAATGGAAACCAAACAAAATTATTCAGTTTCAAGATAATTTTTAAAATATTTTTATAAGAGTTATGGCTCAGCATGAAGAGTTTCTAAGGAAGAGAAGCCAATTTCCACAATCCCTGACACATTCTTCTATCTAACTCTTTGTTTTTGATGTTTCTCTTTGATATTCCAGTGACTAAATATCTACTGTGGGTGGATATGGAGGTATTATTTTTAACTGGCAGAAATATATAATATTATACATGGAAATTATAATAATGATTGTGTATGTTTAGGTTTGCTTGGATGGGGTGGGGAAGCTGGAGCAGGGAAGCTTCCTGTATCAGAAAGTAGCCTGCTTAGGTGATGTTACCAAGATTGCCAGAACTGGAGATCATTATATTAAGTGAAATAAGCCAGGCACATAAAGACAATTATTGCACCTTCACACTAATTTGTAGGATCTACAAATCAAAACAATTGAACTCATTAAGATAGAGAGTATAAGAATGGTTACCAGAGGCTGTGAAGGGTAGTAGGGAATTGGAGGGGAGGTGGGGATGGTTAATGGGTACAAAAAAAAAAATTGAAGGGATGTATAAGATCTACATTTTTTTTTTTTTTGAAACAGGATCTCACTTGGGTTGCCCAGGCCGCAGTGCAGTCTTGCAATCTCGGCTCGTTGCAGCTTCCACCTCCTGGGCTCTGGTGATTATCCCACCTCAGCTTCCCAAGTAGCTGGGACTACAGGCGCACACCACCATTCCTGGCTAATTTTTTTTGGGGGGGTGGTTTAGTAGATATGGTGTTTTGCCATGTTGCCCAGGCTGGTCTCAAACTCCTGAGCTCAAGCAATCCGCCTGTTGCAGCCTCCCAAAGTGCTGGGATTACAGGCATGACCCACTGTGCCCAGCCAAGAACTACTATTTAATAGCACAACAGGCTGACTACAGTCAATAATAACTTAATTGTGTATTTTAAAATTACTTAAACAATCTAATTGAATTGTTTGTAAGTCAAAGGATAAATGCTTCAGGGGTGAATAACCCGTTCTCTATCATGCCTATTTCACATTGCATGCCTGTATTAAAACATATCATGTGCCCCATAAATATATATACCTACTATGTGCCCACAAAAACTTTAAAAATTAAAAAAAAAATATGTAGACAGCTATGCACAAGCCAAAATAGTCCAGGAGACCATTAAAGAATCTGCAGCAACACTGGAAAGAAAAATGGAAAATATCCACATAGAAAGAATTGCTGGTTAGAACGGCAGAATTAAGACACCAGGAGACAGGAGCAAAAAAAAAAAAAATGAGACAAGAAATATCATCCATAAGGCAGGAACCATCATGGGCCCTAGTGGCCTGCTCCTCAGAGAACACTGGCATCTCTTGCCACTGATCATTCCTAACAAAGAACCATGGAGAAGGACACATGGCTACACATCCCTCTCCAGCCCAAGCATGGTTGAACTACATTGGAAAATGAGCCTCTCCACAATAAATGTGTGCCCTGATCCTGGAGCTATGGTCACCCCACAAGTGCCCACACTCTAGATCCAGGCTGTATGGCTGTGTTGTATCCACCCATGTCTCAGACACCAAAGTAATTACCATAGTGAGCTAATTCACTCTTTGAGTCCCAGAGTCAAGCTTTCATTGTGTGTGCCTATATTCCAGGCACCTGCTCAGCCATTATTGAGAGATAGACCCTGTCCAAACCCTGGAGCTGCTGAAGCTAACACATGCCTATATTTTGAATCCAGGCACCAAGGCTGTACCACATGTGCCATACTTCAAACATCAGAGTCACCATCAGAGCAAACTAATTGGCACTCTGGGTCCCAGAGCCAAGTTCTGCACTCCAAGCACTGGCTCAGCTGTCACAAAGAGCTAGGCACCACCCAGACTCTGGAGTCATTCTAATGCTGCCCCAACCAGAGTTCCCATTCTCATCTCCCAAAGGTGCTTTAAAGGCATCCATGCTTCATATTCTGTTACAAACTAAGCAGCCAGGGAATCAGTACCCTGAGCACAATTGCCATTATCACCCTAGACCCCAGAGCCATAGTCACTCATGCATGCCTGTACTTCAGGCTTCAGCTAAATGACTGCTCCATGGGTTACACTAATCAGATACTGATGTTACCACCAGTGCAAGTGAGCTCACAAACCAGACCCAAATCTAAGGGGAATCCCTTCAGCCACAAATTCCCTTGTGGAAGAAAAAAAGATTGCGAGGACATTAGCAACCATTGCTACCAATGATCCCAAAACCCATGCTGCCATGATATAAATTCAAAGAACTGGCCACTATGCATCCCTGAAATATTTGTCAACACTGACCTCAGCTGCCAGAGCTTCACAGGGACTACACAGGCAGCACAATCTGGTGCCAGAACTACCACACTTCATCAAGCAAGCACTCTCACACCTCCCCACAGGCAACGAAACTAATCCCTAAAGTCTGCAAGATGTGACTACTCCAAAGAATGTGCAGACATCAACACAAAGAAACATGAAAAGTCAAGAAGACATAACACTACTAAAAGAATACAATAATCTCCTAGTAGCTGACCCCAATGAAATTGTTAAATGAACTACACCAATTCAAAATAACTGTTTTAAGGAAACTCAGCAAACTTTGAATATATAGAGATATAATTTAATGAAATAAGGAAATTAATAAATAATCAACAATAGATATTTAACAGGCAAATTGAAATTATTAAAAGATGTAAACAGAAATGCCAGAGCTATGAAATACAATAAAAGAAATAAAAATGAAATAGAGAGCATTAATGACTGAATTGATCAAGCAGAAGAAAGAATCCATAGACTTGAAGACTGGTTATTTGAAATCTCCCGGTCACAGAAAAAAAAAGAAAAGAAAAAGAAAAAGAATGATAAGGAACGGAGAAAGTTTACAGGAATTATGGGACAGTATCAAAATAGCAAATATTTGAGTTAAAGTATTTCAAGATGAAAAATAGAGACAAAGGGTTAGAAGATTATTTAAAGAAATAATAGCATAAAGCTTTCCAACTATGGGGAAAGATATAAATATCCAGTTACAGGATGATCAAAAATCTACAATCACATTCAGTTTTATTTTATTTTAATTTAATTTTATTTATTTTGAGATGGAGTTTTGTTCTTGTTGCCGAGGCTGGAGTGCAATGGCACGATCTCAGCTCACCGCAACCTCCACCTCCCGGGTTCAAGCAATTCTCCTGCCTCAGACTCCCGAGTAGCTGGGATTACAGGCATGCAACACCATGCCTGGATAATTTTTTATTTTTTTTTAGTAGAGACAGGGTTTCTCCATGTTGGTCAGGCTGGTCTCGAACCCCTGACCTCAGGTGATCTATCTGCCTTGGTCTCCCAAAGTGCTGGGATTACAGGTGTGAGCCACCACGCCCAGCCCACATTCAATTTTAATAGGACTACACCAAGATATCTTATAATCAACTCATCAAAAATAATAAACAAAGAGGATCCTGAAAGCAGCAAGAGAAAAGAAGCAAATCAAATATAAGGGAGTTTCAATAAATCTAGCAACAGATTTCTGAGCAGAAATCTTATAGGCCAGGAAGAGAGTGGAATGATATATTCAAAGTGCTGAAGGACAAAATAACAGTCAACAAAGAATACTGTATGCAGTAAAGTTGTACTTTATAAATGAAAGAGAAATAAAGACTTTTCCAGAAGAATAAAAGCTAAAGGGAGCTTATCATTACCAGACATGTCTTACAGAAATTCTAAAGGGAGTTCTTCAAGCTAAGAGAAGATAATTCTAATTAGTAATACAAAAATATTTGAAACTATAAAACACTGGTAAAAGCAAGTGCATAATCAAATTTGGAATACACTAATACTATTTTGGTGGTGTGTAAGCCACTTTTATTTTCTGTATGAAGGTTAAAGGGAAAAACAAAATACTATTAGCTTGAATAATTTCTTAAGGGATATAAAATATAAAAATATGCAAACTGTGACATCAAAACATTAAATGTAACAAGGTTGAGTAAAAGTCTAGAGTTATTTTATGTGGTCAATGTTATGTTGTTATCAGGTTAAAATAGTCTTGTATAACTATAAGTAGTTTTAAGTAAGCCTTATGGTAACCAGAAAGCAAAAATCTAAAGTAGATACACAAAAGAGAAAAAGTAAGAAATCAAACAAATCCACTAGAGAAAAATCATTTAATCTCAATAGAAAAAAGCAAAAGGAGCAGAGGATCTACCAAACAATAAGAAAGCAATGAACAAAATGGCAGTATTAGGTCATTACCTAACAATAATTATTTTGTATGTTAATTGATCAATTTATTTAATCGAAAGACACAAAGTATCTGAATAAATTAAAAAGAAAGCCCCGGCCCGGTGCAGTGACTCATGCCTCTAATCCCAGCACTTTGGGAGGCTGAGGCAGGCAGATCATTTGAGGTCAGGAGTTTGAGACCCGCCTGGCCAAATGGCGAAACCCCATCTCTACTAAAATTACAAAACTTAGCCAGGCATGATGCCACACACCTGTAATCTCAGCTACTCGGGAGGCCGAGGCAGGAGAATTACTTGAGCCTGGGAGGCGGAGGCTGCAGTGAGCCAAGATTGTGCCACTGCACTCTAGCCTGAGTGACACAGCGAGACTCCGTCTCAAAAATAAATAAATAAACAAATAAATAAATGAAAAAGAAAGACCCAACTATACGCTCCCACAAGAAACTCAACTCATACTTAAGACCATGAGTAGATTACAAGTGAAAGTACAGAAAATATATCCATGCAAATGAAAACCAAAGAGAAGAAATGAAGCTATACATATATGAAATAAAATAGGCTTTAAAAACTTTAAAAGGTCATTTTATATTAGAAAGATTTCAATTCATAAAGATGATATCTATAACAGTTGTAAACATATACACATCCAAGATCAGAGCACTTACATATATTAAGCAAATATTAACAGATGTCAAGGAAGAGACAGATTATAATGCAATAAAGTAGGGTAGTTTGACACCCCACTTGAAGCAATGGACAAATCATCCAGACAGAAAATAAATACGAAAACATTGAACTACACTTTAGACCAGATGGACCGAACACAACATTCATTCTGGCAACAGAATTCACATTTTTCTCAATGGCACACATAACATTCCCCAGAATAGATCATTTATTAGGCCACAAAATAAGTCTGAACAAATTTAGAAACATTGAAGTCATTTCAAGTACCTTTCCTAACCACAACGTTATGAAACTAAAAATCAATAACAGAGAAATTTTGGAAAATATGAAAATATATAAAACTTAAACAGCATGCTCCTGAACAACCAAAGGGTCAAAGAAGAAAATAAAAGGGAAATGTAAAAATAGCTTGAGACAAACGAAAATAGACACACAACATACCAAAATGTATTCAATGCAGAAAAGTCAGTTCTAAGAGAGATGTTTATTGCAATAAACACCTACATCAAGACAGAAAAAAGATTCCAAATAACCTAATGATAAAACCCAAGGAACTAAAAAAAGAACAAGCTAAGCACAGCATCCACGGGGAAAAAAAAGAGGAAAGATCAGAGCAAAAATCAGTCAAAGAGAATAGAAAAAAATAGGAAAGATCAATGAATCTGAAAGTTCTTTTTTGAAAAAGTACAAAAAAATCAACAAACCTGTGGCCAGACTAAGATAAAGAGTGAAAAGTCTCAAATAAAGTTAAAAAAAAATGCAAGAGGAGACATTGCAACTAATACCACATCAATACAAAATTTCATAATTGACTATTATGAAAACTTATGTGACAATAAATTGTATAATTTAGAAGAAATGGGTAAATTCCTAGACACATAAAACCTACCAAGACTAAATCAAGAGGAAGTAGAAAATCTGTACAGACCAATAACAAGTAAAAAGATTGAATTAGTAATAGTTTCCCATCACATAAAAGCCCAGGACCTACCTGATGGCTCCCCTGCTGATTTCTACCAAATGCTGAAAAAACAGATACCAATCCTTCTTACGTTGGGGGATGGGGGAGGGACAGCATTAGCGGAAATACATAATGTAAATAACGAATTAATGGGTGCAGCAAACCAACATGGCCAATGTATACATATGTAACAAACCTGCACGTTGTGCACATATACTCTAGAACTTAAAGTATAATAAAAAAATTAAAGAATAGGGACAACTTCAAAACTCACTTTACAAGGCCAACATTTCCCTGATATCAAAGTCAGACAAGAATACTATAAGAAAATAATATTACAAGACAATATCCCTGATGAACATAGATGCAAAAATTCTCCACAAAATGCTATAAAACCAAATTCAAAAACACGTCAAAAGGATCATTCACCTTGATGAAGTGGGATTTATCTCCAGAATACCACAATAGTCCAACATACACAAATCTATAAATGTGGTACACCACATTAACAGAATGAAGAACAAAATAACTGAAGGACAAAACCATGTGATCATTGGAATACATGCAGAAATGCTATTTGACAAAATACAATAGCCCTTCATGATAAAATCTGTCAACGAGTAGATATAGAACAAATTTACCTCAACAGGAAAAAGGCCATATATGACAAGTTAACTGCTAAAATCATGTTCAACAGTGAGAAGCTGAAGCTTTTCCTCTAAGATCAAGAACAAAACAAGGATGCCCACTCTCACATCTATTTTACATAGTACTAGAAGTCCCAGCTAGAGCAATTAGGAAAGATAATAAAAGGAACATATAAATCAGAAAGGAGAATGCAAATTGTCTCTGATTGCAGAATACATAATCTTTTATATGGTAAACTCTAAAGACTACACGGAAAAAATTACTTCAACTAATAAATGAATTCAGTAAAGTTGCAGGACAAAAAAATTAACATACAAAAATTACTAGCCTATCTATCACTAATAGCAAACTATATAAAAAGAAATCAAGAAAGCAATATCATTTACAACAGCTACAAAAAATAAAATACTTAGGAATATATATTATATATAATTATATATATTATATAATATAGAATATATAATTATATGATATATTATGTAATATATTATGTAATATATTATATAATATATTATATAATATATTATATAATATATTACATAATATATTATATATAATTATAATATATAAATTATACAATTATACATAATTATAATAAATATTATATATATATTCCAAGAAGGCAAAAGATCTCTACACAAAAAACTATAAAACACTGATGAAAGAAATTGAAGAAGCCACAAATGAATGGAAAGATATCCTGTGTGCATGAACTGGAAGAATTAATACTGTTAAAATATCCACACTATCCATTGTCATCTATAAATTTAATGTAATCCTTATCAAAAATCCAGTGGCATTTTTCATGAAAAAAAACAAGCAATATTAAAATTATTTTATCACAAAACATCCTCAAAAGCCAAATCAATCTTAAGAAAGTACAGAGCAGGAGACTTCATTCTTCCTGATTGCAAAGTCTATTACAAAGCTATAGTAATCACAGTAGTGTGTTACTAGCATGAAAACAAACACATAGAGCAATGGAACAAAATAGACAGCCAGGACATTATCTCATTTATATTCGAATAACTAATATTTGACAGTGGCACCAAGAACAAACAATGGGAAAAGAATATTCTCTTAAATAAATGGTGTTGGAAAAACTGGATCTCCACCTTCCAAAGAATAAAATTTGACCCCTATCTTATACCATTCATAAAAATTAAAATAGTTTTAAGTCTTAAATATGAGATTTGAACCCACAAAACTCCTGGAAGAAAACAGAAAAATAACTCTTTGATATTTGTCTGGATTTTTTTTTTTTTTTGTATATGACCTCAGAAGCACAAGCAACAAAGACAGAAATAGATAAATAAGATTACTTCAAACTGAAAACCAATCTCAGCCTGGAAACAAGGTTATAAATTCCAATGGGCTGCTGGGAAGTCCATGTAAAACCCAAGAGCAGGATGATATAACCCTACATCATAGGGCAAAAGGATTGCATGTTCATTGGGTTACAATGCCTAATATAATAACTGGAAAGTGTAGGATCTCAGCAAGTGTTAGCTATGGCGAAACCAAACAGATTTATACAGTCCATTATTCCAAAAATCCCACAAAATGGAATTAAAGCACATTCCTAAGAAATAGGAAATAGCATCTCTTGTCACAAAGCTGGAAGTAAATTTTAATGTGTAATTAAATGGAACTCAACTCATAAAGAAATACATATAGATAGATATATACATATATATTTACAGAATATGTGTGTTTATGTGTATATATGTGTGTATCTTGAAGGAAAAATCTGATGTGACTAGCATTAATTAAACTATCAATTTGGCAGAGGTAGCCACTTGATGAAGTCAATTAGTTGCTATACTATTGTCATTAAAAGTAATTGACAAGACTTTTAAATGGATATTCTCAAAATCCTGTTTTGGCCGTTGTAAGCACTGATTATGCCTCCTGGACATAATTGTTGCCACATTTATTCTTCAACAGCCATAAGGATCTCACGGTATCAGATGTTTGCTGCCTAGATTCATTCTGTCATGGCAGAACGGTTGACATTTCACACTACAATGCTAACTGCACTTCACGGACAACCCATCTGAGCAAACGGCAGAGCAAATCTTCATAGAATATGACAGATGGGAAATGGTCCACTATTATTTAAGTGAATGACCACTGAAGATTTAAGATGCTCTTTTTAGCCATTTCCTCATGATTAATGCACGTTTTCATACCCTCCTAATTCTTGGTCTTTTAGATGTCATTTAATTATGTAACTTTATATCCAAATCAGGTAATTATGTGAAAAGAGCTCACATGCGAAGAGTTTCAGAGGAGAAGCCAAGATGGCCGAATAGGAACAGCTCCGGTCTACAGCTCCCAGCGTGAGTGACGCAGAAGACAGGTGATTCCTGCATTCCCATCTGAGGTACCGGGTTCATCTTACTAGGGAGTGCCAGACAGTGGGTGCAGGTCAGTGGGTGCGCGCACCGTACGCGAGCCGAAGCAGGGCGAGGCATTGCCTCACTCGGGAAGCGCAAGGGGGCAGGGAGTTCCCTTTCCTAGTCAAAGAAAGGGGTGACTGACGGCACCTGGAAAATCGGGTCACTCCCACACGAATACTGCGCTTTTCCGACGGGCTTAAAAAACGGCGCACCAGGAGAATATATCCGGCACCTGGCTCAGAGGGTCCTACGCCCACGGAGTCTCGCTGATTGCTAGCACAGCAGTCTGAGATCAAACTGCAAGGCAGCAGCGAGGCTGGGGGAGGGGCGCCCGCCAATCCCAGGCTTGATTAGGTAAACAAAGGGGCCAGGAAGCTAGAACTGGGTGGAGCCCACCACAGCTCAAGGAGGCCTGCCTGCCTCTGTAGGCTCCACCTCTGGGGGCAGGGCACAGACAAACAAAAAGACAGCAGTAACCTCTGCAGACTTAAATGTCCCTGTCTGACAGCTTTGAAGAGAGCAGTGGTTCTCCCAGCACGCAGCTGGAGATCTGAGAACGGGCAGACTGCCTCCTCAAGTGGGTCCCTGACCCCTGACCCCCGAGCAGCCTAACTGGGAGGCACCCCCCAGCAGGGGCAGACTGACACCTCACACGGCCGGGTACTCCAACAGACCTGCAGCTGAGTGTCCTGTCTGTTAGAAGGAAAACTGACAAACAGAAAGGACATCCACACCAAAAACCCATCTGTACATCACCATCATCAAAGACCAAAAGTAGATAAAACCACAAAGATGGGGAAAAAACAGAACAGAAAAACTGGAAACTCTAAAAAGCAGAGCACCTCTCCTCCTCCAAAGGAACACAGTTCCTCACCAGCAACGGAACAAAGCTGGGCAGAGAATGACTTTGACGAGCTGAGAGAAGAAGGCTTCAGACGATCAAATTACTCCGAGCTACAGGAGGACATTCAAACCAAAGGCAAAGAAGTTGAAGACTTTGAAAAAAATTTAGAAGAATGTATAACTAGAATAACCAATACAGAGAAGTGCTGAAAGGAGCTGATGGAGCTGAAAACCAAGGCTCGAGAACTACGTGAACAATGCAGAAGCCTCAGGAGCCGATGCGATCAACTGGAAGAAAGGGTATCAGCAATGGAAGATGAAATGAATGAAATGAAGCGAGAAGGGAAGTTTAGAGAAAAAAGAATAAAAAGAAACGAGCAAAGCCTCCAAGAAATATGGGACTCTGTTGAAAGACCAAATCTACGTCTGATTGGTGTACCTGAAAGTGACGGGGAGAATGGAACCAAGTTGGAAAACACTCTGCAGGATATTATCCAGGAGAACTTCCCCAATCTAGCAAGGCAGGCCAACGTTCAGATTCAGGAAATACAGAGAACGCCACAAAGATACTCCTCGAGAAGAGCAACTCCAAGACACATAATTGTCAGATTCACCAAAGTTGAAATGAAGGAAAAAAAGTTAAGGGCAGCCAGAGAGAAAGGTCGGGTTACCCTCAAAGGGAAGCCCATCAGACTAACAGCGGATCTCTCGGCAGAAACTCTACAAGCCAGAAGAGAGTGGGGGCCAATATTCAACATTCTTAAAGAAAAGAATTTTCAACCTAGAATTTCATATCCAGCCAAACTAAGCTTCATAAGTGAAGGAGAAATAAAATACTTTACAGACAAGCAAATGCTGAGAGATTTTGTCACCACCAGGCCTGCCCTAAAAGAGCTCCTGAAGGAAGCGCTAAACATGGAAAGGCACAACCAGTACCAGCCGCTGCAAAATCATGCCAAAATGTAAAGACCATCGAGACTAGGAAGAAACTGCATCAACTAATGAGCAAAATCACCAGCTAACATCATAATGACAGGATCAAATTCGCACATAACAATATTAACTTTAAATGTAAATGGGCTAAATACTCCAATTAAAAGACACAGACTGGCAAATTGGATAAAGAGTCAAGACCCATCAGTGTGCTGTATTCAGGAAACCCATCTCACGTGCAGAGACACACATAGGCTCAAAATAAAAGGATGGAGGAAGATCTACCAAGCAAATGGAAAACAAAAAAAGGCAGGGGTTGCAATCCTAGTCTCTGATAAAACAGACTTTAAACCAACAAAGATCAAAAGAGACAAAGAAGGCCATTACGTAATGGTAAAGGGATCAATTCAACAAGAAGAGCTAACTATCCTAAATATATATGCACCCAATACAGGAGCACCCAGATTCATAAAGCAAGTCCTGAGTGACCTACAAAGAGACTTAGACTCCCACACAATAATAATGGGAGACTTTAACACCCCACTGTCAACATTAGACAGATCAACGAGACAGAAAGTCAACAAGGATATCCAGGAATCGAACTGAGCTCTGCACCAAGGGAACCTAATAGACATCTACAGAACTCTCTACCCCAAATCAACAGAATATACATTTTTTTCAGCACCACACGACACCTATTCCAAAATTGACCACATAGTTGGAAGTAAAGCTCTCCTCAGCAAATGTAAAAGAACAGAAATTATAACAAACTATCTCTCAGACCACAGTGCAATCAAACTAGAACTCAGGATTAAGAATCTCACTCAAAACCGCTCAACTACATGGAAACTGAACAACCTGCTCCTGAATGACTACTGGGTACATAACGAAATGAAGGCAGAAATAAAGATGTTCTTTGAAACCAACAAGAACAAAGACACAACATACCAGAATCTCTGGGACACATTTAAAGCAGTGTTAGAGGGAAATTTATAGCACTAAATGTCCACAAGAGAAAGCAGGAAAGATCCAAAATTGACACCCTAACATCACAATTGAAAGAACTAGAAAAGCAAGAGCAAACACATTCAAAAGCTAGCAGAAGGCAAGAAATAACTAAAATCAGAGCAGAACTGAAGGAAATAGAGACACAAAAAACCCTTCAAAAAATTAATGAATCCAGGAGCTGGTTTTTTGAAAGGATCAACAAAATTGATAGACCGCTAGCAAGACTAATAAAGAAAAAAAAGAGAGAAGAATCAAATAGACGCAATAAAAAATGATGAAGGGGATATCACCACCGATCCCACAGACATACAAACTACCATCAGAGAATACTACAAACACCTCTACGCAAATAAACTAGAAAATCTAGAAGAAATGGATACATTCCTCGACACATACACCCTCCCAAGACTAAACCAGGAAGAAGTTGAATCTCTGAATAGACCAAAAACAGGATCTGAAATTGTGGCAATAAACAATAGCTTACCAACCAAAAAGAGTCCAGGACCAGATGGATTCACAGCCGAATTCTACCAGAGGTACAAGGAGGAACTGGTACCATTCCTTCTGAAACTATTCCAATCAATAGAAAAAGAGGGAATCCTCCCTAACTCATTTTATGAGGCCAGCATCATTCTGATACCAAAGCCAGGCAGAGACACAACAAAAAAAGAGAATGAATTTTAGACCAATATCCTTGATGAACATTGATGCAAAAATCCTCAATAAAATACTGGCAAACCGAATCCAGCAGCACATCAAAAAGCTTATCCAACATGATCAAGTGGGCTTCATCCCTGGGATGCAAGGCTGGTTCAATAAACGCAAATCAATAAACGTAATCCAGCATATAAACACAACCAAAGACAAAAACCACATGATTATCTCAATAGATGCAGAAAAGGCCTTTGACAAAATTCAACAACGTTTCATGCTAAAAACTCTCAATAAATTAGGTATTGATGGGACGTATTTCAAAATAATAAGAGCTATCTATGACAAACCCACAGCCAATACCATACTGAATGGGCAAAAACTGGAAGCATTCCCTTTGAAAACTGGCACAAGAGGGGGATGGCCTCTCTCACCACTCCTATTCAACATAGTGTTGGAATTTCTGGCCAGGGCAATGGGGCAGGAGAAGGAAATAAAGGGTATTCAATTAGGAAAAGAGGAAGTCAAATTGTCCCTGTTTGCAGACGACATGATTGTATATCTAGAAAACCCCATTGTCTCAGCCCAAAATCTCCTTAAGCTGATAAGCAACTTCAGCAAAGTCTCAGGATACAAAATCAATGTGCAAAAATCACAAGCATTCTTATACACCAACAACAGACAAACAGAGAGCCAAATCATGAGTGAACTCCCATTCACAATTGCTTCAAAGAGAATAAAATACCTAGGAATCCAACTTACAAGGGATGTGAAGGACCTCTTCAAGGAGAACTACAAACTACTGCTCAAGGAAATAAAAGAGGACACAAACAAATGGAAGAACATTCCATGCTCATGGGTAGGAAGAATCAATATCGTGAAAATGGCCATACTGCCCGAGGTAATTTATAGATTCAATGCCATCCCCATCAAGCTACCAATGACTTTCTTCACAGAATTGGAAAAAACTACTTTAAAGTTCGTATGGAACCAAAAAAGAGCCCGCATCGCCAAGTCAGTCCTAAGCCAAAAGAACAAAGCTGGAGGCATCACGCTACCTGACTTCAAACTATACTACAAGGCTACAGTAACCAAAACAGCATGGTACTGGTACCAAAACAGAGATATAGATCAATGGAACAGAACAGAGCCCTCAGAAATAATGCCGCATATCTACAACTATCTGATCTTTGACAAACCTGAGAAAAACAAGCAATGGGGAAAGGATTCCGTATTTAATAAATGGTGCTGAGAAAACTGGCTAGCCATATGTAGAAAGCTGAAACTGGATCCCTTCCTTACACCTTATACAAAAATCAATTCAAGATGGATTAAAGATTTAAACGTTAGACCTAAAACCATAAAAACCCTAGAAGAAAACCTAGGCATTACCATTCAGGACACAGGCATGGGCAAGGACTTCATGTCTAAAACACCAAAAGCAATGGCAACAAAAGACAAAATTGACAAATGGGATCTAATTAAACTAAAGAGCTTCTGCACAGCAAAAGAAACTACCATCAGAGTGAACAGGCAACCCACAAAATGGGAGAAAATTTTCGCAACCTACTCATCTGACAAAGGGCTAATATCCAGAATCTACAATGAACTCCAACAAATTTACAAGAAAAAAACAACCCCATCAAAAAGTGGGCAAAGGACATGAACAGACACTTCTCAAAAGAAGACATTTATGCAGCCAAAAAACACATGAAAAAATGCTCACCATCACTGGCCATCAGAGAAATGCAAATCAAAACCACAGTGAGATATTGTCTCACACCAGTTAGAATGGCAATCATTAAAAAGTCAGGAAACAACAGGTGCTGGAGAGGATGTGGAGAAATAGGAACACTTTTACACTGTTGGTGGGACTCTAAACTAGTTCAACCATTTTGGAAGTCAGTGTGGCGATTCCTCAGGGATCTAGAACTAGAAATACCATTTGACCCAGCCATCCCATTACTGGGTATATACCCAAAGGACTATAAATCATGCTGCTATAAAGACACATGCACACGTATGTTTATTGCGGCACTATTCACAATAGCAAAGACTTGGAAGCAACCCAAATGTCCAACAATGATAGACTGGATTAAGAAAATGTGGCACATATACACCATGGAATACTATGCAGCCATAAAAAATGATGAGTTCATGTCCTTTGTAGGGACATGGATGAAATTGGAAATCATCATTCTCAGTAAACTATCGCAAGAACAAAAAACCAAACACCGCATAGTCTCACTCATAGGTGGGAATTGAACAATGAGAACACATGGACACAGGAAGGGGAACATCACACTCTGGGGACTGTTGTGGGGTGGGGGGGAGGGGGGAGGGATAGCATTGGGAGATATACCTAATGCTAGATGACGAGTTAGTGGGTGCAGCGCACCAGCATGGCACATGTATACATATGTAACTAACCTGCACATTGTGCACATGTACCCTAAAACTTAAGGTATAATAATAAAAAAAAAAGAGAAAAAAAAAAGAGCTTACATGCATACATTTTTCAGGATTATTTTAAATGAATGATTTGCTTTTCTTCTACCATTAGCGTTTCATATGATAAGGGAAATGGACCACAGCAGACATATTTTGCAGAAAAAGCAATTCTCCAGAGGTACCAGTCACTTGATATAGCCACATCTTTTTCAATAATTTTCACTGAAAATCTGATTCAAGAAAAAGTTTATTCAATAAAAGATACATAGATTATGAATCAGACTAAGAGTTGAAGGCATGAATTCTGCTCCCAGTTCTGCAACCAACCCACTGTGTAACTCCTGTCCTCCATTTTCCTTTTCACTCTCTTCCCTTTATTTCTTCTCTAGAGTTTATGCAGTAGCTCCCTTTTCAAGTTTTCCAAACTGCAATCTTGACACCCCAAATGATGATACACACTATCACCAAGTTTGCCTTTGTAAGATATAATTATTATTATATCTATTCTCAAAAGTCAATGGTGCCCAACTGCCTACAGAATGTTGTTAAAACATCTCAATTTGGCAGTCAAGCTCACATCAGCATAGCGACAACCTATGCCTTCTGTCTTATATTCTACATCTGCCAATCATCCAACTTATACGCAAAGACAAAATCCCAGTGGATGTGTTGAATGTGCTGTGGTCTTTACCTGATTTACTCTGTTTTTTTTTTTTTTTTTTTTGCTTACCTGGATGAAAGTATAGTATAGTAAAAAAGCAAATTAATTAAAACAACTAAGTCTCAAATTCCTCAGTTCTAAAATGGAGATATCAATACAATACTTCTTTTAGAGTTGTTGTTAAACCAGCCGTAATTCATACAAATTACTGCACATGATCAGTCTTCAATAAGTTACTAATTATATTTTTCCTTTCAGAGTATAGGTGCTGGAGGTGGATACACCTGGGTTAAGATACTGGGTCTGTCATTCCTCAACTGTGTGCCTTTGGGAAAGTCACTTAACTTATTTGAGTCTCTCTTTTTTTTTTTCCATCTCTTAAATGGGAACGCAGTAGTACTGCTCATACGGGTGCTGCAGTGAATAATTCATTTGAAGCATTCCATAGTATGGAAAAAAGTATAATTTCATAAATACTCTTGATTATCAATACTTCCTTCTTCCAAATTCCTGTTCAAATATCCTTCTTCCAAGATACTATTCCTTATATACCCATCGAAAAGTTACTTTTTTCTGCTTTGCAATCTTGTAAAACATTTTAATCCATTTTTACAAACTATATATTATTTCTTGTAACTCCCTTTATGTATGTCTGAACTAATCTTTCCTACTATACATTCTAAGCTGTTTGAGGGCAAAGAGCGTTAGCATGACCAGATTATTTAGGTGTGGCAGTGGTATTGTTCTTCACAAGTGTTAACTAAAAGAAAAAAAGAAAAGTTTTGTGAAAAAGCATTCTTTGCTTTAACTAAAATCTGAGGCCTCTTCGCTGGAGACTATATATATTTTTTTCTCTCTTCATCTCAGTAAGCGGAGCTTTTTACTCACTCTCCTATAGGATACTATCTGTAGACTAGTCTTACCAAGCCCAGCATAGCTGTTTCTCTCACAGTATGCCATATATCCACCAGAATGTCTAAAATTTATACATAAAAAAAGACAATGCAAACTGCTGGTTAAGATGTAGAACAATAGAAACCCTCATGTATTTCTCATGTCAGTGCAAACTCTGAAAAACATTTTGGCCTTGCATAGTGAAGTTTAATGTATGTGCTTTATAATCTACTTAAACTCAACAGACATGTGAACAGATGTTTATCAAAAGACAGAAAAATATTTATAACAACATTTTTATAGCAGTCCCAAACTAGAAATACCTCAGTTCCCATCAACAATATTATCAATTAGTAAACTGATATTTAATAGAAGACTATACAGGAATAAAAGGGATGAATTTTACAAATACAAGCAACAGAATTCAGACACTAAATACATACTGTATAACTTAACCTATTTAAAGCTCAAAAACAGGAAAATTGAATCTATAGTTTTTACACATACTTCGGTGGGGAAAATTTTTTTAAAGGAAACAAGAAACTGTGATAGAAAACAGGATACTGATTATCTTTAGTGGAATGGGGGAGGAGTTGTGTTTGGGAAGAAAGATATTAAGCGCTTCTGGAGGGTAGCAAAATTGTATTTCTTAAACTGAGTCGTGGTTAAATGAGTGTTTGCTTTTATAGCAATTAATTAAACTATGTATTTATCTTTTATGGATGTTTCTATGTATTTCAAAATAATTTTGAAATAAAGACACAGAATAAAGACACAAGTCTTCAGAAGAAACCCTATCATGTATTTATCTGGATACAAAATAATAATAATAATTTAAACAATAGGAGCAACATGTAAAAAACATTTTGAAAACTTTCACATTTCTAAGGATAAAAAAGAACCCAGAGTTAAAGAAAAAAAAAAGTACTTGTTGGTTACTTACAATATAATGAAGATTAGAATGGTCTCAGATTTCTCAGCTATCGCACTGAATACTTGATAATGATGGAACAGTGTCTGAAATTCAGAAGGCAAATGATTTTCAACTTTGAATTCAAAATTGAGGGCAAAAGGCCGGGCGCAGTGGCTCACACCTGTAATCCCAGCACTTTGGGAGGCCAAGGTGGGCGGATCATCGAGGTCGGGAAATCAAGACCATCCTGGCTAAAACGGTGAAACCCCCGTCTCTACTAAAAATACAAACTATTAGCCGGGCGTGGTGGCGGGCGCCTGTAATCCCAGCTACTCGGGAGGCTGAGGCAGGAGAATGGCGTGAACCCGGGAGGCGGCGCTTGCAGTGAGCCAAGATAGCGCCACTGCACTCCAGCCTGGGCAACAGAGCGAGACTCCGTCTCAAAAAAAAAAAAAAAAATTGAGGGCGAAAAATTTAATTAAGGCTTTGAGCAAAAATAAAAGCACTTTAGACATGCACTGACTCAAAATGTTTCATTTATATACTACATGTGTGTATCAGCATGTGTATTACTTGAAGAGTTTATCCAAACTAATTTAAAAGACATAAAGGAAAACTGACTCAAAATATAAGCAACTGAGTTTGACCTGGAAAAGGCAAACGTAATTACAGAGAAATGAAAAGAGAATGCCTTGAATTTGGATTCTTGAGGTAGTCTCCTAGAATCTGGGGCTCAGCAACAAAAGAATCTTTTTCTATGGGTTCTGTCAGTACTTGATTTTGAGGTAAATATATTTACATAATTACACTAATGTTAATAGTTGTCTTAATCTGTTTTGTGTGGCTATAGCAGGATACCACAGATTTGTAATTTGTAAAGAGAATAAAAGCATTTGTAAAGAGAATAACAGCATTTCTCACAGTTCTAGGGCCTGGGAGGTCTAATATCAAAGTGCCAGCATCTGAAAAGGACCTTCTTGTTGTGTTATTCCATGGTGGAAAGACAGAAAGACAAAAGATCACACCGCAGAGACAGAACTAAAAAGGGCTGTACTTGCTTTTATAACAAACTCACACTAATGATAATGAATCCACTCCCGCAATAACCACAAAGCCCTCATGATCTAATTACCTCCCAAAAGTCTGACAGCACTGTTGCAATGAAGACTAACTTTCCCGGACATGAATTTTGTGGGACACATTAAAACCATGGCATTCCACCCCTGGTTCTCAAAATGTGTGGTCTTCTCACATGCAAAATACATTCATTCCCTCCCAACACCCCAAAGTATAAACTCATTTCAGTACCAATTTAAAAGTTCAAAGTCCAGGATCTTAACTGAATCAGATGAATGAGATTCAAAATGCAATTCATCCTAAGGCAAATTCATCCCTAGTTGTGAATCAGTGAAATTAAGTCATGTTTTTCCAAAATACAATAGGGAGACAGGCATAGGATAGACATTCCCATTTCAAAAGGAAAATAATATGAAAAAGGAGCCACTGGTCCCAAATAAGTGCAAAGCCAAATAGGGAAATCAATAGTAAGTGTTAAACTGAAGAATAATCTCCTTTCACTTCACATTCTGTATCTACGCTAAGGTAGTTGTTGGGCCCCCAAGACCTCAGGCAGCTCCACCCTTGTGGCTTTGCTGGGCTCAGTCCACCTAGCAGCTTTCACAGTCTGGTATCTTGTGCCTGCAGCTTCCCCAGGCTGGAGTTACATATTGGTGGCACCACACTTCTGGGATCATGCGGGCTGCCCCACTCACATGGCTCCACTATGCATTATTCTGTTGGGGACTCACTGTGGTGGCTTCACTTCTCTGGCACTACTGGGCGTTGCTCTAGCAGTGGCTCTCTGCAGTGACTCCACCCCCGTGACATGTCTCAGCCGTCTCCAAGGCTGCACAAAATATTCTTTGAAATCTGGGAGAAAGCCATGCCCTCACAGCTTTTACATTCTGCGTGCCTGCAGAATTCGTACCATGTAGATGTCACGAAGGTTCATAGCTTGTATTTTCTGGAGAAGTTGGTTGAGCTACACCTGGGCCTGCTTGAGCCATGGCTAAGGCAGCCAAGGGGCACTGCACCAGAATTATGGAAGCAGAGACCCAAGGTAGCACAGAACAGTGAATTCTGAGGTCTCCCAGGGACTTCTCTGGAAACTTTGCCCTCAAAGTCCTAGATTGTCTTGAAGATCTCTGAAGTGATTTTCGGATCACTCTCCCACTGTCCTGATGGCTGGATGCTGGCTTCCCTCACCCATATTAGTCTCTTTAGAAAACGGTTGCATGTAGTATTCTCTCCTGAATATTCTTTTTTCTTCTTTACATATCCAGGCTGAGAGTTTTCCAAATCTTTCCATTCTACTTCCCTTTTAATTATAAATTCTGTCTTAAATTCATTTCTTTGTTCTCTCTTTTTTACTGTAATTTTACTGGAATCTGCCAAAATAAGCTGTGAAGCACCTTGAACATTTTGCTGCTTAGATACTTTACCTTCCAGATACACTAGTTCATTGCTCTTAAGTTCTGCCTTCCACAAAATCCTAGAACATCAGACAAAATTCTACCAAGTTCTTTGCGGCTATATAACGTGGATTGCCTTTACTTTGGTTTCCAATACTCTTTCTTTTCTTTTCTTTCCTTTTCTTTTCTCTTTTCTTTTCATTTTTTCTTTTCTTTTCTTTTCTTTTCTCTTCTCCTCTCTCTCTCTCTGTCTCTCTCTGTCTCTCTGTCTCTCTCTCTCTCTCTCTCTCTCTCTCTCTCTCTCTCTCCCCCTCCCTCTCCCTCTCCCTCTCTCTCTCTCTCTCTTTTTTGACAGCCTCCTTCTGCTGCCCATGCTGGAGAGCAGGGGTGCGATCTCAGTTCACTGCAATCTCTGCCTCCCGGGTTCAAGCAATTCTCCTGCCTCAGCCTCCCAAATAGCTGGGATTACAGGTGCACACCACCAAGCCCAGCTAATTTTGTATTTTTAGTAGACACAGGGTTTCACCATGTTGGCCAGGCTGGTCTCGAACTCCTGACCTTAGGTGATCTCCCCACCTCGGCCTCCCAAAGTGCTGGGATTACAAGAGTGAGCCACTGCACCCAGCCTAGAATGGCCTTTACTGTTCATATTTCTACCAACATTATTATCACAGCAAGGTAAGTAGCTTATCTTCTTCTGAGCCTTCACCAGCATTGCCTTTAATGTTTCATTCACAGCAATCTAGGTTTTTTCTAGCCCTTTCCTTCAAATTCTTCCAGCTTACCCAGTTCTAAAGCCACTTCAACATTCTTGGATATTTGTTATAGCAACCCCACACTCTTCGGTATCAATTTTCTGTCCTAGTCCATTTTCTGCTGGCATACAGAATGTCTGAGATTGTGTAATTTATAAACAACAAAAAGATTTTTTTGTTACATTTCTAGAGGCTGGAAAGTTCAAGATCATGGGACTACATGTGGCTAGGGCCTTCTTGCTACATTGTTCCATGGCAGAAGGGCATAAGGGCAAAAGAGCACACATGTGGGAGAGAAAGCAAGAGAGGGCTGAAATAACTTGTTTGTTTGTTTCTGTTTTTGAGATGGAGTCTTACTCTGTCACCCAGGCTGGAGTGCAATGTTGCTATCTTGGCTTACTGCAAACTCCGCCTCCTGGGTTCCAGCGATTCTCCTGCCTCAGCCTCTCAACTAGCTGGGATTACAGGCGCCCCCCACCATGCCCAGCTAATTTTTGTATTTTTAGTAGAGACGGGGTTTCACCATGTTGGGCAGGCTGGTCTCGAACTCCTGACCTCAGGTGATCCGGTCACCTCAGCCTCCCAAAGTGCTGGGATTACAGGTCTGAGCCACCCTGCCCGGCCATGAAATAACTTTTATAACAAACCTATTCCTGCAGTTACCACATTCATCAATTTATGAGGACAAAGCCCTCATGACCTAATCACCTCTGAAAGGTACCACCTGTCAACACTGTTGCATTGGGGATTAAGTTTCCAACACATAAATTTTGGGGGACACATTCAAACCTTAGCAATACTGTTTTGTTATTTCAGTTTTAAAAGAATTAACCTAGAAAGGAAGCAGAGAAGACTTCCTCATCTTTACTGAATCAATTGTACATGATACAAACCTCATTAGAAATGAAATAATATAACAAAATCAAGAGGAGGAGAGAAGGAAAGGTAGGAAGTAACAATGTAGTAAAAAGTTTCATTTTTCAGCATTAGGTAGTCAACATGTTTTTTTAACCTCTTGTTCATTGTGCAGTCAACATGTCTCTAAATCAAGAAATAGCAATATAAGAATATTATTCAAAGTGTTAATAAAAGCAAGAAAAAAACAATCTGGCAAAAATGCTTACATTACATAAGTGGGACTAGCGAATAAAGTGGGAGACAAAAAAATCCTTAATTTTAGACCCTTCGGGGTAGTTTAAATTTTTTAAATACGTGTGGGTATTTTATTTTGAGAAGACTGGGTTTAAAAAAATGAATGATACTTTCATAATTATTTTTAAAATTGTAGTATATTCCATGAGTCAGCAAACTGCAATCCATGGGCCAAATCCTACACTCCCTCCGTTATATACAGCCTGTGAACAAAGCCACATTCATTCATTTATCCACTGTATATGGCTGCTTTCACACTACAATAGCAGAATATGTGATCTTTTGGACTGCAAAACCTAAAATATTTACTTTCTGGCTCTTTTTAGAACATGTTTAGCAATCCCTGGTATATTCTTAACAATAAAATGGTAGGCAACCATTGGCAGAATAAGATGGGTCAATATAGACAGTAGTATGAAAACATGTCCAAGATGTAATCTTGAATGAAAATTTCAGAAGATTATGACTAACATATTCATGACTAGTATAACAACTATGTTCATCTGTAATTGTATTTGCATATCAATAAAAGAGCCTGGAAAAATGCAAACCAGAAATTTTGGTATTGGAGCATGGGTTCAAGAGAACTCTTACAGTTTTTTTCTTTTTTTTTTATTGTATTATTATGATACTTTAAGTTTTAGGGTACATGTGCACAATGTGCAGGTTAGTTACATATGTATACATGTGCCATGCTGGTGTGCTGCACCCATTAACTCGTCATTTAGCATTAGGTCTATCTCCTAAAGCTATCCCTCCCCCCTCCCCCCACCCCACAACAGTCCCCAGAGTGTGATGTTACCCTTCCTGTGTCCATGTGTTCTCATTGTTCAGTTCCCACCTATGAGTGAGAACATGTGGTGTTTGGTTTTTTGTTCTTGCGATAGTTTACTGAGAATGATGATTTCCAATTTCATCCATGTCCCTACAAAGGACATGAACTCATCATTTTTTATGGCTGCATAGTATTCCATGGTGTATATGTGCCACATTTTCTTAATCCAGTCTATCATTGTTGGACATTTGGGTTGCTTCCAAGTCTTTGCTATTGTGAATAGTGCCGCAATAAACATACGTGTGCATGTGTCTTTATAGCAGCATGATTTATAGTCCTTTGGGTATATACCCAGTAATGGGATGGCTGGGTCAAATGGTATTTCTAGTTCTAGATCCCTGAGGAATCGCCACACTGACTTCCACAATGGTTGAACTAGTTTAGAGTCCCACCAACAGTGTAAAAGTGTTCCTATTTCTCCACATCCTCTCCAGCACCTGTTGTTTCCTGACTTTTTAATGATTGCCATTCTAACTGGTGTGAGATGGTATCTCATTACAGTTTTTTTCTATATTTCTGCACTATTTTTAAAAAATGAACATATACTATTTTAGTAAATTTTAAAAATAAGTATGATTATATCAGATCCATGCTTAGTACCCGTCATTGGCATCTTGCAGAACTCAGGGTAAAATTCAATACTATTAATGCGTCCTATAAGGCCTTTTTTGAGATGACTGAGGTTTGTTTCTCCGGTTTCATCTCACGCCACTAGCAACACTTTTTCTCTGCTCGTAGTCACAGTCTTTATTTCATTTTCTCAAGTGTGTCAAGTTCTGTCTTGCCCCAGAGCCTCTGCACATACTGCTATTCTCCTACCTCTATGTTTATCTTGGTTAATTCCTACTCATCCTTCAGATCACAACTTCAGTCTCACTTCTTCAGGGATATTTTTCTGATCCATCAATTTAAATTAAGAAACCCATTTTCCTTTATTAGTGTAATTGCAAATTTCCTTTAGTGCATTTATCACTGTTTTTATTATCTAATTTACATAATTATGTAACATCTGTCTCCTCTGGATCTTACCTTTTTGTATACTATTATGATTCATTGGACCTGAGTTTAACTATTGAATTTCTTTTTTTGAGTAAATCTAGATATTTGTAAAGATTGATATTTTATGACTTTTACTAGTTCTTAGAGGTCTTCCAAGGAATAAAAAGAAACTTTAAAAAAATAGAACTCATTGTATCTTGCAATTATTTGTGCATTCACTGGACCCTTTAATAAATCTACCACAGTTGGGTATGGTGGCTCATACCCATAATCCCAGAACTTCAGGAGGCCAAGGTGGGAGGATTGGTTTATTCCAGAAGTTGAGACCAGCCTGGGCAAAAAAGTGAAACCCTATCTCTACAAGAAAAAAAAAAAAAGTAATCAGGTGTGGTGGCATACACCTGTGGTCTCAGCTACACGGGAGGCTGAGACAGGAGGACCACCTGAATTCAGAAGGTCAAGGCTGCATTCAGCCGTGTTTGCACCACTGGAAAATAGGTAAATAAATAAATAAATCTAAGACAACATTGTGGAATCTTAGGTAAAGTTATTTTCTCAATAACTTGAAAGCTTTTTCTATTTTATCATCCCAGAAATTATTTCAACATTACTTATGATAACTTATCAAAAATTCCAAACTATGTTTAAAAAGACTAAAATAATATGCAAATAGAATAATAATGGATTACAAAAGTGATGCAATAGAGAAATAGACAACTTTCAGTTTTATTAATGCACTGTCCAACATATTGAATCATCTTTTAATAAGGTATAAAAGAAGACCAGATACAATATATTCGTAGTCTGTTTTTAGCATTTGAAACCAGCTCAATTTTCCCATAGAACTAATATTTACAGTTTTTAAATAAACATAGAAATTGACCCTCTGTGGTCTTAAAACTTGAAACTGGCCGGGTGCGGTGGCTCACGCCTGTAATCCGAGCACTTTGGGAGGCCCAGGTGGGTGGATCACGAGATCAAGAGATTGAGACCATCCTGGCCAACATGGTGAAACCTCATCTCTACTAAAAATGCAAAAATTAGCTGGGCATGGTGGCATGCACCTGTAGTCCCAGCTACTTGGGAGGCTGAGGCAGGAGAATTGCCTGAACCCAGGAGGTGGAGGTTGCAGTGAGCCGAGATTGTGCCACTGCACTCCAGCCTGGTGACAGAGTGAGACTCTGTCTCAAAAAAAAAAAAACTTGAAACTTATATTCATCTTATCTGAGTTTCTTCCTCAAGAAACTGGTCCTGAGGCAAGGAACTGAAACTCATCAGATCACTGCACCCAGACAATGTGATGCCAGACCCCACATCCATCATGATTACTTCCTTACCTCTCCCTAATTCCTGTTTTCCTTTCTTCCTCGCTATGTAAACCCCTCAGTTTTAGTCAGTCAAGGAAATGGATTTGAGACTTTATCTCTTGGTTTCCTCAGCTGCAGGACTCAGTTAAAGCCTTCTTCCTGGCAGTACTCGTTCTCTCCATTACTGGCCTTCTGTGCAGTGAGCAGCAAGACCTAGATGGAACTCCTAGAATTTTGATAATGGTAACACATTCATTGATCACAACTGATAATTCAATTTTTTTCACATATAGTGACAAAGAGAAGAAAATTGAAAGAGGATAATGTTTCACAAATATTAGACAAATAAGATGAATGCATAAAAGATATCAGTGCTCTAGGCTCTAAAGATGATGATAAAATTGATCCTTTAAGAAGTGAAATCTCAGATTATATGAATTTTCATATGACATTAACCAAGGTGAATTTTCTCAAAATCAATAATTCATGAATAAAGAATATATTTCTAAGGACATAAAGGAAATGTTTTTTTTTTTTACAGTTAGTTCTTCAACAGAAAAAACTTCACTATACAATATTTTTATGTAAGAACCTGGCCCATCAATTTTGCCAAGAGTATGGTATAAGAGAGTATTCTTTTATGTTTCCTAATGTTTGTGTGTCAAAATTCACTGGGTAAAATAGGTTTACTGTGTTTACATTCTTATTAAATTTTGTAATCAAGTCATTTTTCTCAATCCTTTGCTTACTTCTCTAAATTATATGCAAAATGCTTTTGAAATGTGAAAAAATAAAAAAAGGCCAACTGGACACAAATATAAATGTTGAGACCAGTTTCCCTCTGTATTAGGCCACTTTTGTATTGCTAAACAAGAATACCTGAGACTGGATAATGTATAAGGAAAAAAGATTTTATTTTGGCTCACGGTTCTGCAGGCTGTACAGGAAGTGTGATGCCAACATCTGCTTCTGGTAAAGGCCTCAGGAACCTTGCAATCATGGCAGAAGGTGAAGGGGGAGCAGGAGCATCACATGGGGAGAGCAGGAGCAAGAGAGGGAGCGGGGGAGCTACCATATGTTTTTTGAAAAACAGATTTCATGTCAACTCACTCATCACCAAGGAGATGGTGTTAATCCATTCAGGAACCATCTGCCTCTAAGAGGCAAATGCCTCCCACCAAGTCCTACCTCCAACACTGGGGATTACATTTCAACATGAGATACGGAGGGGACAAATATCCAAACCATATCACCTCATGTACTGAGAGTGCAATTAAGCCGTATAAGGTCACAGACTTTGTTTTGTTAATTTCTGAATCCTCAACACATAATACCCATTATCCACTGATTGCCAAATATATACTGGGTACCATTCTAAATTTGTTACATATATTAAGTCACTTAACCTTTAAAATAACCCAATTATACATCCTATAATTACCCCAATTGTGTACAGATACAGAAACTGAGGCATAGCAAGAATAAGTAATTTGCCCAACATTGCACAACATGTGGAAAGCCAGGATTCCAATGCGGGTGATCAGGCTCCAGAGCTCACAGCCTTACTCAGTGCACCGCCTCTCCAACAGAGTGTGTGAAAGTTAGTACATGTCCAACACATATTTATTGAATAAAAATCAGCATTGTGCCCTTGGCGAAGCAATATGCAGTAGCTCTGAGATGGGCAGAGCATTAATGAAAAATCAACAATGAGCCAAAATTGATTTAGTTGAAACATTCATGGACAGGGTTGAACTTTGGATAGTTTCAGTGAAATCAAAGTTCTGAAATAACATTTGCATCTAAGTCTGTACTATCATAGTAGATTTTTAATTACTGATTTAATGGTTCTTTCCATTGAAGTAGTATTTCTGATATTCATTTTATTTTCTTTTTATCATTCATCCTTTGAATAAATATTTATAAAGTACCTACTCTATGCCAAGCCTTGTATGAGATTAGTGGAGAGAGAGGTGGGGATATTTAGAAGCTCTACCTGTCTAAAATATTTTCTATTAAAGGTGCACATTTCAATTTAGTAATGTTGTATCGAGTCTCCCATATTAATATTAATTGAAAATTGTTCTTTGTCTAGAAAAGATAAAATGCGTATCTTAATTGCTATAAACTATTTTTGATTAAAGGAAAAGTTTTCTTGTGTTCTGCAAACAAAGTTTTCTATTTTAAAGTCTTAGATCCACATCGATCAATACATATACATTAACCACAGGTGACTATTTAAATTTGTATTTAAATTACTTCAAATTAAATAGCATTAGAAGTTCAGTCCCTTAGTCACACTACCCACATTTCAAGTACTCAAGTAGCCATGTGTGCCTAGTGGCTACTGTCTTGAACAGTGCATATATAGAACATTACTATCATTGCAAAATTCTATTAGAGAGTGCCAATTTAGAGAATATTAATCTGCATAATTCCTTCCCACTATCACAACTAGTTTTGAAATATTTAGCATGTTTTTGAGATGATAAAAAGTGAAGTGTGGCTTCAACTTTTAGATGCCAAGAAAGCATCAACAATTTTACTATGAGGCTCTGTATACAGAATCCCTGTGACATATGTGATTTTGTAAAAATAAATTTTCGAATTTGAGAAACAATGTCAGAAAACCAGGAAGCCACTTAATTGACAGGCCCCCCGAACATTGAATGTAGTCCTTGATTCAAGTTCCAAAATTTCAGTGATCTCAGGAAGCTACTTCATCACAGAAAATCATACACAATGATAAAACCTTCAGCAGATTTTCAACAAATTACACAGCATCCTACTTTTATAACCTTACCCTGCTTAGACATATTTGGAATATCACTAATGTTTTCGAAGATACATATGCAGTGTCGTACAAATAACTGACAGTATTGAGAGAGTTTTAGGTCTAGTTCTTTCCCTACAAGGATCTCATCACAGTTAAATCCAAACAGAATATGCTTGCAATGTGTTTACAACGCTCTCAGTGTTTCTTCTTTAAACTTCACTACAAATCAGTTACATCTTCTACTCACATTAACTATGCCATCAGCACATGACCATACATTTTATTTAAATTAATTCTGATTTTCTAGGGCTTGATTTTTATAACCTTGTTTAAATATGTCCCAGTTGTCTCTTCAATACAGATGAAACTTAACACAATCTCTTTAATTAAGATAGCTTTTGAAATTATTTGTGGTTATCTCATCTGAATTGACAACTGTTCTTTTACTGCAGTATCATGTTTCTCCTCATATATTATTATAAGCAAATAAAACATTGATTTCATTAAAAATATCCTACAGCATTGCAGCCTTTATTATTCCAGTGATTGAATTTTGAATTTGTACATTTCTCCAGGAATCAACTTCTGAGATCTCAAGGGATTTTTTTTTTAACTCATTTTAACTTTCACTTTGATTTCTAGAAATGCCAAATACTTTACACACAGATTAAATACACATTCTTAAGAGCAATTACTGATTTCAGTAAATAAGCATAGTCTACCTGAACATCAAGAAAATATTCAAAGCACTATACATATGGACATTGCTACTATTTTGCTGTAAATATATACCATGGCTGCTCTCCAGAGTAAGATTGCTGAGGTTCAAATAAAAGGCCTGCCATGTAATAATTGCATAATCTAGGGCAATTACTTAATCTTTTTACACCTCAGTTTCTTCATCTAAACATGCAGATAATCACAATATATATCTACTCTGGTTCCAGTGATTATCAGAAGAGGTAAGACACGAACTGAAATTGGTTTTTATTTTATTTTGCTTTTCCATCATTTGAAACTTCTATATTTAGAAAATCAGTCACAGTGTGAGAAGCTGCGGTCAGATATCATCTCTTATTCCTGGTACAACATATGATCTAAGCTTAGCCAAAAGGATGTTGAAGCATGAAACTTTGAATCTGAAGTAAATGACACAAGAGGCAAGAGTAATATAAAATATACTGCAGTAGCAGTTGTGGCAATGATATTCGGTATATTATTTACTATTCTAGTAGTGAAGGTTATAAAACTGAGTCTTTTTCACTGACGAGTATTACATTTTAAATGTAATGAAAAAATATCAACAGACTTTTTCCAAGTGTAGAAGAAAGGGTTAACAAGTTGGTTTCCTGTAAGATATTTAGTGTCTTGTACTATATTAAATGCATTTTAAAATTAGATTTTAAAATTAAAAATTAAAAGCATTTTTTCAGGATTTAGGGAATTTTTTGGTATATGAAAAATCCTGCAATCATCATTAGACATTCATCTGCTCCATTTAACTGCTGAAAGAAATGCCATTTTTACTATGCAGATTGCTATTTGTTATCACTGAAATATGGATAATTATAAAGGATAAGGAGCTTGGTGTTTACTTTGTAGAAAAAGAGCAGCATTTGAATGTATGTAAACTGTAAAGTAACATGGTCAGATCCGTATATTAGAAAGATCACTCTGGACTAGAAAGCCAAACTGAAGACAAAGAATTAGGTTAGAAAGTTATTGTCATAACACAGATGAGCAAAGAAGTCTAAGATGAGGTAAGTAATAGTTTGAATAAAAAAGAGAGGATCAACTTGAGAATTATTCAGAAAACTGAATTGACAAAGCTTGTTGGCCAGTTGGATATGGGGAATGAGACATGGAGTGGAGAACAGAATGACTTCTAGGTTTTGATGAGACAGTTGTTCATTTCCAAATAGTCTGTACTTTCAGTTTTGATGTTTTCTTTAAGCAAAACAATACTGAGAAGAGTACTTTTTACATTTTTTACAACAAATTTTAAACACATCCAAAATAAAGCAAACAATATACTACCTACCTTCACTCCTCTCCATTTCCCAGTTAATTATGATGATTATTTTAGAAATTACAAGAATTTGCTAAAACATTTTCCAGTGTGATTGTACCATTTTATACTCCTTTCAGAAATATGTGAGAGTTTCAGTTAATCCAAATCCTTGACATTTTGTGCTGTCAGTCATTATAATTTTAGTTGCTCTAGTGGGTGGTTAATGTCATCAGAAAATTGAAAAAAAAAAGCAGTGTATAATTTGAAGAATTGCCCCTTAATTAGCAACTTCTAATTTTGTTGCATTTTAGCAAGAGATTGAACACATGACTTCTGACTGTTTAAATACATTGAATTTGTTTCATGACTTACTATCTGAAATTTTTTGGTGGTATTCCGTTGGTCTCTGAAAATAGTATGTAGTGTTTCATTATACGGTACAAATTTCCACATACGCATATACAGTCCGTTCTTCTAGTCATGGTAGTTATATTCTAAATGTCATTGCAAACACTGAATTAATGGTAGTGAACCATTGCTCCTAGGGGAAATACAAAAGTTACATACTGTTTAAAATTAAAGTGCATTTGGCCTGAGGCTGCCTCTGTACTTTGAGTTTCTAAGTAGCAAACTGCAACCTAACTTAGCGTGTCAACAAACTGCGATTTAAGAGTACATTCTTATGACACATGGCTGAGTCTCAGACAATCACACTACCAACTGATCAGATCATGTTGATATAATGCAAATGCCTTATCGCACCATGCCCAAATAAGACAAACACCAAGCTGTAACCAATCAAGTTGTTTATGTACCTCACTTCCTCTTCCTCTCTATAAAAACTGCCTGCTCACATTGCTGGGTGGAATTCTCTGAACCTCTCTAGATTCTTCTGCTAAATTTAACTCCTCTAAAAATTTTCTTTTAACAGTACCTTTAAGGCCTTTGGTCACAATAATTTCATCGGCTGATCAAACATAAGATAACTTTGCTTTATGTGGGTTTCTGTTTAAAGATACCTAATTTAATATATAGTGTTGATTTATTAATATTAAACTAATAGGCAATAGCACTATACTGCATGGTAGAAGGAAGCTTATCTAACATCGGCTTTTTTTTTTTTTTTTTTTTTTTTTTTTTTTTTGAGACGGAGTGTCTCGCTCTGTCGCCCAGGCTGGAGTGCAGTGGCACAATCTCTGCTCACTGCAAGCTCCTCCTCCCAGGTTCACGCCATTCTCCTGCCTCAGCCTCCCAGTATTTGGGACTACAGGGGACTACAGGCACCCGCCACCACGCCCGGCTAATTTTTGGTATTTTTAGTAGAGACAGGGTTTCACAGTGTTAGCCAGGATGGTCTCGATCTCCTGACCTCGTGATCCACCCGCCTCGGCCTCCCAGAGTGCTGGGATTACAAGCGTGAGCCACTGCGCCCGGCCAGGCATTTTCTTAATAAGGCACATCACTGCTTTTTTGTGCCTAGAAATACTAGACAGCACTTTAGCACTATGTTTGGGAGAGCATTTTAAAAATGAAATAACCAACAAAAGACACAAGAATAGAAAAAAAAAAAAAGCATTTTTTGCACTACGTGTAAGTTACAAAGGCCACTTATTTACAGTATGAAACTGAAAACAAGGATTTGTTTTGACCTCAGCTGAAAATGTGCACATCGGGCAATCCAAATTTTTCACAGGTCTTTCCATGTCTGTGAATAACTGCAAAAGCATTGCAAGTGTCAATCTTGGGGTTACAAATTAATTTTAGCAAGCAGATAAATTTGAAAAAATTTATCCACAATTTTGGCCACGAATGTGGCCAAAAAAATTTGACCACAAATAGGGTCAAATGTATTATGGGAAAAGTTTTGTAATTCTTCAGTTTTTGCCCATGCGATTTATTAATTTCTAGTGTGACACTTAAAATATCCCATTATGATTATATAGTTACATATTTTTCATTGTATTTGTAACAAATTTTGTTATAAATATTTTAGTTTCTGTTGCTGGATGAATAAAGTTTCATTAGAGTAATATTTTTAATGAACTGTAGAATTTTAGAATATCAAACATTCCTCTTTGTTCCATTTAATGCTTTTCACCTTTAATTTCACTTTATCTGTTTATAATATTGCTGAGCCTGTATTCTTCTTGTTAGCATGTGTCTAGTTATTTTTCTGTTTTTCCTTCACATGTTTCCTTCAAACATTTTTTTATCATTTTGATCTAGATATGTCTCATATGTTTCTATTAAAAACATGCTTTCTTGTTTTGTTTTTTTCTCTCTTCTGTCCTATTTTTTGGTTAAATTCATTTTGTTTCTATATTCAATTAATATCTCACTGGTCTGTTCTTAAAGTTTACATCTTATGTCTGGTATATTGGTTGCTTTTATTTTTTTAATCTTCATATTTAAACTTATTATATCAATGTCTGTAGTGAATCTCTACCAAAAACTCCCTTTCACAAATTACAAAAAAAAAAAATTCTCATCTCTCCCCCTACCCCACAAGCTCTCATATTAAAATAATCTAGAATATCAAGGTCTGTCTTTGATAATTGTGGGAGAGAGGCAGAACTAGTGATGGGCCATGAGTGTTTGGGTATATTATTCCCTCAAATGTAAGAGCTTTCCATTTCTTCTGATGATCATGATTACCTAGAAACTTTCATATTTCTCCTGTCCAACTGCTTACTTTGAAAGCTTCCTAAGATATTATCCTGTCTTCAGAAAACTAAACTTTTAAGCTGCAGACTTGTAAACGATGAACTTTGGGTGACTACAATGTGTCAATGCAGGTTCATCAGTCGTAACCAATGTACTAGTCTGGTGGGGAATGTTGATAAATGGGGAGGCTGTGCATCTCTAGGGGGAGGAGGTATATGGGAACTCTCCTTTGTCTTCTGCTCAATTTTGCTTGAACCTAAAACTGCTCTAAAAAATAGAGTTCATTAAAAAGCAGAAAATAAAAACCAACCAAACAAAAAAGAATCAGCTAAGATGATCAACTCATCTTGATTTGCCTGGTACTTTCCCAATTTTATCACTGAACATTCTGGGCAAACTGAGATAGTTGATAAGCCTAGAATTAGATTTAATTTTTCTCTTCCCTCAACCCCCTACTTGAAAGGACTGGCATTAGAGAAGGCTGCTCTCTGTTTCTCCCTAGTGTCAGAACTTACGCTCAAAACCATTTTCAATAAGATACCAATTTTTCATCTTTTAGAACTATTTCCTGAATGCAAATGCCACTATCAATCAGAACAAACAAATAAAAATACCAGGCCAGATTGACCCAGTTTTTCCATATGTTGTTAATTAATTACTCTGATAGTTTCTTCATGATTCATACCTGTTGGTTATTGTTTTCTATTCCAAATTTCCCTAGTTTTTGCGTGTGTGCTTTTATTTATTTATTTATTTTTTGAGATGGAATCTCTGCTCTGTCACCGAACCTGGAGTGCAGTAGCGAGATCTCGGCTCACTGCACCCTCCGACTCCTGGGTTCAAGTGATTCCTGTGCCTCAGCCTCCCAAGTAGCTGGGACTACAGGGCCACACCACTATGCCCAGCTAATTTTTGTATTTTAAGTGAAGACGGGGTTTCACCACGTTGGTCAGGCTGGTCTTGAACTCCTGGACTCAAGTGATCAACCTGCCTTGGCCTCCCAAAGTGCTGGGATTACAGGTATGAGCCACCAGCCTGGCCAGTTCTCTAGTTTTGGGGTGTGTGTGTGGGTGTGTGTGCACGTGTACATGTGTGTGCACACGCATGTATTTATGCTCAAATTTTCCCATTACTCTGCTCTTATCTACTTCCTTGTCATCTTTCCATACAGATATTTATCTTGTCATTATTGTATTAATGCATGCTCATTGTAAAAAGTTATAATATATAGATTATAAAAAGATTAAAACAGCTAGAATCCCTCCACTGCAAGATAACCAGATATTAACATTTGAGGGACCAGCATCTTATATATCTCTTCACTCCTGCTCACATGCACATGCATACGTACCAACACACACACACACGCAACACACAAAACATCAACAAATTAACATACCTGAGATCATATACATGCTGTCTGTGTCAAGAACACTTTTTAAAATGTTTTTGCTTATCTCTTCCCTTTCCTTCACCCTTTACCCAGCATCACATGCCCCCCTACATACAGAAGTAAATAATGATCATTGATATATTTTCTTCAGCATTTTCTTCCTACTTAGATAGATAGTCATTTTGATTTCAATTAAAATGCCTTTCCTCTTAACCCACTCAGAGCCATCTGCTTCTGGGTTTCAAGGTATAAGATCCATTCTTGTCTAGCAATCTGATGTAAGCATGCCTGTATGCATATATTCAATACTTTCTATAGAACATTGGATGAGGAGGCAGGTGACCCAGTTCTTCACCATGAGAATTTCAGTCAAAATATCTCCTTTAAAATGGATATTTTCAGTTTGATATTCCACTTTTTTATAAATAATATGCAGATAAACATGTCATTCAATATAATGCAAATTACTAACAGTAACTATCACACATTTGAAATATGAGTTGGTGATGTAAACATGAAAGGCAAAAGTAGGACTGTCCAAAATAAAAATCAGTCCAAACAGGAGGCCGTCTTTAAATTAGCATTTTATTGATATTTTCAAATTGCAAAACACCATATGCTAAATTATAAATGTTAATGCTTAGTTTACCATTACACTGGTGCCCCAATTGAACTTCTTATATTTTAAGAAAGAAATGGTAAACCTTGGATTAGAAATGACCTCTACACATACGCACACACCACAGACACAAAGAAGCAAACAAGGTCATACATATTTCCTTCACTTATTTAACACGTATTTTCCCTTGTCCCAATTTATTTGGTAAATGTAATGTAAAGTTAGTTCCAAAATGGCAAATACAAAATTGATCATGAAAAAATATAGCCCCAAATCTGGTTGGCATCTGACAGGTTAAATTTATCAAACATACCAATGTTCACATAGAGTAATGATATGCTTCTCAAATATAGTAGAATCAGTATCTCTGTCTGAAACATTGCACATTAAGATGTTTTTTAAAGAAACAAATTTTGTGTGCAAATTTGAGGCATTATATTAATTCTCAGTTCCTGTGTCTAGATTTTCAAATTTGTGCAAATTTCTGGAAATCACTCTCAGGCCTATCTTCCTAAATTACTGGTCTCATCAAGTTATTACCTTACTCCATCATTTACTATGTCCACTGAACTAAGCTCAAATTCTTCTGCCTTTTAAGGCCATTAATTTTGGTATCTCACTGAATCTTTATTATCTAATTTGTTTTCTAAATTTGACTCAAAATGTAGCCTCTTATTTTTGCAGTCCATTTTCTTTTTTATCTCCCAAATCCAGAATACTCTTTACTTTCTTGGGTCTTGGCACACACATCACAGAGTAGACCTTCCTACCCCTTCCTTAGGTTTTGCCCATGCAAATAATTCTCTCCAATTTAAGAACTGATGACAGCTATAACAGAAAACTCTGCTATGACCTTGACTGATGCCCCTTATATCTTCCAATTTCTTCCATGAAAAATGCGGTTAATGATACCCATGTATAACTGTGTAAGGATTAGTTGAAATAACATTTGTAAAATACCTAGCAAATGTCTTATAATTAGTAGGTGCCAATAAATGTCAATTTAAATATAAACTCAATGGTAACTAATTCAAGGGGCCAACTTTGACTTAGATGCATAAGTTGTTATGTGTTTGTTATATTATAATCACAAATTTGAGCATGCAAAACATTGATGGAAAAGTTATGGTTATTACATTTTTGTTTTCATTCATACAATTTTTTAAAATTTATATGGAACATGGGAGTCATAAAAATGAATGAATAAAATAATTACTGAAGGTAATAATACATTTTTACAGCACCATGCCACTTACAAATATCTTTTCCGTGCATTCTTTTACTTGAACAAAGATGGAAAGCAAGAAATTTATTTCAATTTCTGTTTTATAGATGTGAACCCTGAGGCTTAAACGGACTGAAAAGCTAATCTAGATAGGGAAGATATGATTCAAACAAAGCACTTGACAAAAAATGTAGTGCTTTAGAGCCTTGTCCAAGAATTATATTTAAAAGCTACATCACAGAGCTTTTTGTATATAGCGAGCGTGTTCATAGGATGATATGATCTTTTTTGCAATACTGCACATTATTTATGTAAATGAGCATATATGCAACTTAATTAACGTTTCATTATTAGACCAATTTTCACATTATTTTGTGCAATGTCTAATATCTGATAGTTTTCTTTTGTCCTGAAAAATAGAGATTTCACATCAGATCCACTTGTTAACTTGGGATGATGTGCTATGAATAGTGATTGAAAAAAATACTTCTAAGTAAACCTCTGCTTTTCTCTGGTCTATTATTTAATGAAATCTTGGACCAGAGTTCAATTGTGATTTCTTCTGCTTTGCTGCTTAGTGAATGTGGATTAAGTCAGAATATGTCATCATTGTCAGAAAGGATCCAAATCGACAATAATAAATAATGGTACCTGGATTATTGTGTATTACCTCTTTGCTCACTCATCTCTACTCTCTATAGAATATAATTGCCTTTTACATGTAACTGTATCAAGCTTTGCTTCTCAAGAGGATTATCTGGAAAAATTCCAAATGAAAAGTAAAGGAGTGAAAAATACTGTTGTAAACATCTAGTAATTAAGAAAAATGGAATAAAAGTTGAAAGGATTTCTATAAATTTTGAGATGGCAACACTTTACTTCTTGCAGTACAAATGAACCCTATACAACATATTATTATTAAAATCTTGAAAATATGTCATTTTCAAGATATTATAAAAACCTTGAAAACATGTTATTTTAATTTTCCTTAGTGAGTTTAATAAACTCAAGCACAAATTTTATGTCTTTCCTAATTAATGCTTATTAAAGCATGTGAATGTTCTTTCTACCAATCATTAATTTTTAAAAAAAAGCCTCTTTGTTTACCTTGAGAAGCAAGATATTTATTAAGACCTATGGTGAAGCATGCAAACCGGGCATTCATGAGCTTCAACTGCAGCCCAGCATCGGGGCAAGGGGGAGGCAGGTATCACCGTGAGGCCTGTGTTTCTCATCTTGGCTTTTTTCCTGCTCCATATGGCAGTTTGGCTCTTTATTTTCTTATGTTTCTCTTGTTGCTCTTGCAGTCTGATTCCTATCCTCCGAAAAGTAATTTGATTTTGCCTTAGCAATAGAAGTCTAACCGCCTATATTTCTAACCCTGTTTCCTGTTGCCTGGTTGTTTACTGGCAAGTTGATCTTGATTACTCATTGCTCATTTGGCTTGATAGTGCTCATCCAATGTTCTATACGCTGGTCTATATCCAAGCTCTGATTAACCTTATCATACTGGCTCTGCTAAAAGTGTCCAAGTCCCTTTATCCGACAAAAAAAAAAAAAAATCAGGAGAATGTTATTATCTGTACAAGATAGATCTTGAGAATTCTAGGACAAATGCCCATGAAAAATTGAAGGATTTCTAGCACAGAAAATAATGTTTGGCTTGTTGTTCATTTCATTTTGTATTATCTAGATGAAGTTCTGATTCAAGGCCCATGTTGTATTTAGATTCTGAAGCAATGAATATTTATTGGGCATCTTCAGTAAGCTAGGCAGCATATTAGGTACTTTTTCAAAATGGATTATCTCTTTTAAAAAACTCCCAAATCTGCAGGATGGTCAAGGCTGGTTTTATAGTACGATGGATAGGGAAACTGGATTCAGTGGTTACGTGTGCTGCCCAAGGTCATATAGCTAGGAAGTACCAGAACCAGGATGAAAACTCACTTTTCCACACCCAAAGGCCAAGGCCTTTTCTACTTTACCATAAAAGTCTATATGGATACTCACTGAGACATAACAAGAAAATGTGTCTTTTCTGCATATGTAATAACCTTTACAGCCCCAAAAATCTGGAAGGATTTCTTCTTTTAACAGGAATAAACTTTTGTGGCTTATAGGAAAATAAAAACTAAGATGTCATAATGGGAAATATAAGAATATATTAGAATTTCAGGCAGTAGATTTTAAGTAGTGAGAAGTGTTATCTCTATAGAGGAATTATGGACCGCTCTCTCAAGCATAATATGTCTATCTAAAAATCACTCTTGGGAACTATACCCTCATCCTAAGTCAGTTCAGCTTTAGATTTATGAGAATAGGTAAATGACAATATGCTAGAATCAAATAAAGTTAGAAGGATAAAAGAGGAAAAAAAACACAGAGGCACAACATAAATAAATAGCTCCTCACTCCCATACTTTTATTTCTATTCATATTCAAATAATACTTATTGAGCTTCTACTTTATGCTAGAAAGGGTGTTAGGTCCCTAAAATGGGTGTTTGACACCGCATGTTCTCACTCATAAGTGGGAGTTGAACAATGAGAACACATGGACACAGGGAGGGGAACATCACACACCGGGGCCTGTCAGGGGATGGGGGACTAGTGGAGGGATAGCATTAGGAGAAATACCCAATGTAGATGACGGGTTGATGGGTGCAGCAAACCACCATGGCATGTGTTTACCTATGCAACAGACCTGCATGTTCTGCACATGTATCCCAGAACTTAAAAAATGGGTGTTTGAATCTGATGTTCATAATTTTGAAAGATGTTTTTCATCATTATCATCATAGCGTCATCATCATCATCCTGTAATTATTAGTTTTATGTGTCAACTTGGCTAGGTAATAGAATCCAGTTATTCGATCAAACTGTAATTTAGGTGTTGCTATGAAGGTATTTTTTATATTTGGTTATTATTTATAATTGATTGACTTTAAGTAAAGGCGATTACCGCAATGATGTAGTTGGGCTTCATCGAATCAGTTGAAATGCCTTATCAGTAAAAACTGAGGCTTCCCTGAGGAAAAAGAAATTCTGCCTGAAGATTGACTGCAGCATTGACTTCTGCTCCAAAGGTTCCAACCTGCTGGCCGGCTCTTTGGATATCATACTTACCAGCCAATACAATTGCATAAGCCAATTTCTTGCAATAAATCTCATAAGGTGTGTGTGTGTGTGTGTGTGTGTGTGTGTGTGTGTGTGCGCGCGTGCATCTGTTTATCTATTGCAGTTTCTCTGGAGAACCATGACTGATAAAAACTGCATTTTCAAAATGAAAATCTAAGCTTCAGACATTAGATGATTTGTCCAAACCACAGGGCCCATAAATAGTGAAGCCAAGAAAGGAACTTACATCTTCTAACTCTTAAGTTTGGTCCTCTTTTTGGATATCTATCTTAATTTTTCCTTCTATTTCTGTTCCTTATTTTCTCTTCTTTTAAAGCCATTTAGTAGCTCTAGAAAAATAGCGTACGTCCTCACTCATAAGTGGGAATTGAACAATGAGAACACATGGACACAGGGAGGGGAACATCACACACTGGGGCCTGTTGGTGGGTGGGGGGCTAGGGGAGGGACAGCATTAGGAGAAATAGCTAATGTGGGTGACGGGTTGATGGGTACAGCAAACCACCATGGCACGTGTATACCTATGTAACAAACATGCACGTTCTACACGTGTACCCCAGAACTTAAAGTATAATAAAAAAAAAAGTTGCCAACTCCTAAAAAAAGAAAGAAAGAAAAATGGTGCTAACACATATGCTTATGAGAGTTATTGAAGGCAGTTTGTCTTATTCACCTATGCACAGAACCTGTTTTGCTCACACCTGTTGTATGTCTAAGCGGACTCCCAGATACAGTTTGTATACAGGGAGGGCATTGGCTAAAGAGGACTCTCGGTAAGTGGCTGCAGACAGTCCAGGTGACAGCAAAGAGCTAATGCAGGAGTTCCCAATGTACTACCAACATTCATTAGCACCTACTAATGATAGACATTGCCCTAATAACTAACAACAGCAGACTTTAGAAAAAGGACATGATTAGATTTCTGTATTATGGAGGCAGATTGACTCCATCTCTAAGGAATGGCTTTAAATACAAGACACAGGGGATTGGATCACACTTCTGCCCTTGCTAGCTAAGTTACATTCACTAAGTCACTATATCTTAGTGATCTTTGCTTTCCTCATCTGTGATATGGGGATTATTTCATCTCCCATGTATAAAGTAGGTATAAAGGGTTCTGTAAGCTAAAGTGTTATGTAAACTAGAATTATAAATATCAATAGTTAAGTATATCTTCCCTCCTGCTGTGTTCACAACACTAGACTATAAGTAGTGGGTAATGCAAAGAAAGCATGGTAGTTACTTATTGGGAAGCATTTTCATTTTATGGATGAGGGAAAAATGCATGAAACGCTGAGAAACTAAAAGCAGATATGTATTTGTCTCGGGGAATTGTTTTTTTCATAACATTCAAAGCATTAAAGATGGCATCCCATTTCAAACATAAGTATGACAGTGGTGCAGCAGCTGAATATATAAAGAGTGAGTGATGCTTTGGTGCAGCCTGTTTGTACTAGTCTAGCCGGTTGGGTCCTATGCCAATGTAATAACAGGCCCTATCCTGTTACCAGTCATTGTGCTGTGTTGTATGGTCCCCAAATTGTAGCCTTACCCTTAGCCCACATTTTACAAGCTCACATATAGGTGAAAAATGATTTACTGGATTTTATACACAAAACAACACATGCTGAATTATTACAGTGTGTCCCACACTTTGCTATTTATTTCAAAATATTTTCTGTAATTTTATGCTCAGAATAGCCCTGAAAGTTATGACATAGAGAAGATGATAATCCATATTTTATGATAAATTATCTGAGGTACAGAAAGTTGAACTGGCCTTTTTAAATGTATTGAAGCCTAGAATCAAATTCATATGTCTCTGACTGCAAAACTTGTGTTCTTTCCATTATATGGATTATGGGCACGGTGCTGTGGTGGCATAAACTCAAATTTCCAGAAGGAAAAATTCCTTAGAAGACACCTAGTTGAAAGTTTTCATTTTATAGATGAGCAAACTGAGGTCTCAAGAAGGGAAAAGATTTTCTCTGGGTCACGTGAGAAGTAAGTAAGCGCTTTGGGCTAGAACAATACAACACAGAACTGGAGCATATACCTAATAAATGTTCTGACAATTATTGATGTTCATTAGCATATGATGGTATGATAAATAACTGTCAAAAACAGAAGTTCAGCAAGAAGAGCTAAAGAAATAGCTCTGGAGTTGGGCCCTGAGATGGGTAGAACTAAACAAGCACATCAATGTTTAATCGAGATACAGCATGTTTACTGCTAGAGAAGGCAGATTCCAGGCCTCTGAGACACACTGACTCCTCTAAAATTCCAGATTTACTATTTCATTCCTCTACTCATTTATCAATTCATTCAAAAACTAACTATGAAATACTAAGTATGCGTCAGAGATTATTTTAGAAGCTTGGAACATACCACTGAATAAAACAGATAACAATTCCAGCCTATGTAGAATTAAGTTCCAATGGAACAGACACAATAAATAAGCATCTTGCATAAGTAAATCTTATAGCTCATTAGAGGAAAATAAATGCTATAGAGGAAAAAACAGAGCAAGTTAAGCAAGATCACAAGTATAGGAAAATAAAGTACAGTTTTTAACAGGATGGTTAGGTAGGCTTCACGGACAAGTTGCATTTGAACAAAAACTTAAAGAAGGTGACATAGTAACCCTGGCATATACTTGAAGGAGGACCATTTCAGATAAAGAAAACAGCAAGTGGAAAGGCTATCAGGTTATGTAATGGCTGGCATATTTGAGAAACAGTAAGAAAAGCAATTTGCCTGGAGCAGAGCAGAAGAAGATGAAAGAAGAAGGTGATAAGCTGAAGGAAGTAACGGGGTGCAGATGGAAGATTATTTTATACGGCTTTGTGGAACGTTGTAAGAATATTGGATTTTGCTCTCAAAAAATGAGGAACCATTGAGGGGTTTTGAGCAAAGACATGATATAGCCTGGATTACATTATAGCAAAATCGCTCTGGCTGGGTTGCTCTGTTAGGTAAACTAAAGGTTGGTAAATGGTGAAAGCAAGGACATAAGTTTGGAGCCCATTGGAGTCATCCAGAGAAATGGCTTAGCCTAGAGATGTAGCTATGGAAGGGGTAAGAAGTAGTATAATTCTACATTTTTTTAAAGATAGAACTAACAAGATTTTGCGGACATTATATGTGGGATGTATGAGAAGAAAGATGGATAGACTTTGATGATTTTAGTACAAGTACACAGAATAAAGTTGATATTAATTGAATTGAAGGAGTTTGTGGATGGAGCAGGTTTTGAAAAGAAAATCAGAAACTTCATTCTGGACATTTCACTTCTGAGATATCTATTGGTCATCCAAGTGGACAAATGAGTGGACCGTTGAACATAAGTGTGTGAAGTTTAGGGGATAATTATGGCTTAAAGATAGACATTTGGGGCCAGGCACTGTGGCTCACGCCTATAATTCCAGCACTTTGGGAGGCTGAGGAGGGCGGATCACGAGGTCAGGAGATCGAGACCATCATGGCTAACAGGGTGAAACCTCATCTCTACTAAATACCATTGGGTTTTATATTAGTCTATTTTTGCGTTACTATAAAAGAAGACCTCAGACTGGGTAATTTATAAAGGAAAGAGTTTTAATCGGCTTATGGTTCTGCAGATTGTACCAGAAACGTCGCTTCTGGTGAGGCCTCAGAAAGCTTTTACTCATTGGCAGAAGGTGAAGCAGGAACTTGCACGTCACATGGCGAAAGCAGGAGCAAGCAAGAGAGAGTAGGGTGACGGAGGTGCCACACACTTTTAAACGACCAGATCTCATGAGAACTCACTAACACAAGGACAACATCAAGCCATGAGGGATATGCCCCCATGATCTAAACACCTCTCTTCAGGCCCCACCTCCAGCATTGGGGATTACAATTCAACGTGAAATGTAGGCAGGGACAAATATCCAAACTATATCAGATGTATTACCTGTTCTCTCTTTGCTTTCTATTCTTCATCTGTAAAACAGAAATAATAATTCTTAACTAGTGGGGATAATGAGAAAATGCATGAACAAGGAAAAGCACAGACCTGTGTTGGCATTACTGAAAATCTTCCTCCCTGACTTGAGCAACAAAGTGCATGCCCTTACATTGATATTCTAGAGAGAGGAAGGGGAAGACACGGAGTAGGAAGCACAAAGCCTTACTCAATCTAATTTTACCCTATGAGCAATATGAGGACGATATTACCATTACTGCATGCTCTTATTATAATTTTGAGAGTCCCTTTACCTAATATAATGAAACAGAAGACCTAACAAAATGCTATGTAATAACATGAATGTTATTTGAATTTTAACAATGCCTATGTGTGAAAAGGGTTAACGTTAAAACTCAAGTACAGTCTCCCAGCACAACAAAGTAATACAAACCATAACCAGTTTCTAAAAGGAGGATGGGGAAAGGGAAAGACTACATTAAGAAACCCTGGCTGAGGAAGAAACTCCATTGTTCATCCTCTGTACAGCCCTAAAAAAGCATGTTGTGGGTTCTAAATATCATGCAGCCCCTCCCAAATATTAACTAGCAATGCTGACAGTGGCAATTACACATAGACATTCAGTTGGTAGTTATTTTGTGTTAGATCTCATTCTAGTTTCTAGAATTCAGACTACCAAGTAATGAGACTTAAAAACAATCAAACTCCAATTCACTAGTGCAATAAGTGTGACAAAAATATATGAACAAAGAAAGGAGCCGTATAACCCAAGCAGCAACCTCAAGTATACTTCTTTGTTCTGTAGTTTTATCTCTGAGAAAAATCCTGTTTCTGGAGTGAACTCTTTTGATCTTAGAATTTGAGCTCCTTTTGGGAAAAGACTGTTACTTTTTGTTCTTTGTTTCTCTGGTGCCTGGCACAGAGTAGATTCTCAGGGTTTATTTCAAGAAAGAAGGGAGGGAGAAAAGGAGCAAAGGAAAGTTGATTGCAGATAAAATGTGTAAAACTGTTCAGTGATAAATCCAAGAGCATCGCATATTTTACGCAGTTTTCTCAGTAAGAGGCCACAAAAGGGCTATTTTCAGCACTGCTTTGTGAATCCTGGGCTGCATTTTGCAAACCAGGCTTGATTTGGCTGAACAACTGTGTCTTCTGTACATATGCAAATAGGAACAAATATGAACAGGAACTTTTTATTGTAATAACAATTCACTTTGACACACTAGCATCTGGATGGAAATTTCTCCAGCTGCACAGCTTACTCTTTATAGTAGGCAAAATAATCATTTCAGTCATAAGAAGTGGACCTGAGAAATGGATAGAGTCTATTTGGTGGAACACCACGGGAGCAGCCAATGGCTATCCCTCTGAATCTGTGAGTAGGAAAATGAGAATTCTTATATTGAGGCAGAATAGTGGTAAAAGCATACTCTTGGCATCCAAAAGACCTGGTATTGAGCCCTGGATTTGTCATTTGCTATCTGGGTCACCTTGTGAAAATTATGTAATCTTTTGGAGCCCTAGTTTCCTCATCTGCAAGCTGAGAAGAATATGATATTTAGCTCACAGGACTGTTATAAGTATTGGATAAAATAGTATACGAAGTGAGATTAGCAGCAGGCCTGTTATAAATGCTGCCAGGGCAGGACAAATTGTAGCTGCTATTCCTAATAAGCTCAAAAAGGAGGATACTCTGACAGGATGGATCAAGCAATACTTAAAATGCAGAGAGCCACGAGCCAGGTTCATTTGGTGGCATTTTCATTGCACACTTCATGTTTTATACGTCAAAAATAGTGAAATTATAAACTAAAATACAAAACAATCTAAGGAGGACAGGTCTCTGAATTGAGGGCAAGTGTTGTTTGACAATCTCAGTGGTCATAACACTCCTACCTACTGCTTGCTATGCAATGGTTTATGTATTGGTCTGCTGGGACTGCCATTGCAAAATACCACAGATGGTTTGGCTTAAACAACAGAAATTAATTTTCTCACAATTCTGGGGGCTAGAAGTCAAGATCAAGGTATCAGCAGGTTTGGTTTCTTCTGAAGTCTCTTTCCATGACTTAAAGATAGCTATCTTCTTGCTGCGTCTTTACATGCTCGTCACTCTGTGTATCTGTGTCCTAATCTCTTTTTCTTGTAAGGACACCGGTCATACTGAATTAAAGCACATTCTAATGACCTTATTTAATCCTAATTACCTTGTTAGAGATTCTATCTCCAAACACAGTTACATTCTGAGGTACTGGAGGTCAGGGGTTTAACACATTAATTTTGGAGGACACAATTTAGCCCAGAACTCTTTGTTACAGTAACGGGAGAGGATGTGGCTAGGTTAGGAGGCAGGGGTATAAATTAACAATGAACTAAGCATTTCTAATGCTATCTTCAGCTCAGTTTGAAACTCATATTGTTTGCTTTGTTGAGGGTGAAAGGAATCATGAGATCAATAAAGTGAATGAAGATGTAAGATACTAGCCAGGGCCATAGGTCATAAGAAAGATGGCAGTGTTAAAGTTGATATGCTCATTTCTGCATATAATACATTGAAATCATTCTTGAGAGCATCATATCTACAATAAGGAGGGACTATGTTATAGCCCTTCTCTTGAAATTGGAAGACCAGGGCAAATATTACCTCTTAGATTTGTCCCCCTTCATAAGCTTTAGTATTTTCTCGTATGAAATTGAGAATTTGAGCCAAATAATGTTTAAGGACAATGCCAGCTCTGACAGTCTACTGTGTTAGTAAAAGGATTCTAGTGTCATGAAAGAAAAGAAGGCATTGGACCAGGGTTCTATTTGGGGCCCACCAAAAAATATCTAAACTGGGATTAAGCAAATCTTTTTAGACATTTATATTCCCATTAGAGACTTTTCATACAACTACCATTTTAAGGAGAGTACTATGCAAGTCCTGCACTGGCTCAATTGAAAAACTTCAGAATTGTATAAAATTATAGCAGCTAGACAACCCTTTCACGGACTCACATATGCGATTACATGGTTGAAACTGACACTGAATCATTTTCCAGTTTCCACAGGTTCCTAATTTCTGCTGTCTCTGCCACCAGAGTTTTTCAAAACTATGCACTACTCCACTTAAAACCATTCACATATTTCCAATTACCTAAATAAGATAGCCAAACCCTTTGGAACACTCTTCTCTGGCCTGACCACTGACACCACTCACAGTCACTGCTTTTTTTTTTTTTTTTTTGAGACGGAGTCTCGCTCTGTCACCCAGGCTGGAGTGCAGTGGTGCGATCTCGGCTCACTGCAACCTCCGCCTCCCAGGTTCAAGTGATTCTTCTGCCTCAGTCTCCTGAGTAGCTGGGACTACAGTGTGCATCACCACGCCCAGCTCGTTTTTGTATTTTTAGCAGAGATGGGGTTTCGCCATATTGGCCAGGCTGGTCTTGAACTCCTGACCTCGTGATCCGCCCACCTCGGCCTCCCAAAGTGCTGGGATTACAGGCATGAGCCATCGCGCCCGGCCTGCTTTATGTACCCTCTCACAACGTCCCTCATCCATACCTGTACCACATGCTTTAAATTTCAGCTAACAATGAACTTCTTGTAGATTTTCAGCTTGCCAGTGCCTGTGCAGAGCCTATACCTCTTTTGACTTCATGAACTCTTACAGGTCCATTAAGACTCAGATCAAATGTTACCTATATGCTACATGTGCAAGAAGAAAAAGATCATATAAATACTTTGTGTTCCCAGCCTTTTCAACCTGGGCCTTTCTACATAGGCATAAGGTAGCTTACTAGAGTAGAACTGTTTGCTAAACACCGTGGCTGATAATCATGCTTTCTCTACCCCTTCCCAGCCCAGCTCACTAATTCAAATTGTATTGGGAATGTAGAAATAGCCTGCAGAAGCACTGAAGCTCTAACTACCAAATGAGCCAGATATGTGCACATTTGTCTGTTGCTGTTACTCTTCACTCTCCCATTTCTGAATCTCTCTGCTCCTGTTTATCTCCTGGCCCCACTCAGTGATGAGCTACATTGTACTCGTTTTCTAGTCTCTAACTACCATATATAGTACTCACCTAGGAATATGGCTTCTGATATTTGAGATCTCTCTCTCTCTCTCTGTTACACACACACACACACACACACACACACACACACACGAACATGCACACATCCCTACTCACCTGCAATTAAGAAGTTTTATGACCCAATGTATTTTACTTCATAACACATAGAAGGAATGGTTTAAATCACCACATCCCAACCAAGGAAGGTACATCACACAGTTTATACTACTAGCCCTGTCACATCTCCATTTTGGACAAATCAGTATGAATATGAACCAAACACCACACTGCAGTTTGTCTATATGATTTTCTTATAATCCCTGTCACAGGGAACAGCTTTATAGGTAAGGGAAATACCATTTATAAAGTATATCTTATGTGGCACATTACAAAATTTTTCACTTGTAATAAACTAATTTCATTGGCTATGATTACTTTTCACTTTAAGCGAAACAGAAAACAGAGACCTGAAGAAGTTTGGTAGTTGTTTAAGATCAAGACAGTAGAGCTTTACTAGTAACACAGTGAATAAGAAATGGAGCTTAATCTGAGAGCTGAACATTATTATTAAGGAGACAGAAAAGAGATGATGGTGGCCAGTACTCTGGAAGAAACTATGTATGGGATAGATAAATGGACAACTTTAAGAGGTAGTGTGGAGTTATAATAGACAAGAACTGAGGACAGATTGATTTGAGAAATGTCAGAGTGGAAGATACCTTGAGTTCTGACATGGGAGACTGGGTTGGTGCTACTTTAATTGATCACAAGAGTAAAAATAGATTTAGAGACTCAAGATGAAAAGTTTCATTTTGGAAATATTCAGACTCAGGGGCCTGTAACATGCAATTGACTATTCAGAAGGCAGTGGCATTCACAAGTCCAAGCCGATCTATGTTAGGAGAAAAGTTTGTGGTAGAAATATTGACATAAATAATGGGCATGTATATGGTAAAGTATGAGATCTTCCAGGAAAACGTGGGTTCCTAGCAAATAGAAAGTGTCTTATGATACAAGTGGCATCTAACAGATGTATAAAGGAGGGAAGATTGTAAAAGAGAGTAAGAAATAGGAGCCAGAGAAATAGGAGGAATCCAAGAAGATGGATATCCATCAGATGCAAAAAGAGGAAAGTGTTGTTGTTGTTGTTGTTGTTGTTGTTGTAATACAGAGAGAATGATCAAAGTATCAGCTAGACCTGTGAGGCAGGGGCAAGATGAAAAATAAAAACTGTCCATTCAACTTGCTGACATATAAGTCATTGGCAGCTATAACGCAATCTGTTCAGTAGTGTGATGGTGGCAGAAGATAAAGGCAGGCTGGGAAGTGAGGAAAAGGGGATGTCTAGACAACTCTTCCAAGATGTTTGGCTCTGCCAATAAGGAGATGAGCTACCATTTTGGGGAGAATGTAGGGCTTAAGGAAAACAATTATTTTAATTAGAGAGACTTTAGCAAAATTAAACATTGACAGATAACATTCAGTGAAAAGGGAAAACTCAATTCTTACAGTAGTGTGTCCAGAATTGGTTCCTTCCGGTGGGTTCTTGGTCTTGCTGACTTCAGGAATGAAGCCGCGGACACTCGCGGTGAGTGTTACAGTTCTTAAAGATGGTGTGTCCGGAGTTTGTTCCTTCAGATGTTCAGATGTGTCCGGAGTTTCTTCCTTCCAGTGGGTTCATGGTCTCGCTGACTTCAGGAGTGAAGCCGCAGACCTTCGCAGTGAGTGTTACAGCTCTTAAGGGTGTCACGTCCGGAGTTGTTTGTTCCTCCTGGTGGGTTCGTGGTCTCAATGACTTCAGGAGTGAAGCCACAGACCTTCACAGTGAGTGTTACAGCTCTTAAAGAGGGTGCAAACCCATAGAGTGAGCAGCAGCAAGATTTATTGTGAAGAGTGAAAGAACAAGGCTTCCACACCTTGGAAGGGGACCCGAGCGGGTTGCTGCTGCTGGCTCAGGTGGCCAGCTTTTATTCCCCTATTTGGCCCTGCCCACATCCTGCTGATTGGTCCATTTTACCGAATGCTGATTGGTCCATTTTACAGAGTGCTGATTGGTGCATTTACAGTCCTTTAGCTAGACACAGAGCGCTGATTGGTGCATTTACAATCCTCTCACTAGACACAGAGAGCTGATTGGTGCGATTTTACAGAGTGCTGATTGGTGCATTTACAATCCTTTAGCTAGACACAGAGTGCAGATTGGTGCGGTTTTACAGAGCGCTGGTTGGTGCATTTACAATCCTTTAGCTAGACACATAGTGCAGATTGGTGCGTTTTTACAGAGTGCTGATTGGTGCATTTACAGTGCTCTAGCTAGACAGAAAAGTTCTCCAAGTCCCCACTCGACCCAGGAAGTCCAGCTAGCTTCACCTCTCAGTAGGACACAAAAAGAGAGGATCCGTGCAGGTTTGAATATTTGGAGAATTCCAATCTGAGAGTTCTATTTTCTCAGTGAGTTTAGGAGAGCAGTTCTCTGCTGAGATCATCCGGGCTTTGCTGTGTGGGTTGGAAGGGAGGGTGGTGATAAAGGGTCTTAAAGAATGTGGAAAAAAATTTGAAATAGCATTCTGTTGCCCAGGTGTGAGTTGACCAAAATGGAAAAAAAAAGTAATGATATTAGCAGACAAATAAAGGGCACATTTAATATTTGTTTAACTATAAATGCCGTGTTGAGATTTTTATGCCAAAAAGATAGAAGACTGAGAGAGATTAAGGACTGACATGAGTTTTATTAATGTGATAGATCATGAAAACTAGAATATATAAAAAGTAAATAAAAAGAAAAGGCAGATGGATTGGGAGAAGGTAGAGGACTCAATGACTAGAAGTCCTAATATGTTAAAATAATGATCACAGTGAGAGTAGTTGTGCAATCTAGATAGAAGACATGATGAGAGTTAGAAAGTGGGGTGCTTGACTTAGTGATTTTGGATATGATTCCGTCAGAAGTGCCAAAAAGGTTCAACATGTGCCTGCGAGTGTGGATTGTTGAGTGCAATGAGGAAAAGGACAGGAGGAATTCTATAAACTGGGAGTCTGGAGGGAAGGACAGGTTGTCCAAATGAATGCTGTGATAATTCAGGTTGATCTCAAGGTTTGTCGTGGAGATCAAGGTACTTATGTCTTTGATGAGAGAAGGGGAATGGCTAGGAGGTCGTTAGATGATTGTTTGGAGGAGGGAGAATGGACAATATGGATGGATTATGTGATGTGGCAAGGAGTTGGATTTTCTCTATAAAAGTGGGGAGAGTAATGCTTAGAAAAAAATGCATGAGGCTTCAGGGTGGGGATACAAAAACCACGGACCCCATTCATTATCACTGTGGGCCCTTATTTGTTGTCGGAAATGATATCGTGGATGCAACTCTTCGTGGTGAAATGAAGACAAGTGAAGTTTTTGTGATTCTGACAGCAATCACTAACATTTATTTACTAAAATTAAATAATTATTTAGATTTTAGACAAAATGAAATGGAATTGGATTTCATTTTGTGTGACTTATAATAACTGAGCACACACATATGCACACATACACACCTTCATGTCAAAAACCTTTTTCTCAGAAAAATGCGATAGAAATGCAACTGCTACATTTCATAAATCACACTCGATTTTTTTATACTTCAATTTTTTCTTTGGTTTGCGAATTTCATTTCACATTAATACCTTTTTTTGAGAAAACTGTAGCTGTCAGGAGTTAGGATTCCTCAGCTTCAATGTTCAGCATCTCAAAGTGTCTGTCTTTTTTTCTCCTTTTTTCTTATATCAAAAGAATAAATAGCAGAAATCTATTTCTATCTGAGCATCTCCAACATGCTCATTTCTGCTTATTCTTCCTTTCCCTTTACTTCTACCTTGTAGTTTCTTCTCTCTCCCTTCCTCTCTGTTGCCATCTTAGATCTTACTTAAAACCAGAATAATCACCTACTTGAGTCTGATACACACTTGACTATCACATATTTTAATCCTGTTAGAACCATAAGTTATATAAAGATAAAGCTGCTCTTGTTTCACTCTAATATCATAGCACAGCATATGTAATCGATAAATACAAGTTGAATGATTGAAATTGTTAAAACTTGCGGCCCTAATTGCATTTCACTATCTTTTCAATAACCACCTCCAATATCATATACAATGTAATTTTTATTGAGAGGTAACAAGGCACAGTGGCCAAGAGTCCAGCATTCAGAGCTGTACTGCTAGTGTCTGAATCTTGGCTCTGGCATGTATTTGTTGAATAACCTTGATCAATGCATGTAATCTCTTTACCCCTTAGTCTTCTCATCTTTTCAGTTGAAATATATAAACTTACTGTAATCGAAGGTCTAAAATAGTCTAATGTCTACAATTTCATGTGATTCAACTTAATATAAAATAGAAATAATAATAGTATTTTCCTCATGAAGTTTTCAAAATTAAATTGGTTAATATATATGAAGTATTGAGAAACATACATGGGACAAAGCAAAAACTATATATGTATTTTATGTTTTTACTATCATTATCAGTATTGTTTGAAAAAACTGAGTAACTATTTGGAGTACTAGATACAAAAAGAATCGGGGTGAAAGGAGGAAGTACTATTGAGGCATCCCTACGTAGAAATTTTGATGCGGAGCTACCCAAGCAGTGTACTGAGGCCCTTCCAGTTGTGCTGAGATATTGATCCTCTCAGTCCTGAAGGCCCTCCAGCTGGCCATCTTTGGCCACAAGTGGTGTCCTCAGTTTCCCTCGGTGTTAGCATTCCTTATAAATATAATCATTTTCTCTGTGTGGCATGAAATAAAAGAGTATTGAGAACCTTTAGTTTATAATATGAATCTTGGAGTCTTACAGATCTTGTGACTCAGTTGTTAGCCTAGGGCAGACTACGCAATATGTGAGGCTCAGTGTAAAATGGAAATGAGGATCTCCCAGGGGAAAAAAAGTGTCGTGTCATTAAAAAAATCATCGTTAATGGTGGTAATGATAAACGTGTCATTAAAGCTGCTAAAATATGAAACTTCTTCCTTTCTTCAGTGGTCTCTTCATGATTTGTCATTTTTTTAAATGTGCTATTTAATGTCATTTCAAGTAAAGAAAAATTAAAAATTTAAATTGTTAACCTGAATCTTGCTGTTCATTTTTAGATTGAGAACTGCCAGTTTTAAATGGAAATATAAGACCATTTGACTTTATGTAAGATCATCAAAAATATACAATTTATATTTCATGGCTCATACAAGTAAATGTATTTTTTTCTTAGTAGAATGGTAGAAACACTTCACAAAACTATATTACTTTTATTTGATTTCTTTACTTTTTCTTTTCTTTTTTTTTTTTTTTTGAGACACAGTCTCGCTCTGTTGCCCAGGCTGGAGTGCAGTAGCACAATCTTGGCTCACTGCAACCTCCGCCCCCCAGGTTCAAGTGATTCTCCTGCCTCAGCCTCCCAAGTAGTTGGGACTACAGGTGCCCACCACCATGCCCGGCTAATTTTTGTATTTTTAGTAGAGACGGGATTTCACCTTGTTGGCCAGGCTGGTCTCGAGCTCTTGATGTCGTGATCCACCCACCTCAGCCTCCCAAAGTGCTGGGATTACAGGCATGAGCCACCGTGCCCGGCCCATTTGATTTCTTGGTACACACACATTATACCAACACCCTCTATCCTTGACTAATTGATAAGTAAAGAAGAACTGAAAGGAAAAGGAACTATGGGTAGCCCTATCTTTCCCTTTCTGTCCATGTCGTCACTTTCAGGGTAAGTGGTTGGTTAACACAGTGAAGTAACAAAAGAAAGAAAGATTATGATAGGGTTCATTGGTGTTTGTGTTTCTTAGAATGCCATTGCGTTCTTTCTGCATTGGAAAGAATGAAAAAAATGTGGACACTCAGGGATATCAGCACATGGCTTACTCATAGACATAACATGCTCACCTTGTACTTGTTTTGAGTTTTATTGAACTCCTACACATCATGGGTAAACCAGAATTCTGTACTCATGGGGCACCACCAACTCTATAAGCAAGAACAGAAGCAAGAAATAGCCATGGATAAACATATTGTAGATAACTCTTCTGATCATGCAACAGGCTCCATTATTCCATCGGACTTACAAAACACAAGTTCAGAGTTAAAATTATCAAGAATCGTAAGATGGTGACAGCAGGACATTACACCAAGTACAGGGTCTGAGTACAGGTTTTCCTGTTATGAAAGGCACATAGTAGACATGGCAAATGCTGAATGTGAAAGGAATAGCAAGGAGCAGCAGCAGACCTGCAACTGCATACCTCCTCTGCTCACATGCAGGCCGCATTGTCTAGCAAGACTTACTGCAAGTTCAAAAAGAGAATGATTAAGAATTTAAAGGTCTTGACAGCTGAGCATTAAGCCAAATGTGGGGTTTTTCTGAGTACCAGGCCTTATGCAAATGTACTGGTCACATTCCCAAAAAGCTGGTCGTGATTTGGCCCTAAGTTAACCCTATAAACTTGAGAAGAGAGCTTTGCTAGATTGGCCCTTATTGTTCTAATTTGAAATACAAGGGTAATTTCTACTACCTCATAGTCTTCTGGTGAGGGTTTAAGAAGATAATGTACCTGACACAGTGCCTACTACATAACAACAACAACAACAACAACTATATTTACGAAATGCTTATGTTTTCATTATAATGGACATTACTGGAAAGTCTTTATGAGCATGTTAAACCCGAACTGCATCAAGGACAATGCTACCAACTTCGAAGGAATCATCAAGTTCAGTGTCAGGGTTTCCTCAACTTTTATTACTCCCTGTCTTCAATGCCAAGTGGTAAAAATTATGTTAAAACCAGAGAGACTATGGGAGAGGTATAAATAGATGAAGCAAAGGAAATTTTTAGAGCAGTGAAGCTATTCTATTTGATACTGTAATGGTGGATATACGACATTAAGAACTTGGCAAAACCCATAATACTGTACAACACAAACAGTGAGCCCTATTTTAAATTATGGATTTTAATGAATAATAATGTATCAATATCAGCTCATCAATTCTAACAAATATAACATACTAATGCAATATGTTATTCATAGGGGAAACCGTGCACTGGAGGTGAGGAAGCATATGGGAACTTTGTACTTTCTGCTTGTTTTTTCTTTAAAGCTAAAACTGCCCTAAAAATAAAATATATTTAAAAAAAAAAAACTAAAATAACCATAAGTAAATTCTGACTGTAAGTCATTCCTGAGGAGTCAGAAAGGTGCCCCAAATTGCTTAAAATAAATTTGCCCTTTGAAAATTATGCAAAGGCCAGAACAAGTCTTGATTCTGACATATTTAACCATCTAATCTGAAGGCGAGGCTAGATCTACCCTCAAGGTTTGTTAAAAATAAAGGATTAAAATCTAGGATTATTCGTTCTGGTTTTGTTTGTTTAGTTTTGCTTTTATTTCGTACTCAAATTAATGCAGCATCTATGTAATTATTTTCTAAGTTTACAAACCCCTAAGGGAGCACAGATGATGTCTACCCTGATCTTTAAAAAATTCATGGTGGTAATGATAGCCTTCATGCATATGGTTACCTATAGTTTACGGAGCACTTTCATGCGTATTTATCTGCTTAAGCACTTGTGCTACACTAAGAAACTAAAGACTCAAGCGGTATTTTTTGTTGTTTTTCTTTTTTGTCTTTAGCAAAACACTATGAAATAATATGTCAGTATGTCAAAGACTGCTAGTTATCTAGATGATATGTTTTATACTTCTTTCTTAGTAACACTAAGTCCAGTTTTACTCAAGATACCATTGTGCCCATCTCAAATACCACATTGCCAGTTTTTCTTATAGCTCAGGTGACCATGAGACCGAGATCTTTCTAATGATCTATAAGCAAAAATTTGGGAGTGAGACAACCAGAAAGAATCTTTAAAATGGCGACTGTTATGTGAGACACATCCTTATGCCTTCGTTCTAGATTTCATTCTTTAGCTTTGTACTTTTTTCCTGACCTCTTGAAAGATATTCAGTTACCACTGGGAAGAACTGAGTTTTCCCAGTACCTAAGACTTCAAGTAAGTCCATCCTTTAGAAATATTCCAGATAGATTTATTGATTTTTTTTAAATTTCAACTTTTATCTGAGTCGGGGGTACATGCCTAGGTCTGTCACATGGGAACATTACATGACACTGAAGTTTAGAGTACATATGATCCTGTCATCCAGGCAGTGAGCACAGAACCCAATAGGTAGTCACTCAGCCCACACCCCCTCCCTCCCTGGTTCCTCTAGCATCCCCAGTATCCACTGCTTCCATCTTTATATCCATGTGTGCTTAATGTTTAGCTTCCACTTATGAGTGAAAACATGGGGCATTTGTTTTTCTGCTCCTGCATTAAATTGCTTAGCATAATAGCCTGCAGCTGAATCCATGTTGTTTCAAAGAATTTTATTTCATTCTTTGTCTTGGCTGCGTAGTAGCCCATGGTGTATTTTCTTCATCCAATCCACCATTGATGAGTTCCTAGGTTGATTCCATTTCTTTGCTATTGTGAATAGTGCTGTGATGAACATGTGAGTGAATGTGGCTTTTTGGTAGAATGACTTGTTTTCTTTTGGATATATACCCAATAATGGGATTGCTGGGTCTAATGGTAGTTCTGTATTAAATTCTTTGAGAAATTTCCAAACTGCTTTCCACAGTGGCTGAACTAATTTACATTCCCATCAACTAATTTATATCTCTTCTCTCCATGGCTTTGCCATCATTTGTTGTTTTTTGACTTTTTGTCAGATGGTATTTCATTGCCATATTGATTTGAATTTATCTGATGATTAGAGATATTGAGCATTTTTTTCATGTTTGTTGGTGGCTTGTATGTCCTCTTTTGAGAAGTATCTGTTCATGTCCTTTGCCAGTTTATTAATGGGGTTGTTTGTTTTTTACTTGTTTATTTAAGTTTCTCATAGATTCTGGATATTAGATCTTTGTCAGATGCATGGTTTATGAATATTTTCTTCCAGTTTATAGATTGTTTACTCTGTTGATAATTTATTTTGATATGCAGAAGCTCTTTAGTTTCATTAGGTCCCACTTGTCAATTTTTGGTTTTTGTTGCAATTGCTTTTGAGGACTTGGCCATAAATTATTTGCCAAGGCTGATGTAGAGAAGGGTATTGATTGCCTAGGTTGTCTTTCAGGGTTTTTATAGTTTTAGGTTTTACATTTAAGTCTTTAATCTATTTTGAGTTAATTACTGTATATGATGAAAGTAGGGGTCCAGTTTCATTCTTATGCATATGGCTAGCCAGTTATCCCACCACCATTTATTGAATTGGGAGTCCTTTCCCCATTGTTTATTTTTGTCAACTTTGTCAAAGATCAGATGGTCATAGGTATGCAGCTTTATGTCTAAGTTCTCTATTTTGTTCCATTGGTCTATGTGTCTGTTTTTATACCAGTACCATGTTGATTTTGGTACTGTAGCCTGATAGTATAGTTTGAAGTTGGGTAATGTGACGTCTCTAGCTTTGTTCTTTTTCCTTAAGACTGCTTTGGCTACTCGAGCTCTCTTTTGGTTCCATATGAATTTCAGAATAGGTTTTTTTCCCTAATTCTGTGAAGAATGAAATTGGTAGCTTGATAGGAGTAATGCTAAATATGTAGATTGTTTTAGGTAGTTTTCGTATTTTTTTTATTATACTTTAAGTTTTAGGGTACATGTGCACATTGTGCAGGTTAGTTACAAATGTATACATGTGCCATGCTGGTGCGCTGCACCCACTAAATCGTCATCTAGCATTAGGTATATCTCCCAATGCTATCCCTCCCCCGTCCCCCCACCCCACCACAGTCCCCAGAGTGTGATATTCCCCTTCCTGTGTCCATGTGATCTCATTGTTCAATTCCCACCTATGAGTGAGAATATGCGGTGTTTGGTTTTTTGTTCTTGCGATAGTTTACTGAGAATGATGATTTCCAATTTCATCCATGTCCCTACAAAGGACATGAACTCATCATTTTTTATGGCTGCATAGTATTCCATGGTGTATATGTGCCACATTTTCTTAATCCAGTCTATCGTTGTTGGACATTTGGGTTGGTTCCAAGTCTTTGCTATTGTGAATAATGCCGCAATAAACATACGTGTGCATGTGTCTTTATAGCAGCATGATTTATAGTCATTTGGGTATATACCCAGTAATGGGATGGCTGGGTCAAATGGTATTTCTAGTTCTAGATCCCTGAGGAATCGCCACACTGACTTCCACAATGGATGAACTAGTTTACAGTCCCACCAACAGTGTAAAAGTGTTCCTATTTCTCCACATCCTCTCCAGCACCTGTTGTTTCCTGACTTTTTAATGATTGCCATTCTAACTAGTGTGAGATGGTATCTCATTGTGGTTTTGATTTGCATTTCTCTGATGGCCAGTGATGATGAGCATTTTTTCATGTGTTTTTTGGCTGCATAAATGTCTTCTTTTGAGAAGTGTCTGTTCATGTCCTTCGCCCACTTTTTGATGGGGTTGTTTGTTTTTTTCTTGTAAATTTGTTTGAGTTCATTGTAGATTCTGGATATTAGCCCTTTGTCAGATGAGTAGGTTGCGAAAATTTTCTCCCATTTTGTAGGCTGCCTGTTCACTCTGATGGTAGTTTCTTTTGCTGTGCAGAAGCTCTTTAGTTTAATTAGATCCCATTTGTCTATTTTGGCTTTTGTTGCCATTGCTTTTGGTGTTTTGGACATGAAGTCCTTGCCCATGCCTATGTCCTGAAAGGTCATGCCTAGGTTTTCTTCTAGGGTTTTTATGGTTTTAGGTCTAACGTTTAAATCTTTAATCCATCTTGAATTGATTTTTGTATAAGGTGTAAGGAAGGGATCCAGTTTCAGCTTCCTACATATGGCTAGCCAGTTTTCCCAGCACCATTTATTAAATAGGGAATCCTTTCCCCATTGCTTGTTTTTCTCAGGTTTGTCAAAGATCAGATAGTTGTAGGTATGCGGCATTATTTCTGAGGGCTCTGTTCTGTTCCATTGATCTATATCTCTGTTTTGGTACCAGTACCATGCTGTTTTGGTTACTGTAATCTTGTAGTATAGTTTGAAGTCAGGTAGTGTGATGCCTCCAGCTTTGTTCTTTTGGCTTAGGATTGACTTGGTGATGCGGGCTCTTTTTTGGTTCCATATGAACTTTAAAGTAGTTTTTTCCAATTCTGTGAAGAAAGTCATTGGTAGCTTGATGGGGATGGCATTGAATCTGTAAATTACCTTGGGCAGTATGGCCATTTTCACGATATTGATTCTTCCTACCCATGAGCATGGAATGTTCTTCCATTTGTTTGTATCCTCTTTTATTTCCTTGAGCAGTGGTTTGTAGTTCTCCTTGAAGAGGTCCTTCACATCCCTTGTAAGTTGGATTCCTAGATATTTTATTCTCTTTGAAGCAATTGTGAATGGGAGTTCACTCATGATTTGGCTCTCTGTTTGTCTATTGTTGGTGTATGAGAATGCTTGTGATTTTTGTACATTGATTTTGTATCCTGAGACTTTGCTGAAGTTGCTTATCAGCTTAAGGAGATTTTGGGCTGAGACAATGGGGTTTTCTAGATAGAGAATCATGTCATCTGCAAACAGGGACAATTTGACTTCCTCTTTTCCTAATTGGATACCCTTTATTTCCTTCTCTTGCCTAATTGCCCTGGCCAGAACTTCCAACACTATGTTGAATAGGAGTGGTGAGAGAGGGCATCCCTGTCTTGTGCCAGTTTTCAAAGGGAATGCTTCCAGTTTTTGCCCATTCGGTATGATATTGGCTGTGGGTTTGTCATAGATAGCTCTTATTATTTTGAAATATGTCCCATCAATACCTAATTTCTTGAGAGTTTTTAGCATGAAGGGTTGTTGAATTTTGTCAAAGGCTTTTTCTGCATCTATTGAGATAATCATGTGGTTTTTGTCTTTGGCTCTGTTTATATGCTGGATTACATTTATTGATTTGCGTATATTGAACCAGCCTTGCATCCCAGGGATGAAGCCCACTTGATCATGGTGGATAAGCTTTTTGATGTGCTGCTGGATTCGGTTTGCCAGTATTTTATTGAGGATTTTTGCATCAATGTTCATCAAGGATATTGGTCTAAAATTCTCTTTTTTTGGTTGTGTCTCTGCCCAGCTTTGGTATCAGGATGATGCTGGCCTCATAAAATGAGTTAGGGAGGATTCCCTCTTTTTCTATTGATTGGAATAGTTTCAGAAGGAATTGTTCCAGTTCTTACTTGTACCTCTGGTAGAATTCGGCTGTGAATCCATCTGGTCCTGGACTCTTTTTGGTTGGTAAACTATTGATTATTGCCACAATTTCAGCTCCTGTTATTGGTCTATTCAGAGATTCAACTTCTTCCTGGTTTAGTCTTGGGAGAGTGTATGTGTCGAGGAATTTATCCATTTCTTCTAGATTTTCTAGTTTATTTGCGTAGAGGTGTTTGTAGTATTCTCTGATGGTAGTTTGTATTTCTGTGGGATCGGTGGTGATATCCCCTTTATCATTTTTTATTGCGTCTATTTGATTCTTCTCTCTTTTTTTCTTTATTAGTCTTGCTAGCGGTCTATCAATTTTGTTGATCGTTTCAAAAAACCAGCTCCTGGATTCATTGATTTTTTGAAGGGTTTTTTGTGTCTCTATTTCCTTCAGTTCTGCTCTGATTTTAGTTATTTCTTGCCTTCTGCTAGCTTTTGAATATGTTTGCCCTTGCTTTTCTAGTTCTTTTAATTGTGATGTTAGGGTGTCAATTTTGGATCTTTCCTGCTTTCTCTTGTGGGCATTTAGTGCTATAAATTTCCCCCTACACACTGCTTTGAATGCCTCCCAGAGATTCTGGTATGTTGTGTCTTTGTTCTCGTTGGTTTCAAAGAACATCTTTATTTCTGCCTTCATTTTGTTATGTACCCAGTAGTCATTCAGGAGCAGGTTGTTCAGTTTCCATGTAGTTGAGCGGTTTTGAGTGAGATTCTTAATCCTGAGTTCTAGTTTGATTGCACTGTGGTCTGAGAGATAGTTTGTTATAATTTCTGTTCTTTTACATTTGCTGAGGAGAGCTTTACTTCCAAGTATGTGGTCAATTTTGGAATAGGTGTGTTGTGGTGCTGAAAAAAATGTATATTCTGTTGATTTGGGGTGGAGAGTTCTGTAGATGTCTATTAGGTCTGCTTGGTGCAGAGCTGAGTTCAATTCCTGGGTATCCTTGTTGACTTTCTGTCTCGTTGATCTGTCTAATGTTGACAGTGGGGTGTTAAAGTCTCCCATTATTAATGCGTGGGAGTCTAAGTCTCTTTGTAGGTCACTCAGGACTTGCTTTATGAATCTGGGTGCTCCTGTATTGGGTGCATATATATTTAGGAGAGTTAGCTCTTCTTGTTGAATTGATTCCTTTACCATTACGTAATGGCCTTCTTTGTCTCTTTTGATCTTCGTTGGTTTAAAGTCTGTTTTATCAGAGACTAGGATTGCAACCCCTGCCTTTTTTTGTTTTCCATTTGCTTGGTAGATCTTCCTCCATCCTTTTATTTTGAGCCTATGTGTGTCTCTGCACGTGAGATGGGTTTCCTGAATACAGCACACTGATGGGTCTTGACTCTTTATCCAATTTGCCAGTCTGTGTCTTTTAATTGGAGAATTTAGTCCATTTACATTTAAAGTTAATATTGTTATGTGTGAATTTGATCCTGTCATTATGATGTTAGCTGGTGATTTTGCTCGTTAGTTGATGCAGTTTCTTCCTAGTCTCGATGGTCTTTACATTTTGGCATGATTTTGCAGCGGCTGGTACCGGTTGTTCCTTTCCATGTTTAGCGCTTCCTTCAGGAGCTCTTTTAGGGCAGGCCTGGTGGTGACAAAATCTCTCAGCATTTGCTTGTCTGTAAAGTATTTTATTTCTCCTTCACTTATGAAGCTTAGTTTGGCTGGATATGAAATTCTGGGTTGAAAATTCTTTTCTTTAAGAATGTTGAATATTGGCCCCCACTCTCTTCTGGCTTGTAGGGTTTCTGCCGAGAGATCCGCTGTTAGTCTGATGGGCTTCCCTTTGAGGGTAACCCGACCTTTCTCTCTGGCTGCCCTTAACTTTTTTTCCTTCATTTCAACTTTGGTGAATCTGACAATTATGTGTCTTGGAGTTGCTCTTCTCGAGGAGTATCTTTGTGGTGTTCTCTGTATTTCCTGAATCTGAACGTTGGCCTGCCTTGCTAGATTGGGGAAGTTCTCCTGGATAATATCCTGCAGAGTGTTTTCCAACTTGGTTCCATTCTCCCCATCACTTTCAGGTACACCAATCAGACGTAGATTTGGTCTTTTCACATAGTCCCATATTTCTTGGAGGCTTTGCTCATTTCTTTTTATTCTTTTTTCTCTAAACTTCCCTTTTCGCTTCATTTCATTCATTTCATCTTCCATTGCTGATACCCTTTCTTCCAGTTGATCGCATCGGCTCCTGAGGCTTCTGCATTCTTCACGTAGTTCTCGAGCCTTGGTTTTCAGCTCCATCAGCTCCTTTCAGCACTTCTCTGTATTGGTTATTCTAGTTATACATTCTTCTAAATTTTTTTCAAAGTTTTCAACTTCTTTGCCTTTGGTTTGAATGTCCTCCCGTAGCTCAGAGTAATTTGATCGTCTGAAGCCTTCTTCTCTCAGCTCGTCAAAGTCATTCTCCATCCAGCTTTGTTCCGTTGCTGGTGAGGAACTGCGTTCCTTTGGAGGAGGAGAGACGCTCTGCATTTTAGAGTTTCCAGTTTTTCTGTTCTGTTTTTTCCCCATCTTTGTGGTTTTATCTACTTTTGGTCTTTGATGATGGTGATGTACAGATGGGTTTTCGGTGTGGATGTCCTTTCTGTTTGTTAGTTTTCCTTCTAAGAGACAGGACCCTCAGCTGCAGGTCTGTTGGAATACCCTGCCGTGTGAGGTGTCAGTGTGCTCCTGCTGGGGGGTGCCTCCCAGTTAGGCTGCTCGGGGGTCAGGGGTCAGGAACCCACTTGAGGAGGCAGTCTGCCGGTTCTCAGATCTCCAGCTGCGTGCTGGGAGAGCCACTGCTCTCTTCAAAGCTGTCAGACAGGGACATTTAAGTCTGCAGAGGTTACTGCTGTCTTTTGGTTTGTCTGTGCCCTGCCCCCAGAGGTGGAGCCTACAGAGGCAGGCAGGCCTCCTTGAGCTGTGGTGGGCTCCACCCAGTTCTAGCTTCCCGCTGCTTTGTTTACCTAATCAAGCCTGGGCAATGGCGGGCGCCCCTCCCCCAGCCTCGCTGCTGCCTTGCAGTTTGATCTCAGACTGCTGTGCTAGCAATCAGCGAGATTCCGTGGGCGTAGGACCCTCCGAGCCAGGTGTGGGATATAATCTCGTGGTGCGCCGTTTTTTAAGTCAGTCAGAAAAGCGCAGTATTTGGGTGGGAGTGACCTGATTTTCCAGGTGCGTCCGTCACCCCTTTCTTTGACTAGGAAAGGGAACTCCCTGACCCCTTGCGCTTCCCAGGTGAGGCAATGCCTCGCCCTGCTTCGGCTCGCGCACGGTGCGTGCACCCACTGGCCTGTGCCCACTGTCTGGCACTCCCTAGTGAGATGAACCCGGTACCTCAGATGGAAATGCAGAAATCACCCGTCTTCTGCGTTGCTCATGCTGGGAGCTGTAGACCGGAGCTGTTCCTATTCGGCCATCTTGGCTCCTCCCTCAGTTTTCGTATTTTAACGATACTGATTCTTCTGATCCAAGAGCACTGAATGTTTTTCCATTCGTTTGTGTCATCTATAATTTATTTCAGCAGTATTATGTCATTTTCCTTTTAGAGACCTTTCAACTTCTCGGTTAGATGTCTTCCCAGGTATTTTATTTTATTGTGGTTATTGTAAATGGGATTATGTTCTTGATTTCACTTTCAGCTTGAACGTTATTAGTGTATAGAAATGCTACTGATTTTTGTACATTGATTTTTGTATCCTAAAACTTTACTGCCATCATTTGTCAGCTCCAAAAGCCTTTTTGCGGAGTCCTCAGAGCTTTTTTAGATATGGAATCACATCACCTGTGAAGAGAGATAATTTCACTTCTTCTTTTTCAATTTGGATGCCTTTTATTTATTTTTCTTGCCTGATACTCTGGCAAAGACTTCCAGTACTATGTTGAATAGGAGTGGTGAGAGTGGGAATCATTGTCTTGTTGCTATCCTCTCTTTTTTTTTTTGAGACATGGTGTCAGTCTATCATCCAGACTGGATTGCAGTGGTGTAATCATGGCTCACTGCAGCCTCAACCTCCCAGGTCAAGTGATCCTCCCATCTCAGAGTCCTGAGTAGCTTGGACCAAAGGCACATGCCACCGCAACTGGCTAATTTTTTAGTTTTTAGTTTTTGTAGAGCTAGAGGTCTCATTATGTTGAACAGGCTGTTCTTGAACTCCCGGGCTCGTGTGATCCTCCCACTTTGGCTACCTGAAGTGGTACGTTTACAAGCATGAGCCAATACATTCAGCTTGTTCCTGTTTTTAAGAGCAATGCCTCTAGTATTTGCCGATTCAGTATGATGTTGGCTGTGCATTCATCATAGATGGCTCTCATTATTTTGAAGTATGTTCCCTCAATGCCTAGTTTGTTGAGCGTTTTTATCATGACGGGGTGTTGGATTTTGTCAAAAGCCTTTTCTGCTTCTATTGAGACAATCATATGGTTTTGTTTTCAATTCTGTTTATGTGGTGAATCACATTTATTGATTTGCATATGTTGAACCAACCCTGCATCCCAGGAATAAAGCCTACTTGATTGTGGTGAATTAACTTTTTGATGTGCTGCTGGATTTGGTTTGTATTTTGTTGACGATTTTTTGTGTAAATGTTAATCAGGGATATTGGCCTGTAGTTTTCATTTTTTAATTGTCTCTTTGCCAGGTTTTAGTATTAGGGTGGTGCTGGCTTCATAGAATGAGTTAGGGAAGAATCTCTGCTTCTCAACTTTTTGGAATAGTTTTTGCAGAATTGATATCAGCTCTTCACTGTATGTTTGGTAGAATTGGGCTGTGAATTCATCTTGTCCAGGTTTTTCTTTTGATGGGTAGTTTTTAAATTATTACTACTGATTTAATTTTGAAACTTAATATTGGTCTCTTCAGGGTTTCAATTTCTTCCTGATTCAATTTTGAGAGGTCTTGGGTTTCCAGGAATTTATCCATTTCCTCTAGATTTTCTGGTTTGTGTGCATAGAAGTGTTCATAATATTCTTTGAAAATCTTTTGTATTTTTGTGCAATCAGTTGTAACATCATCTTTGTCATTTCTAATTGTGCTTATTTGGATCTTATCTCTTTTTTCTTTGTTAATCTAGTGGTCTATCAATCTTGATTTTCCTTTTAAAGAACCAACTTTTGGTTTGGTTCATCCTTTGGATAGATTTTTGAGTCTCAATATCATTCAGCTTTGCTTGGATTTTAATTATTTATTTTCTTTTACTAGCCTGTGGGTCAGTTTGTTCTTGTTTTTCTAGTTTCTCCAGGTGTGATGTTAGATTGTTAATTTGAGATCTGTCTAACTTCTTCATGTAGGTGTTTAGCACAATAAACTTTCCTCTTAACACTGCTTTTGCTGCATTCCAGAGATATTTGGTTTGTTGTGTCTGTTTTCATTTATTTCAAATAATTTTTAAAATAAACTTTTCTGTCTTACTTTTGTCATTTACCCAAAAGTCATACAGGGGCCAGTTGTTTAATTTTCATGATAATTACACGGTTTTGAGAAAGTTTCTTGGTATTGGTTTCTATTTTCATTCCACTGCAGTCTGTATGTCTAATATGAATTTTTATTGAATTTATTGAGATTTGTTTTATGGCTGAGCATGCGGTTGATCTTACAGTATGTTCTATATGCAGATGAGGAGAATGTATATTCTGTGGTTGATGAGTGAAGTATTCTGTAGGTATATACCAGGTCCAATTAGTCGAGGGTCAAATTTAAGTCCAGAATTTATTTGTTAGCTTTCTGCCTCAATAACCTGTCTAACACTATCGGTAAGGTATTGAAGTTTCCCACTATTATTGTGTGACTGTCTAAGTCTTTTCATAAGTCTAGAAGTACGAGTTTTATGAATCTGGGTGCTCCGATATTGGGTATGTGTATATTTAGAATAGTTAGGTCTTCCTGCTTAATTGATCCATTTATCATTATTTAGTGCCCTTCCTTGTGCCTTTTTTCCATTGTTGGTTTAAGATCTGTTTTATCTGATATAAGAATAGTGACTCTTGTTTATTTTGTTTTCCGTTTGCATGGTAGATCTATTTCCAACGTTTTACCACGAGCCTATGTGTATCATTTCATGTGAGATGGGTCTCAAGAAGTCAGCAGATGGACGGGTCTTATTTTGTTTTTATCCGACTTTCTACTCTGTGTGGGTCATTTAGACTGTTTACATTCAAGGTTAATATTGATATGTGAGGTTTTGATCCTATCATAAAATTGTTAGCTGGTTGCTTTTTAGTTTCTATTGTGTAATTGCTTCATAGGTTTATGAACGATGTGCTTAAGTGTGTTCTTGCGGTAGCAGATATTGTTCTTTTGTTTCCATGTTTAGGACTCTCTTTAGGTTATCTTGTAAGGTTGCTTTAGTGGTAAAAATTCTCTTAGCAATTACTTGTCGAGAAAAGCTCTTATTCCCCCTTTACTTATGAAGCTTAGTTTGGTGGGATATTTAATTCTCGATTGGTATTTATTTTCTTTAAAATGCCAAAGGTAGGCCCCCAACCTCTTCTGGCTAGTTAGATTTCTGCTGACAACTCTGCTATTGGCTTGGTAGGGGCTCCCCTTGTACATGATCTGACCTTTCTCTCTATCTGCTTTTAAGAAAATTTCCTTAGTGTTGACCTTGAACAGCCTGATGACTATATGACTTGGTGATATCTGTTGTGTATAGTATGTAGCAAATTTTCTCTGAACTTCTTTTATCTGGATGTCTACTTCTCTACCAAGATGGCAGAAATTTGATTGAATTATCCTGTAGAAACACATGTATGTTTTACAGGTCATTTTCTTTTTTTCCTTGTCTCTCAGAAATGCCACTAATCATAGGTTTGGTTGCTTTACATAATTCCATATTTCTTGAAGACTTTGTTCATTTAAAAAAATATCTATTTCTTTACTTTTGTCTGACTGTGTTAGTTTGAAAGACTGTTATTTAAGCTCTGAAATTCTTTTTTCTGCTTCATCTGGTCTACTGATAAACTTTTCAGTTATATTTCGAAATGCCTTAAGTGAGTTTTTCAACCCCAGAAGCTCTGAATGATTTCTTTTTAAGATGTTTATTTCTTCCCTCATTTCCTTGATTGGTTTACACTCTTCTTTGTATTGATTTTCAACCTTGTCTTGGATCTCATTGAGCTTCCTTGCAATACATGTTGTTATGTCTTTATCTGTCATTTATGAGTTTCTATTTTGGTTTGGGATTATTGCAGGAGAGCTAGCGTGATCCTTCAGTGGTGTCAAAACATTCAGATCTTTTATGTTACCATAATTCTTGCCCTGGCTCCTTCTCATCTGGAGACCCTGACACTTACAGTTTTTGTACTTATTTTTGTGCAGATAGGAATTTTTTTCATTTCCCTTTCTTTCTTCCCTAGGGGACATGACTGTAGAGAATGTTAGGTAGGGTATTTTGGTTTTGCTTCTTTTGCCTTATGCACCTTTTTTCCACAGGTGTGTTTTTTTTTTTTTTCTTTCTTTTTTTTTTTAATCAGGCTGTGTGGTGCAACTCACAGGTTGGTAGATGACACTTTTAGGTACGAGCCAGCTGTGTCCAAAACGGATGGTTGTATTTCTAATCCTTATTTGCTGGAAGAAGCTCTCTGTTGTCTCAGGCAATGGGCTGATCTGTGGAGTGCACAGGGTTCTGAGCTCTCTGCTCAGCCCAGGATAGCGGTCTAAGATGGGTGGGGTAGCCAGACTGAGCAGGCACACCCACATGTCCCTCAATAGTTCAGCCCAACCTCCAGTGTTGAGGGGCTTCCAGAGGGCTCCCATCAAGTGCCCATTGGTGTGCCCAGGCATGGGGCTTGGAAACCTCTTTAGTCCCAAGTTCTCTGCACAGGAACTGGGGACAGCCTAATCTTCCACTCCAGGGGAGTGAGTGCTGCAGATGCCTGGAAATCTGCCAGGTCATGGAGTGTAGCGGACCCCCTTTGCCACAATCTCTGCACAGAAAAGGTGGGGTGGCTCAGGCTGCTGATCCAGGTGAGCAGGTACTCCAACTGTCTGGAGATTTGCCTGAGTGTAGAGCAGAGGAGGCACCCCCTGCACCCAGATCCCTACGCAGAAAAGGTAAGGGTGATTCAGGCTGCTAATACATGGGAGCGGGTGCTCCAAATGCCTGGAGATCTGCCCTTGTGTAGATCATTGAGGGCCCCACTGCACCATGATCTGTACTACAGAAGGTTTGCAGATGCAGGCTGCTGATCTAGGAGAGCAAGAGCTTTGACTGCCCGGTCATGCAGTGGAGAGAGCTCCCCACACCAGGATATCTGTAGTGGGATGGGGGTGGCTCAGGGTGTAAATTGAAGTGAGTGGATGCCCAAATGTCTGGAGACATGCCTGGGTATGTAGAAGACAGGGCTGGGGTACCTGACAATGACACACATAGGCTGATTCCAGGTTGCCAAGCTGGCTCTGTTTTCAAGTCTCATCACCCAGGAGAAAGCAGCAGCTCTCCTCCTGCCCCAGATGTTCAATGGGGGAGATCACAATTCCAGTGCATTCTGTTGGGGCACCTTCCATAATCACCACCCAGTGATGGTTGTGAAGGTCCCCACTCTGCTCGAGAGAGAGAGCTCCAATCTCTGGTCTGAGGTGAAAATGCCTGCGTGGCCATGGTGCCAGGTTACTAAAGTATAACTGACTTTGTATGAACCTGGATTAAAAATGACATCCTGCTTTCAGTCCTGGGTCTAGGAAAAATGCCTGCAGCTTTTCCTAGTGTTCTTCCTTCTCTGCATCCCCAATCTCTCCCAAGTTAGCTCCATGGCTTGGGAGAAATAAAGTGTTCTCCCTCAGCCTGGGTTTCTCAGACCTCCAGTGGAAAGGTGAGTCAAAGAGGGAGGGTCTCAGCCTGTCTCACGTACTGGGGCTTCACTCACTTTTATCAGCTGGATGCTGCCATGGGAGCTGTTTGCCGGTATGCTCTTCCCTGGGATCCGAGTGTCTTTTTCTCTTCTATTGTACTCCCATTTTTCTTCTTGAATTAAAACTCACAAAGTTGATCTTTAGGCACTCTTTTGCTATTTCCAAATGGCTGAGGCATGCCAAAAGCCTCCAAGATGCCATCTTGAAAAAAATCCCATTTTTTTAGAGTGGAAGAGGGCTGGTTTCAAGTAAAAAGATCCGCTATTTTATGCTGCTATAGTCACCATTCCTTAACATATATATCCACTGGTGCTTGAACAAATCTGTTTCCATTAACACTGAATGAAAGTAATTTTTGATTGAGGAGGGGGATGTCTTATACTTAAGATAGTACTTTACTTACATAGGGCTATTCTGTAACTGCTGAACATTCCTTTCAAATGCTGTAAAATATTGGCCTTTGAATATTGCATGAATACCAGTTTTTCTCAAAGTGTGGGCTCCACAGTATGCATCAGAATAGCAGTTGTGCTTTTAAAAGATGCATATTTATGAACCCCACCCTATACCTACTGATTCTGATTTTCTGGAAGTGAGATCTAATATTCTGAATTTTAAATAAGCTTTGGAGTTTATTTCAATGAACAATACAAGATGATAACCTCTCTAGACTCTGTAACACTCCAACAGATCTCTGTTCCTGCAGCTTCTTTCTCTACACTGTCAAACCATTTGATCTCATATCTATGCTTGGTCCTATCTCTGACCCTGGGACCAATTTTGTTCTTAGAATTGGAGAATTTAAGGAGCTGTCATTCAGGTGACAAAATATCAAGATACCTTGCTTTGAGCTTGAGTAATTACCTAAGTAATGCATAGTAGAGGCTTCATTTCCTGGCTCTGTTGAATCCTTGCTTGCTGCTGCTACAGAACATAAAATCCCAGTGATGCATTTATTTCAGATCAAAAGGGTTTTGGAGGACAAAGGTAAAATAAAATGGAAGGGATTTAATTATGCATTTGTTGTCATGTACACAATCAGAAATGGTAGAGTGAATAAGAGCGAGAGATTGATCGCTTCTCTTCACTGGGAGAAGACAAGGACACACAATCAGGCTATTGGACTAAGCTGCTCCTGACAAGCTAGCAGCACTCCAGACCTCAAATAAACAAAGACCTTAGTTATGTTTCCATCAGCTCTTCCTTAGTCCCAAAGCAGAATTTACCAATGAAGGAAGGGAAGAAGACTTGTTTCTATAAGTCCTGTTATATAGTAATAATACCACCCGGAATATTCAAGTCTTGCTACTCAAAGTGAGGTCTGCAGACCAGCAGCATGAACATCACTTGGTAGCTTGTTAAAAATGAAAAATCTCAGGTGCAACGCCAGACATACTGTGCCAGAATTTACATTTTGCAAGATCCCCAGGGGATCTACATATCCATTAAATTTGAGTAGTTTATCTCTAGAAAGATTATTGTGTTCTATAGTCTGGCAGAAGGAATATAAGATAGACAACTAAGGTTTCAGAGTTTTGCTACTCACCCAGAGCTCTCGGGTGTGAGGCAAAACAGTAAGGTGGAGAGAGTCACTTAATTTCTGTGAATCTCAGTTTCTTTACCTACAAAATAAGACTTTTCCAGAATGTCAAATGAGAAAACACAGTTATTAGTGTATTTTAAATTCTCATGTAAGTTTTTTATTATGTGACTGGCTCCCAAAACTGTTTTTGAACTGAGTTCTTCTCCAGAGTTAAGATTCTAAATTTACAGCTGCAATGGTAAGCCTAACTTGAGTCAATATATAGTGTATGGGAAAGAAAAACAATCAAACTCTCAAGCCAAGGGAGAAATTGAGAATCTGGTGCAGATTAACGAATTGGAATTAGAAAGAATTAGAGAAAAGAGACAGGAACATAGGAGTTCAGAGTTCCATTTTCATAGAAAAGTCAATAAAACTGCTAAAACAAAATCAAGAATAACAGAGCTAATAATAGAAGGGACATGGAGTATAGTATCATAGTGTTTAATAAATAGTAGATACACAATCAACTGAATTTATGAATTAATACATAAGGGAGTATCGCTCTTACAGCTAATAGATTTCAACAAGATACAATTGGAGATAAAAATACAATTAAATATGTGATTAAAAGAACATACATGTCTTACTACACCTAATAGAATATATCATCCGTAAGCCTGGTTAACACTAAGCCTGGTTAACAGATTAATCTAAGGGTTATACACGTTGTCTGAGTATCAGAATCACCTGTAGAGCTTTGAAAACTACAGAAGCATTTATTATTTCAGTGCAGAGAAAAATGGGCACAGAAGTACAGGCACCAGAAAAGTATGAGAGACAGAAGGAGAAGAGAGAGAGAAAGAGGGAAAGATGGCAAACACAAGAATGGTGTTAGTTTCTTGTAGATGTAAAGAGAATTTTCAACAATCTGCATGCAAACTGGAGTGAGTAAGTATTCAAATATGACTCAATTAATTTTCCAATGTAGGGTAATAAATGGGACTGTGAACAATTTAAAAAGCTGCACCTGTTCCTCATGGCATCTAAAGGATGTACTAAAATTGGCAATTACTGCAGTGAACTCCAGACAATAGGGTGAAGTATACGATTAACTAAATACAATGAGAAATGGTAAATTATATGTGTTATTTTGCCCCACAAATCAAGATTTACTTGAATTTGACTGCATGGGGATTTATATTATTAGTTTTTCTAATAGCCAAACAATCACTTTTATACTGTAGTATGACTTCAAGGATTGGCACCAGACACATCCATCATTTTCTTTAACAATAAAAATGGATTCATACCAAGATCTTGAGTTCATTCCCTGTTTCTCTTGGGGCTCTCACTTTTTTTGAAACAGCAGAAGTTCCAGGGACCTGAAATTTCTGACAATGAACAATATTGACATATGTGATCAAGGGGTTAAAGAGAATTAAAAAATAATAATTACCTTCATAGGCCTCTTGTCATGCACTCTCAGGAATTTCAGTTGTTGTATGATGAGTATAAATGGTTTCTGACATATTTGTACGTCTATGCTATCAGAAAATGGGAGGTGTTTAAAATGAGAAGTCATATTCTCCACTCGAATGCTGATAACCATTCACCTTAGGTCATCACTGCTTCCAGACTAACATCAGAGCTCATGAAAGGTAGTACTAGCCCACTTAGCATCTTCCTAGAGAAAACTGGTGAAGCTTCTTAATAAATTAAATAAATGAATCCAACTCTTAAATGAGAATCTATTCTGTGAATTCTGTATTATGTGAATACAGAAAGAATCATTCAGAGGTTGGCTTCACAAAGCTAACAATACTATATTTCATTATTTAGTTCCAGGTGGGCCTCTCTTCCACATAATTTATCCAACACAGCATGGAATAAGGTTATAACATGACATAAATTGGTATAAGAGATTTCAGAAAAAAATAATAAAACTAAGGATAAAAGGCACCAACACTAGTTGCCAGAGGTCATCCACATATTCTTTTATAAGCCCGTTTCAGATCAAATCCTTTTTTTCTGGTATTTTCTAGAACAAACCAAACTCCTTTTGGGATGCCTAGGACTAATTCATGGCCATAGCCTCTCCAGATCCCAAGAAAGGGCCCATATTTTAAGATCCATAAACACTGAACCCCTTCAGTCAAACGATGCAAAGACACCATCTGCAGAGATCAGCCCAATCCTAGAATCTGACACGGGCTGTCATGAGACCCCTGCAGGCAACAAGGAAACTGAACAAAAAGCTAGGACAATTAGGTGGATCAGTACCTGTGTTAACAAGTGTATCCAAGGTGTGCAATTTAACTACAGATATCAACGTGGGGAAAAGTATACAGTATTATGCTGCAAACCTCTGTTGGAATTTACCTTGCTTGCTGTTTTCTTCAATTGGTTGGATAAGAACATAGAAGGCATAATTGACACATTTGTAGAAATATCAAAAAGATGAGAAAGCAAAACAGGGGCAAGATGGCCAAATAGATGTAGCTAGGAGAAACATATGCCACCAAGGGACTGGCACATCGGGAAGACTGGCACACTCCTTGCAGATCTTCAGAGGGAAGGCATTGAGAGTGGATAGAGGGAAGACGCACACGCTGGGCCTAAGGGGGGTGTATTAGTCCATTCTCACACTGCTATAAAGATAGTACCCCATACAGGGTAATTTATAAACAAAGGAGGTTTAATTGACTCACAGTTCCATATGGCTGGGGAAGCCTCATGAAACTTACAATCATGTAGGAAGGGGAAGCAGGCACCTTCTTCACAAGGTGGCAGAAGAGAGTATGAGTGCATGTAGGTGGAACTGTCAAACACTTATAAAACCATCAGATCTCATGAGAATTCACTCACTATCACGAGAACAGCATGAGGGAAACTGCCCCCATGATCCGATCACCTCCCACTAGATCTCGCCTTCAACACATGGGGATTATGAGGGTTACAATTCAAGATGAGATGTTGGTGGGGACGCAGAGCCAAACCATATCAGGGAGGAAGCTGAAAAATCTGTGCAGGGCCACCACACACCAGGACTTGTTCCTGGCCCCCAGTGACTCCTGGGGAAGGAGTGAGTGAGCAGACAAGAAGCAACCTGCTATCACCACTCTGGAATCCCGGCAGGAGGAGACCCCATGACCACCACTGATATTTGAGATGGCAGGAAGAGCTGTTTAGAGAAGCGGTAGGGGCTCCAGCTGATGCAGAGCCCAGGGGCTTTGGTGCAGGAGCCTCTGTAGTGAAGTATGGCCAGGGATGCCCATCCCCCAGGCTTGACTTGTTCCTATAGGAGACTTTAGCT